>NC_000016.10:5010000-5635000 GCF_000001405.40 Homo sapiens | reverse complement strand
GTCTTGACCAATCATGGTGACTCTCCTCCCCTGTACACAGTAATTGGTATAGGGGAAGGTGCATGATCTAAGGAGAGCCAATCAGAATCCGTCCTGGAATAGACATATAAACACTTGTGAGTAAAAAGATTCTCTTTTTTATGATGTTGCCAAATATGAGGTTAGAAAGCCAAAGAGCTGATGGTAATTTCCCCCACCATTTATGCCATCTGGACAGAATCTGTCTGCAGAAGGAAGTCAGCCAGAAATGAAAGAGAAATGGAGAGAATACGCTGGTGGGCCCTGACTCCTGGCTCCCCATCCCAATTTGCTGCCTCCTGCAACTCTTCTTTGACTCCGAGTGATCTATGATCCTTCCTCTCTGACCAATAACTTTCCTTCAGCTTAAATGATCTGAAATAGTTTCTGTCACTGAAACCATCCTGACTTACACTGGCTCAATTCCAGAAGGGATAGATATGTATCCTTAATCACACTTAGGTATTTGAAAAAAAAATATGTTTAGCATTTTGTACAAGTTCTTTAATTTTGTTTACTCCCTTTGCAATTTAAAATGATTAATTAGCTTAAATGAGTAAGTGTCCAATTACAGTTAAATTGTCCCTATTTTTGTCTCAATTACATTTGAGACCACTGCTTTTTATCACTTGTATCAGTACTTTAATTTGCTTGTTTTCCACTCTGTATAAAGTATGGAGAAAGTGAAAATAAATAGTCAAATGATTGCACTACCGTTGCTGTAAGGACAAGACTTCAGGCTTTGCCAGTACTGAACCAGTAGCTGTCAGGTATATCAAATTTGCAATACCCAAAATGTTAATTTGCCAACTGATGTACACAAGTCTGAATTTGCTATGTGCAAAGAAGTGAGGCCAGTGGCTATAAAAGGTAAAGGGTAAGGATCATTTGGAAGTTGGACCTCAGAAACTGCAACTAATGACGCTTATTTGAGTCTGTGTCCTCTAGATGGCAGTAGAGGAAACACCATTACACTCAAGGTGGGCTTGCTAACAGCTCACAATTGGCCTTCAAATGGGCATCGTGATAATTAGGGATGTTGAGCATTTTTTCGTATGTTTGTTGGGTGTCTGTATATCTTCTTTTGAGAACTGTCTATGTATTTCCTTTGTCTACTTTTTTTTTTTTTTAAGACGGAGTCTCACTCTATCGCCCAGGCTGGAGGACAGTGGCCTCCGCCTCCTGGGTTCTAGCCATTCTCCTGCCTCAGCCTCCTGAGCAGCTGCGATTACAGGCATGCACCACGACGCCCGGCTAATTTTTGTATTTTTAGAAGAGACGGAGTTTCACGATGTTGGCCAGGCTGACCTCAAACTCCCCACCTCAGGTGAGCCACCCACCTCGACCTCCCAAAGTGCTGGGATTACAGGCGTGAGCCACCACACCCAGCCCTTTACCCACTTTTTGATGGGATTATTTCTTTTATTCTTGTTGATTTGAGTTCCTTGTAGATTCTGGATGTCAGTCTTTTGTCGGATACACAGTTTGTGAATATTTTCTAAAAGACTACATATTGGGTAGAGAGTCGTTGCTCCAGTGATGAGTGCAACAAAATCTCAGAAATCACCACTAAAGAGCTCATCCATGTAATGAAAAACCACCTGTAACCCTAAAACTATTGAAAGTTTTTTTACAAAAAGAGCACCTATGCTTTGGAATGAGAAAAGAAACCAGAAGTGTGTGGTTCCAGGGAGAAGAGTGGGAGCTTCAAAATGTTCCAACTTGCACTGATGTAAAAGAGTTGTTGGCTGGGCGTGGTGGCTCAGACCTGTAATCCCAGCACTTTGGGAGGCCGAGGCAGCTGGATCACGAGGTCAGGAGTTCGAGACCAGCCTGGCCAATATGGCGAAATTCCGTCTCTATTAAAAATACAAAAATTAGCCGGGCATGGTGACTGGTGCCTACAGTCCCAGCTACTCAGGAGGCTGAGGCAGGAGAATCACTTGAACTTGGGAGGTAGAGGATGCAGTGAGCTGAGATCATAACACTGCATTCCAGCCCAGGTGACAGAGTGAGACTCCACCTCAAAAAAAAAAAAAAAAGGAGTTGTTAAGATTGCAAGCCCAGGAATCAGGTGACCTGGGTTGTGTTCCCAGCCCAGTTTTCTTAGCCACAGTGGAGAAAGTTACGGAAATTCTGTGTGCTGCAGTTCTCCCAGCTTATATGGAAGAGTACCTACCTCACAGGTTTGAAGGAAGGCTCATTCATGACCACTTTGTAAAGTGTTATCACAGCAGCATGTGCGGGACAGTAAGTGCTCACTAAATCACAGTGATGCGGCTGTATTAAACCTTCCCAATATGCCCTTATAGGCTCCAAAACAAAAGACAAATAAACATAGTTGGGCTAGGTGGCTCGTGGACAGGGCCTGGAGGTGAGTGCTATTTCCAGATAAATCACCGCTGATATTGTGTGTAATTACATGAAGCCAAAATTCAACTGTTCCTACAAGACATCAAAGCCCTTGCCTTGCTGAAAAATACAACAACAACAAAAATGATGGCTCTCATGTACTGAGCTGTCACTATGCTATGCACTTTTCATCTGCTTAATTTGATTCTCACCACAACATACAGGGTAGCTATTAGCATCTCCATCTTAAGGGGGTCAAATAACGTTGACCAGGAAACAGCTACAAGAGGTAAAAGGGCTTGCCCAAGGGACACAGAGATTGATGTGGGTTGGGAACCCAGCAGGTGTAACTCCCATATTCATCCTTACTCTCGTTCATCAGACTGTGGCTAGTTGTCTCATGACATCGTCTCTAATACAGAATAATAATTATTTTTAGTATACTGAATGCATACATGTGATAGGTACCATATGAAGTAGCTTACCTGCATCCTGTGTCCTTTGTGAAGAGGCCTCTTCTGGGCACACACAGATGCCCTTCCTCTGGTACCTCTGTGCCCTCCTTGGCTTCCTAGCTTAAGTAGGACTGGAAAAGAAAGCTCAGACATCCAATCCTCCTGTGAGATCTTTAGACGGAAGCTTATAGAGAGCAAACAGGTGGAGGCTTAACCTTTCTTTCCTACTTGGGGATGCCATTTCTACTGTCTCCACTCTATCATTCACCTGACCCTAGTGAACACCCCAGTGTCCATCCCAGAAAATGATCCTACAATGGGAGCTGCCTTTGGCCAAATTTTGACTTTGTAAGAGAAAAGCTCATCTAGACAATGCTCAACTTCCTTTCACCAGACTCTGGACACTTCATTGAATAAATACTCAGTAAGCACCTCCTAAGAGCCAAAACTCAATACTAAGTACAAAAAATGAGGGTAGGGGAAGGCAATGATCAAGTAGCTTCCGTTCTAGGAGGTGGGAAACATGAATGCAGAAGGGCAAAGGAGTCTGCAATAAATTACCTAAAACTGAAGTCAAAATGTAATGGATACATAGAAGAGACACTTTTTTTTTTTTTTTAAATATGGAGTCTCGGTCTGTCACCAGGCTGGAGTGCAGTGGTGCGATCTCGGCTCACTGCAACCTCCGCCTCCTTGGTTCAAGAGATTCTCCTGCCTCAGCCTCCCGAGTAGCTGGGACTACAAGCACCCGCCACCATACCCGGCTAATTTTTGTATTTTTAATAGAGATGGAGTTTTGCCATATTGGCCAGGCTGGTCTTGAACTCCTGACCTCGTGATCCACCTGCCTCGGCTTCCCAAAATGCTGGGATTACAGGCGTAAGCCACCACGCCTGCCCGAAGAGAGACTTTTAAATGTGCATGAGGATTGGAGAGAGCCTCTAAGACCCTGACCAGTAACATCAGCCACCAACATCATCATCATCAACCTCATCACCTTCATCAGAGCAAATTCCGACATACTCAATGACCGGTTGAGTTTTCTTTGCTTTGCTTTAGATTGTTTCAAATGTAGATGCAGCACCTCTGAGTGCCAACAGTCACGTTTTGGGGACTGGTTTGGCCATCTGTTGTGGACAACCTCTAGATACAAGTGCGACCCTTCCAAGGGGAATCACTTCACCACTCCCACTTTCCCTTTCTTAAATGTCAAATGTTGCCATTCTGCAGCTGTTTTGGAATAGATGGAGAAAATAACATCAGAAACCAACTAAAAAAAACATATTTGGTCATTAAACATCAGCAAACTAAAACATGTAAAGTTCAAGTTGCTCCCCTCTGAAATGACTTCCTCATCCACACACTCTATCTCCCTCATTGCCTTTTTTCCAACAATTGAAGTCCAAGGCGAGAGTTAGAGCCTGGCCCTCCAGATACTGCCTGGGTATGAATGACAAGCCCACGTCCATCAGGATAGAAAAAGAATAAGAAGCCGGCTTGGCTTCTCTCTGGGAAACGCTGGTTGATGAGGGCACTGCCACCAATCAATGGAAACTTCAGTCCTTTCCATCAAGAGTATCATGAAAGCCACCCGCCAGTGCTCTGAAGGTCCTGACGTGGCCTGCAGGCAGAGATTGAAGAACTTTTGTAATCAGATGGTGGGGCACATCTGATGTCTAAGGTCCCAAAGTTTTCTCCTTTTTTTCTTTCTTTTTTTTCGAGACAGAGTCTTACTCTGTCACCCAGGCTGGAGTGCAATAGCGTGGTCTTGGCTCACTGCAAACTCCACCTCCCGGGTTCAAACGATTCTCCTCCCTCAGCCTCCTGAGTAGCTGGGATTACAGACATGTGCCACAATGCCTGGCTAATTTTTGTATTTTTAGTAGACACAGGGTTTCACCATGTTGCCCAGGCTGGTCTCGAACTCCTGACCTCAGGTGATCCACTCACTTTGACCTCCCAAAGTCCTGGGATTACAGGCATGAGCCACTACACCCAGCTAAAGTGCCTATGCTTCCTCCTTGATCTCTACTCCTGCAGAAGGCACCATACCTCTGTGCCTCTGAGCCTCAAATGACTTTTGAGAAGTGGATAAAGATAGGTGGAAAGAAACAGAGAATCCTGATATGTATCTGCATTGATCTCCTGCAAAGAGCACCTCCCAGGACATAGAGAGATCCTATCCCCAACCAAATAACAGCAGTCACCAGGCACGGAGCTCTCCTGTGAGATGAGCACTTGATCAACATCAGCTAACTGACTCCTCCCTACAACACCCTAAGATGGGTACTTTCCTACTCAAGAAGACATAAAGTGGGCTTCAAGGCCAGAATTTCACTCCAGTGCTAATGGACTCCAAACCTACCCTCTTAGCCATTTGGCTCTGTTGCTTCCAACTGAACAGAAAGCACTCACCACTGACGTCAGGTCCTTCGGCTGAAATACAAGAGTTGGAGAAACACAACCTTAAGCTGAAAGGAAGGGAGGTAAGCACATAAAAAGCCAAGGCTCAGAGCAACTATTATCATACCAAGACCCCAAGCAGGCACCACGGACAAGATCTCTTGTGGAAACCAGAAGGCATTGGTCCTAAGCTAAAGCAGCTTCTCAGGTATTATTCTGACATTAGACTCCATTCTTCCTTTGCTACTGAGTTATCCAGTAGTTAAATGGTCCATGAAGCCCTCTTTGGGCAGTGGCTTTGGGTCCATGAGGACCACAGGGTCCCCTACAAACTGGTAGCCAATGTCCTGAAGACACAAAGGATTTATACCACTGGCAGTCCTGGTTGACCACGGCAGAGCTGTGTGGGTTTATAGCTGGGTCTGCTCTTGTTAGCTGCTGTATCCATTCTGAGCGACTAGCACCTGAGCCCTAAATGTTGTTAAATATTGAACATCATACTGGTACATCCTTAGAAGATGGAGGAGTAGGGATAGAGGGAAGGTATTCTAGAATCACTTCTGCTTTGAATTTACATTCTGTGAGTTGAATTCAGGTTGCTTATCCAGCCCTGTACTCTCAATATGTTCTAAGTGGAAAATGAAGAGTAAAATAGCTTCTTCTTTTTACAGCATCACTTTTTTTCTTTTCTCTTGATTGCTTACTGCTGCTCTGGTGCATTTGTTTGCCCTACGATGGGTGCTTGGGGCCTGGATGGCATCATTAGAAAGACATTTAATCGCACTCACAGTTTACTCTGTTGACATTTGGCATCAGCCATAACTTGCTATCCACACAAAGCTACAAGATTCCCTGGTACATGATCTGACTTAGGACTAACGTCTTAGGACTTAGCTTAGGTCAGATGCTACAGCACTCATCATAGCCCATGTAGAATAGGACAGACAAGGGTGCCATGAGATCTCCCTTCAGCCATAAGGATGCTCAAATTTGATATTTCTTGGGGATATAAAATCCTGCCCTTGGAACTTGGCAGGTGAAAAGCAAGAGACTGCTATGTCAACCCTGGCTTGATATCAAGGACTGTAATAGCAAGGCTTCTTCCATCATTTATCCCAGCAGCTGTCTCAGCTGTGGGTTCTTGGGGTATCTTCGCTCTTATTGCAGATGAAGACAGAGCAATAACTCTAGGACAGTTCAGCAGTTCAGACTTTATGTTTGAGTTGTTTCCTAGAGCCCAAATACTACTTGGCTGACCTAAAGCGTTCTTCCCCTAACCCAGATCCTAGAAACCTAAACAAACACAGCATGATCACTATGGTGATCACTATGGTTATATCAGTTATCCCCAAAACTCAGAGCTCCTTTTGACTGAGCTTTCAATGGAGAATGTGCCCAGGATACAGAGGGTCCAATAAAAAGAAGCAATAAAAAAGAAAAGAAAAAGAAAAAGAATTTAGTCTGTGATAATTGGTATCACAGGTAGGATCACCATTTGCATGGTAGAAGAGACTTCAATTCTTGGATTCTTTCAACTCCCAAGTCCTCAACTCAAACACTGGGCTGCAATGTATTTCTCAATAGACTATCTGATATAAGGGTATCTACCCAATGCCAGACACTAAACTGTGAGCCAGCACCAAAACTCTAACTGTACAACATTTTTACTAATTGGGGTGGGGTGGGCAGAGACAGACCATCACCCTTATACTACTTTACTTAATATTCAAAATATAAGGAATTCCTCTCTCTGATGGCAGAAGAGGCCTGACAATACCTAAGGCTATAAGAATGCCTCTAAATGCTGCTTTGGCCTCTTCTCACCAGTTTTAATTAGGCACAATCATTTCTCCATATCCATGAGGGATTTGTTCCAGGACCCCCCTTGTGGATACTAAAATCCATGAATGCTCAACCCCCTTATATGAAATGGTGCAGTATTTGCATAGAACCTATGCTTAGCCTCCTGTATAGTTTAAATCATCTTTGATTACTTATAATATTCAATACAATGTAAATGCTATGTAAATAGTTGTTATACTGTATTTTTTATTTGTATTATTTTTACTGTTTCTTTTATTTTTCAACCTTCAGTTGGTTGAATCTGTGGATACAGAGGGGCAACTGTACTTCTACTTTGGGGTATCAATCCCCTTCTTAGTTTGTTGTTATTTATAAGGTTGTTGCTTATTTATTATAAAGTTGTCGCTTCTCTACTGAAGGTTTGAGATTTTTTAATATAAAAACCCTAAATTATTCATTTTGTAATCTATTGCTTTGTACTCAAAGCAATAGCATTTTCTATCCTTTACAAATGATTATTTTCCCCCTTTGGGACACACACACACACACACCCCAAGATCACTATGGTTAAAAGGCAAAATTGCTGAATGTGGGATACACAATTTGGTTTCTGTTTTACAATTCTACCAGACTGTTTCATTCATTACCTTTTGTTCTATTTATTTATTTACTAAGTCTGACACACCAATAACATGAGAAAATCTTGAAGAGAAGATGGTAATTTGGTGCCACTACATGGGATATGATAGAATCATTTTCAGCTCAAATTATTTAAAATTACAGAGCCATGAAGCTGAACTTACCCAAATAATTTCTAATGGTGGATTTTTTCAGCATCTTAATTTAAGTAAAAAGAAAAAGTTTAAATAGATTTGAGGGCTTAAATACTTCTGAGGAAAGCAGCAACTGCAAAGCCGGGATGTCTAATTCACATAAAAGTAATTAACAAAAAGTGAGTTAGATCATTATTTCCTCCAAGATCATAATTTAAAAGGAAGCTGATTTATCTGAACTGACTGGGGCTTTCAATCCCAACAGAAATGTAGATGTTCAGTTGTTAAGGGGAGAACAGAAATGAGACCCAATTAAGCAAAATTCTTTCTTATAGAAAAAAAAATGATTTGGATAAAACGATTGCTCAAATGTGCTCAGAAGGGCACCAAGGAAAGCAAGAGAGTTGAGCTTTTTTTTTTAAAACCCTGGTTGAACCTTCAGTCCCAGTCACAAGATCTATCACCAGAAAGTAAGGAAACTCATTCCTCCCAAAGCACGGGAGTATAACCAGTTGTCTAGAACTGATGAATATCGGAGCTCGTGTCAACATTTGACACCTTATTCCCATGGCGGGAGAAGAGGCTGAAAACAAAGGATTTTGGAGAGGAAGGAACAGGGGTATTCCAGGATCTTTTTGGTTAGGGTCCACTACGGGCTGAACTGTGTTCCGCCAGAATTCATATGTTAAAGTCCTAACCGCCAGGAGCTCAGAATGTGACTGCTATCAAGGACAGGGTCTTGAAAGACAGGTAATTAAGTGACAGTGAGGTTATTAGAGTGAGTCCCAGTCCAACCTGACTGGTGTCCTCCTAAGATGAGAAGATTAAAATACAGACACACACAGACACAGAAAGCCTACATGAAGACACAGGGAGAAGACGGTCATCCACAAGCCAAGGAGGGAGGCTGCAGAAGAAACCAACCCTGCCAACACCTTGATCTCTGACTGCTTGCCTCCAGAACTCTGAGCCATCCTTCCTCCAGAGGATAAGTTGGAGGACACAAAATATTAAAGAGGTCAGGTGTGGTGGCTCACGCCTGTAATCCCAGCACTTTGGGAGGCCGAGGCGGGCAGATCACCCGAGGTCAGGAGCTCGAGACCAGCCTGACCAACATGGAGAAACCCGTCTGTACTAAAAAGAAAATACAAAATTAGCCAGGCGTGGTGGCACATGCCTGTAATCCCAGCTACATGGGAGGCTGAGGCAGGAGAATAGTTTGAACCCAGGAGGCGGAGGGTGCAGTGAGCTGAGATTGTGCCATTGAACTCTAGCCTGGGCAACAAGAGTGAAACTCCATCTCAAAAAAATAAAATAAGATATTAAAGAGTAAATCCAGGGCTGGACACGGTGGCTCACACCTGTAATCCCAGTACTTTGGGAGGCTGAGGCAGACAGATCACCTGAGGTCAGGAGTTTGAAACCAGCCTGGCCAAAATGATGAAACCCTGTCTCTACCAAAAATACAAAAATTTGCTGAGCATGGTGGTGGGCACCTGTAGTCCCAGCTACTCAGGAGGCTGAGGAAGGAGAATCACTTGAACCCAGGAGGCGGAGGTTGCAGTAAGCCAAGATTGCACCACCATACTCGAGCCGGGGTGACAGAGCAAAACTCCATCTCGAAAATAAATAAATAAATAAATAAATAAGTAAATAAATAACAAAAAATATTAAAAGAGTAAATCCAAACTCCTCCGCAAAACTTGACTGGTTATGAAGAACGGTGCAGCGGTCAGGCACACCAGTGAGTTCAAATCCCGACCAGACTCCTGAGGAGCTGTGTGACCCATGGCCACGTTCTTGACCTCTCTGTGCCCCAGTCTCTTCATCTGAGAACTGCAGTGAGCATCAGAGTGGAGCAGCCCCTGACAGCTGGGGACCACCCTCAGAGACTCCATTGCATCATTCATTCAACAAATGCTTCCTACGCCCCTACCACGCCCAGGTCCTGCTACAGATCCTAGGGATACAGAAAAAAAAATATCCTGCCCTGTTCTGGGGGGCTCATCTTCCAGTAAAGCCTAGCCAATGACAATACTAAGTGCACTTTGGTAAGAAAGAGAAAGATGGCTCACATGCAAAATGGTAACGCTGGGTCCATTTCATTGCATTCTGTGCAATGTCCCTGAATCCCATTTTAAATAGAATCCAGAGCCGCCTATGGAGGGTGACTGCTGGTATCTCTCGTGCCAGGCTCTCTGGCCCGAGAGTCACCCTCAATCACACGGCCCCAAATCCGGGTGGGGTCCCTACAGACCGTGCATTTTGCTGTTTGGCACCAGATAAACCTATTGGGCAGTTTCCAAGTGGTCAAACAGCCCCTCTCATCTCCCAGAGCCATTCAGCAAGCAGCTTTCTCTGTCCCCCCATCCTGCCATAAGAGCTCTGTGATGCCACCTGGCACTCAGCATATGAGCTTCCTGAAGGGTCCCTGAGGCAAGCTCAAAGACCTGTCACCCCGCATTGGTGGCTGTGTCCAAGCCAGCTAGCCTGATGCATATGCATTGCAGTAGCTGAGAGCGCCCTTCAGCTAGTGGCTGGCAGTCGGAATCCATTAGCCAGACACAATCACAGACACTGTCCTTGTGCCTCCCAGGTGGGGGATGAGGAACATGAACCTGTGCTTTAGAAATCCCAGGAACTCAGGGGGTTCTCAGGAGCTTTTCCCCACCTGGGTACGAGCTTTAAAAGTCTCTGGGTGGCTGGGCGCGATGGCTCACGCCTGTGATCCCAGAACTTTGGGAGGCCGAGGCGGGCGGATCACGAGGTCAGGAGATCCAGACCATCCTGGCTAACACGGTGAAACCCTGTCTCTACTAAAAATAAGAAAAAAAATTAGTTGGGCACGGTAGTAGGTGCCTGTAGTCCCAGCTGCTTGGGAGGCTGAGGCAGGAGAATGGTGTGAACCCAGAAGGTAGAGCTTGCAGTGAGCCTAGATCACACCACTGCACTCTAGCCTGGGCGACAGAGCGAGACTCCGTCTCAAAAAGAGTCTCTGGGTAGCAGGAGAGTCACTAAAAGGCCTTATTTTTAGGGACTCTTTGAAACCTTCGAGTATTAAAAGTGACCTAAAATGTTCTCCTTTGCTTTTCCAAATCCCCAAACTCTTTAATCCCTTATTTGCTCTTCTGTAAAATGGGGTGGACACCATCTGCCCTGCTCTTCTCAGTTCTGTAAGGATCAAATCAAATAGTCTGCAAAAGCCTTGGTATGGGATTTCTTTGGGGGATGATGGAAATGTTCTAAAGTTGATTGTGCTGATGTTGGCACAACTCTGTGAATAATAAAAAACCACTGAATCGTATGCTCTAAATGGGTGAATTGTACTGTATATGAATGATATCTCAATAGAGCCGTTTTTCCAAAAGCCTTTATAAACAGTGAAGGATTCTTGCCATCTGAGGACTTCAACTCTCAACCAGATTGAGAGGGAGAGATGGGGGAGAAAAAGAGCAGGAGAGACACAGGGAGGGAAGGACAAAGAAAACAAATGAGAGAGAAAAAGGGAAGGAGGTAGGGAGAAGAGAGAGAGACATTACAAGCAGCTGGGGGAAGGGGTAACCAGTGTAGCGGGAACAAAAGAAGGCACCGGTGAGAATTTATCAGAGGCTTTAAGAAAGCAGTTGGGACCATGTGGTCCTCCGGCCACCTGCACCTGTACCATGTAGGGTGTAGGTAAAGATGCAGAAAAGTCTTCATGGGCCTGTCCAGCACTTAGCATGGCCATGCATGTTTGTTTGGTGATTATGAGTGTTCTCCCACTAGAACAGAAACTCGCTGAGAGTAGAGACTTTCTCTGTTTTGTTTTGTTCAGTGCAGTACATCACTGACTGTGGAAGGGCCCAGGAAAATGCATTTTGAGGAACTGCCTAGGTGATTCTTACACACCCTTCAGTTTGAGGACCCCTGCCCTAAGAAATCCACTAGAGTCCTGTCCACTGGGAAACGGAAAACAGTCACCCCATAAGATGTACCACACCCCTTCTCTTCTCAGGCCAACACCATAATGCCCCCATGAGACTGCTCACTTCACTGGTGGCTTTCTTTAGACTAAGCCAGGGATTGGCCAGTTTCTCTGAAATGGCCAGACAGCACAGTCATCCCTTGGTGTTCATGAGGGGTTGGTTCCAAGACTCCCCCGTATACCAAAACCCATGAATGTTCAAGTCTCATACAAAGCGGCATAGTATTTGCATATAACCTACAGACATCCTCCCATATACTTCAAACTGTCTATAGATTACCTGTAATAGCCAATACAACGTAAGTGCCATGTAAAGAGTTGTTATACTGTGTTGTTTAGGAAACAATAAGAAAACAAACTCTGCACATGTTGGGTTCAGACGCAGCCATCGTACACGTAAGGATATTTTTGAATCGAGGTTGGTTGAATCCACAGATGCAAAACCCCCAGATATGGAGGGCCAACAGTAAACATTCTTGGCTTTGAGGGCCACACAGTCTCCCTTGCAACTATTCAGCTCTGATATTGTAGCAGGAAAGCCACAATACATAAATGAACAGGTGTGGCTGTGTTCCAATAAAACTTTATTTAAAACCCACAGGCATCGGGCCGGATTTGGCCTATGGGCTGAAGTTTGCCAACCCTTGGTCTAAGCAAATAAATGGATTTTTTAAAAAGTACCACTAGAGAAAAGGACAAGAGTCAACTTCTAAAAATTCCACAGGCATGAACGAAGATCTCCGATGACCTAACTCTGTAATTCAATGGATTTGTTTATTCATCCAGCAATTATTTACCAAGGGCTTACTACGCCAGGTACTGAGTAGAGGGCAGTGCACAAGACTCCTTACCCCATGGAACCTACATTCTGGTGGAAAAGACAGACACTAAACATAACTAATTAATTATGCATAATTAATGTCCCACCATTTTGAGAAGCATGACAAACAGAAGATATAACAAGCCAAAGCAGCCTAACATCTCAAACTTGGAGCTTTGGCATCATAATTACTGTCAAAACACTGTTTTTGATAACTAGAGCCTAGCAGGTACACTGTAGATTGTGGATCATCGATGCCAAGTGGAATTGGTTGCTGAGAACGTTGGGGAAAATGTGATTCATGTATGGTTTTAATGAAGAACACATTTTTCAGGAATAAGAGAACAATGCTTCTGGCAAAGTTTCAGATAACCCAGATAATTCCATTTCCCCATAGCCATGTTTACTTTTGACACGTGGCCAAGGTCTGTGTTGTTACAAGAACCTCATTCTTCCCAGGAGATGCTGGGCCAGTGGCTTTTGGCAGCTGCTTGGAGCACTGAAAGATGTTTTCCTGGTATGGACATCATCACTACTACCCCTAAGCATTGAAACACGAAGGCTTGGGTGCAAAAATATGTACCTGGATAGATACACATTTGCACCAAATCCAAATACAGTACCCACATGATGGTTTCACTGCCCTTTTGGAGTTAATGACTCCATTCTTAATAAGGGTGGGGCAACATCTTTTGCCTGGAGAGAATCCTCACCATCCTGGTATTTTCCATATCCTCGTCTTCCTAAATCATTCCATGACACAGTGAGTTGATAGGGGTTTAAGAATTAATCTTCACTTATAGTATTTTCCGTAGGGGAAGTCAGCACTGAATCCCGCTGATGCCTACATCCCACCTTCTATGTAAACCCTCCTGCCCTCCCTCCCTCCATTTCCTCAATTCATCCGTGGTTGATAGGTCAACCATCATCAATGACTGACAGCGGTATCTACTTCACAGAGCATTGTCAAGACGACACAAATTAAATAACATGCAAAGCACTTTTGACGGCCTACACTGGGTGCATCCAAAATTCACTTGTGGAAATCATGACCCCCAGCAACTCAGAATGTGAGACATATTTGTGAGACCTATTTGGAGACAGGTCTTTAAAAAGGTTAATTCAGCTGAAAGGAAAGCCAGGCATGGTGGCTCATGCCTGTTATCCCAGTACTTTGGGAGGTTGAGGTGGGAAGATCCCATGAGCCGAAGAGTTTGAGACCAGCCGGGAAACACAGGAAAACCCCATTTCTACAAAAAATAAAAATTAGCAGGCTGGGCGCATTGGCTCAACGCCTGTAATCCCAGCACTTTGGGAGGCCAAGGCAGGCGGATCACGAGGTCAGGACATCAAGACCATCCTGGCCAACATGGTGAAACCTCGCCTCTACTGATAATACAAAAAATTAGCTGGGCGTGGTGGCGAGCGTCTATAGTCCCAGCTACTTGGGAGGCTGAGGCAGGAGAATGGCAGGAACCCGGGAGGCGGAACTTGCAGTGAGCCGAGATCACACTCCTGCACTCCAGCCTGGGGGACAGAGCAACTCTGTCTCAAAAAAATACAAATAAAAATTGAGTGTAGTGGCACATGCCTGTGGTCCCGGCTACTCAAGCAGCTGAGGTGGGAGGATCACTTGAGCCCAGGAAGTCAAGGCTGCAGCAAGCCATGATCCTGCCACTGCTCTCTGGCCTGGGAGACAGAGTGAGACCCTATCTCTACCAAAAAAATAAATGAGTAAATAAAATGAGATTAGGGTGGCCCTAATCCAACAAGACTGTTGTTCTTATGGGAAGAGGTGAGGATACTGACACAAAGAGAAAGCCGTAAGAAGACACAGCAAGAAGATGACCATCTGCAAGCCAAGGAGACAGGTCTCAGAAGAAACCAACCCCGCTGACACACTGACCTCAGGTTTCTGGCCTCCAGAACTATGAGAAAATGCATTTCTCCGGTTGAAGCGATCAGTCTGGGTGATCTGTGATGGCAGCCCCAGCCAACCAACGCAGCACTGAGAACAGAAAGTACTCAGCCAACCTCAGATCTTGCTATGCTGTATAGAGGCAACAATGTGATGTCTCTCCACACCATGTGTAGAGATGCGGCAATGTGGGGAAGAGAGTGAGATCTCAATTCAGATGGCATGTGTTGGGTGGATCCCTAAGCTCAGCTTTCCCCTCCACAAAACGGGGCTAATGCCAGGACTGATGATCCTGGGATAATGTGAGCATGGCGCAAAAATGTACGCAAAGCTCCTCGGGTTCCAGCAGCCTACTCAGAAACATTGCCACCTGACTGTAATGTTCACTTTCTGCTGAACTAGGAAAGTAAGCGAGGCCAATGAAACAGTAGGCGCCAACCCAGAAGGTGTCATGAGTTCAGGTCTTGGAGTTTCATGAGACTTTTCTTTCTTTCTTTTTTTTTTTTTTAATGCATCCTAGGAATTTACTATCTGCACAGAGATTTAATAAAACAGAAAGAGCACAGTAAAAAATAATGGCTGTAGAAAGTCAGCATATTCTTCTTTAAAGTCTTAGGCCACCAGGAGAAGGAAGTGAGCCCCCATGTCCCCAGGGGACCTGCCCAGGTCTGACTGCCTTCACGGAAACTCAGTGAAAGGACATGGAAGAGAGAGGTGAGCCCAAGTACAGAGAAGGGAAGCAGCTTACTCAGGTCTCACCATGGGTCAGGCAGCAAGCTCCCAGTGGAGCCTCCTCTCCAAGAGTTTCTGGCAACAGCTGGGCAGAGATGCAGGCCCCCCTCTTTGCCACCTGCTAATGGTGTGTAAAGGAAAGCAACTCTCCCTGCCCAAGGGTCACTCACAGCTGATGGAAAAGCTCTGTCCGGAGGCAGTCTGGCGAGATTTTCAATCCAATTTCTCTCGAGTGAAAGGCTAACAGGATAAGATCGCTCCCTGTTAACAACCTGGATTGTGAGTGAAGTCTCGGGGTTGGGGCGAGAGATGAGGTCATAAAATCAAGAGCTTACCTTGCAAAGCAATCTAGTCCCAGCCCCAGGTCTCTGGGCCTCCCTGCAGAGCCTGTTAATCTCATGTTGAACATGCCCGTCCCTGGGCACTATCTGCCAAGGAACTCAGGCCCTCCGTTCCAGGGTCAGAGTTCCATAATGATGTTTGCAGCCAAGGTGGCTGGAGCCCGGGAGGCCTGTCTGTCAGCACCCTACACACTCCTTAGTGGGAAGAGAGTGGGGCCAACACTGTTTTTTAAGAACGAACATAGCCTTAGAGCTGAGGCCTCACAGGTAACCCCTTTGCACGTCTTGTAAAATGGACAATTTTCCCATGTGGTTCCTCCAGCACTGCAAATCAGGCACAAACTACGGTGACTGTGAATAGACTAGACATTTTGTCCTGTCCAGGGGCAACAGCCACATTCCTCCTAAATAGCCTGGCCTCCCTGGAACCACCGGAGCAAAGGATGCCGGCTGGGAGGAGCCGGCACCCATCAGCTACCCAAAGTCATCTGCCCTACCTGGAGCTCTCCAGATCCCATGATCCTGCCCAGCAGCAACAGGAAGCTGGGTTCTGGATCTGACACCCACTGGTATCCAGACACAGCAAAATCCACATTGAAGGTTGCCTTTTAACGCTTTTAAGTAAAAGCAAACTCTCCAACAGAAACTAACCTGATTTACCTTCCTGAGCTGGCTTCAACCTGACCCAAAATGAGAATTTCAAAGGGATGGATGGTGTTCATGGGCATTTCTTTCTTTTAAAACAGTTTTTTTGAGGTATAACTTACGTACAAAAATCTACAGCCAGCTGGGCGCGATGGCTCACGCCTGTGATCCCAGCACTTTGGGAGGCCGAGGCAGGCAGATCACAGGGTCAGGAGATCGAGAACATCCTGGCTAACACGGTGAAACCCCAACTCTACTAAAAATACAAAAAATTAGCTGGGCGTGATGGCGGGCGCCTGTAGTCCCAGCTACTTGGGAGGCTGAGGCAGGAGAATGGCGTGAACCTGGTGGGTGGAGCTTGCAGTGAGCCGAGATCGCACCACTGCACTGCAGCCTGGGTGACAGAGCGAGACTCTGTCACACACACACACACACAAAAAAAAAAAATCTGCAGCCATCTCCTGTATATGATTGGATGAATCTGGACTCATGCATATACCCACACAGCCATCATCACAGCAAAGGAAACAGATGTATGCATCAGGTCAGGATTCCATCTCTATGACTCTCAGAAACGAACAAAATTTACCAAAGGAAAGAGACGACAGAGTAGGGAGAGCTGTTGGTGGACGGGCAGTGGGAAGACTTCCAGGAGATAAAAATACTTTACATCATGATCTGAGTGGTAGTAATCCAGAGATACACAGATGTAAAAATTCATAATGTTGTGTACTCCAGATTTGTATAATTTATGTTATGTAAGTTATACCTCAATGTTTAAAATTGCCAACCATTTCCTGGGTACCTTCTGCATGCCAGAGCTTGAACAAAAGACTGATGGCTTGAACAATACCCTCCTAGTAGATACCAGGTAAGAGTGTTACCTTTCATAATGTCACAGATAAGCTTCGGAAATGCTGCCTAGGGGAAGGAGAGACACTCTCATCATCTATTCTTCTATTAAATATAAATGGCTACCTGACCTGGGCTCTGCAACAAATCAAAGAGCAAACCTTGTTTTTCCCGTTCACAGCATTAGCTTAGGAATATGGAGAGACAGAAATAAAGACAAGACAGAAAAAACACTAGCTTTCCAGGGTATAGTCCTCAGAAACAACTCATTTTCACTGAATACCTGAGAATAAAGACAGCTTGATTACAGTAAGATTGGCAAAACCCAAAGAATGCAGAAGACATATGCACCTGTCTTTTTCCACAATGCTGTGCTAGCATTTCTGGACTTCAATGGACGCTACTGTGTACAGGACACCCTTAAAGGAGGGGAACAAGCCTGATGATTGGAGAACACAGAGTCCCAGGCAGACAGAAACAGCTTCTGGGGTTTTTGACTCAGTGCAAGGCTGGCTTTGACTGCTGAGCACCCGGGATGGGAACCAGAGAAGACTGAGCCAGAAAACTCGTGAAGACCTCAGGACCATGGGTAGCAGGAATAAGTGCTCACAGGCTAGTCCGAAGGGCAGCATTGAACCTGAGTCTTCAAAGTGAATGGGAGCTTTCCAGGTAGGGAAGTTAGAGGAATGCCATGTGCTAAAGATTCTGGGGTCAAAGTCGGAAGTGAGGGGATGTTGGCACAGAGCCTCAAAATGCATTTGTTAAATCTGTGCGTGCATTCATGAATGAATGAGGGAGGGAGGGACGGACGGAGGGAGGGAAGGAGGGAGTGAGGGAGGGAATGGATGGCTAGATCTGAGGGAAATTTCAACCCCTCAGCAACCGCAGCTGGGACTCATGATCTAGTCTCTAACTCAGGAACTGCCCTCCGGCCAGTTTCACTTGGAACAAATAAGGGTACTGCCAATAAGTATCTATTTAATTAAAAGAAAGCTGGCTGAGCCAAAGTGAGGGGGTGGAAAAAGAGGCAGGGGAGAAAGGAGGAAGGGGAGGGGTGGGGAAGGGAGGATGAGGAGCAAAGGAGGAGAAGAAAGAGAAAGAAGAGGATGGAGGAGGGGGAAGAGAGGAGAAGGAGAAAGAGGAGGAAAATAGGGGAGAAGGGGGGACAGGAGAGGGAGAAGGGACAGGAGGAGGAGAGGGACAGAAAGAGGTGGGGAGGACAATAGCAATCAGGGGGCGGAAGATAAAGGGGAGGATGAGGGGGAGGAAGCAGAGGAGGAGGGGTGAGGAGGAGGAGGGAGAGAGAGAAGAGAGAGGGAAGAGGAGGAGGAGGAGGGAGAGGGAGAAGGGAGAGGGAAGAGGAGGAGGAGGAGGGAGAGGAAAGGGAAGAGGGCAGACAGCGGCATCTCCAAGAGCTCGTATTCACGGTGGCAGCAGTTCAGTGGGAAAATCAAGGGCACTGTGACACAAGAACCTCCTGCTCTAACAAGCCAGATGCTCCTCTGAGCCAAGGCTCTCAGGAGCAGCGCCTGGACCTCGCTGGCCAGCACCGCAGACAAGCTGGGCCCAGAGATGAGCTCCCTCCCAGGGGCGGTGTCCGGAGTGACAGCTCCAGGAAGCGGCCACCAGGTGGCGTGTGCGCCTTACTTCCTTCCCAGGTTTCCAGCCGCGGGAGGCAGAGGGTGGTGCTGGGGTTCCAGGAAGCCGAAGGTCCTTTCACAGATGGACCGTTAAGCCAGCCCAGGGGACGGCAGAGCAGCCTGAGGGAGCAAGAACTGTCACCACGGTCTGCCCGCGAAGTAGGTCCACACTGTCCCTTGCAGGTCAGGGCTTAGCTTACAGGTGCTCCCAGAGAGACCCCGGAGCAGGGAGGGGAGTGGAGAAGAGCTCTGGGTTCAGATCTGATCTTGACCACAACAGACGGTTCAGGTTCAAACCATGCTTCCTGGAGACGCCTCTCAGCCCAACTTCAGAGGGGAAAGAAGCGTTCCCATTAACAGAAGCTCCACTGTGACCCGTTTTAAGCACTGAACAGCGGTGCCACAAATAATTGGGGAGAAAAAAAAGTCCACAGCTTAAAAAAGCATTGAAGACCCCATTGCTAACACTGGTGGGCTCCCATCATGGGGCAGAAACCCAGATAGGCACTCATCATCTGGGGTCCTTTTTCCTAACGGGGTCCCCCAAGTTGATCCAGGCTCAGGTCCCACAAAATGTGGATCTGCCCCCTTCTTGACACATAGAAACGGCTCGATCCAAAGTGGCTGACCAGCAAGATAGGATGGCCTCCATTTTGCAGATGACAAGACTGAGGTTCAAGGACCTATGGGAACAGGACGGAGCTGGGACTCCCACCACATCTTCAGATTGGCAGCCAGCTGCCTTGTCAAAATACCACTCCAATGTCCCTCCTGTCCTCATGTCTATGGGGAGAGGCTAAAGGCTAATAAGGTGCCTGTTCAGATAAACGTAGCTGTCTTCAGAGCAAGTAGACTTGAGCAGTACACACCACTCACTCTTCGAAGCTCTAGGGTCTATCAAGCACACATCAAAAAGTGGCAGCTTTGCCTCTTAGCTTGTCAAAAAAACTCAGCTGCTGGGTGCAGTGGCTCCTTTCTGTAATCCCAGTGCTTTGGGAGGCCAAGGCAGGAGGATCAATTGAGTCCAGGAATTAGAGACAAGCCTGGGCAACATAGTGAGACTCCATCTGTACAAAAATGAAGATAGCCAGATGTGGGAGCATGCACCTGTAGTTCCAGCTACTTGGGAGGCTGGGATGGAAATATCACTTAAGCCCAGGAGTTCAAGGCTGCAGTGAGCTATGACGGCACCACTGCATGCCAGCCTGGGTAACAGAGTGAAACCCCATCTCAAAAACAAACAAAACTGAGCTGAATGCTACACACTTTCTGTTGCCCATCATCATGGAAATCTGGGTGCAAAGCTCTGACCCCACCCATCTCTCATCACTCTTCTCTTCCAAGTACCTCTCACAGCTCATGGACCAAACCCCCACCCTCCCTGTGTTCTTCCTCCTCTGTCATGTCATGTAAGTCAACGGGTGTGCACTGTCCTTTTCTCTAAACGATAAGCATATTATCTTGGCCAGGAATGAATGTCGGATGTTTTTGTTTTTAATTTGTGCACCTTCACTCACCCATAGCATCTCGCATCTAGATTTGCATTCAGTAAGCACTCAATAAATGTGTCTTCTTCCTGCTAGTACAAGATATGTACAGGGGGTAGGGGTGGAATGTTGACAACTGGAAAATGAAAGTGTTTCAGAATTATGGAGCAAATGAACAGGGAGATGTATCGTCTATAATAAATATACCTCTGAAGAGCCTTAAAAGAAATCAATGAAGCACAACATCAAAGTCCCAGGGAGTGACAAATCAGGAGCCTGATAGACAAAAGTGCATCCGAAGTCATTTAAAGTGCACCAGAAATCATTTATGTCTGAGTAATTAGAACACATTGGAACGACTCTGTGCCAGTGAACTGAAATTGAGCAACATAATGTTTATGAAATCCCCATGGACTCAGGGAGGATAACCAGAGATGAAAGTTGCATTGAAGATTCTCCCCACTGGCCCAGAGCCCTCCTGCGTAGTCCCCAGGAGAGACCTAGGGGGAAATGAAGTTTCTGTTTAGTCCATGTGCAAATTTGTTTTCTTCTAGTTTAAAAATGTCTGCAGTCTCAGTTGTAGAGGGAAAAAAAATGTCAGGCTCAGGCTGTACGTGACAGGACAGGATCCCCCAACCACCTGATCCGCACCTCCCAACCTAGAGGGAGTCTAAGACAGAATTGAGACCAGGTGGGCATCATTCCTATAAAAAGGTGGCCATTCTTAGCGAGAAAAAGGCTGGGCTTCTTTCTCAGTGTTCCTACAGAATTTGACACTCCCTCCACAGCCCCATTGAGAGAAGTGGAGGGAACTGACCTAGGTCAAAGAGCTGGGACCCTGAAAGGCAGCATCAGGATAAAAAAAAAAAAAAAGTCCAAGGAAATTCTACAGGAGGAAAATGGGAGATGAAGGAGTCAGAGAAGAAAGAGGGACTTCTATGCTCATCCATAGAATCCAGTCTTCGGATGCTGGCTGGGGAAGAAAAAAAAAAACCCCATCTACCTTGATTTGGGGAGTTAAACAAGGATGACAGAACCTTGAACTTGGAGATGTGCAAAGAAGCCCTCAGGCATCAACTGCTTTTGTGAGCTTTCCACTCAGTGATGGAACCTGGCCCCATAAACATGACCCCAATATGGTCCTGGTACTGGACTGCCTCCCCCCATGAAATGATGGTCTGAATTTGTCCATCAAATGAACTTGACATGCTGGCGTCTTTATCAGCTCACAGATAATGAGAAAGGAAAATTTCACTTGGAGTATGACTCTCTCATTCCCCTCTGCCCTCAGTTTTAGACCACAAATCTCAGCTTCTGGGAGCCATAATCAGGGCTGCAACCCTGTGCCATCAGCAGATATGAAAGCAAGTGGAAGATCCCTACATATATGGGATGCAGGTGAGGGTAACGTTGCACCCACGTACAGAAATATGTCTACTTACCCTCCCTCTGTCAAGAACCTGGTAGGCTTATATTGGGGAACCCACCCTCAACTGTGCAAATGCAGAGATACTGCAGGCATATGTGTGTTCTGAGCCTTGAAGGATGTCCACCCACATGTTGGGTGTGGGGAGGTTCTTCTGAAGCCTGAAGGAAGATTTGTCCATGTCAACAACTGTTTCCCGTCTTGGTACCCCTGTGATTCTGTCCCCTGCTCCAACTGAGGCCCCTCAAAGAAACCTGAGGAATCTTCACAAAATGCAAATCCAATCACCTCCTTGAAAACCCATCAGGGCCCTCCCCTAGCCTTAGTCCCATTCTCATGGGCCCCTGAGCTTCAGTCTTGTCATCTGTAAAATGGAGTCCATTCTACCTTGCTGGTCAGCCACTGTGGATTGAGTCCTTTCTATGTGCCAGGAAGGGGCCAGATCCATGTTTTGTGGGACATGAGCCTAGGTCAATTTAGGAGACCTCGTTAGGAAAAAGAACCCCAAATGATGAGTGCCTAGCTAGGTTTCTGCCTCATGGTGGCACTGAGGTCTTCAATGCTTAGGGTTAAAGACCAGCATCCTCACCACGGCCTGGCCTCACTGGAATGCTCCTCCTCCCTGAACTCCAGCTACTCTGGCTATCTTTTAGCAGTTCCTAAAACTCCTCTGGCCACAGGGCCTTTGCACATGCTATTTCCTCTGTCTAGAATGCTCTATTCTCGCCTGACCTTGCCCTGTGGCCTTGAGAGCTCAGTTCATGAGCCTCCTCCTGGGAAAACCCCAGACATATCCACCATGTATGCCCGGTTTTATTATAAAAACCTTTCTCAGAGCCATTATCTACCTTGTGAAGCACTTTTCTTCATTTGTAGATATACTTTTGTATGAGTATCTGCTCAATCTCTGTCTCACTAAACTGTAGACCCACAGAGGGGGGGTCCTAGTGTGTCTTGGCTTGTCACTATAACCTTAGCAGCTTCACAGGACCTGGCACATGGTGGCTTCCCAATATTGCATGGATGGACAGATGGAGTGGTGGATAGGTGGATGAGTAGATGGGAAAGTGGGTGGGTGGGTGGATGGGAGAGTGACTGGGAGAGTAGATGGATGGATGGGAGAACTGATGGGAGAGTAGATGAATGAATGAATGAATGAGAGTGGAGGGGAGAATGAATGAATGGATGGGTGGGAGAATGGGTGGGTAGGTGGGAGAGTAGACGTATGGATGGGAGGAATTATGGGAGAGTAGATGAATGAATGAATGAATGAATGGGATGGATGGGAGAGTAGGTGGGTGGGAGACTAGATGGAGAGATGGATCAAGTAATATTTCCATCCCAGCCTCCCAAGTAGCTGGGACCACAGGTGCATGCTACTACATCTGGCTGTTTTTATTTTATTTTTTGTACAGATGGGGTCTCACTGTGTTGCCCAGGCTTGTCTAATTGCTGTCCTCAAGTGATCCTCCTCCCTTGGCCTTACAAAGTGCAGGGATTACAGATATGAGCTACTGCACACAGTAGCTGAGTGACGGGAGAGTAGATGAATGGGTGGGTGGGTGGGTGGGTGGGTGGATGGATGGATGGATGGATGGATGGGAGACTGAAAAGAAGGGTGAATGGATGGATGGATGGATGGATGGATGGATAGATGGATGGATGGGAGAGTGGGTGGGGGAGTGGGTGGATGGATGGATGAGAGAGTAGATGGAGGGATGGATAGGAGAGTGGCTGGATGAACAGATGGATAGGTGAATCACTAGTTTTTGTTGATACTGGTTTATAAAATTGATCATTTTTATCAGTTGAAAGAAGTTGAGTACACAGAAGTGCAAAGCAAAAGGCTACTGAAGAAGAGAAAAGCCAGTGTAGGAGCCAAGGAACACAGCAGCAACAACGCTGGTAGGGAGGCAGGTCCACCAAGTCATTCATTCGTTCTGTTAGGCTTTCTGTGCTCTTACACGTGCAGGCACTGAGGTGATGCTGGGGTTGCAGTGAGCTGTCAAACTAGATGTGTCAGAAATGAGAAAGGAGATGAGAGAACAAATTAGAATACAGAGTGATCGACACTTTGATGAAGGAAGTAAGTGGAGCCTGGGGTCCATGAAACCCACTGCCAAACCAACCCAGACAGGTGAGTAAGAACCTGCCCTAGGTAAGGCAGTACCTTAAAGATGAACCCAAGATTTCAGGGGAAGGCAGGCAGGGAGACTGGGTGGATTCGGGATGGAGATGTTGCCAACAGAGCACATGTGGGTCAGAGAGAAAGCACGCCACACCTAAGGATGTGGATGATGCTCTAGTTGTCTGCTGGGGAGATATGGAAACAGACTAGGCTGTAGAGAGACACAGAGGCCACATCGTAGGATGCTCTGTAAGCTGTGTCAAGGAGTTTGGATTTTAGCCTGAGAACCACAGCCCACAACTTGAGTGTTAAAATGCTCAGCCAGCCAGGGACTAGAGGGATCTGATTTTTATTTATTTTTATTTTTATCTTTTGACAGATAGGGTCTTGCTCTGTCACCCAGGCTGGAGTGCAGTGCTGCAATCATAGCTTACTGCAGCCTCAATCTCCTGGGCTCAAGCGATCCTCCCACCTCAGCCTCTGGAGTGGCTGGGACTGAAGACATGTGCTACCACGCCATTAAATTTTTAATTTTAAAATAATTTTTTTTTAATTTTCTGATTTTATAGAGACAAAGTATCCCTATGTTTCCCAGGCTGATCTCAAACTCCTGGCCTGAACTGACCTCCTGCCTCAACCGACCTCCTGCCTCAACCTCCAAAGCACTGGGATTAACAGCATAAGCCACTGTGCCCAGCCTAATTTTTACTTTTCAACTTTGTACGTTGCGGTGTTTTTAATACCCCTGCCAAGACCACAGTTTTAGGTAAACCGCCATCCTGCCTATACCCATGTCCCTGTTCCCTTTCCTAGCTGTGTGACCTTGGGAAGTTCCCTTGCCTCACGAGGCATCAACTTGCTCTTCTGTTAAACGGGGACAACAGAACCCCGTGAGACACTCTGACAATCACATGAAGCTATGTGAATAAAACATGGGCCTAGTACATAGCGAGTGTACAGCAGCTGCTCACTAGTCTTTCAACAAGTAGCGACTGAGAGTCTATTACATGCAGGCACAGGCATAGGTGCTGGGGATACAAGAATGAGCAAAACACTGGTAATGGGACAGACTGATGGTAACGGGACAGACTGCTGGCATATTGGAAATTCAGAAAACTCCCTGCCCTCCCAGTGGCAGGAGGTACAGCAAGCCGGCAAGTAAGTAAAATACACTGGATGTCAGAGGGTGGTGCTCAGTGTTGTGTGAGCATCAAAGCAAAGAAAAGAAGAAGGGTGCTAAGCAGGGCTTAGACATTTAAATAAAGCCATCAAGGAAAACGTTGCAGAGAAGATAATATTTGAATAAAAACTCAAAGAGGGTAAGAGTACAAATTATGCTGATGTCGGTTTTGTCTTCCACCCCGCCCCCACCGTCTCTGCACAGTCCTCTGCTCCCCACCCCCACCTACCCTCTCCGCAGCTCCTAGAACAGTGCTCTGCACAAAGTAGGTGGCCGATAAAAAATATTATGAGATTAACAAGTCTTAGGGAAAAGCATTTGTGGTCAGGGGAACAGCATGTGTAAAGGACACAAGGCATGAGGACCATGAAAAACAGTCAAGCTGAAAGGTACCAGGACACTGGGGGCTGCCTTGTACATGAGGGTTTGGATGCAGGTCACAGGGTCCCATTTGGTTTGGCCAGGCTCTGGCCTGGAGTGACGCTGGGTCAACCTTCGCTGACACGGTGGACATCTCTACATGCTTGACACCTGCCACTACTCCAGGACGATCCTGCCCTTTGTCTCCACAAGAAGGAAATAGCCTTCTTGAATAAAAGCCTGGAAGCTGACCTCTCCTCTGCCCCCAGCAGGCTGACTTTTCCCTAGAGTGGAAGGTGACAGGCATTCACATTCCACTCCTGTCTCAGACAAGCGACAGAGAATGTAAGATGGCTGGATGGGTTTTGCTGGTAATGGGATAGACTGATGGCGTATTGGAAATTCACATTTAAAATACAGCTCTCCTTTCTGTAAAATGAGATAGCATCTACCAATTCGGGTAATGAATACATAACTTAAAAGCAAGCCATGGGAGTTTGGAAGAAGGCCCCAGGTAGTTTCAGGTGGTTCGGCCCATTTCGATACACAGCACAGAGCCCTCTCCCCTCCCTCCAATAATTTTATTTCTTAGCAAAATCATTACTGAGAATATTGAACTCCCTTACAGAGATGTATTTGCTCCCCTTATCTTCCTTCCGTCTTTCTTGATTAAAAGCTATGTGTGATATTTGTAGTTATCAAACATCAATATTTGGCATGGATTGGCGAAATGGATATGGGGGGAAGAAAGGAGTCTGACCATTTCTGTAAAGGGTAAAACCTTGAGCAAACAGACTGCATTTCTTATTAGGGGCACTAAAGAGCAGAGATGCATTTCAGAAGGGACCACTCGGACTGCACCCCAACAGGCTTTGTGAAACCAATGATCTGGGCTCAAAATTAGATTCTGGATTACATCAGGAAAGCCAGCTACCTTCAGAGGATAGGGGATGGGAGGGAGAGTTAAGCAGTGTATCTCACAACTGTTAGCCCTACAACTATTACAGGGCTTGCAGCCTTGTAACAGACAACTCCAGCACTCAAACTGGACAGAGCTGAAATAATCAATAATAATAATTAAACCTTCTCTAGTGCTCTCTCCTAAGGCTTTACCTATATTAACTCGTTGAATCCTCATAACAATTTGATTTATCAACTCTGTGTTACAGATGAGAAAAGTTACAGGCACAGAGAAGTCAAGCCACTGGCCCAGGCTTCCACAACAAATAGGTGGCAGGGCTGGGACTCAAGGCTGCAGCCTGGTTCCCAGCCATGCACAGAACCACTTTGCCATATTGCCCCTTCATCATGTGGCCACGTGTGGACCCTCACACCTCCAGAGCTTCCCAGAATCATGGTATGCTATGACTGCTCAGACGGCTGCTGCTGTTACGGAAACAGAGCCCTTGGTTCCCGTCCTACACCCTTGCAACACTGACCCAGTCAGCTGAGACTCAAAGTGCCCCTCCGTGAAGTGAGGGTAACAACAACCACACTTGCCCCCGGGGTGTTATGACAATTCACAAGGTATGCGCTCAGACAATGAGCTTCCAAGTGGGATTCATAGTCATTGCTGGTGGGAATGAGCACTGGAACAACCACTTTGGGCAACTTTTGGACAGTAGCTACTCAAATTAAACATGTGCCTATTCTGTGACCAAAGAGACACACTCCTAGGTATATTCCCCAGATAAATGAGTACCTGCGTCCACCAAACAACAGGTGCACGAGTGCACATAGCCCCAAACTACAAACAACCCCAATGCTCATCCATGGGAGAATGGATACATTATGGTCCAATCATACAATGAAATCCTGTCCAGCCATTAAAAAGAGTAGCTAGTGGTACATACAGTAGCATAGGTGATTCTCCTAGGGATGCTTTTGAGGGAAAGAAGGCAGATACATATGGACTGCAGGGGTCCATTTATAGAGATTTCAGAAATGAGCCCAGTGGAATTGGAAAGGCAGTGACCTCAGATTGGGGCAGGTAGTGTCGACAGAGAGAAGTATGAGGGAGCCTTCTGGGACAGTTTACATCAACAGAGCTGACACTTTCATTCACTCATTTCAAGAACAAGCCTTACTAAGCACCTACTGTATTTTAGGCACCCCATCAGGAGATAGGAAGGAGAAAAGACCTTCACTCCCCATCCGTAGTTCAATGCCAACATTGAAACCCGTCAGTATCATCACCGTGACTCCAGGGGGCACAGCCATCCTCAGAGATTAGGGGAAATCACTAAATAGATTTCCCCTCTTATCTGGCAGAAAGCAACAGAGAGAAATGGCAGACCCTGCGCTATCTGTGCCTGAGGTCAAGAGTGCCACTTAGCATTTCGTCCCAGCAAGTCCAACTTCCTTTAATCAGAACCATGTGGCCAACATCACGGGTGATATTTTGAAGGGAAAGAATTTAAGCCTCCATGTCTCACTGCCCCGAGTATCAGCTTTGTCCTCCTGCTCCTAATGCCGTTATCTCGTCCGCACACTTGGTTTTCTGCCGAGCAGACGCTGTAGAAGGCACATTAGCAGTGAGAAGTAGAGCGTGCCCAGGAGTCTGGGCGTAGAGCTGGTGACCCCTCTGCTCCCCAGCCCACTCCAGTGAGGAGACATAGTGAAAAATGCCCAGGAGGGACCAAGGCCTCCCAGCCTCCTAAGCCAGGTCCCAGGGAGATCTTTCTAAAATGCAAATTGGATCCAGACAATCACCAGCTTAAAACCTTTCAGTGGCCACACACTGATCACAGCAAAAACTCAATTTCTTAACTACTATGGAGCACTGGGGCATGCCTGCTTCTCCCGCCAACCCCTGACATCCCCTCTTCCAGACTATAACAGACCCAAGTTCATGCCCATGTTTCTGATGATTCTGTTCCTTCTACCTGGAGCCCCCCATCTCCTGCAATCAGTGTTACGACTCCCACTTGTCCTTCAAGACTCTATGTATCACCTCCTCTGTGAAGCCTTCCCTACCTGTTTGCACTACCACTCAACTTTATATTCTTCCTACACTACAAAGCAATCAGATTGTGCCTCAGTTATGGGCTACTTCTTATTCATCCTGTGTCCTCCTCACAGACTGCAAGCGCTTTGAGGGCACGGTTTGAGTCTTATTCATATGCATACCTTCCAACTCTTAGCAGTGACTGTGATATAATTTAGGGAGTTGGGGGTGGAATGAGGAAGAGATGAGAAGTGAGGGAGAGAGGAGGTGAGTGAGAGAGAAGGTGAGGAAGGAAGGGAGGGAGGAATGAGGGTGGAGGGCATTTTGTGGTTGGAGAGCAACACAACCAGAGTGACTTAGGAAGAATCTCTGAACAAGGCTTTTCTGATGACTATGGATGAATGGTTAGGAATTTGGATGGTCAGATCTGAGGGGAGAATTCAAGCAGAAAGGATAGCCTAAGCAAAGGTCTGCAGTCAGGGAACATGGGGCATGGACACTGGAGGACAGGGTGGGAGGAGAGTAGCAGATAAGGTTGGAGAAGCCACCAGATAGTATCCCAATGCCAAGTATGAAATCACAGGACCTTGCTCTCTACTCTCACATCACAGAGAGCTGCTGAAATATGTCAGAAAGGAGGAGCCATGGTTCAGCAAGTGAACTGATCAGACAGTGGGTCAACTAGAGACATGCCACGGGCAACCTCTGCTAACTTCAGATTGAGAGTAAGACAGGAAAATGCCAAGGATGCCAGGGAAGAGGGAGGAAAGCTATGCCTGTGAATATACAGAAAGAGAAGCAATGGGAAAGGTGGGCCAGCTTATGGGTTCCATGATGGCTGCTACAAGTCTCTATGAGACACCTGGAGTTGGGACAGCATCTGTGTTGGCACTCTCCCCTCCTGTTCTCAAGGCAGACATTACCATTCAAGAGTACCATTCTTCTCGCCTATACCAAGGAAGACATTACTAATCAATGGTGCCACTCTCCATTCCTGTACCCAAGGCAGACATTATTAAATTAATGGCCCTACTCTCCCCTCCTAGACCTGAGGTAGACATTACTCATCAAGGACAACACTCTCCCCTCCTAGACTCAAGGCAGACTTACTCATCAATGGCACCACTCTCCCCTCCTAGACCCAAGGCAGACATTACTCATCAGTGGCACCACTCTCCCCTCCCAGACCCATGGCAGACATTACTAATCAATGGCACCACTCTGCCCTCCTATACCAAAGGCAGACATTAATCATTAATCATCAGTGGCACCACTGTCCCCTCCTATTACTCATCAATGGCACCACTCTTCCCTACTGAGTACAGATATAGCCTTGGCATCCTTGACCTGGGACTGGGTCTAACCTCCACTCCCATCTGACTGCCGTCTATAAATGAGGTGTTACCTACTCTCCATACATGGTTACAGGCATCATAACCTGGGATCAGGGACGTGAGAGCAGAAAGAGCCTGAGAAACCCTCATTTCACAGACACGGAAGCCAAAGTCCTTGGAGAGTTGGTGGTGGAATCAGAGATGAAATCCAGTCCAATCTGCCCCATCTCTTTCTTCAACATTCTGCTGCACCTTGGAGGGTAAAACAGGGAACAAGCCTGTCACCACTCACAGCAACTAGAAGCCAGAGCAGAAAGGACAAGCAAACCTGCCTCAAACTGGCGTCAAACCTGAGTCAATGCTCAGCGGAAATGAAGGCCGGGTGAGTGGGTGTGTGTGCGCGGGCTGTAGAGAAGGGAACAGGAGTTTCACTTCCATCCCTCTGAACAACACAGATCACTTTTGCTAAATTCCAAAAGGTGGCAGCATTCCATCAAATATTCATTTGCTGAGACTGCAGCAGGGGACGTCCTACAGAGGTGACATGGGCAGGAAGTTAAGACGTCCAGATGACTAGGGGATAAGGAAGTCTGGAGGGTCAAACACTGAAGTGGTCTGGTTCCCGGGGGGCCCATGAGCCCCTTTTCTGCAAGAAAAAGGGAAAATGCTGGAGAGAAATAGCAGCACACTTGGCCCCAAGAAGAGGAGAAATCCAGACTCATCTCGGGACTGTATCAGCATGGACAGACCTCAGTGCGGCCCCATGATCAGTAGCATGTAGGCAGGACCCACGAGTTACTTCTAACCAATAGAAAAGATGATGGGCATGCCATGATTATGTTGGGACATGTGTACACAAGACTCCATGTTGCTAACATGCACTAGAGAGACACTCCCGGGAAAAGCACACTGTCACATTGTAAACTGCCTGTGGAGAGGGCCATGTGGCAGGGAACCGTAGGTGGCCTCTAGGGTCTGAGGGCCTGCATCTTACAGCCACAAGAAATTGAATTATTCCAACAACCAGTGAGATTGCAAAGGGACCCTGAGCTCCAGATGAAACTCCCAGCTCCTGCCAACTCCCTTGCCTGCAGCTTGGTGAGAACCTAAGCAGAGAACCCAGTTCAGCTGTGTCCAGACCTATGACCAATCGAAGCAATAAGATGGTAGACAGGTGTTGTTTGAAGCCACTTAGTCTCTTAAGCACGCATAAAAAATGAATTTTTTGTATTCTTATTACAGAAAAATACAGGGGTTTTGAAATATGGCTCTGGAATGAGGCAGAACAAAGTAAAAATTTGGGTTCTTCCACTTAACTGCACTATGCTTACTGCCTTGGCTATAGAAGGGGAGAGTGACACCATTGATTAGTAATGTCTGCCTGGAGTATAGAAGGGGGGAATGGCACCATTGATTACTAATGTCTGCCTTGGGTATAGGAGGGGAGAATGACACCATTGCTTAGTAATGTCTGCCTTGGGTATAGGAGGGTATAGTTTCTACTATATCAAGAAAGAGAGAAAAAATAATAGTGCGGTTCTTACGCTGGACAGCATCACTTCCACGAGTTCAGGATGCATTTGCTCCAGAGTGAACCCAAAAGGAAACATGTACCTGCAAGTTTCTCAGTCTCATTCCCAAGTGCCTCTCCATCTTGTGGCCACATGATCACAGATGACTGCAATGTTTAAAGACAGGTATGTTTCATTCATCCACCATGCCACCTCAACACAATCACTTCATCTGGCATCTAAGCAAAGACCCTCATTTTTTCTAATAATCAAGGAAAGTGTGGCTGTATTTGATGTATCGAGGGGCAGAAAGATTGGTCTCCAACAGGACTTGCACAAGTAATTGACCAGGTGTAATTTTTATGTTACCTGATGACTCTGGAATTAACTTTGCATCTAAGACACAGGTTCCCAGAAATGCTCCCTGCATCACCAAAAAGAACCTGCTGGCCTTCCCCTCAGCTCAATGCAGCATGGGAAACAGCCCAATCTGGGTCTGAATTTCAGACTGCTTCCCCATTAGCTATGAGACTGTGCAAGCCATGCCCTTCTGAGCCTCAGTTTCCCCATTTGTAAACAAATAGTTTGAATAGGTCTTCCCTCCTTGGACTACTCTGGGTAGAGAAAGATACAATGCCTGTGAAATGGTGGGTGCAATGCCAGGTACTTCCTAGTTCCCAAAGATGCTAGCTGTTATGATTATTTTATTCTGAATGCTGGCAAAATATACTTTCTGCATCCAGGGAAAGCCCTTTCTGGGAGACAGTGCCAAAGCAGACAGGTGGAGGTCAGAAAAAGTAGAGCTGACTGGTGCCACAGGGCAGTGAGTAGGAAGGGCGGTGAGATGCCATGGCCTGGAGTGTTCTGCATTCTGGAGCAGGCAAGGACCAAAAAGTCTATCTAAAGGCCACATTTAGTCTTGTAAACCCCATTTTCACTCCTCTAGAGGAACGACACAGCATTTCCATGACAACTGAGAATGAAACTTGAACGAATATGCCGTCAGCTCTCCTGGAAAACCTTCTTAACAGTCCAGAACACACTGCTTAATTTCATAAATAGTTATTACTATTACTAGTATTAGTACTATTATTACAACTACATTATTACTACTATTACTACTACTGCTTCTTACTATATTACATTTATTACAACTACATTATTACTAATATTATATTATTACTACCACTGTCAAAGAAAATAACTGCTCACTATAGAAAAAAAATAAAAGGGTCTAAAGGAAAATGCAAAAACCAGTAATTTAGTTGAACTTTCCATCTGCCTTTCTGACATCTCTCTGCACTCAGAGAAAGGGAGATCTATGAATACAGTTTGCACACAATTGGAATCATATAATACAGGCTGTATTTCTCACTCAACAGTATGTCATGTGCATCTTTCCAAGTCAATAAACATAAATCCTCACCACAAAATCCTAGCAGCAGCTTGGAATTGGACTTTATGGATATACACAATTGACTTAAACTATCCCTTACTGAGGGATATTGAGGGTACATCTTTTTAAAAATTATTTGTGCTACTACAATCATTTCCTTAATAAATATACAAACACATCTCACACTTGTACAATCATCTCCAAGGTGCAAATTCCCAGAAGTGTAATTGCTAGACCAAAGATGGAACACATTTTACATTTTGACACATGTGAATGTGAGGCAATCTGCCATCCAGAGATGGTCAGGCCAACATATGCTGCCTCCAGTAGAGGTCGTCAAAATGACTGCTTCTACCCATGACACATTCCAAGGCAAGACAGGAAGCTGACCTGTGAGAGTCCAGCCAGAAGGACCCAGCTCAGCAGCCCTGCTACAGTCAGAGGGTGGAGATGGAGGAGCAGGTTAAGGCAACTGGATCCTCACAGCCTGAATCTCTGCAAACCTAGAAGACTCTACAGCCTCCAGAGGAGAAACCAGCAGGATACCATCATCCCTTCCACTAGAGAGAACACATCAGCCTCCATGAGTGAGGTTGGGGGCCAGGAAATACCTGACCCAACCCAAGAGAGCTAAAAATCTAGCAGGCATAGGCACTATTCTAAGCACTGGGGAAATGGAGCCATCTCAGACACCTTTGATCCTATTGTGGGCAATTAACTTTTTCAACTACTTTCCCTTCAAAAGCTTCTGTGCCACCAATATCAAGGCTCTTTAGTAAGTCACTTTCCTGCTCCACGCCTCATTTCCCCATCTGCAAAATGTGTTTAGTATCTTTGTTTTCTTTCCATAGACTCAGTGTGACATTACAAGCATCCTGGGTGGAACTGCAAGACATAGTTATTTCAAGATTATGAAGAGTGTGGTAGCCAAACTCCAAGATGGCCGCATGATCCCTCCTCCAGGTACTCGTGCCCTTGTATGGTATGCTCCCACAGTCTTCCGAGGATTCCGTTGTATGACTGATCGAATACAGCAGAGGCGATGGCATAGGACATCTGAGGCTACATCATCTAAGGGATACACAGGAATTCACTCCCATCCTCCCATGTGGCTTCTACTTTGCTCTTAATCTCTCAGATCTCTCACCCTGGCAGACACCATCCACCATGTCCTGAGGACACTCAAGCAGCTCTGTGGCCTCCTGACAATAGCTGTTAGGTGAAACACCTTGGGTGCAGACCCTCTAGCCCCACTCCAGCCTTCAGAAGACAGCAGCCCCAGCTCACATGGGACCCTGAGCCAGACCACCAAGCAAACCACTCCCAGATTCCTGACCCACAGAAACTGTGAGATAATGAAAGTCTGCTGTTAGAAGTCACTAAGTTCAGTGTAACTGTCACGGGCAAGAGACAGCCAATACAATACTTTCGTGCTTCATACATCATTTTTCCATCTATCCAAAATGGGAAGAATACTTCACAGACTTGATGTGAAGCTGCAAGACTCCTGGTACTCCACTGATGCAGGTGGGTCAGAGGGTAAGTCCAGGCTGTGTGACCATGGGCAATTACTTTGAGTTTTGGTTTCCTAAGCCACAAAATGAGGATAAAAACAGCACACACCTTACGGAGTCATTGAGAGGATGTTAAAAGAACAGAGATCAAACATTTGGTCAACTGAAAAGTGGGATAAGAAAGTTGGGTGTGTGGTTGTCATTTTTCATCATCCCTTTCCTCTTCTTCCTCTTCTTCTTGGCATCACAGGTAAACACTACTTTCAGATGATCCATTAATGAGGTTTATTATAAAAATCCAGCCTGGAAAGTCATTTTGGGGGAATAGACAAGCACCAAGCAGTGGGCCCTTACAGATTCCAGTTTACACCAAGCAGTGGGCCCTTAGAGATTCCAGTTTGCACGAAGGGTCAGTATAGCTTGGTGCATAAAGAGGAGGGAACATTCCAAATACAGAGCACACTCATGGACAAGGCCCAGGGCCAAGCAGACTTTTTTTTTTTTTTTTTTTTTTTGAGACAGGCTCTTACTCTGTTTGCCCAGGCTGGAGTGCAGTGGCATAATCATAGCTCACTGCAGCCTCCATCTCCTGGGCTCAAGCAATCCTCCCACCTCAGCCTCCCGAGTGTCTGAGACTGCAGGCGCACAACACCACGCTCAGCTAATTTGGTTTTGTTTTTTTTTTATTTTTTTTTATTTTTTTGAGACGGAGTCTCGCTCTCGTCCAGGCTGGGGTGCAGTGGCGCGATCTTGGCTCACTGCAAGCTCTGCCTCCCAGGTTCATGCCATTCTCCTGCCTCAGCCTCCTGAGTAGCTGGGACTACAGGCACCTGACAACATGCCTGGCTAATTTTTTTTTTTTTTTTTTGTATTTTTAGTAGAGACAGGGTTTCACCATGTTATCCAGGATGGCCTCGATCTCCTGACCTCTTGATCAGCCCACCTCAGCCTCCCAAAGTGCTGGGATTACAGGTGTGAGCCACCGTGCCCGGCCTAATTTGTTTATTTTTTGTAGAGATGTTGCCCAGGCTGGTCTCCAACTCCTGAGCTCAAGCAATCCTCTTACCTTGGCCTCCCAAAGGGCTGGGATTATAGGTGTGATCCATTAGGCCTAGCCATGAACATCTTTTGATAAAAGAATTTACTCTCAGCCTTTCACTTACCACTATCACAATGTCTCACCATACCTACATTACGATTTCCATTCTGTTATTTCCATATCATTTTTTGTCTTTGAGTCAACTCACTTTATGTTAAACTTTTTTTGAAGGAAATTTCATACCACTGCCATTAACGGAAAGCTAGTAGTGATGGCTATAAAGAGAAAATCATCATAAAATGAAATACATAATGATGAATACCAAACAGCAACAGTCTGTGTGCCACTTGAAGGTGCCATCCCAAGGTCACCAACAATACACAAACAGGTCACACTTGGGGAATGCACCACACCATGATTGCATTGCCGAGAGGCGGTGCATGAGTGATTTCAGAAGTATCTGTGCAGGGAACTTCCTGGCCACTGTTATTCGTGGGTGACAGATGAGGGATACACGGGAATTCACTGCCATCATCCCAGGTTATGTACCCCAGTGACTCCAAGCCCAATGCCATGATGCAGGACCCCAGAGCACTCAGTAAGCATTCCTGTCCTTACTAGGAAGACAACCCAATGACATTCGACTTCTTTCACGTGCTCCCACAACCTGGGGCCGTCACACCAGGGCGCAGAGGGACCAATTTGCAGCCTTGTCACCAACCACTGTGCCCCGGATCTGTCCACCAAGTGGGCCTGGTCTTTTTTAGAGGACAGAATACAGCTCTCACACCATGTACCAGAGGCTGGGAATACGGCCCAAGTGATAGAAATTGTGCAAGTGCTCTGGAAAATTTATTCCCCTCAAACCCAGTTAATTCTCCAGCAAGATCAGTTTCAGGTAAAAACCATTCCCGGTGATTGATGACGGAGACCAAAGAGGCTGAAAAGGATGCAAAAGTAGTTTCAAAATCTAATCTGTTCAGCAAAATGCTTCTACTTACGGAGTCTTGCAGGCTGTTCTTGGCACCGGGGAGGAGGGTTGAATTTTCAGACTTGTAGTCCTGGCAAAAAACAAACAAATAGAGAAAAAGGTTGGGGAAGCCGGGTTGAGGAAAAAAATTCTAACCTTGAGTAACCCAGTTTAGCACAACCCAGAATGTCTCACCACGTTTAGCCACAGTACCCTCTGTCTCTCCACCCATCCCCTGCAGGGGTCAAGACCTGCATTGCCCTGCGCAATGGCCACAAGCCCGATATGGCTACAAAGCCCCGTGGCTAGTCTCATTGAAATGGGCTGTATACATAAAATAGTCACTGGGTTTTCAGGACATGATGAAGAAAATGAATATAAAACACCTCATTAATATTAATATTTCATTATTTTTATATCGATTACATGTTAGAAAGACATTTAATAATATATAAAAATAAAATATATTGCTATGTTTAAAAATGTAAATATATTAAGACTATCTCAAAGGAAGTTTATTATTACAGTTAATCTCATCCGTTTCTTTTTACTTTTTAGTGTGGCTACCAGCAAATGCTAAATTGCATCTTTGACTCCGCTGACACTCCTGAGGCAGTGCTGGTCCGGATGTTTCTCAGTGTGGACTCCTCGTCCCAGACCGAGGATGCTGGGGGTCCCTAACCTTCCACCTTCCACTCCAGCAACACTTTGCATCTAGGGAGCATCTGCAATGCTATGCACTACTTTTTTTATTTATTTTTTTTTTTTTGAGACAGAGTCTCCCTCTGTCACTCAACCTCCCAAGTTGCTGGGACTATAGGCACCCGCCACCACACCTGGATAAGTTTTTGTATTTTTAGTAGATACAGGGAATCGCCATGTTGGCCAGGCTGGTCTCGAACTCCTGACCTCAGGTGATCCACCTGCCTCGGCCTCCCAAAGTACTAACATTACCGGCCTGAGCCACCACACCCAGCCACTGTGTATTTCTTGTGCATTTTCACCCTGAATCCTTACTAGGGTATTAAGAAGTAGGTCTTAACCTCAGCCCCGTCTCACAGGTGAAGAAGCAAAAGAGAGGCTGACGGATTTGTCCAAGGTAACACAGCACTCAGCAGGGTTGCAGTGGAGCCTCAGCTTGAACTGAGCATGCCTACTGCAAACACTGGGATGTGAATCACCGTCGTAGTATTCCCAAAGCCTTCGTCCACCTTTCCACGAGGTACAGCGCAGGAGCATGTTAAAGCTGGCCACCATCAACTCTAGGGAACTGCTCCTGCCTCAAAAGTGTCAGCAATGCCTAAAGCTCTACAATGTCATTAATCAAAAGTCAGCAAGGCCGAGGCGGACAGATCACCTGAGGTCAGGAGCTCCAGACTAGTCTGGCCAACATGGTGAAACACCGTCTCTACTAAAAGTACAAAATCAGCCAGGCTGTGGTGGCGGGCACCTGTAATCTCAGCTACTTGGGAGGCTAAGGGAGGAGAATCGCTTGAACCTGGGAGGTACAGGTTGCAGTGAGCCAAGACCACCGCCATTGCACTCCAGCCTGAGCGACGAGATCAAAACCCCAACTCAAAAAAAAAAAAAAAAAAAAGTCAGCAAGCTTTGGCCTGGGGTCACCCCTTTAACTTCCTGGGCAGAGAGAGGGTCGTGTGTGTCTCAAGCAAGACCCTGTCTCAAAAGAGAGAGGGCGGGAGAGCAACGGAGAGAAAGAGGGAAGGACAGAGAGGTGCAGAGAAAGCGGGAGGGGGGTGGGAAGGAGAGGTGTATAAAAAGAGAGAGAGACAAAGATATAGACAGACACAGATATCAAAAGAGAGAGAAACAGAGGGGGACAGAAGCTACCTACTCTTTCCTGTACCAGCCACAAGAATTACTCAGACCCACCCACAGAGTTCTGGGATTTCTGTTTCTGTACATCGTTTCTGAACTTATAATGAGAAGACACATATTTTATTGTTTCTCTTTTTGCAGTTTTCTAGTAGACATTGGTCATGGAAAAATCTGGTGACCAAGAAATCAAAAATGTGTTTGTTCCCCTCCTTCCTCAACACAGAGAATGGTCCTCATGCCACATCCACCCTCCAGCTTATTGAAGTGAACAAATAAACACAAATGATGTCCCCTGCTTCCAGCGACTGTCTAAAGTAGTAGCCTGAATGGGGAGAGAAGGGGGAGGAGGATGATGCAGTGATTTTGCTGCCAGATGCGTCAATTCTCCTTTGAGAGAATGTCCACTGGTCTGAGAATGTCTGGCTTTTGTCACTTTCTTTTCAGTCCCACTTTATAGATGGACCAAGAAAAAACTGCACTTGATCAACGAGTTAAGCGCAATAGCAGATTTCAACCCAGTGACAAGACCCAAGTGTTACTAGATGCCCTGGGATCCCTATCTACAGCCTGGTCCTTTCTTTGAGACGGGCCTCCCTCCCAGACTCACAGGTGACCCAGTACCTTGCCCAATTCCATCTAGTCTAGGGACACACTCCTGCCCCAGGCAGCATGAATCAATCTGTCTTTCTCAGTAACAGAAACAGAGACCCATGGAAATGGTCACTGCATTGTGTTGGACTTCCTAAGTCCAAGACCTTGCATGTGAAGCCAGTATTGGCTTCGTAGCAACCACCAGCCTTAGGAAGGTAAAATTAGGTTTGAGTCAAAATTAAGAGTCTTCCAGGGGAAGCTGATTGGAAGAAAAGAGAATAGAGGATCTAGGCAACCAGTATCCCAGAGCCTGGAAATAGACAAGTTAGGACTCACACTCGAGTATGATCTTACTTGGGAACCTAGCTACCAGATGAAATTCCTATCCAGCTGCCCCTGCAGAGCCTTCTTCCTCTTTGCCCCTTCCACACTTTCCAGCCCCTTCCCCCTAGCTAGGGGCTTTCCCTCTCCACATCCCTGAGCCTGAGGTCCCAGAGGCCTGGTGTCCTCTTTAGCTGTCTATCTCTCATTGTGCCGCACTTCCGTGTCATTTTCATCAGGAGCACAGGAAGCCTTCACTCCTAGGAGACAGAAGATGGTACCAACTCAATCTGCTCTTCTCAAGAGACTTTTTCTGCCCTTCCTGCCACTTTTACACCTCTCCATACCCTGGAACTAGACATGCACCCTAACCCTAGATTAGCACCCTCCTTCTTAACGCAGTCCCTGTGCTATCTGAACAAAGCAGCAAGCTCTGTGCCCAATCCCGTGTGTCCCTATTTTCCTCCTTAACTCGAAAACAGAGACAAGCACATATTAACATTCTAAGTCTGACTGAGTTGGGGAAACAGAGCCAAGAGATGCAGCGAGGGAGGTAGTGGCTGTCTGATACTGTTCTGGTTTTCAGAAAGCCCAGGTCTTTTCCCTGAATCCTTACAATAAGCCTCCATATCATTTGAGCTGGCCTGATCCATTCAGATGAAAATTCTTGAGGCGTACAGAGAAGATCTGATCTGCAACCCTTTTTAGATCCCAAACCAGGGTCCCGAACCAGCTGTCACTCTGGTCGCTGTCTGCCATTCTTCTCTTCCCTGCAAGTTCTGCTCCCTCATTTTCCACCCACTTGTTAGAAGTCTAGTAGTCTCCCCTGGAAATGTATGCCCTCTTGCGCCTCAGTTTACAGCTTTCAAAAGCTGGGACATGAATCCCCAGCAGCAAGGATTTAGCCAGTTAAGACAGTGACCCAGGCAGAGATCCCAGATGGGCCATCAAACATCATCCAATACAGATTTGTCATGGGCTGGTGTCAGCTCCCAGAGGTGGCATTAGAAGGTGATATTCTTTGCATAACAACTGCCTTTACAGGGTCTTTTCCTGTTTGGAAATGTCTTTGGGGAAACATGGTTTTTTTGTGGTTTTTGAGATGGAGTCTTGCTCTGACACCCAGGCTAGAGTGCAGTGGCAGGATCTTGACTCACCACAACCTCCACCTCCCAGGTTCAAACAATTCTCCTGCCTCAGCCTCCTGAGCAGCTGGGATTGGAGGTGCCCACCACCATACCTGGCTAATTTTTTTTTTTTTTTTTTTTTTTTTTTAGTAGAGACAGGGTTTTACCATGTTGGCCAGGCTGGTCTCCAACTCCTGACCTCAAGTGATCCACCTGCTTCAACCTCCCAAAGTGCTGGGATTATAGACATGAGCCACCACATTCAGCCACACATTTTTGTGTATATAAATACTTACATAGACATGTAAAAGTAAAATAAATCTTGGAGGCCCCTGAATCACTAAGCTAAAGGGAAAAGTCAAGCTAGGAACTGTTTAGGGCCAACTTGCCTCCCATTGCATTCAAAGTCACCTCTCTGCTCAATGACATAAATGCCTATCTATCTGACTGTCTCCTTTGGAGATGCTAATCAGAAACTCAAAAGAATGAAACCATTTGTCTCTTTTCTACCTCTGACCTGGAAGCCTCCTCTCCCAGTGTCTCCCTGTCTTCCTGCCTTTGCTTCAAGTTCTCCCGCCTTTCCAGATGAAGAAACCAATGTTCACCTTGCATATGCATTGATGTCTTATGTCTCCCTAAAATGTATAAAATCAAACTATGCTCTGACCTTGGGCAGATGTCGTCAGGACCTCCTGAGGCTGTGTCACAGGCCTGTGTCCTCAACCCTGGAAAAATAAACTTTCTAAATTAACTGAGACCTGTGTCTCAGATTTTCGGGGCTCACAGACATATTCATGTAATCTTGTGAGCGTTTATGTGCCCACCTATGAATAGCCACATCCAGATGTATCAATCTTTGTATCTATAGTCACATAGAATAAAGATGTAGGAGGTGGAAAAAAATAAACACTCCATCCTACAGGTTAACAGAAGGCCAAGACCATGGCCAATCAAAGCTTCCTGAGCAATGGACAGAGGGTGTGGGGTCAGAGGTGGGGTTCTGGGTGCATGATGAGTTCCCAATGATGGCGCCAGTAAAACCTACGTGGACCAACATTGTGCAAAGCTCCAAGCCAAGGCCATGGCTGACCAAAGCCTCATGAACAATGGGCAGAAGGTGTGGGGGCAGGATGGGGGTGGTGTATCACGGGTTCCTACGGATGAAGCACGGAGACCTTCAAGGACCAAGGTTGTGTAAGACAAATGGGGTCAGTACCTCTGTTACAGGAAAGGGGTCCCGATCCAGACCCCAAACGAGGGTTCTTGGATCTCGCGCAAGAAAGAATTCAGGGCGACTCCACAGTAAAGCAAAAGCAAGTTGATTAGGAAAGTAAAGGAATAAAAGAATGGCCACTCCATAGAGCAGTCCCCAGGGCTGCTGGTTGCCCATTTTTATGGTTATTTCTTGATACGCAAAACAAGGGATGGATTATTCATGCCTCTTCTTTTCAGACCATATACGGTAACTTCCTGACATCGCCATGGCATTTGTAATCTGTCATGACGCTGGTGGGAGTGTAGCAGTGAGGACGACCAGAGGTCACTCTCATCACCATCTTGGTTTTGGTGGGTTTTGGCCAACTTCTCCACTGCAAACTGTTTTATCAGAAAGATCTTTTTTTTCTAAATTATACTTTAAGTTTTGGGATAGATGTGCAGAAAGTGCAGGTTTGTTACATAGGTATACATGTGCCATGGTGGTTTGCTGCACCCATCAACCCATCATCTACATTAGGTATTTCTCCTAATGCTATCCCTCCCCTAACCCCCCACCCTCTGACAGGCCCCGGTATGTGATGTTCCCCTCCCCGTGTCCATGTGTTCTTATTGTTCAACTCCCACTTATAAGTGAGAACATACAGTGTTTGGTTTTCTGTTCCTGTGTTAGTTTGCTGAGAATGATGGTTTCTAGCTTCATCTATGTCCCTGCAAAGGACATGAACTCATCCTTTTTTATGGCTGCACAGTATCCCATGGTGTATATGTGCCACATTTTCTTTCTCCAGTCTATCATTGATGGATATTTGGGTTGGTTCCAGGTCTTTGCTATTGTTTTATAAGCAAGTTCTTTATGACCTGTATTTGGTGCTGACTTCCTATCTCACACTGTGACTTAGAATGCCTTAACCATCTGGGAACACAGCTCAGTAGGTCTCAGTCTCATTTTATCCAGCTCCTATTCAAGATGGAGTTGCTCTGGCCCCCGCACCACTGACAGCTCTAAAGGTCTACCAGGCTGCCAGGGCCCACGGAACCCTAAAGTGTTCTGACCCCAGGGCTCTGACATATCTCCTTGGGAATTCTGGACGCCAAGAGAAAGCAAGCAGGCTGAGGAGCCTATGAGGCCAGATCATGGCTGTTGGATGAACACAGACCACACACATTTCCACCACACCTCAGAGACTTCCTTCTTGGAGGCAAAACATCAAAATAACTCCTTAATGCATGGTCCAAACAGAGGACTTAACATAATAAAATAGATTTTTATAGCCTAGCCAACATGGTGAAACCCCATCTCTACTAAAATACAAAAATTAGCCAGGCATGGTGGTGGGAGTCTGTAATCCCAGCTACCGGGGAGGCTGAGGCAGGAGAATCGCTTGAACCCAGGAGGCAGAGGTTGCAGTGAGCCGAAATCGTGCCACTGCACTCCAGCCTGGACGATGAAGCAAGACTCCATCTCAGAAAAAAAAAAAAAAGATTTTTATAATCTCAGAGTGGTAGTGAAGATCCTTCTAATTATGACCCCCAAACCAAAAGCCTCAAAACAAAAGATTTAAAATTCTGCGCATATATAATTGTATGCATGAAAAAAATACCATAAACAAAGTAGAAGACAAAGGGCAATCTGAGAAAATTAAAACCCACTGAACAAAGAGATAACATCATTTATAAAGAGCTTCGCCCCAGTCAATAAGGAAAACACCAAAGGAAGTCCATAGAAAAAAACAAGCAAAGGAAATGTACAGACAATTTCACAAGATGGTCATGCAAATACCTCTTATGCACATTAAGAAATCCCCATAATCCTTGTAATTAAAACTTCAACCATAATAAAAGAAATGCAAATAAGGCAATATATTATTTTTTACGGAGACTGACAAAGAAGAAATTTGAATAAAGCATGGAAATTATAAGACTCTAGGGCAACAAGTATTCTTTATACACAGTGAAATTATACATTGGCCAACATTTTAAAAGTTGATAATATTCGGACTAGGGATTCCATTTTTCGAGTGTCTGCTGTTTAAACATCTGCATGAGTATAACATGACTTGTGCCAAGGATATTCATGGAAGCCTTTTTGTAATTACAAAATACTGGGAACAACATAAATTCCATTATTCAGATGCCAAGTAAATAAGTTATAGTGAATCCAGACACTGTCAGTTAAGATAATGAGGTAGCTTTATATGGAATGACGGGGAGAAAACAGTAAAATGCTCAGTGGTATGTATAGTACTCCACATCTGTTCATTGTTTTAAGAATATAGGCATTTCTAGTATATCCACTGAAATCTTCAGAAGACAGAGAAGAAACTGATATTTTTTAAAAGGCTCATTTTGGACCAGGCGCAGTGACTCACGCCTGTAATCCCAGCACTTTGGGAGGCTGAGTCAGGCAGATCACCTGAGGTCAGGAGTACGAGACCAACCTGGCCAACATGGTGAAACCCCATCTCTACTAAAAACACAAAATTAACCGAGCACAGTGGTGGGTGCCTGTAGTCCCAGCTACTAGGGAGGCTGAGGCAGGAGAATCACTTGAACCCAGGAGGCAGATGTTGCAGTGAGCTGAAATCATGCCATGGCACTCCAGCCTGGGTAACAAAAGAGAAACTCCGTCTCAAAAAAAAAAAAAAAAGGTTCATTTTGGAGAAGGAAAAGGATGTGGTAGCAGGAAAACTCATTTTATATTTCTGACCCTTGAATTTTGTACACTGGGCATGTATTATTGAGGAAAATATTTTTTATGCTACCCGATACTTTTTATTTGATTTTTAAAAGAAAATAATTTAAGGGAAAAACACATGACAACATTGGCAAGAACCCTTTGGGTAAGGCTTCATTTCTTGCCATTTTCCGAAAAAAAAAAAAAAATGTTTAGCTCACATCACATGCTAAATGAATTTGGGGTCGCTTTGGACGACAGGAGTCCTTTCAGTGTGGTCTGAATGCAGAAATGCTGGCATTGGGGTAATACCTTAATGGATTTCACCAGGAAACATAAACAGCATGCAAGCCACCAGTACCCCTCCTGTTCCCAGGGTAGGCAGTACTAATCAATCACTGCATTTTACCACTGAGGTAGATGCACTCTCAGATTTCAACCCAATGCTCCAGGCAAGCTGGCAAATCCCACTGATCTGTGTGAGCTGAAGCATCTGCGAACATTAAACCCCCTCCTGGGGTAGGGTGACCAAAAGGCAATGCCCAGAAAGCTGGAAGCATGGCCTCCACCCATATGGTTCCTCAGTGCCCGATCTGGGAGTGAATTTGAATCTTTGGCAGACAGTCCGCTACCACCACCCCATTCCTCCATCACGCCCCGAATCACAGTACGGCAGCCAAGAGCATGCAGCCAACTTCCAAGCTCATCATAATGACACCGAGGCTTCCCCTGCCCATTCTGAATCAAACCACCCCCAGCCCTTCGTAGGAAATGCCAGTTAACTTTCAGCAAGGAACTCAGGCTACCCTCATTTCCCCCAACTTAGAAAATTCTGTGTAAATGTCAGATTAAACTCTTCAGTCCTCTGCTTTTCAAATGAGAGATAAAATTTACCTCCCTATTCCCAGATGTTAAAATCTCTGCTTCTCCCCAGGGCAAAGAAATCAATGCAAGTGAGCTCGGTTTTTTTTCCCCTCTTTGGAACACTACCACTTCCAGCAATTTATTTGACTGACTATGCCTTCTATTACCATGTAAATCGTTTCAGACTGCAGGAAAAAAAAGTATTAATCTCCTCTCAGTAAGTCATAAAATAAAGAAATCAATTTCAAGGTCAATTTAGCCCAAATAACACCTGCTGCCCTTTTTGTGTGTGTGTGTGTGTGTGTGTGTGTGTGTAACACGCAGACTCCTCTGAAACGCTAGGCTGTTGTCTAAGTCGTCAAGAGGCAGGAATAGAAAACCCAGTCTCACGTCAGTCAAGGCAGTGACAGGGGAGACCCTGGTACCATGGCCCAGTGGCCCCAGGTGTGAGTGTGGGATGGACAAGATTAACAGGATCCAGCAAAGCAACCCTCTGCAGGCCAAGGCAGTGGAGTGGAAGGAGAGCTGCACTGGGGGTCACGTAGAGTTGGGGTCAAGCCAGGAGTCTGTCTGGGTGGCTGTGTGAGTCCTGGGAAAGTGACTTCACCTCTCTGAGCTTCAGACTCTACACTTGTTAAATTACTTAAAATGAGGACTAGGTAACCTTACAGAATGCTTCAACCCAGTCCATTATGGACTTTGCCAAAGGTTACACATCCTGGAGAACTGGCCTAGGACTAGCCACTTTCATGTAGTGATCCTTCATCAACACGTAGAATAGTGTGAGGGTTAAACAGGCTCTGGAGTCCAAATCACCTTTGATCTATTAATGAGCTATATGGCCTTGGACAAGATACTTACCTTCTATCCTCTGAGTTTCTTCCTCTGGAAGATGGACATAATAATGTTATGTGTTTCTAGAAAGAGAACGCTCATCCTCATTTTTGGGTGAGTAAATTGGATTCAGAGAGGGCAAGTGACTTGCCCCAGGTTGGCCAACTTAAAAGCAGCCCATCTAAGTTGAACGCTGGGACCCCTGAGCCTCAGGCAAATGACCCCAGCACACACCACACTTCCTTGTACAAACCATGCAAAGGAACAGAAGCATTCCCTTGGTACACTCATGTTCCCTCCACCACCGCCCCACAAACCCACCAGGGATGTGGCCAAGTGCAGATAGGGGCCAACAGCTTCTTACAGTGGGTCCTGGACCCAGCAGATTGGGGAAACCCATCTTTACAACATCTCCCATAAGGAGGCGGTTTCTTCCCACCCCACTCCATACCCACTGCCTTGGCCCTGCCATCCCTGATGGATGCCCTCTCTATGCAGTTTTTCAGCTACATCCAGAAGATTAACAAACTGCTCCTATGAGGCCATGACATCTAGGCAGCCCCAAACCATCCTCAACTCTTTGTTTCTGCAAAAGCCAGCCCTGTATTCTCACCTGTGCATCCAATCAACCACCCAATTGTACCTCTCAACCTGTAAAATACCTCCACCTGCAAAATCCTGTCTCATGTGGGCATCTGTAATGCTAATGCCTGAACTCAGATCACTTTTGTTGCAGTGGCTTCCAAAAAAAGACCGGCTTGACTCCATTTCCCCCCGACCCTCAGTCAATTCTTGACAGCCAGAGTGATCATTGTTGGATATAAAGTGGTTCATGCCTCTCCCAATTCAATGCCCTCCCAGCCCTCTAAGTCTGCAAAGTGCTGTCCATTGCTCACATGGGGACGTGCTGAGGACTGTTGCCCTTAAATACGTAACTCGGTCATAGAGACACAAAACAGCCCACGTCAGACAAAGTCAACACTGATGCCACTGAAGATGAAGTGCCTGGATTGCCTGGACTGTAAAACTAGAAAAAAAAGCAGAATGCTACTTAATTGCGCATTTACTATGTGCTTCAATACATGACCCCACAGCTAAGTGGCAGAACCAGGAAGGGGACTCGGCCTCTGTGCCACAATTCTCAGTCATTTTTTTTTCCAAACTTTATTGAGCTAATTCACCTAGTAATTCTTCCATTTTAAGTGTACAATTCCATGGGTTTTAGTATGTTCACAGGTGTGTGTGACCATCGTTGCATTTTTACAACGTTTTCATCACCATGAAACTCCATCACCTCCATCCTCCATCCCCCATCCCCCCATTCCCACAGCCCCAAGCAATCACCGATCTACTTTCTTCTTTATGGATTTATTTGTGTGGGACTTTCATGTAAATGAATTCACACAATCTATGGTCTTTTGTGCCTGGCTTCTTTCTCTCAGCATCATGTTCCCAAGGTTCAAACAAGTTACAGCAGGCATCAGGGATGCAGGCCTTTTTTATTGCTGAAAATATTCTATTGCATAGAGAGACCACCTTTGTTTTTCCACGAATCTGCTGATGGACATTTAGGTAACTGTCACCTTTTGGCTATGAAAAATAATGTTACTGTGAGCATTCCCGCACACGTTATCATGAGGACATAGGTTGATACTTCTGTGGGGTACATACATGGAAGTAGAATTTCTGGCTTATACGACAACTCTTTGCTTAATATTTGAGGAACTCTCTGGCTGTTTTCTCAAGTGACAGCTGTTTATGAGGGCTCAGGTCCCTCCATATTCTCATCAATACTTAAAATTATCTGACTTTTTCGAGACAGAGTCTCGCTCTGTCGCCCAGGCTGGAGTACAGTGCCGCGATCTTGGCTCACTGCAACCTCTGCCTCCTGGGTTCTAGTGATCCTCCTGCCTCAGCCTCCAGATTAGCTGGGATTACAGGCATCTGCCACCAGGCCTGGCCAATTTTTGTATTTTTAGTAGAGACGGGGTTTCACCATGTTGGCCAGGCTTGTCTCAAACTCCTGACCTCAGGTGATGCACCTGCCTCAGCCTCCCAAAGTGCTGGGATGACAGGCGTGAGCGACCGCACCAGGCCCAATTATCTGACTTTTAGATTCTAGCCATTCTAATGGGTGTGCAGTGGTATCTCCCTGCAGTTTTGACTTGCATTTTCCCGATGACTGACGATGTCGAGCATCTTTTCATGTGATTACTGGCCATTTGTGAATCTTCTTTGGAGGAATGTCTATTCGGACACTTTGCCCATTTTTTAATTGAGTTGTGTCTGTATTGCTGAATTTTATGTATTCTAGATGTAAGTCTCTTACAGATATGCAATTTGCATATATACTCTCCCAACTCAATGGGTTGCTCACTTTTGAACAGTGTCTTATCCTAAAGCATCTTGGTCATGTCAGTTTCAGGTGCATAACCAATGGGCCATGTCCATTTTCAGAGCTTTCTGCCCTGGCTCCCTCTGGGGCTGAGACCCAGGTTTTCCTCTACTTGCCTTCTTTTCAGGATTTGCTCTGGGAAGGGCATCTGGGCAGCACAGGAAGGTTCAATGACAACACAATTCAGCCAGTAACATTTAAGAACCTGCTAAGTGCCTGCCAGCAGAACAGAGCAGCTAAGAGTGTCAGCATTTCAAGGATACTGTCCTGGTCCAAACCTCATCAATGCTACCTCAGCTCCTCACTCTCCTTATCTGTAAAACTGGGGGTAATGGGGGCCAGCCATGGTGGCTTACACTTGTAATCCCAGCACTTTAGAAAGCAGAGGTGGGAGATCATTGACGCCACGAGTTCAAGACCAGCCTGTGCCATACAGCAAGTTCCCCTCTCTACAGGCAGAAAAAATTAATTAGATGAGTGTGGTAGCACATGCCTGTAGCCCCAGCTACTTAGGAGCTGCAATGGGGAGATTGCTTGAGCCCAGGAGGTTGAGGCTGCAGTGAGTTATAATCATGCCACTGTACTCCAGCCTGGGAGACAGAGTGAAACCTGTCTTGAACGAATGAATGAACAAATAAAATTAGGGATAATAATAGCAATAGTTAGTAAAACTATCTACTTGAGTCAGAAGTAAATGAAATAACATATATAAAGCTCTTAGCATGAGTTCTGGCACAGTCAAAGGCAGTGGTCTCCAAATTTGGCTTTATATGATAATCACCCAGCGAGCTTTAAAAACATGTACTTTAGTTCCCTGTGGCTGCCGTCACGCAATTGCCACCAACTGAGTGGTCTAAAATAAGTGAAATGTATTCTCTCATAGTTCTGAAGGCCTGAAGTCTGAAACCAAGGTGTGGGCAGGGCTGGCTCCTTCTAGAAGTTCTGTGGGATAATTTATGCTCTGCCTCTCCCCCAACTTCTGCTGGCCACAGAGATCCTCAAGGTGCCTTGGCTTGTAGAAGCATCAGTCCCGTCTCTGCCTCTGTTTCTACATGGCCTTCTTCTCTGCACGGCACTGTGTCTTCTCCCTTTATGTCTTTTTTAAAGACACCAGTCGTTGGATTTAGGGGAAGATAATCTCATCATGACATCCCTGAATTTATTCCATCTGTAAAGACCCTGTTTCCACATAAGATCATATTCACAGGTTCCAGGGTCCAGAACTTGAGCAAATCTTTTGGGAGCCACTATTCAACCCACTAGAGCACACCAAAAAAAATGCCAAGAATTTTGTTCTACTTCACACGAATCAGGTTGGAATCTCCAGCAGTGAAGACCAAGGATCTGCAGTTCTTGAATCCACCCAGGTGATGGCCACATACAGTTAGATGGTAAACCCAGGTCTACACCCTGCATAAATGCTGCAGTGGTCCTAGAAGCCGATGGCTTTGGGGAAGTCAGGGTCACCCCATAACGTGGTAGGGTATCTATAAGGGGCCTTGTCAGCCCTTTCATCGGGATATCCCATAGTCTCACAAACCACAGAAGCTCATACACACCTAGCTGCACTCTCCACAGAGGTAAGTCAATCAAGACACAGGATACTCACAAGAAACAAATAGCTACAGGCCAAGGGCAACCATGGATCCAGACCACGGCACATGTCTACAAGTTTAAAAATCCCAAGAGAGCCCAAAGCAGGAAACACCCCAGATGTCCATCACTGGATGAACAGATCAATAAAACATGGCTCAGCCATACAACAGAATATTATTCAGCCTTAAAAAAGAAGGACTGAGTCATTCCACAACAGGGATGAACATTGAAAACATTATGCTAAACAAAAGCAGCCAGTTACCAATACCATACATTGCATAATTTTACTGATGTGAAATATCCAGAAAACGCAATCCTGTAGAGACAGAAAACAGATTAGTGATTTCCAGGGACGGGGGGAGGGCAGGATGGGGAGTAGTTCCTTAAGGGATTCAGGGTTTTATTTTGGGGAGATTAAAATATTTTGGAATGAGATAGAGGTGACGGCTGTACAACACTGTGAAAGTATTAAATGCCACTGAATTGTTAACTCCAAAATGGTTAATTTTATGCTATGTGGAGGCTGCCTTTATTTTCTACAGAAGACTTCCAAAAAATTCCCAGCAGACCCAGACTTCTATCCCTCCCTTTGTGCTTTGACCGTATTTTTTCAAATAAAAATAAATATATAAAACCACAGATTTCTACACACATCTGTACAATCAAAAGAAGCTTTCCTCTCCATGCATCTCAAAAGCCATTAAAATTAATAGGGTCTGTATCAGCAATGTCTAATACAGTTGCCAATTCACTGAATCAAGAAACAGGCCCAAGCAGTAACAGAACTACAGTCCCCGGTGCAATGAGAACTTCCATCTAAAGTGAGTGGGGACTGGTTAACAATACCCAGCCCTCCTCTCCCATCTGTGTCACAGGGACAGCCTCAGACACCTGAGGGTAACCACACTCAGGAGACAATGACCCACCTGCCTGTGCTGCCACGCAAGGGAAAAGTTCCAGAAAACAGAAGCTGAAGGGGGAAAAAAGCCAGCCTACCCTTGGTCTCTGTGCCCTTGTGAGGGAACTCACAGCATGAAAAATGTCCATTTGCAAGTGGGCAATGGTATCAGAAATAGACGTAATGAGACAAGGGAAGACGGAACATCAAGAAGTCTGGCAAAAATGCTGGGAGATGCAGCTTGGTGATAAAGGAGGGCATTAGTGATGCAAGATGAAACTCCGACATATTTCTGGCTCAAGATGCTGAACACAGCACTCAAGTTTTCCCAAGGACAAGAAGAGCAGGGGAGCTGCTGAAAGAGACACGGATTATTACAGAAGCTCTTGCAAAATGAAGTTGGGGAGAATGGCAAAACAAGTGAAGTGTAAAATAAATACTTCCTGAACATAATCACAAGGGAGAACACTAAAATTAGGATGTCTGACAAGGGCTTTTTATTCAATCTGCCCAGGGTTTCCTCAGGGCTCCTGAGAGAGGAGTTGTCAGTAACCCACATGACATCACAGGCCACTGATGCAGAAATGGGATACTTGGAGCACGGGGTACTAGGCAGGCTGATTAGAGGGATGTGACCCAGACTCGGTGGAACCAGGAATGGCTGGCACAGCCTTGAGCTCCCTGGGCCATTCCCGGAGAGAAGTCCCTCCAAAGGAAGATGGCACCACCAGACAAACTCTACATGGCAGAGGTTCAGGCCATGGGCTCTAGACTGGGGCAGCCCAGCATTGAAGATGCTGCTGTTTATTTCAGCAGACTTATAACCTTGAGCAGCTCACTCCATTTCTCTGAGCCACAGTTTTCCCCTCTATAAGATGGGGCTAACAGCCTACATCATAGGACAATCCTAAAATGAGACAATCCTAAAAGCCCAATAAATCTTAGCTCTTATCGACCCCACTTTACAGAGAGGAAACTGAAGCCCAGCCCAATGTTAAAAGAAAACTTCAGACAAGTTCAACTTGATGGAGTTTAATCGAGCAAAGAAAAGAAACAATTCGTGAATCAGGCAGCCTCCAGAATCACAGCAGATTCAGAGACACTCCAGGATTGCCTCGCGGTCAGAACAAATTTACAGACAAAAAAAAGTAAAGTGACGTACAGGAATCAGAAGCGAGCTTGGTTAGAGCTCGGCGTTTGACTTATTTGAACGCAGTTTGAACACTCAGCAGTCTACAAGTGGTTGAAGTATGGCCGCTGGGATTGGCCAACACTCAGCTATTATTACAGATACATACTATTAAGTTAGCTTTTCATTGTTGTCTGCCTATGAAGCTAGGTTACGGTTTGTCCCCAAGAACTCAAATATAGAAGTATGGAGTCCTTCTAAGGCCATATTTAGTTGGCTTTAACAACAGTTAAATAACATGAATGGATGTTCACAGGTATTGGCTTTTGCTGCGCATGGCATTCTATGGCTGTACAATTTTTTGTTTGAATGTATTTGAGCTCTGCAAGAACGTGCAAGCCAAACTGCCAGGGTTCAAAGTCAGGCTCAACCTCTCCCTAGCTGTGTGAACTTGGGCATGTTACCTTTCTGTGCCTTAGTTTCCTTATCTGTTAAAAAGAGGACAGAGTGAGAAGTTAAATGAGTTAATGTCTGTAAAGGTCTCACAATAGAGCCTGGCTCCCGAGTGCTCAACATTATCACTGATTTTTAGCTCATCTCACAAACCAGGCCCACAGAGGGTAAGCCTAAGGATACACAGTTGAATGAGAGGCAGAATCTAAAATCTGTCACCCAGGCTCTTCTGCCTTCTGCACTTGGGGCTGAACTGATAACCACCTCCTCAATGAACTTCCCAGGGTCATCCGAGGCAGGGCAGGAGGCAGAGGTTGAGATGATGGGCTTTGATTAGCCGAGCGTGGGTGTGATGGCTCATGCCTGTGGTCCCAGCTACTTGGGAGGCTGGGGCAGGAAAATCATTTGAACACAGGAGGCAGACACTGCAGCGAACCAAGATCACGTCATTGGCATTCCAGCCTGGGCAACAAAGACTCCGTTTAAAAAAAAAAAAAAAAAAAAAAAAAGTGACGTGCTTTGAAAATGCCTGGGTTCAAGTCCCAGCTCTGCTCTGGCTTTGACCTTGGAGGGCTGTTTAACCTCTCTGGTCTTGGTTTCCTCATCGTTAACAGGGGCACTGTACTTGCACCTCAGTTCCACAATACCCGGCAATGCCAATCACGACGGCCAGTGTGGTCCATGTTTTCCACCGGCTCCAGTCCAATGCCCTGTGTGGAAGGTGAGCCCAACTTCGCTAAGCCGTGTCACTGCACTCTTTAACTCAGCTTGCTGTGAAGGCCCGTGCAGCCCCAGTCATGCCTCAGATGCTCCTAACTCCCCACCAGCCTGTCGCTACCCCAGCCTCACTTCCTGTGGTGCAACCTCATGGGAGTGAGGTCTGGTACTCCCGGGGCGAGAGTAATACAAGTCCCTGGGATTAGGGCTCCCTCGAGACTGCCTGCCTGCAGAAGAGGGAGCTGTCAGCTCTTTTAACAGTGAAATAATTGCAAGTTTGAATGTGGATTCTATGCTGAACATCTGCAATTAGAAGCCACCTTCTGTTCGAAACAACTGCTGCTTAAATGTAATCCTGCATTGTGCATAAACCCCAAAGGAGTTTCTCAGTTTTGCCTTCAACTACACTTACTCATCTACATTACAGCGTCCTTGCTTCTGTTCCTAAATCTTGCATCACTTCCTACCTCTCAGAGGCCTCTCTTTGTCCCTAGATAATATCCTAACACCTTACCTGGGCCCACCTTGCATATGGTCTGCCTCCCACTCGCTCCTCCCTCCTCTTCCACTACTCTGGCCCCTGTCATGAGCTGCAACTATACAGTGTTTCTTTTTGACCCTTGCATCAGCTGTCTGTCACCCTGGCTTGGAGAGTTCCCTGTTCCCATTCTGCAACTTAACTCCTACACATCCTTCATGTCAAAGTCCAGACATCACCTCCTCCAGGAAGCCTTCCCTGATGTTCCACACTAACCATGAGACTCCTGTAACATGCTCTTGCAGCATCATGCCCATTAGCCCTGTGACACTTCCTAAAGCTTGTAATTAGTTACTTGTGTATACATAATTACAAAGTAGATGTCTGCCTCCACCACTGACTCGTGTACTCCATTCCTGTTCCAAGGTTGCCACTGGATTCTCCCTCCAGGAACCAAGCACAGCCCCACTGACACACATAGGTATTGGACAAAAGAGTGTTTAATTACACAAATGGCTTATTCCTCCTAAGGAGAGCAACTTGCTAGAGTTAGGACCTCTGTCTCCGCCCAAAGTCTATTCCTTGTAGAACTTAGCACAGTCCCTGGCACATGACAAAATACTCGGTCTGAACTGGCAGAATTTTTAAGCAGACTCTTGCTTTAGCTTCTAGTTTCTTTTCTGTCAGAAAAAAAAATGCACATAGGAGTCCAAGAAAGCCCTGCCCCCTTCTCCTCTGGATCTGTCAAGTGCCATCTACAATGGTGGCTACGTGGATATTTGCATTTACCTAAGAAGACAGACAACGCTTTCCGGTTCATTAAAAATCCATCCCAGGTCTGTGCACACTGACAGCCCTTGAATCATCCCAGCCTCTCCTGAAGAGTTGAGATAAAGGAAAACTGTTTCCCTTGCCTTAGCCTGTCACGTCCTCATCATTCCCATCCATAGAATGACTGGGAAGGACCAGCGTGGATGCATGTCATTCCCAGCTCTGTCTTTTGAGGAATGGGATCATTAAGACAGGTGACCATGTAAATGCCATCTGCCCTACAGCTTCCTGGGTCTGGATTGCCCTTCGCTGGAATCCCACCAGTTTGCCTTTAATTAAACCTAAGTGTAGGAGTCCCCACCTCTCGGCCTCTATGTGCAGACGCAGGGCAGTGTGAGATGCCGTGAAAGGTAACGTTTGCATCCTCTCCCCAAAGGTATCCAGTGTGGGGAGCTCAAAACCCACACAAAGCAGATGTTTGAAGGCTGAAGCCTCACAAAGGGAACAACCAGCGTTGAAGCAGGACCAGCTGGAGCTGGCACCTCAGCCAAGCAGCCCTGGCTCTGAGCTAAGGCACACCCAGCTGGCCGCCTGGCAGCAGGTGGCATCCAAGTCACCCAGGCGGTGAAGTGGGGCCATCCGTACAACCACTTCTCCCACTCCTTGAGATGCTCTGCAAGCTCAGTGGGCACTTACCCCTCGGAAAATGGTGCCAGGCTGAGACCCACGCAGCTGAGGATGTTTTCCCACAAGCTCAATTACCAATCAGTCCCTGCAGCTGCTCCCAGATCAGAGTGGAATCCAATCAGCCGGCGCTCCCAGAACCCAGAAGAGCCAGGCTGCCCTCACTGGCTCTTCAGGCCCAACTGTTATTCATGCATCCATTGTTGGGGTCCCCCTAGGCACCATCACTACGCTGGGCCAAGGGAGGCAGCTGGGAACGAGGGAGGCAGAGTCCAGGCCCTCTTGGGGCTTACAAGCTGTTGTAGGTAATGCTGAGCAGATAAAGAATTAACTGCCAGCTGGGCGCAGTGGCTCACACCTGTAATCCCAGCACTTTGGGAGGCCAAGGTGGGTGCATCACCTGAGGTCAGGGGTTCAAGACCAGTCCAGCCATGTTGGTGAAACCCCGTCTCTACTAAAAATTCAAAAAAAAGAAAAAAATTAGCCGGGCGTGGTGGCAGGCACCTGTAATCCCAGCTACTTGGGAGGCTGAAGCAGGAGAATAGCTTGAACCCGGGAGGCGGAGGTTGCAGTGAGCTGAGATCGAGTGACTGCACCCCAGCCTAGGCAACAGAGCGAGACTCCTTCTCAAGGAAAAAAAAAAAAAGAAAGAAAGAAAAGAATTAACTGGGCAATGACTGTGTGATAAGTGTCATGAAAGGAAAAGTCAAGCGAGCTTCAAGACCTTACCTGGTGTACCCAGTTGGGGAAGGTTTCCCCTAAGAATGGCAGGAGTTGGCAGAAGGAGCAGCTCCAGCAAAACGGGGTCACCAGGGCGTGGTTTGAGCAGCAGGGCGAGCTGGAGAAACAGGTGGACTAGAGGATTGGGGGTTTTAAAGGCCACGCTGTGAGCAGCAGGAGGGTTGAAGCAAGGTCAGGTGTGTGTTTGAGAGGCTGGGGCTGGATTCTACGAGTGCACACATGGATGCGGGGAGCACAGTAAGAGGCCACAAGCGGAATCCCAGAATCAAGGATGCTGGGGGAGGCACATAGAAGAGGAGTGATGAGAAAGAGGAGATTAGGAAGTAGATTTCCTAGGACTGGAAAGTGAAGGTGGGTGGGGAGTGACGGACGGGAGGCAAGAATGCCTGGAGGGTTTCTGCATAAGCACCTGTCTGGCTACCTGCACTATTTACTGAGCCTGGCGATCCTAGTGGAAGTGCAAGTTGGGTGGGGCGATAGCAGGTCCAGTCTTGACCAATTTAGAGAATTAGGGGTGTGGCCAGGCGTGGTGGCTCATGCCTCTAATCCCAGCACTTTGGGAGGCTGAGGCAGTGGGATCACCTGAGGTCAGGAGTTCCAGACCAGCCTGGCCAACATAATGAAACCTTGTCTCTACTAAAAATACAAAAATTAGCCGGGCGTGATGGTACAAGCCTGTAGTCCCAGCTACTCAGAAGGCTGAGGCAGGAGAATCACTAGAACCCAGGAGGCAGAGGTTGCAGTGAGCCAAGATCAAGCCACTGCACTCCAGTCTGGGCGACAGAGTGAGACTCTCTCAAAAAAAAAAAAAAAAAAAAAAAGGGTGTGTGTGTGTGTGTGGAGGTTTCATGCGCTAGTACTTTTGGGATTGAAGCGCAAAAACACCCTGGCCCGGTGGAGATATTTTTATCTTCATTTAGCCTTCATTCCCTCCATGGTTCATTACTGATACTTCACAGAGGAGTTCCTGAGGATGAGTTTCATTTTTGCCGAGAACCTTGAAGGCCTTAGATCTAACAGCTGTTGGCGCTAAATTAATAGAACAACAAGGCAGGCTTTTTCTCCCATGCCAGGAGTCACTGTGTGGGAATGTTTGCAGGAAGTACCTGATCTCCCAGTGGTTTTTCGTGTTTTGAAATTGACAGTTCTTTTATTCTAGCCAATACATTTCTAAATGTCAGACCGTGGATGGGGTTTTTCCTGGTGGGCTTTAGAGCCCAAGGTCCTTCTTGGGATTCAGGGAGGATAAGGGAACTGGAACAAACCTCTCCTTTCTCCACTCCACCCTTCCTTCCTTTTACATACACATACCCCACCCAACAAGTAAATTTTGGCTGCCAGAAAGACCAGATGCCAAGGTGCCTCCTGATGAATGAGGCTAGGTGAGAAGCCCAGGTCATCCATCACAAATCCCCAGGGCAGGCACGGCAGCTCATGCCTGTAATCCCAGCACTCTGGGAGGCCGAGGTGGGTGGATCACGAGGTCAAGAGATCAAAACCATCATGGCCAACATGCTGAAACCCTGTCGCTACTAAAATTACAAAAATTAGCTGGGTGTGGTGGCACGCACCTGTAGTCCCAGCTACTCGGGAGGATGAGGCAGGAGAACCGCTTGAACCTGGAAGGTGGAGGTGGCAGTGAGCCAAGATCACACCACTGTACCCCAGCCTGGCAACAGAGAGAGACTCTGTCTCAAAAGAAATCCTCAAACCCCAGAATCTCTCTACAAATTGTAATTTCCTTCTTAAATTTGACTTGGCCTCATCCCCTCTGCTCTAACATGAGGCTCTTTATATTAGGCTGCACCAAAAGAAATCAACCTTTGACAGTTTCCAACCTAAAGAAGAACCATGTCTTCCACTTCATGGCTTCTATTATGCCGCCTGGTGTGAACACGACTTTTTAGTTTTTTCAGGAATATTAACGTGTTTGATCATGGCACACTGCCCCAGACCTCACTGGGGCTATGATGTAATGTACAGCACAGTCACTGCCTTGCCATTTTAAAATTTTGCAAATGATCCATTCGAGACCACACCTGGCCTCAAGATTGCAAACATGTAGTAACAGAATAGTGGTTAAAATCATTTGTGGGGCACATTCTGGCAGCACAAGGCCCCGTGCTGGGGACTACATAGATTATTCATTCTGGGGATAAGGATGAGTAGGGGGAGGAAAAAGCTCACAGGTGTTCATTATATGAACTCAAATAAGGCACCATTTTTCCCACTAAAATGCCAGCTGATGAAGCCACTTACTGTCCTAACATAAAAATGTTGAGGTGAGGAGGTGAGACCCCCCCGCCAACAGGTCTATGCCTCCCTAACACCCACAAACTGAAGGAAGAGCTTGATCCCACTACAATGCTGCTAGTTACAGAGCCAATCAGACGAACAGGAGCCTCAACAGACCCGGAGTCTGCTTGTTCTTAGATCGTTGCAAAAGTAATTACACTGCTGTCTTCTGTAGGAGAACAGTTTGTATTAATTTGGGGAAATGTGTGATTTGATAAAGACATCCCACATGGGGCTCCGAGGGATAGTCCATTAAGAGAGAGAGACCAACTTGGAAAATGTCCTGACAGTATCCTGCATTAGACAATCTGGAAGACAGGGGAAGAGGGAAATTGGGGAGAGAGGAGCAGAGGAGGAAAAGGGCCTCCGCCGAGGGTTCTGAACTTTAGCAATGGCTCCCAAAGGATATTGACGGCTTAACTCCTCTTTAATCTTGGCCCAAGTGCTGTAATAAGCCACTCTGAGAACTTAATAACTCCTCAGCATCCAATCAATAGCAGATCTGAAAAATCTCTTCCCTCTATTTATTTAGTTCTCTAGCGCTCAGACCCTTCAGCTTCTTATTCCCCAAGATATCTGAAGCTGAACTTTTCCTTCAGGAACAGGCAGCTTGCTGACATCCACCCAGAAGGTGGACCTTTAAGAAATGGGCTTTGATGAGAATTCTCTACACTGGAAAGGCAAGAAGCACCAAAGAGACAAATGAGATGGCATTCCTGCCATACCTCCAAAACCAGCGGAAAATGGACTTTGGCACTTCTCCTAGTTCCCGTTAATGCAAAACCTCATTAGGGTCTACGGGGGAAAGGGGCAGGATACACATCTTTATAGGATTCATCTGGGAAATTATCACTTTCCAGTTAAGCAATTGCAATACACACAGATGAAAAAAAGAAAAATACTTCCACTCTTAGGTTGGTGGGAGGGGATTATTTGCCTTGATTTTTTTAAACCACGCTTCTTGGTGAATATAAATTTTGGATTCAATAGAAATACAAGTAGGGAGGGACTGAAGGAGAAAAGGAAAAAGGATTATGAAGTAATCTTAACAGGACCCCATCAAAAAATGAAAACTTCTGGTTAGGCGTAGTGGCTCACGCCTGTAATCCCAACACTTTGGGAGACCACTGCACTCCAGCCTGGATCACTTGAGGTCAGGAGTTTGAGAACAGCCTGATCAACAAGGTAAAACCCCATCTCTACTAAAAAAAATACAAACATTAGCCGGATATGGTGGCAGGCACCTGCAATCCCAGCTTCTCTGGAGGCAGAGGCAGAATTGCTTGAACCTGGGCAACGGAAGTGGCAGTAAGCCAAGATTGCACCACTGTACTCCAGCCTGGGTGACAGAGTGAGACTCTGTCCCAAAAAAAGAAAAAAAAAAGATGAAAATTTCTGCAAATCTCTCTATCCCTCCCCCCAGCCAAAGAAGCAGATGTCTTCACTTCTAAGTGCAAACATGCGTGACCCATTTGCTGCAAACTTCATATCATGCCAGCTTTTGATGCTATTTTTTTTTTGAATGAGAGAAAATTCAGTGTCCTGGCACCAGATTCTCTGGGCACATTCCAGCCCAAGAAGAGGTTACATTTTATGTCAAATAAAGATAGAGTTATCTTTTCTTCCTATTTGGACAGGGAGGCATCAGCCCAATTAGATCAAGCAAGGCAAATGGATTATTCACTGGTTAGGTCCACACTCCACACAATGTAGCACTTTCCTGCCTGTCTCATGCGCCTCTGGAAGCTTTGCTTCGGAGACAGGTAGCTCCAACCCTGGCTGGCATGGGATGTGTGTTCACTTCCGTCAGGTAGGAGTAGATGCCAGGCAGTGTACTGTCAGAAATTACCACTTTCCAGACAGACTGTGATGGCTGTGGGCAAGGAAATTCACTTTTCTGCATTCTTGGTGTATCATCCATAAAATGACAAAAGTTGAACCTGCCTGACATAGAGCTGTTAGGATGATCACCTAAGACAGAGGACACGCAGGGCATGTGAACTCAATGATGGCTGAGCCGTGATGGCAGTGATGATGACGCTAATGAAGATGATGATGATAATGAAAATGATGATGATGACGACGATAATGATCAATGGTTTGCTTTTCTTTAACTTCATCCATTCCTTAATACCTGATTTCTCAGAGTTAAAATTAAGAAACAAACTATTCAGAGACAGCAAGTTAGGGTGTGTTTAGGGTAACAGAAGCATCATAGTTGTAATGAAATCCATCCCCTTCATAACGCAAAGGCACTTCCAAGGTAATAAAATAATCCCAATGGGAAATCCTTCAGGAGATGCTGTTATATCACAAGGTGAATGGCCCTGATTATCACAAAGTTGTTCAAGTATCCGTTTGTTATCTGGTTAGCCAGGGGACAAGGCCAGAAGCCACTTAGCACAGTGGCTTCTGTGCAGCCTTATCAAGCTGCAGGGTATGAAAAGCTCAACTCACAGCACAGTGTCTGGGCGGCCACCATCCCTATAACTTACCTGGGTTATAGAACCATCTCCTTCTGGAGCCAAGCCTTTCTTGCAAAATGAGACAACAAAATAATGCCTTTCCAGAGTTCACTGTAAGCCCCCAGGTTTCCCGAGAAATGGACCTCAGAGATGCACAGACTAAAACAGGGAGGAGTGAGAGAAGCATTGACGTTTAAAAGCATGTAACGCATTTTGGGAGGCCGAGGTGGGCGGATCACTTGAGGTCAGGAGTTCAAGACCAGTCTGACCAACTTGGCGAAACCCCATCTCTACTAAAAATACAAACAAACAAACAAACAAAAAATTGCTGGGCGTGGTGGCAGGCACCGTAATCCCAGCTACTCGGGAGGCTGAGGCACGAGAATCACTTGAACCCGGGAGGTGGAGGTTGCAGTGAGCCAAGATTGTGCCACTGCACTCTAGCCTCGGCGACAGAGACACCGTCTTAAAAAAAAAAAAGAAAAAAAAGTAACAATTTTCCTAATTTATAAAACAAAAGCAGTTATTGAGATGTGGCAAGGCGGGCTTGGATGAGAATCAGTAACCTATACAGAGAGTTAGGAGGCTACAGACAGATACAGCACAATCAGATCCTCATTTTCCAGGCAAGTGCTGCCAGCAGCATTATCACTGCATCAAACTGTACGAAATCACGGCACTTTCTGAGCCTTTGTTTCTTCACTTGGAAAAAATGAAACCAATGAACTCGATGCCCTCATAGATCCGCATAGGCATAAAAATTCTGCCCTTCTAAGATTATACATCTGCCTATTGTACAAGTTACTCCACCTTCCACCAAAAGCAACAGATAAAAATCTCAAGAGCTCATCAGAAGAATGGCATCGGGGGCAAATCCATGAAGCTAAACATAAACAAGATATGGTTTCGGAACAGACTTGTTTCATTTTTTCTTTTTCTTCTTTTTCCTTTTGAGACAGGGTCTCATTCTGTTGCCCAGGTTGGAGTGCAGTGGCGCGATCACAGCTCACCTCAGCCTTGACCTCCCAGGCTCAGGTGATCCTCACACATCAGCCTCCCAAGTAGCTGGGACTACAGGCACACGCCACCACACCCAGCCTATTTTTTGTAGATATGATATCTTGCCATGTTGCCCAGGCTGGTCTTGAACTCGTGGGCTCCAGCCATCCTCCCACCTCGGCCTCCCAAAGTGTTGCAGTTATAGGTGTGAGCCACTGCGTCCAGCCGGTCTGTTTCTTAGAGAGGAGCCTTGGGATGCCTGGACGGGGAAAGGGGGGATGCACACTGGGTCCAGGACTGGGACCCAGGGAAGCAGACAAACAAGGCCTCCTTTAAAGGAAGCTCAGGTTGATTTCTGGTACATTCCGTGGAGCTGAACCTCTCAAAGTTGTCAGTACCCAAGTCACCTGCTGTGCATACTACAATACAATGTCTCAGGCTCTGCCTCCAGCGATTCCAATCCAGTATATTCAGGTGGGGGTCCAGGAATCTGCATTTTAAGAAGCACCCAAAAGTGATCATGACATAGGCAGGGGAAGAGGTGGAACAGCTCAGGTCAAAGCAGTGATGAGAAAGCTGGAGAAGAACCACCTTTGTGGCCTTCACCTCCCACCCGAGGCCGTGGGGAAGGGACAGCGTCCCCACCAGCAGCCAATGAAACGTGGACACTCCCTTTTTGCATTGCTCACACCTGATGCCTGGAGTCAACCCTAACAGTCTTCCTCCAAACCTCCAATCTTCATTATGTCCTCCCAACTTGAGTTTCATAACAGAACCAGAACCTCCCAATTCTCGTCATCTCCATCCCACCATCCGATCCAGGGCACCATCATTACGACAACTGCCTAAATGTCCTCCCTGCCCCTGCCCCATATGGCCCTCTGTACATGCAGTGGCTGGGGCAGCCTTCATCAAAGGTCAGGTCACGCCATTCTTCCACTGAAAACCCTTCAATCACCCCCCAGTCTCCCTCAGAGAAAATGCCTTCTGTCCCCGTCTGCCCTGGCTCCCACCATTACCTGTCTGGCCTCAACCCTGAGTACCTTTGCCTTTGCTCATTCTATTCCTACATAGTCCACTGCACTTCTTCCTCCTTCTGCCCCATCCCGATTGCCCTAAATATCCACAGAGTACATTCCCTCACCTCTTTATGTCTTGGCTCAAATATTATCTCTGTGAGGCTTTGTTTGACCACCTTTTGTAAAATGGCCAACCCTACTCTTCAAGGATTCCTCTCTCCCCTGCAGATTTTCTCCATTACACTATTTCACAGATTCTCTCTTCCCGCTGCACAGATCAGGGGTTCTCAACCTCAGGTGATTTTGACTACCAGGGACCATTTGGCAATGCCTGGAGAGATTCTGGTTGTCATGACTGGGGAAGAAGATGCTGCCATGTATCCAGTGAGTAGAGACCTAGGATGCTGTCAAGCATCCTTCCACGTACAGAAGAGCCTCCCACAACAAAGTGACCCAAAATGTTAACAGCGCCAAGATTGAGAAATCCTGCCACAGAATATACTGTTAGTGGCCTCAGGGATTTTTGTCTGCTGTGTTCATTGCCATGGACTCACTGCCTAGAAAAGCATCAGGAACATGGTATGCACTCAATAAATACTGTTCAAAGATAAGAATGAAGAGATAAATGGCTGGATGCTTCCCAGAAAGCCTGGAGAGCTTCTGAGCCACAGAAGTATAAGTCTCCCTTATCTGATCCAGGACAGTGTCCATAAAGGGCTTCTATGGCTCCACGGACCACCTAGATTAAGCCATTCCATTCCTAACAAATCATGTATTTAAGGGACCACAAGGGAAAGAGCAAACACCTGAGATGTGCTGCAGAGCTTGTTCTATGTCAGGAGGGCTTCTTGTGTTCCTCTTTGCAGTGTGTCTAATGGAGAATAGAGGAGGCTGGTCTCCTGGGGCCCCACATAAGAAAAGGTCCATTATCTTAATTATGAAAGACAAAGATGGGCCGGGCACAGTGGCTCACGCCTCTAACCCCAGCACTTTGGTGCTACGGACCTTGGTGGACTGAACAAAAGAGGATGAATGCAGAAATAAAGACAAAGACAAAAGACTATATTTGGAAGAAGAGGTAAGGGGGCTCCTTGCTTCTAGTGAACAAGGACCCTGAGCTTCTAGCTCCCTTCGTATTTATTGAGTAAAAGAGATAGCGAGGAGGAGGTGGTTGTCAGTCAGCTGCTTGACTCGGTGCAGGCCTGCATGACTGCATTCTTTGAACAGTAGTCTCCAGATGTTCCAGTAGATAACCTCAAGAAGCATGGCGCCAGGAAGTGACTGCACTCAGCATATCTTCTGGCGGTGGGCGCAGATGTGAGTTCATGATAAACAGTTTGTTGTTTGATGGTACAGCCTTCAGTGGAATGCTGAGTTGGCCACGACCCTCAGGCCTTTGGCTCTCTATACTTTGGGAGGTCCAGGCGGGCAGATCACTTGAGGTCAGGAGTTTGAGACCAGCGTGGCCAACAGGGTGAAACCCCATCTCTACTAAAAAAAACAGCTGGGCGTGGTGGTGTGCACCTGTAATCCCAGCTACTTGGGAGGCTGAGGCAGTAAAATCACTTGAACCCAGGAAGTGGAGGCTGCAGTGAGCTGAGATCACAACACTGCACTCCAGCCTGGGTGACACAGTGTGACTCCATCTCAAAAAAAAAAAAAAAAAAAAAAAGTCAAAGATGGGTCACTTCACTACCAGGGGACAAGGGAGTAAGAGAGTTACAAGGTTTCTGTCTCATGACTCTGACTGTAGACATGGGTAGAATTACATGAAGGGCTGGGGGAGTGATCAGGGGATCTTCAGTGAACAGACATCAAAAACAACTAAAGAAAAGAAATCTCACCAGCAAAGATCCAAGAGATTGTGTATATGAGAGCTGAATATTATTTTGAGAAGAAAATAAAATAGGCAATACTAAGAATAAAATCCCCTTCTAGCTAATATCAAACTCAGCATCTGGACCTTTTACTCACTGTCTTATTTCTCTAAAGATCTCCAAGTAACTTAATAAGTGTAATCTATGAAATGCTTTATTTTTTTTTTTTTTGAGACAGAGTTTCACTCTGTTGCCCAGACTGGAGTACGGTGGTGCAATCTCAGCTCACTACAACCTCGATCTCCCGGGTTCAAGCAATTCTCATGCCTCAGCCTCCCGAGTAACTGGGATTACAGGTGCGCACCAACAAGCCCAGCTAATTTTTGTACTTTTAGTAGAGACGAGGTTTCATCATGTTGGCAAGGCTGGTCTCAAACTCCTGACCTCAGGTGATCCTTCTTCCTTGGCCTCCCAAAGTGCTGGGATTACAGGCGTGAACCACCACATCCAACCCGAAATGCTTGTAATGCCCAAGATTCGTTTGTGCATCAGAGGCTGACCTGACCTGACCAGCTGTTAAGCACCCAGAATGCTCAAATGGCTACAACTTATCAAATGCTTGCCAGGGACCTAAGCATTCTAAGGACTGTCAGGTCCTAACTAACATGAATGAGTCCCATACACTAACTCCTATTCAAACCTCACAACAACCCTTATAGGGTTATTGATCATTTGGCCCATTTTATGGATGAGTGAATGGAGGTTCAGGGAACACAGCTTGCAAATGACAAAAACAGGATTTGAACCCATACCTTCCAGTACAAACCCATCATGTGTGCTATGTGCAAACCCCTGCTGTATGTACTTTGAGTTAGAAGAGGAAAAAAAAGAGAGAGTGAGCACATAAGGAAGAACCAACAATAAACCTCCGAATATTTGGTCACCTACTTATCAGGTGTGGAAGACTCACCCAGGCTGTGACACTGTGTGTATTTCCATGTTTATAAAATGCTCTTCTGTAAATGTCACTGGGTGTTGTTGCCACGAAAGGGCTGATAAAGTCTAAACTCCACTCCTAATGTGAAAATCTTTAGTTAGATGCCGAGTTCCCATCATTATGGGTTTTTAATCTTTATGATATCTGCAATATGACTGACATTACGTCTTGTTCTTTGACTAGGATCTTCTTATGTCGCAGACAGAACAAGATGAACCCTAAACTATCCAAAGAGGAAGACCATGTCAAGAAAGGAAGAGGAGAGAAATAACCCTTATGTCATATTCCCACGGCAGGATGTCCATCAGAAAGATCAGATGGAGGGGTCATGAGGAAAGGAAAAGGGGGAACTCGTCAACTGAATACTCCCCACTCTACCAAGCTGAGTGGTTAAGAGAAATGGCTTTGGAGTTAGACTCCTGGTTCCACCATCTAATTGACTTTAGGGACTTTATTTTATCTCTCTCTAAATCTCAGCTTCCTCATCTGTGAAATGGGGATGGTATGTATCCACCGCATAGATCTATTCTGAGAATCGAATGAGATGATGAGCTGAATTTCCTAGCACAGTGGCCAGAACATAGAGAGTACTCCAAAAAGAAGAAGAAAAAAAAAAAAAAAAAAAAAAAAAAAAAGGTTACTTCTTATCATTAACCCTTACCAAATGTCTGAAAAGAGCATCATACATTCTGTTTCACAGAGAAGTAATCAGAGCGTTAGCCAGTGGAAGTGATTTGCCTGAGGTGAGAGAAAATCAGAACCAAGCTTCAAATTTGTCTTTTTTCAAAGCCCCTCTGCTGACTCCTCCAACATCTACACCGGGGTTGGTCAGTCCCTTGGAGACATTTTACCCGGCTCCACCAATGCCCTGACTTTAGGAGAGAGGTGTCCACCCCACGTGAAGACACATACAGAACCAATGTCAGCCGGGCATGGTGGCTCACGCCTGTAATCCCAGCACTTTGGGAGACCAAGGCGGGCGGATCATGAGGTCAGGAGTTCGAGACCAACCTGACCAATATGATGAAACCCTGCCTCTACCAAAAAAAAAAAAAAAATACAAAAATTAGCCGGGCGTGGTGGCATGTGCCTGTAATATCAGCTACTCAGGAGGCTGAGGCAGGAGAATCACTTGAACCCAGCGGGCGGAGGTTGCAGTGATCTGAGATCGCGTCACTGCACTCCAACCTGGGCAACAGAGCAAGACTCCATCTCAACAACAACAACAAAAAGAACCGATGTCATGATTTCCCAAGCCAGGTTGAGTCATTTGGTGGGAGGAGTGAAAAAACAAATGTTTTCAAAACTGACTTCAAACTTCAAAGCATGGATTCTTAAGACCATCGTGGGGCAAATCTGAGAGCAGAAGAAGAATACGGATGAGAGAGAAAGCCCATGCTGGCATAGGTGGACAAGGAACTGCAGGAAAACATGGAATTTATCAAATTATGCCAGCCCACTGCAGACAACAGAAGACAGAGTGATGAGTGTCACGCATCCTCACATCCCTGAGTGCCTAGCTCTCAAATTCCAAACCCCTGCGCGCTTATCTTGGTGACCTTTACGCTGCTCTCTGCTCCATCTTGACGAACACTGATGGTGAAATTACCAAAAAATACAGGAAAGGGGGAAAGAGAAGGGGCTTTGAGGGAAGGGATCACAGATTATACGATGTCCAATTATAGACATCCCATCAGGTATTAAGCAAGGAGGGAAGAGGAGGATCACGTGTCACAGGGAGGTCTTGGACTATAAGTGAAGCAAGAGATCACAGGGAATACACAGCTTGGGCAAAGGCAAGGAGGTGGGACTGTGCCACGTGCACAGAGAATGCAGCACAGGCCCCCATACGCTGCAACCTGAAGTGCAGTGTGGTGGGGATTCGAGGAAGGAGAGGGCACAGGGGAAGGCTGGAGACATTTGAATGCAATGCTGAGTACTTCAGATCTCATTGTTTAGCAGTGAGTAGCCAGCGAAGGTTTGTGAGCTAGAGAAGGATGGGATCAGATCTGTGTTTTAGTGAAAGTGCATCACTGGGTACTGGTGTCAGGCTATAGAGCAGATCAGTTCAGAGTTTTCATGGTGGAATTCAGAGGACACTGAGTTCTAATCCCAGCCCCTCTGCCCCACTACTGTGCAATTTTGAGCCAGTTACTTACCTTCTCTAAGCCTCAGTGTCCTCAAACATAAAATGGGGTAACAACCCTACTTCCTTAATAAGAAAGTCGTGGGGATTAACGAATATAATGATCAGGACGTGCTTGGCAAGATATCTGGCCCATCAACCTAATCAGTATAGGTGACGGTGACGACAATGATGATGGTAATGACAATGTTGATGGTGGCAGTGAGGATGATGTCAGCAATGACAGTAATCTTGTCTAAACATAGACACAGCCCTTCCATCTAGGAGGCTTTTTTTTTTTTTTTTTTTTTTTGCCTATAACCTGAATACCCCCCCACTATGGTTTAAGCTGGCTTCTCCTCCATTCACAGACATAGAAATTAGCCCTGTTTCTAATGTAAAGCCTAGTACAAAAAACCTGCACCACTGCTGCCTCACCCTATGACCAGGGGCAGGTGGTGACCCGCTGGATGCTTCATGCTTCCCAGTCTGTAAAGTGGAGATTATACGGCTACTCATCTACCCAGAGAGATTGGCTGTGTTCAGACTTATTACTATACTTAAGAGTGAGCTTGGAACATTGTACAGAATGATACACGTTAGCTAGTAACTAATATTCACCACTTAACCTGACCAAAGTGCTGCAACACACAGCCACTGCAAAGTGACGCAGTCCTGAGCTGCACGTGTCCACATGGGATATCCACACAGGATACGTCCCACATGTCTGCAAGGCCATGGGCTGTGGGATACAGCTAAATGGTGCATCTTTCTCTCCTGGGCACCGGCTTTATTTGTTTCCCTCGGTTGTTCACAAGGCCTTTCTGTTTCAACATCTCCAATTCATCTGAGGGTCTTTGTGTGGCATTTCCAGCCCCACTAATTGTGAGGCTTAGGACCTGAGGCAGAAAAACCAAATGTCTTTTTCTGGTTAAAGTGAGAACAGAAATGTGTTAGGGTATTTGGACTCCCAGCCGGTGAAGCCACTTCATTCTGATGAATTGCGACACATGGAAATCAATCCAGGTCACCTAAAACAACTTGGTATGTGGTGTCCAGACCAGTCACTGTTAATTTATTATGGGCTATTTGATTAAATACACAACAAGGGAGTGAGTCGATGCGGTGTGTCTGTAGGTGAATTGTCTCGTGGCTCATTTGTGAATGTATCTCTAATACTCAACAAAAATCATTCCAAAGCATTCGAAAGCTCTCTAGGTAGTTTGTCCATATTAGGATATATCTATATATGTGTATATATATATACACATATATACACACATATACATATATACACATATATACACACATATACACATATATACATACATATACATATATACACATATATACACACATATATACATATATATATATATAACTACTTTCCTGAAATCTCTGGGAGATGGAGCAAGTTACAAGAAAAATCAGCCAATATCACGAAACTGACCAAAGACAAAATATAACAACCCGAGGGAGCGGGTTCTACACATTAAACTCCACTTCCAAAGTCTCTTTTTCCAACCATCCATCTACGGTCAATTCCATCACATTTAATATTCTCTATGTACCGTGCCACCATTTGCAGCCCGATGTTTGTGTGATTATACATCAACGGTCTATCTTCCGACAGTGGAATGCCGTTACAGTGCTGACATAAGCCAGCCCAACTATGTTAATACATGAACCCTCAGCAGAAAAACAGACAGTGACTGGGAAGGAGGAGACCAAGTGTGGTCGGATTCACATCCCCATTGTATTCATCCATTTTCATGCTGCTGATAAAGACATGCCCGAGACTGGGTAAATTATAAAGAAAAAAAGGTTTAATGGACTCCCAGTTCCACATGGCTGGGGAGGCCTCATAATCATGGCGAAAGGCGAAAGTCACATCTCATATGGCAAAGAGAATGAAAGCCAAGAGAAAGGGGTTTCCTCTTATAAAATCATCAGATCTCAGGAGACTTATTCACTACCATGAGAACACTATGGGGGAAACTGCCCCCCATGCTTCAATTATCTCCCACCGGGTCCCTCCCACAACACATGGGAATTATGGGAGCTACAATTCAAGATGAGACATGGGTAGGGACGCAGCCAAACCATATCACCCACCTACCCTTAGGAGCCTCTCTTATTTCCCATGTCCACATAAAACTAGCCTCAAGTAGACTGGCTACTAGAAAATATCTCAGGATGGCTACAGAGGAGATTCCAGGAAAGCTTTACTCTACTGCCTTCACAGGTTATCATAAAAGAGGGAAAACGACTTGCAAATTATTTATTTATTTATTTATTTATTTATTTATTTATTTATTTATGTAAGGCAGAGTTTCGCTCTTATTGCCCAGGCTGGAGTACAGTGGCACGATCTCAGCTCACCACGAACTCCGCCTCCCGGGTTCAAGTGATTCTCCTGCCTCAGCCTCCCAAGTAGCTGGGATTATACGCAGGTGCCACCATGCCCAGCTAATTTTGTATTTTTAGTAGACACAGGCTTTCTCTATGTTGGTCAGGCTGCTTTTGAACTCCCAACCTCAGGTGATCTGCCCATCTCAGCCTCCCAAAATGATGGGATTACAGGAGTGAGCCACTGCGCCCGGCCATGACTTGCAAATTCTAATGTAGTGGTATGTGCACATGCATGCACATGAACACACGCACGCACGTGCACACACGCACACACACACACCAGTTTTCCTTCTGAAATCTGGAATATCATGGAGATAGCTTAGCAAAAGGTAAGGAAAAGGCACCTTATTAGTTCTGAACCCTGGTGCTTTGGATGATCCAAGCCATGTCTGCCACTTAGTATCCCACTGAGGCTGCAGCCATGGTAACAAACCCCACGTGTTCCCATTTTCTTGACATCCTCACTGTCTCCTGCTCACCTGTGATGGACAGAACAACTGTTGTCATGTTTTAGCTAAACAATGTGAGTGGCTAGGGCTCTTTGAAGTGCCATCCCTCATCCAGTAGGAACTAAAAAACCAATCCATGTAAGAAACTACACGTGGCTGCCAAGGCTGAGGTGTGTTCCACCGGCATCTCACCCGAGGGACAGCTGTCTCCACCTCCTCATCCAAGAGGTGAGATGCCCAGCCACGATGATGGCATCCACCAGAGAAGTGCTGGAGAACCGTGAAAACTGGGTTGTTCTTCTAGGACCCACTGCCTAGAAGACCATGATGAACTTGATATGCACTCAATAAATACTGTTCAAAGATAAGAATGAATAAATAAATGCCTGGATGCTTGCCAGAAAGCCTGGAGAGGTTCCAAGTCACATAGGTATGAGTCTCCCTCATCTGATACAGGACAGACTCCAAAAAGAGATGCTACAGCTCCAAAGACCACACAGATTAAGCCATTCCATTCCCAGCAAATAAGGTTTTAAGTGACCGCAAGGGAAAGGGTACACACCTGACACGTGTTATGAAACTTGTTCTATGTCAGGAGGGTTTCTTATTAGACCAAAAAAATAAATGAATGGGAGAGAAAGAGATAATCCAAGAAGACGGTAGAAGGACAAATTCAGTGGGAGGAGACAAAAATTCAACCCAGAAAGACAACATCATCAAATGGCAGAAGGTGAAAGAAAATGACAGAAGAGTAAAGAAACTCTCTCCTCAATTGGGTGTGGTGGTTCATGCCTGTAATCCCAGCACTTTAGGAGTGTGAGGCAGGTGGATTACCTGAGGTCAGGAGTTCAAGACCAGCCTGGCCAACACAGTGAAACCCTGTCCCTACTAAAAAAAAAAATACAAAAATTAGCCAGGCATGGTGGTGCGGACCATAATCTCAGCTATCTGGATGCTGAGGCAGGAGAATCGCTTGAACCTGGGAGGTGGAGGTTGAAGTGAGCTGAGATCGCACCACTGCACTCCAGCCTGGGTGACAGAGCAAGACTCAGTCTAAAAATAAAAAAATTTTTTAAAAAAACTCTCTCCTACACACTGAGTACTTGGAGCAGTAGATAAAAATGACGTGGTTCCTAACCACATCTAGGTCATAGTCTCATGTCAGTGACAGACAAGAAACTTAAGAAAATAAATGATGGTAACAGACAGCAGGTTAGTGGTTACCAACAGCTAGAGATGGGAAGAAGAAATGGGATGTGGCTGCTAAAAGGTACAAGGTTACTTTGGGGGTGATGAAAATGTTCCAAAATATGCTATAGTGCTCATTGCACAACTCTGTGAATATATGAGAAGCCACTGAATTGTACACCTTAAATGGAGGAATTGTATATCATATGAATTATATATCAATAAAGCTGTAATTTTAAAAAACTACTATCATCATATTATAAGGCAGGATTTCAGGGCTGGTCAACTACTTATTGAAAGAATCAAGCTTCAGCACAACTCAACAGCATCAAATTTGATGACCAAGGTGCGTTAACTGTAAAATGTTTCCTGAAGTTAAACTACCAGATGGTTTATATTTAGTTTTGGTGTACTTTATTCTCTCTGGGTTATTTCAGAAAATAAAATATTCCAGAAAACTATTATTTCAACAGTTTAAGCATTGTAGTTCAGTAGATAACGATACCATCAGCAAAGATGAGGATATGTGACTCCTTCGCTTTATATTTGGAGGACAGACAGTTAGTTCACCTAGGAGGTGTTTTGAATCAGTGAAATGGAAATGGAAATGAACATGGGTCAGGAGATGCAATAATACAATAATACAGCCTCAGCTGGGCGCGGTGGCTCACGCCTGTAATCCCAACACTTTGGGAGGCCAAGGCAGGCAGATCACCTGATGTCAGGAGTTCAAGACCAGCCTGACCAACATGGTGAAACCCCGTCTCTACAAAAATGCAAAAATTAGCCAGACATGGTGGCGGGTGCCTGTAAGCCCAGCTACTCAGGAGGCTGAAGCAGAACAATCACTTGAACCTGGGAGGCAGAGGTTGCAGTGAGCCAAGATTATACCACTGCACTCCAGCCTGGGTGACAAAGCGAGACTCCATTTCAATAATAATAATAATACAGCCCTATTTTACATAGTTTGGGATTCCAAGACCTCATCTGCATATTCCTCCTGAGACAGCGGCAGTATGAAGCCAATATCAATATCACAGGTTTATGGTTAGCAGATAGTTTGCCTAAAGGTAGTTCCTCTTGTAAAATCCCAAAGGGCTCATCAGAAAATGGCAGAGAATTTTTCACTTTTAATTCTTGAAACGATTGAACAGATCAGAAAAAAACAAAAATATAGGACAGAGAGGCACCCATACCAGAAGCAGGGGAATGTGGCCAGATGCCTACTGGACCAGCTCTCTTGCACTCAGAACCTTAAGGAAGACTCCCTAGCACTTACAAGTTGGAGGAACCCCATTTCTATCCTAGAAAACTGAGGCCAGTTCTGCCATAGTGGGTAATCCTCTGATCCCAAGACCAACCCCTGGGGTCTTCCTGTCTCCCCCAGGTCCTCCCCCTTCTTCTCCTCCTGGCCCTGGAGAATTGCTCTATACATCCTGGGTATCTCACTGCAGCCCTGGCCCCAGCATCTGCCCTCAGAGCCCTGATCTAACACATAACCAAAAGTGACAGGACCAAGAGGTTCTTCACTGAATCCTGACCCCAGCAGTTCCAATATCTAGGAAACAGGCAGCTTTCTCGGGCAGCTGTCTGACTTCTAAGTAGGACTGCTGGAGGCTCTGGGTCCTACTTGACATATAACTGCAGACCTCCAATTTCCACACTTTGCCACGGATGGTGTCCTCGGAAATAAACTTGGATGGAGCAGAAATAAATCTGTTCTATCAAATCTTTCTTTTTCCTGAATGATGAGAGGTCATTCTAACCTTGCCATGAGCTCAGGAAGAGCTTTGCCTTTAAGCTAGAGACAAAATGAGTGCCGAGATTTCAAAGCGTCTCACCCTGGAAATAAAAAACAGCTGACAAAAGACAAGTTTCCCTGTGTCTTCACACCCTCTAGCACCATATTGGATGAGCGAATAAATTAACCAATGAATGAACCGATGACAGGGGAAAAGAGGCCCTCGAAAGAATTATCTTGGGTGGACTCCATTTCTCAATGGATGGGATGCATTTGCAATAAAGCTTCTCATTAATTCCAGGGTCATGACCCTAAACTTAAATTGCAAAAGGAACCAAGACCATCGTCCTCAAGTAACTTCTGCTAAAATACATCTCAGGGTAGAACAAGTGACCCTCTCACCCCAAAAGAAGGGAGCAGATTGCCCAGTAAGTCCTGGGGACCCTCCTGGAGATAAGATAATTAAAAGAATCCCTAGGGTAAAGAGCATTAAGTCATATTATTAATAATAATCATCATATAAAGGTCTAGTATTAAAACAGGATTGGAAATGTATTTAAAACCTTATATCGTCACCCCTTCCCTGGTGTCTAATAGGGCCTGACTTTTGCATAATGGCTTTCTTTTGTACATTTTCTTCCCAGCTAATTAAGTTAGAATGACTGTTAAACAGACCTGCTTCCAGAAGTGTCTATAAGGCAGGAAAGAAAGAGAATGTCTGTGTCCCACTAACTGGTATTCAAAATACAGAATTACAAATTTGGGGGTTTTTAAAGAAAAAAAAAATGAAGCTATAGGTCCCCTTTTTAGCCAAGTTTGCTGACACCTAATTATAAGTATCTGAAATACATATTGATTCCAACTAATTATAGGTCCTCATTCAATTTTTTTTAAAGAAAGTTGGTTTTAACCATGGGCCATAATAGAGTCTGCTCATATTTCTTGGAAATATTAATGTGCAAGACCCCCTCCCATGGATGAAGGATCAGGCAGCAAGCCATGTCTACCCATTTTCCCACCCCTCCTGCCCTGAGGATGGACATAGTCACAGTGTTGTACTGGGAGGAAGACACAACAGAGGGAATCCATTTGGGAATTGATAAAACCCAAAGTTGCAATAAAATCTTTAGGAAATTCCTTTTCTTTGCATGAGGTTTAGTCCTGGCATTAACCATTTCTCCTGCCACAAGGGTGTGCCAGGTAGCTAATGAAATCTCCTGTTACCTGCTAGCCAAAACGCCTCCATACTGCAATGCACATCACAGCAGGACCTAGGCACCAGGGCTGCCTTCAGAGGCAGAGTGTCAAGGAGGATGGGTGGACAGTGTGAAATGCCACAAGGAGGATAAAAGGACTGCAAAGTATATGTTAGATTTGGCAGCATGGAGCTCATAGGTATCTTGTCCAGAGAAGTCCAATAGCAGGTCCAAGAGTCAAACTTTGGTAGGTTAAGAAAAAAGATGTGGAGCACAGACTACGCTGAGATGTTTGGATAAAAATGAAGGAATAAAAGCATAAGGTGAAAAATCATTTATTCAATAAATACATACTGCACACCCACCAAAAATAGGCACCACATTTGACCTTGTACAGTGATGCACAGATGACAGGAGATTCAAACAGACAAAGGAATCCAGGGGCCTTGCCCTCCTAGAGTTTACAGTCTACAGAGAAATAAAATACATAAATGGATGATTGCAGTGCAGTGTAATAACACCGGAGTGCGGGGAGAAGCCATCTCAAACTTGGGGAGTCAGGTTATCCTTCCTGCAGGAGGTGATTTAGTGCTTCCTGGAGGAAGTAATTCAATGGTTCCTAGAGGAGGTGACTAAGTGCTTCCTGGAGGAAGTGACTAAGTGCTTCCTGGAGGAGGTGACTAAGTGCTTCCTGGAGGAGGTGACTAAGTGCTTTCTGGAGGAAGTGACATATGAGCTGAGAATCTAAAGATGCCCAGGAGTTAGCAAGCAAGGTATTTCACAAAGTGTGTGCACAAGGGAAAGAGACTGTCAGGCATGTGCAAATACTCAGAGGAAAGAGAAGAAATTTATTCTATAAATAATGAATATGTGTTGGCCATTTTCATAAGCACTGTTGACACTCTGGGAATATAGCAATAGGTTATAAGACAGACAAGAGAACTAAATTCACTCGTTTTTCATGCTGGTTAGGGAGACGGATAGAATATCAACAAGATCATCCAGATAAAAACAGATCCTGTTAAGAAAGCCCCAAAGTGGAGGGTGAGGAAGAATAAAGGATCTCAGGATGGCTGGAGTACAGCACGCTAGAGTTAAGGGTATGATGTGAGCTTGCAGAAGTAGGCAGGGGCTAGTCCGTGCACATCCTGGAAGCAGTAAGAAGTCCCTGGGCAGATGTTAAAAGCAAGATGAGGGGAGTGGTTATCACTGAAGACTTTTTAACGTTGCACAAGACAGAATGACCTAGGAAGAAAGAGATTTGGGAAGTTTATTTACATTCCAAGGGGAAAGAGGAGAAAATTGATAGAGCAACTTCCAAGAAAAGAGTGGTATCAAGGTCCCAGGTGGAGGGGCGCCTTTAGGGCAGGGGAACCAGGCCAGGTTCAAGGAAGGAGGTGTGGATCAATCTCCCCTGGTCCATGTGGCCAAGGCCCGATCCTGACAGGCCTTCCCCATTGTGTGGGCTTCATTTGCCTGCAAAAACACTGTAGCCTTGTTCGGCTTGTTTTGACAGTATGTAAATAAGTCTATTTCCTCATGTATTAGCCTATTAGCTGCCATATTTCAGATCTGAGGATCACAGCCACACCAGATTACAAAACAAATGGCTTCCACATCAATGTTTACTATGATCCTTAAGATGTACGTCATGGAATTTATAAATCAAAAAATATACAAACCATGCTTAAACAAACCAAGAACCAGAACAGGGGTACGCCATTGCCCATGCTGGGTGGCAAAGTACTCTTCCAGTTTTCTCTACACTTGACTTTTTTTTTTTTTTTTTTTTTTTTTGCCTGGGGGGGTTCTCCTAGCTATATAAACCCCTTTTGCTACTATGGAGGAGCAAGACAAAAACTGATCACATATCAAAATCTCAGGTTTCCTCAGGCAAACCCCCCCAGCCCAGCTCTGTACCCACGTGAGCATAACTGCTATGGTTTCAGGGTATTTCAAAAAGTGTGAGAGTGTGGGATCACCTCCCTCTGACCCACCTGGCATGCCTCACACATCTAGCTCAAGGCTTGTGGATTCCATATCTAAGGGGTGGTCCCAGACACTGCACATTTTAACAAGTTCTCCAGGTGTCTCTCTTGTACGTGGACCTTTGAGAACTCCTGCTCTAGTTTTCTGACACCTTTGCATGCTCATGATGCATTGAGTGAATCCAAATTACACACCTTGATCTGAATTGGGGGCTTTGGCCAGAAAGCTACAAAGACAGACCCTCTGCACTCTGAGGGGGCTGACAGTCTCAGGGTCCCACCCCACACAAGACTGAGACGATGGCAGGAACAGAGCCATGGAGCTTGCTCAAGACTGAAACTATTCTCAGTGGCCATGTTCAGAATCCCCTTGACAAGGAAAGGAAAGGGACCAATTCAGATTATCTACTTTGTACCAGGCCTTTGTAAGGATCTCAGGAGTGTCTCTGGTCACTAAGGTAGTTTGTACAGGGTACAAGTGAAATGGGAGAGTTCCCATATCCCCCTGGCAGGATGTGTGACAGGGCTGTGGCTCGCTCCTTCAGTCTCCTCGATGCTCAGACCTCTAAGGGGAACTTGCAGATGGGTAGGTGGTGAGGACATGAGGACCGCTTTTGGGCTCTGCCTCCACAGCTGCATCTAGGGTTGGGTGTCTAAGAACTCCCAAAGCCCAGTAGGCGTGTGTTACAGTGTGCTCTTTCAGCTCTGCATGCTGCAGACAGCTTGTGTGTTAATCAGCTCAACAGACCCTCGGCCTTATCACAAGGGCAGGGGGGCTAGTGTGACAGCCTTCTGTATCCCAAGTTCTCGCCCAGCATACCGGAAGAATTGGATCACACCTGGGCTGGGAGGATGAGTACAAGGTATTATTGAGTGATGGGAGTGGCTCTCAGAAAGATGGATGGGGAGCTGGAAGCGGGGGATAGAGTGGGAAGGCAGTCCTCCCCCGGAGTTGGGCCGCCCAGTGGCGAGTCTCTGACCACCACCAGCTGAACTCCCCTTGGCATCCAGACATGCTTACTCTTCTCTCTTTCTCTGCCACGTTGTTCCACTGTCATTGTTCTGGTTCTGACCTTCAGCTGTTTGTCGGTGTGGCCACTAAGGTCTTGAGTTTATACGGGGCCAGGACGAGGGGCATGGCAGGCCAAAAGGCAACTTCTATGGGTGTGAAAACAGAAATGCCTGTCCTCACTTACAGCCATGGGTCTTCAGGTTTGGGGGTGGGGCCTTTGCCCCACCTGGGTACCACCCTCTTCTACCAAGTAGTTCCCTGTTCCCTGTCTGCACCACAAGCCTACAAGTGTTTCTAAGAACTAGATCACACAATGCCTCAGGGCCTTTGCACATGCTTTCCCAGCTCTTTCTCCCACACTTTGCATGTCTGCTTCCTTCTCATGCTTTGGTTTTCAACTAAAAGTTGCCTTCCTGGAGTGATCCCTGCTCCCCATCACAGTCACCCCTCTGATACCCCTTACCGCAAGCACCCCACCTGTTTCGTCATATTATGCATCAAAATGTATATTCAGTTTTGTTACCCTGTTTATTATCTCTCTATAAGCTTCATATGGGGACCCAATGCCCATGTGCTTGACTCCCATTGTACCTCTCAAATGTCTGCCTTGCACAGTGCCAGACAGACAGCAGGAACGCAAACAACCTTTCAGAAATTTTTATTTATTTATTTATTTATTTATTTATTTATTTATTTATTTATTGAGATGGAGTCTCACTCTGTCACCCCGGCTGGAGTGCAGTGGCGCAATCCCGGCTCACTGCAACCTCTGCCTCCTGGGTTCAAACGACTTTCCTGCCTCAGCCTCCTGAGTAGCTGGGACTACAGGTGCCTGCCACCACGCCCAGCTAATTTTTTTGTATTCTTGGTAGAGATGGGGTTTCACTGTGTTAACTAGGATGGCCTTGATCTCCTGACCTCATGATCCGCCTGCCTCAGCCTCCCAAAGTGCTGGGATTACAGGCATGAGCCACCAAGTTCAGTCCCAGAGAATTTTAAAAGTTCAAATTAACATGAGGAAATTCTAGCTTCAGCAAAGCTGAAGGAGTTTCTTGCCTGCAGAAATCCCCAGAGCCTATAAAATGGACATATAAACTGTGTGTCAATGACAGGGAAGTAATAGGGTACACAGTGGCCTGAAAATACTGTGGCCTCAAACTTATGTGGCCACAGAACAGTGTTTTGTTTTGTTTTCGTGGCATCTTTCTTTCCATGGGGACATGTCATGCATCTCATGTCCCAAGGAACATTCTTCAGAAAACATTGCTTCAAAGAGTATCACATGGAAGGTGCCCGAGGGTGAGAGTCAGTCTGCAGCCGCTGGTTCTCCCAAGAGGGAGAGGGTTGGCATCCTCTGCAGCTCAGCCAGCAACCCCAGTAAACATCTCCCCTCAAACTTCAGGCAGCCGTCTTGGAGAGCTGTCACTTCCTACTTACCAACAAGCATTGAGCATTTCTTTAAGTTTTAGAAAAAGCGGGGGGAAAAGATAAATACTTTCCCATTCTCTGAACTAATGTCAAATGACCTGGAAACGTTGCCTCTGGGAACTCAAGCCATAGAACAAACTAGCATTTCATCTTCCTCGGCTCACAGCTCAATTTCAGCAGCTGCCGGGGAGGGTAGGCAAGGCCCCACCAGAGCCAATCACGAATACCACCGTTTACACTGAGATCCCTTTGATAGCGCTTTCTACAGATGGCAAGCTTGGAATTAGCCTTAAAGCAAAGCAAAGCCTCATTAATATGACCAAGGCTCCTCTGCAGACCGAATGTATGTAACCGCAAGAGGGAAATGTGTTACTTAATTAACATGTGTGTTCATATTTCCTCAATATAAATTCTAACACGCTGGCTTAGGCATAAATCATAGCAGTAGAATACAGGGAAAGGGTGTTTTTTGGTGTCGTTGTTTGTCTTTGTTTGTTTGTTTGTTTGTTTTTTTGAGACAGAGTCTCACTCTCTTGCCCAGGCTGGAGTGCAATGGCATGACCTCAGCTCGCTGCAACCTCCACCTCCAGGGTTCAAGCGATTCTCCCGTCTCAGCCTCCCAAGTAACTGGGATTACAGACATGCACCACCACGACCGGCTAATTTTGTATTTTTAGTAGATATGGGGTTTTCCCATATTGGTGAGGCTCGTCTCGAACTCCCGACCTCAGGTGATCCGCCCACCTAGGCCTCCCAAAGTGCTGGGATTACAGGCATGAGCCACTGCACCCAGCCGAGGGAGAGGGTCTTTCAAATGAACCTGTCCAGACTTAGTGAAACACTTCCCCGTCTCTGCCCTCAATCCTCACTTCAACAGAGCTACACATAGGGCACATGTTCCAGATTATGGTAACTTTCACGGTCTCTCCAACTATAAGGTTGGTGCAAAAGTAATTGTGGTTTTGCCATTAAAAGTAATTGCAAGGCCCCGTGCAGTGGCTCATGCCTGTAATCCCAGCACTTTGGGAGGCAGAGGCAGGTGGATCACCTGAGGTCAGGAGTTCAAGACCAGCCTGGTCAAGATGGCGAAACCGCGTCTGTACTAAAAATACAAAAATTTGCCAGGCCTGGTGGCTCATGCCTGTAGTCCCAGCTACTCGGGAGGCTGAGGCAGAATTGCTTGAGCCCAGGAGGTGTAGGTTGCAGTCAGCTGAGATCACACCACTGCACTCCAATCTGAGCAACAAGAGTGAGACTCCATCTCAAAAATAATAAAAATAATAATAATAAAAGTAATTGCAAAAACCGCAATTACTTTTGCACCAACCTAATAGTTCCATTCTATCCACTGAATCAAATCCACCAACATCCATAGCGGAGGGTAGCTAGATGCAGGCAAGGGGGGCTCTTGCCCTGTACCCCGGGCTTTAGAGAGCCCCACATGTCACAAACACACAAAAGAGTACATTTATTAATTAAAGAAAACTTCTCTCTTCTGGGATTTGGTTGTCAGAGTGACCCAGTGCAGTCTGTGACCATAAACATCCACTCCTATGACTAACACCATTCAAGCCCCATGGAAATACAACTCTGCATCCTGCCCTTGAATCAGAAAGTGGTCACTTCTAATTGCACTCAAGGTCTGTAGGTTGTACCACTGCCCGTGACATTGGAGACAACTGCTCAGAAGGCAGGAAGAATGTGAGTAAGAAAAAAGACAAATGAATTAATTAACTTGTCAAATCCATCATCCACCAGTGTCAAGCATTCATTCCTTGCTTCTCTTTGTTGATCAATTCATAATCCCTGAGACGTTTGTGAATAGAGCCTTTGGTGTCTGGGAATAGGTTGCAATACTAACCAATTCATTTGTCTTAAATTTGTGTAAGTGCAGAATCACGGCCCCAAGATAGACATTACATTGGCCCCAAGATGGACATTGAATGCAAAACTGTGCATTTTCATTATAGAAATATACACTATCTGATTGAAGTTGCTAAAATTAAGTAAAAATGGTCAGCTTTATTAAAATGTTAATATACATTTTTATATGGTTTGTATTTTTCCATTTACTCTTAGATACTTTTTAATGTTTTAGAAGAACCTCTTTTGAAAATATAGAAAAATAATTTTAATTTTTTTATTTTTAAAACATATAACTTGCATTTTTTACAGAAATATACACCAGTTTTATAACTTTCGCATATAATTATTTTAGGTTTTATGCTTTTAGGTCATTATTGTCAATAGAATACATAGAAAAAGGCCAGGCATTGTGGCTCATGCCTGTAATCCCAGCACTTCCGGAGATCAACGTGGGCAGATCACTTGAGGTCAGGAGTTCTAGACCAGCCTGGCCAACACGGTAAAACCTCATCTCTACTAAAAATACAAAAATTAATCAGGCATGGTGGTGGCCACCTCTAATCCCAGCTACTCGGGAGGATTAAGGCAGGAGAATCACTTGAACCCAGGAGGCAGAGGTTGCAGTGAGCTGAGATCACGCCACTGCACTCCAGCCTGGGCAACAACAGCAAGACTCTGTCTCAAAAAAAAAAAAAAAAGAATACGTGTTATAAGAAAGTATTGATTATTATAAGACATGTCTGTTGTTTGCCAATCGTCCAGACATCTCTGATCCATCCACAGGGTACCCAGACATATGCAATAATAATTAAATTCAATCATGTAGGATATTTTGTTGACCTTTAATTATATAAAAACTCTATAGTAGTATACATGTTTTTTCAATATTGTGGTATGAGGTTTCACATGTATATACATAAATACACACATATATATACATATATATGTGTATATACACACATATATATACATATATATGTGTATATACACACATATATAGAACATTCTATCTGATGGTTTTAGCTTACTGCACAGTTTTAAAATATTCAGACATGGCTGGGCGTGGTGGCTCACGCCCATAATCCCAGCACTTTGGGAGGCTGAGACGGGCAGATCACGAAGTCAGGAGATTGAGACCATCCTGGCTAACACAGTGAAACCCTGTCTCTACTAAAAATACAAAAAATTAGCCAGGCGTGGTGGCGGGCGCCTGTAGTCCCAGCTACTCGGGAGGCTGAGGCGGGAGAATGGCATGAACCTGGGAGGCGGAGTGTGCAGTGAGCTGAGATTGTGCCACTGCACTCTGGCCCGGGTAAAAGAGTGAGACTCCATCTCAAAAAAAAAAAAAAATATTCAGACATATGGCATACACCTTACTTTTTTTATTCTTATACTTTAAGTTCTAGGGTACATGTGTACAAGGTGCAGGTTTGATACATAGGTATATATGTGCCATGTTGGTTTGCTGCCCCCATCAACTCATCATTCACATTAGGTATTTGTCCTAATGCTATCTCTCCCCCAGCCCGTCACCCCTCGACAGGCCCGGGTATGTGATGTTGCTCGCCCTGTGTCCAAGTGATCTCATTGTTCAATTCCCACCTATGAATGAGAACATGCGGTGTTTTGTTTTCTATCCTTGTGACAGTTTGCTGAGAATGATGGTTTCCAGCTTCATCCATGTCCCTGTAAAGGACATGGACTGATCCTTTTTATGGCTGCATAGTATTCCATACACCTTGCCTTTTGAATTCTTGCCCCAAGCTGTTGAGGACCTGGAGATGGGTATCAAGATGGGAACATGCTGACCTTCTCCCTTTTCCCTCGTTTCCCAAGGGCTGTATCTGCTCCGAGGCCTGGGGGTATGTTTGTTTAGCAGCAGGGACTTCATTATCTGACTGTGATCAGAGCAAAGGGAAGCCATTACTCACCACTGGGTCATGGGATCTTCCCGCTCAGAAGCACTGTAGAGGGAAGGCTGGCAGAATAGAGTTTCTCAATGTGAGTCGGTTTCCAATTCTATTTTACTGGCCAACTTCTCTACACTTACAAATAAGATGCATACGCTGACCTCCATCCTCTGACAGTTTGAAATTCCTGTGGGTGGAGAGAAAAGCCAGGCTTCTAACCACTTCTCTGCCCCTGACTAGGTGTGTGGTTTTAAGTAAGTTACTAAACTTTCCTGGTCTGCAGTTTTCTCACCTGAAACATGGACTAAAACATCCCGCACCTCTTGGGCTATGTGAGCATTTAATACAGAAACCTTTGGGAAGTCACTAGCCCAATGCCTGTCATTGAAGAGCTCAATAATTGTGAGCAAATAGCGCTGGAAAAATAAGGCAGAAACACTCTGCATGTTAGCCTCATAGGAGGCAACATATGACGGAATGCTTAAGGAGGGATGGATAATAAACCACTCTTAACCCAGGGGAAAAGAATCATCCCCAAGGGCTGGGAATCACCAAGCAAGGTTATCTCAGAGAAGCTGCACTCCTTTGATGCTGAGAGCTCGCTTGCGTTAAGTTCTGGCCACGTACCAGACTGGGCTGACTACATTATCTTAGTTCAATTTCACGGTAACACGACACAGTCTGTTTCATTATTATGCATATCCTTAGATGAGGAAACCAGAGCTTAGAAAAGTTGAATGACTCATCCACAGCTAATAATAAAAAGGAGCTGAGCATAAAAAAGAATGAGTTCATGTCCTTTGCAGGGACACGGATGAAGCTGGAAACCATCATTCTCAGCAAACTCACACAGGAACAGAAAACCAAACACCGCATATTCTCACTCATAAGTGGGAGTTGAACAACGAGAACACATGGACACAGGGAGGGGAACATCACACACCAGCACCTGTCGGGGGGTGGGGGGCGGAGGGAGGGACAGCTTTAGGAGAAATACATAATACATGTGGGGCTTAAAATCCAGATGATAGGCTCATAGGTGCGGCAAACTACCATGGCACATGTATACCTCTGTAACAAACCTGCACGTGTATCCCAGAACGTAAGGTTAAAAAAAAGAGCTGAGATTTGAACCCAGGCCCAGGGGACACACACCGAATCACCGTGCTGAAAGCAAGCTGCTAGAGAACAGGCATCACCCTTGATGGAACACAGTCCCAAAGCAGAGTGGATTCGGAGGCACTTTGTAAATCTATTCCTAAATAACCTAAGGAAGCCGGAACTCCCTGGCTGCAGCAGGCAGCACAATTTAGTGGTAACAAGAGATGCTTGTTGGAATCGCCCTGTGCATATACTAGCAGCTCTGGCTGTGTCCCGTCCAACAACCCAGTAGCATCTAGGGCTTCAGGGAGCCTCGCACATGTATCCCACTCTGGGCAGACCAGCTGCCTCCATGGATGCTGAAGTGTTCGATAAGTAAGTAACTATAGTACAAATAGCCCCTGGTGAAAATTCAGCCTGGGAGGATGGGGAAGGAAAGTGCTTGCTGGAGGAAGTCACGGGGTAAGAGCTCCAGAGACAGTTACTTATCTCAAGCCAGAAGAAAAACACCTCAACTCTCAAGAGGTTAGAAGGGAAACTGAGGCAAGAGTGGCAGGAGAAACCTCCCAGCAAGTAAGAACCATGCAGTGGGTATTTAGGACCCAGGGTTGCCTCCCCACAGTTCCCTGAGCGTTTGATATGCTTTATTACAGAGAGTTATGGGCCAGAAATAAGACAGTTGGATCCTTCTCAAGGCTTAACCTTCCCTTGCCCATCAGCTGTGGTTTCCAAGACTCTGTATGTGGATATACCATTTTCTTTAAAGATCAGTCCTGCATTCTGAGATTACATCAGCCCTGTGCACCTGGTATAAAGATGTCCTTTCAAAAATAAAGGTGACAATTCTTTTTTGAAATGAAAGCATGAATTGTTATTGTTATTGCTGACTTGTTTATTCTCATGTCCGTATTCAGAAAAATAACACCTCATTTATCTGAGTCTCCAGAATATAAATGCCACAGGGACAGGGAGCTTTGTCTGCTTTATTTGCTAACGTACCATAAATGGGACCTGATACATACTAGGTACTCAATAAGTCAATAACAAGCTGGTGATTGAATTGACAACATCATGTCAATGACTACATTTTTTTAATGTGACAGGTCTGAAATAACAATGTCTGGGCATCTGTTTCTGTACAACTCTCTCAGTTCTGGGTCAAGGGAGAGCTGGCTCCCCTTCCTACTGCCCCCCTGGGCAGCCTCAGCCTTCTTTGGTGGCTGATGGATCCAACAGAGCGGTAATCAGAGCCCAGGGTGGCTCACGACAGCCCTGAAGAATGAGCTGCCTTTCCAGTTCCTTCCATGTAGCAACAGTGGTGGGTAAGACAGGGAAACATGGATTCACAGACACTTGGTTTACTAACAGTAGGTAAACAAAGGCAGGTGCCACGATTGGGTGCTCTTGAGATCCTACAGTTCAGTCCTACCCTACAATGTCCTCCAGAAACCTCCTTTAGAAAGCTTCTCCACACAGCCCCTCTCGCAACACTGCACAGTTGGTTCTGCAGTGATGCTTGTTTGGAAGATGTGAATTTGTTCCAGTGTAACTGATATATTAGGGAACAATCTGAGCATAACATTTTGCATTTGCTTATACATGATTTCATCTGCGAGAAACAGTAGGTAAACAAAGAAAGCTGTAACCAGCTGGGCTGAGACATTGAGCAATATGCAAAATACAAGCATCTGTGCACATGGGCGCACACATACACATGCAAACATCTACCAGCAACCTCAGTTCATTGTGCAAGTTATGAGCCACACTCATCCACACCTGGGCCTGCAAGATTCCCTCCCATCTCAGATGACACTGCTTCCATCCTTCCCAGTAACTCACAAACTACATTCCTTCAGACATCCACTTCCAAACCAAACTTCAGGTCTTTTCCAGGGTGAAATGAGATGTTTATTTTACTATATATGCATTTCTTAACCACTTAATGTATGTAAAACCATGCTATGATTTGTATTAGGTTTCTACCCTTTTTAAACATCTCACTGATGAAGTTTTTGAATGCTGTGCCCCAACCCAATTTTTCCCATCTGGTTTTACTGTGCAATTCTGCATAGTATAGTCAAGTTTAGGAAAATACATGTCACGCTATCACAGAACTGACTGTATCATCTTCCCCTTTATCGTATCTGCCTATCTAAATATCTTACTCGCTATGTCATTTCCCTCTTCCAAAGCGTTCCTAAGTATTCAAAGCCAATAAATATAACTCTGAAATAGAAAAATTCCTTCTGATCAACGTCACCCACCAGATTATGGCTACTGAGGGTCCCACAGCTTGAAGAAGCAGATCCAGTTACCAGCAGGGGACCCAGGAGAGAAAGCAAAGTTCAACCAAGAACAGTCAAGCTCAGAGAGTGAGACAGACAGAAGTATCTGCAGACCAGAAGGAAGGCTCCCAGGCTCTCCCAGATGCTGACCGCATTTCAGCTCCTTCTCAACAAGTTTGCCACTTGCTCATGGCTGCCTCAGGAACAACCATCTGCAATGTTCAGGCAGGGGAGGAAGCAAGTACAGTGAGCTGCTCATAGGGTCATCTTTGGAAGCTGGGGTCCTCCACGAGGATGTCTCTTTTCAGAATACTATCTACAAACCACTGCCTTGCGGCCAGTATGAATTGTCATGAGCTGTATCAGCATCCACATCCAATAAAATCACCTTATCTTCATTACTAATAACAGACAATTTTCAGAAACAACAGAGAGAGGATGTATAATGTAGAGGACTTGTTTTTTTGCGGAAGTGCCCCTGTGCCCCTTCCATCTTCTTCCTCATCCTTGGCCCCAGCCTTCTCTCACTTCATCCATGGAATGCTCAGGTGTTTTCACTGAGAGAAGGTTGAATTTAGTGTTTAAGTGTGCCCCTTGATAAGTTTTGACATATACATACATCCATGAACTCTCATCTCACTCAAGACAGTGAAATATCCATCATTCCCAAGAGTTTATTTGTGCTCCTTTTTAAATTTTTTTAGTTTTTTTTTATTTTTAATCATTTGGGTACATAGTTGGTGTATATATTTATGGGGTAGATGAGATGTTTTGATACAGGCATGCAACGTGAAATAAACACATCATGGAGAATGGGGTATCCATCCCCTCAAGCATTTATCCTCTGAGTTACAAACCATCCAATTACACTTTTACGTTATACTTAAATCTACAATTAAGTTATTATCAACTATGGTCACTATATTGTGCTACCAAATAGGTGGTCTTATTCATTCTGTTTTTGTGTGTGCTCCTTTTTTTAATTGCAACTTTTATTTTAGATTCAGGGAGTACATGCGCAGGTTTGTTACTCAAGTATATTGCATGACACTGAAGTTTGCAGTACAAATGATCCCATCACCCAGGCAGTGAGCATAGTACCCCACAGTTAGTTTTCCCACTCTTCCTCCCTTCTTCCTTTCTCCCCCACCAGTAGTCCCCAATGTCTATATATATATATATATATATATATATATATTTTTTTTTTTTTTTTTAACAGAGTCTTGCTCTGTCACCCAGGCTGGAATGCAGTGGCACAATCTCAGCTCACTGCAACCTCCACCGCACTGGTTCAAGGGATTCTCCTGTCTCAGCTTCCCAAGTAGCTGGGATTACAGGCACAAGCCACCACGCCCGGTTAATTTTTTTTATTTTTAGTAGAGACAGGGTTTCACCATGTTGGCCAGGCTGATCTGGAACTCCTGACCTCAGGGGATCTGCCCACCTTAGCCTCCCAAAGTGCTAGGATTACAGGCATGAGCCACCGTGCCTGGCCTATGGTTGCCATCTTTACGTCCATGTGTACCCAATGTTTAGCTCCCACTTATAAATGAGCACATGTAGTATTTGGTTTTCTGTTCCTGCATTAATTCGCTTAGGATAATGGCCTCCAGTTGGATCCATATTGCTGCACAGGACATGATTTTTGTGCTTTGATACGGCTGTGTAGTATTCCATTGTGTACATGCAGCACATATTCTTCACTCAAGGCACCGTTAATGAATTTGTGCCTCTCTGTAATCTCTCCCTCTCATCCTTTCCCACTTCCCATCCTTGTCAACAGGCAACAAATGATCTGCTTTCTGTCACTATAGATTTGCATTTTTTAGAATTCATATAAATAGGCTTATATAGTATGTAATCTTTTTTATCTGGCATCTTTCACTGAGCATAAAGATTTTGAGACTTACCCATGTTCTTGCATGTATAGATAGCTCATTCCTTTTTACTGCTGCATACTATTCCATTATATGCATGTGCCACAAATTGTTTTCTACATTCACCTGATAATAGACATTTGGGTGGTTTCTAGTTTTTGGCTCTGATAAATAAAATCACCATCAATGTTCATGCACATGTGTGTTGTTTGAGGACATGCTGCCTTTTCTCATGGATAAATACCTCTAGACATGAAATGGCTAGATGACATGACAGGTGCATGTTGAACCAGTTAGAAAACTGTCAAACTGTTTTTCAAAGTGGTTATACCATTTTACATTCTCATAAGCAATGTATGAGAGTTCCAGCTTCTCTTCATCCTTGCCAAGACTTGGTGTGGTCAGTCTTTCTACTTTCAGTCATCCTAGAAGATGTATAATGGTATCTCATTGTGGTCTTAACTTGTATTTCCCTAATGATTAATGATGTTGAACAAGTTTTCATGTGATTATTTGCCATGTATATCTAATTTGGTAAAATGTCTGTTCAAATATTTTATCATTGTTTTATTGGGTATTGTCTTATTATCGAGTTTTGAGAGTTCTTTACCCATTCTACACATAAGTCCTTTATCAGATATATAGTTTGCAGACATTTTCTCCAAATATGTTGCTGGTCACTCTCTTAACTGTTTTTCAAAGTAGAGTTTTTAATTTTGATGAAGTTCAATTTGCCAATTTTAAAATTTATCCATTTTTAATAGGTCTTGTTTTTGGCAACATATCTAAGAAATTTTTGCCTAAACCAACATCACACAGATTTTCCTATGGTATCTTTAGAAGGTTTACAGATTTAGGTTGTATATCTGAATGTATGATGCATTTTCAGTTAATTTTTGTATATGCCACAGATACAGATTGGAATTCATTTGTTTGCACATGGATGTCCAACTATTTCAACACCATTTGTTGAAAAGATTATTCTACTCCACTGAACTCTCTTTACTGTTACATCGACCCAAGTATCTACCTTGATGTCAATAGTACACTGTCTTGATTACAATAGCTTTGTAATAAATCTTTAAATCAGATCATGTTAGCCCTCTAACTTTGTTCTTCTTCAAAGCTGTTTTGGTTATTACTGGTCTTTCATTGTCTGTATAAATTTCAAAATCAGCTTGTGAATTTCCACCCCGCAAAAAAGCCTAGATGAGATTCTGGTTTGGACTGCATTGACTCTGTAGATCAATTTGGGAGAATTGACACCTTAACAATATTCAGTGTTTTCTGACTTGTAATCGTCTCTCCATTTATTTAGTTCTTCATTAGTTTGTCTTATTAATATATTGTAATTTTCAGTATATGAATCATACAAATTTAGTCAGACTTATCCCTATGTATTCCTTATTATTTCATTTGATAGTATTACAGATAGTATTTTTTACTTTAATTTTCAGTTCTTTATTGTTATTATATAGAAATACAATGGCTTTTTGTATAATTATCTTACTGTTCTATAATCTCACTAAATTCATAGTTGTTCAGCAAAAAAAAAGTTTTTAGATCTCACTGGATTTTATAATAGATCTTGCTATCTGTAAATAAAGACACATCTATTTTATCCTTTACTTTCTGGGTTTTATTCATTTCTCCTGCCTTATTAAAGTGACTTATTCCACTACAGTGTGAAAAAAGTGATAAGAGCAGACATTCTTGTTCCCGATCTTAAGCAGAAAGCATTCAGTCTTTCACTATTAAGTATGAAAGAGATTTTTCATAGACATATTTTATCAAAGTAATTTCCTTACATTCCTACTTGATGAGGGGTTTTTTTTTAATTGAGAATAGATGTTAAATTCTTACGTTTTTCTGTATCCATTGAAATGATCATGTGTCTCTCACTTTTTATTTCTTAATATGATGGATTCTATTGATTATATTTGAATTTTAAACCAACCTAGCATAAACCACCCTTGACCATGATATATTACCCTTTTTATATATTGCTGTATTTGCTTTGCTAAAATTTTGTTTACAATTATTTGCATCTATATTCATGATAGATATTGGACTTCAGTTTCCTCTTCTTATAATTTCTCTGTCAGGTTTTGCTATTAGGGCAATACCTGTCTCCTAAAATAATCTTTCCTCTTCAATTTCCTGGAATAGTTTGTATAGAACTGATATTATTTCTTTAATATTTGTTAGAATTTAACACTAAGGGCAGGGCGTGCTCACAGCTGTAATCCCAGCACTTTGGGAGGCCAAGGCGGTTGGATCACCTGAGGTCAAGGTTTCAAGACCAGCCTGGCCAACAGAGTGAAACCCTGTCTCTACTAAAAAATACCAAAATTAGCCAGGCATGGTGGCAGGTGCCTGTAATCCCAGCTACTCGGAAGGCTGAGGCAGAAGAATCACTTGAACCCAGGAGGCAGAGGTTGCAGTGAGCCAAGAATGCTCCACTACACTCCAGCCTGGAAGACAGAGCGAGACTCCGTATCAAAAAAAAAAAAAAAAAAAAAAAAAAAAAAAAAAAAAAAAAAAGAATGTAATAGTAAGGCCATCTATACCTGTATTTGTCTTTGTGGGAAAGTTTTTAACTACAAATTCAATCTCTAAAACTTGATATAGGGTTAATACGGTTACCTAGTTCTTAAATTAGCTTTAGCAGTTTATATCTTCCAAGGAATTTATCTATCTCATTCATTTTGTCAAATTTATGAGCATAAAGTTGTTCACAATATTCCCATATTATCTTTAAGATATAGTTATGCCTTATTTAAGATATAAGTATGTACTATACAAAGATATATCTTTAGTATTTGATATCATTTTTTATCCTGATCATTCTGGTTAGCTGCTTCTCAATTTATTGATCTTCCCAAAGAACTAGCTGTTGGTTTTATTGATTTTTCTCTATTGTTTTTCTGTTTTTCATTTCATTAATTTCTCTCTGATCTTTATTATTTTTCCCTGCTTACTTTGTGTTGATTTTGTTCTTTTCATTCTAGTCTCTTAGAGTGAAATTGGAGAACTTTATTTTTCTCTAATGACTGCTATATACATTTCCCTTTCTAACAGTATCCCACAAAATTTTGATATGTTGTGTTTTCATTTTCATTCAATTCAAAATAGCTTCTAATTTCTCTTTAACCCCTTTCTCCATGCATGAGTTACTTAACATGTGCTGGTTTCAAAAAACCTGAGAATTTCCCAGAGTTCCTTCTGTTGCCAATTTCCAGTTTAATTCCACTGGGACCAAAGAACTTACTTTGCAGGACCTGAATCCTTCTGAAATTATTGAGACTGGTTTAATGGCCCAGAAAATAATTTATTTTACCAAATAAAATTTGGGTAAATGCTCTGGGTGCACTCAGAAAGAATGTGTATCCTGTTGTTGGGTGGTGGGCTCTGTAAGCTTCAGTTAGGTCAAACTGGTTGGTGACATTGTTCAGGTCATTTGCACACTTTCTATCTACTCTCTGTATCAATTGTTGTAAGCAGTGTATTGACGTTCAATCATAATTCTGGATTTGACTATTTCTCCTTGCAGTTATTTCAGGTTTGGACTTTCTTTTTGCACTTACATTAGTGTTTTTATTTTTGTTTTGTTGTTTTACTCCCTATCTTTACACTTGAATTATTTCTGACCAAAAAATACACTGTCACCCTTATCTTTGTGGCTCTGTAAGTAATCTGTCTTGTTTTTCCCTCTGGATGCTTTTAAGTTTTTATATCACTAAGCTTGAACACTTGATTATGATGTGCCTAGAGTAGTTTTCTTCGTGTCTCTTCTGTGTGTTCATTGAGTTTCTTAGGTCTCTGGGTTTGTGATTTTCATGAAATGTGGAAAAATTTTAAGCCACTATCTGTAAATATTTTTTCTGTCTCTCCATCTCTCTCATTCCTTTAGGGACTTCATCTACACATATATTAAATTCCTTGAACTTGTTCCAGAGATTACTAATGCTGTTCTCTTTTTCTCATTATTATTGTTCTCTATGTGTTTAATTTTGGACAGTTTCTGTTGCTATGTCATCATGTTCACTCATCTTTTTTGTGTATGGGCAATGTCTAATCCGCCGTTGATTTCACCCCATGAATTTAAATCTCAAATATCACAGAGTTCTATCTCTAGAGTTTTGATTTGGGTCTTTTTTTGTCTTCCATGTTTCTGTTTAATTTTTTAAACACGTCCCTCTCTGCTAATTCTAACATTTTTGATACTTCTTTATTAATTCCAACTGATACATGTTTCTACTCATTTTAGGTTGTATTTTCATGCTTCTTTGCAACTTCTTTGGGCTTGATATTATGGCATTCTAATAAATATCCTTGACCTTTGTTCTGGGATACAGTTAAGTTACTTGAAAACAGTTCGATCCCTTTAAGACTTATTTTTAAGATTTGTCAGCTGGGACTAGAGCCATGCTTACTCTATGATTAATTATTCCCCACTCCTGAGGCAAGAGCCTTCTGATTACTCTACCCAATGTCTTATAAACTGTGAGGTTTTCCAACTCTGGCTGGTGGAAGTTGGCACTATTCTCAGCCATGACTGAGCACCAGGTACTGGTCCTTCTAATCCTTATAAGCAGCTCTTAAAATAATTTCTAACTGCTGAATTATGTTCCCTGGAACGGGTCATTGAGTGGACATTGAACCTTAGGGGACTCTGCCTTATTAATGAGTATGGATGGTAAAGTATCAAATCATAGAACCTACAAAGAAATCAAGCATAATTTTGGCCTTCTTACTTGAAAACTCAAGAAATTAGTATTTCAAACTGACAGTTTTCATTCTCCTTGCTAAAACTCCATGCATCTCTAAATAACAATGGAAGTGTTGCGTGGTCTTTTTGTTTACTTAAAATCCATCCTTTCATTGTTGTACTAGATTGAAATGCAAGGTAGATGTATTCAGTAAAATCAATAACTATGGCTGGATGCGGTGGTTCACGCCTGTAACCCCAGCACTTTGGGAGGCCGAGGCGGGTGGATCACAAGGTCAGGAGTTTGAGACCAGCCTAGTCAATATGGTGAAACCCCATCTCTACTAAAAATACAAAAAAAAAAAAAAATTAGCCAGGCATGGTGGCGCATGCCTGTAATCCCAGCTACTCGGGAGGCTGAGGTAGGAGAATTGCTTGAACCCGGGAGGCAGAGGTTGCAGTGAGCCGAGATCGTGCCACTGCACTCCAGCCTTGGTGACAGAGGAAGACTCTGTCTCAAAAAAAAAAAAAAAAAAAAAATCAATACCTGTGTTATTAAATTGAAATGACTATAAGCAATTCTTGAGTGCGCATAGAAGGGGAGGTGGAATTAAGCTATACAGAGTCGATTACTCTTGAAAGACATCCCATGCTCTGGACCTGACGGCTACCATCATGTTCATAAATCTAGAATAAGATCAACCCTCAAGAGGCTGTTTTCTTTGGCCAGTTTAAAGAAAATCAGTATATATTTTGATCGCAAGTGAACAGCAGTTCCTTTAAACAGGCCCCTGGTGATGGTGCACCAAAATCTCAGAAATCACCACTAAAGAAATTATTCATGTAACTAAAAACCACCTGTTCCCAAAAAACTACTGAAATAAAATTTGAAAAAATTAAAGAGGCCCCTGATCTGAACGGCAATGCTTTCCGTAGAACAGCCAACTAAGAGAGGAATAACCAATCCTATCCTTCCAATTACGATTTTGTTTTAGCTAAAATACAACTCCTTGTTTAAATAGTTTTAAAAATGAAATAAATAATTAGAGCAAGATGTAAGGATACTGTGAAAGGAAAATAAATCTTAGGGCCCCCAAATCACTAAGCTAAAGGGAAAACTCATGCTGGGAACTGCTCAGGGCCAACCTGCCTCCCATTCTATTCAAACTCTTCCCTCTGCTCGCTGAGATAAACGCATATCTGATTACCTCCTTTGGAAAGGCTAATCAGAAACTCAAGAGAATGCAACCCTTTGTCTCTCACCTACCAGTGACCTGGAAGCCCCCTCCCTGCTTGAGTTGTCCTGCCTTTCCAGAAGGAATCAATGTACATCTTACCTATATTCATTAATGTCCCATGTCTCCCTAAAATAAGTGAAATCCAGGCTGTGCCCCGACTACCTTGGGCACATGTCATGAAGACCTCCTGAGGCAGTGTCATGGGCGTGTGTCCTCAACCTTGACAAAATAAACTCTCTAAATTAACTGAGACCTGTCTCAGATTTTCAGCGTTCACAATACAAAGCATTAGAGCAAGACATATAGTAAAATTCGAGGCTTTATTCTCTACTCCAGGGCTTCTTATCTTAAACATACACATAAATCACCTAGAGCTCTTCTTAAAAATGCAGATTCAGGCCAGGCATGGAGGCTCATGTCTGTAATCCCAGCACTTTGGGAGGCCCAGGCAGGTGGATCACTTGAGGCCAGGGGTTCGAGATCAGCCCGGCCAACATGGTGAAACCCCATCTCTACTAGAAATACAAAAATTAGCCAGGCGGGGTAGCACATGTTTGTAGTCCCAGCTACTCAGGACGCTGAGGCAGGACAATCACATGAACCAGGGAGGTGGAGGTTGCAGTGAGCCGAGATCACACCACTGCACTCCAGCCTGGGCGACAGAGCAAGACTCTGTCTAAAAACATAAAATAAATTTAAAAAACTGCAGATTCAGATTTAGATTCAGCGCAATTGGGATGGAGCTGAGATTCTGCACTCCAAAAAGCTCCAGGTGATTCTGACGCTGCTAGTCCACAGACCATACTTTTAGCAGCAAAGACTAGGGTGTTTTTAACAAGTCAGAGTCCGTGATGTCAGTGCCAGAGATTCGTATTCAATAAATCTGAGATCAGACCCAGAAATCTGGATTTTTAACAAACGCGTCAGGTGATTCTGACACAGGCAGTTCATGAGCCACAATTTGAGAAATACCACTAAAGATCCGTTACTGTGGATTTCCCGGGGTTATACTAAACCAACTCTTTCAAATTCGACTAAATTTCACCATAGAAAAATGTGTAATATTCCCCAAACTTAAGTTTGGGAACACTAAGAGTTAATTGGTGTGCCATATATCAGACCAACCAACAAACGAAAATTCTGTGGTCAAGTAAGTGTGAAACACTGGCTACTTTATCCCACTCTTCATATTTCATAGTATACATAATCTGTCTATGCCAATTTTTTCCAAACATATATGAACATGTAATCTTCTACCTCTCTTCTTTAAAGTATACCTATTAAGACCCTGCAAGCTACAGCCAATAACTTGGAGAATTCTATGCTCAAAGGTATAAACAAAATGATGTTTCAGCAGTGCCACATGGTGTCTAAGACCCCAGATCCTTTTGATTTTGCAAAAGGCTTCGGCTTCCTTTGTTTTTCTGTTCAGCACCCTTGCTATTTAATATCTTCATTCTTAACTGTCTCTTACCTTTAGAAAAATAATTGTCTTCCCTCCCAGAAGATTGGCAGAAATCAGAACAGAAGAAAAAGAATGCAAAAATCTTGGTTAAATGCTAAAATGTACTTTTTCCAATCAAAAATAATTTTACCCTGTCAAAGCCAAAACCCTCCTTGAAACATCCATAAAATACTTGTTTACCTCTTAAATGTTAAATTCCTACTTCATTTGTGACCAAAATAAAGTCATTTTAAAGATTCCATGTCACTCTTCCAATTCAAATCCAACTTTCCAAGATGATAATGCTTAAAAAAATAGGCATCTAAGCAGAATTTTAGTTTCTTTCATATGGCCCAACATGAGAACACAATGGTGTGGGGGAGGGAGATGAAAAACGGGAAAAAATTCTTACAATCTCTCACATTTACAAATTAACTATTCCCATCACTCCCTTGGTTTTTGTTGTTGTTGTCATTTTGTTTTGTTTTTTGGGATTTTTTTTGAGAGAGAGTCTCGCTCTATTGCCCAGGCTGGGGTGCAGTGGTACGATCTTGGCTCACTATAACCTCCACCTCCCAGGTTCAATTCTCCTGCCTCAGCCTCCCGAGTAGCTGGGATTACAAGTGTTTTTTTTTGTATTTTTCCACTACACCCGGCTAATTTTGTATTTTCAGTAGAGACAGGGTTTTGTCATGTTGGCCAGGCTGGTCTCCAATTCCGGACCTCAAGTGATCCACCCGCCTCAGCCTCCCAAAGTGCTGGGATTACAGGCGTGAGCCATCATAGCTGGCCCCATCACTCCCTTGGAACAAGGTTTAAAAACAAATGAGTAGGGACACAAGGTGATTCTCCTGCATTCCTGTGAAGCCCCAGCCTCACATGCACTTTGTAGCTCCCTGGGACCTGACCTGGACCCATTCTCTCCCAGCACTTCCTGCACTTTCCCTGAACCATGCACCTGGAAGCCCAGGTGTCTAAGAATTACGTGCCCTCGGAAAGACACAAGAGAGTCTGAAAGGCAGGTCTTATCTGTCCTCAGAAGCATTTCAAAAATCAACATACATCTCCCAACCTCTTTTTCAAGGACCCTCCTAAAGCCATCCTTGTGTGTGGGAGCCGTGCTGCTATGGGTTTCACACGATTGGCTTTGCTGAACCCTCTCCCAGCAGTTACCCTAGATATAAGAATTGTGCAAGGTGTCAGAATCAAAACGGAGCCACTGGCTGAGGTGGGCAGATCATGATGTCAGGAGATCGAGAACATCATGGCTAACACAGTGAAACTCTGTCTCTACTAAAAATACAAAAAATTAGCTGGGCATGGTGGTGCGTGCCTGTAGTCCCAGCTACTCGGGAGTCTAAGGCAGGACAATCACTTGAATCCGGGAAGGCGAAGGTTGCAGTGAGCGGAGATCACACCACTGCACTCCAGCCTAGGCAACAAGGGTAAGACTCTGTCTTAAAAAAACAAAAAAAAAAAAAAAGAAGAAATAAAGCCAGAAAAGGCCAGGAAGAGAGCATTATGATATATAAATGCCTGATAACAAAAACTATCACAGAAGACTCTGCGAAAAACACAACTGCCTGTCCAACCTCAAGCCAGTGTTACCCTTGTTTATTGATCCTTGAAACATGTAATCCTCCTCATTTTTCGTCTAAAAGCCTTAGTCTTCTTTGACCTCCCTGAACAGTAGTTTATTATGGCATGCATAGTCCCATGGCAATGCCACATTCCCAAATAAATATTTTCTTTTAGAAAGCCTCTCTCTGTTCTTTTGGTGGATGCTATTTTCATTACCTCCATTTTAAAAGCTAAGAAAACCAAGGCTCAAAGGGCTTATTGACTTTTTCAATATCAAGTGTAAGAGGTGTCATTTGAATCCATATTGATCTGACAACTTCAGGGTCTTGGCCTCTTGGCTCTACATCTCCACACCCTCCCCCTAGATTACAGACCTTCTAGTTACCGATGTCTCCTCAATGTTCCTGCTCGAGTCAACCACAACTTTGTGCCTTTGGGGTCAGGATATGACTGCTCTGGGGCTCCAGGCTCGTGTGTCACCAAAGATCTGGAGAAATTCATGGTATCTCTGTGGTTCTTATGCTGACCTTATTATCTGGGAGTCACACCTCCTAGTGAGTGTGGGAAAAATGTGTAACTCTTGTGGGAGGGAGAATAATGCCCTCCAAAAAGATACCCAATGCTTTATTTCCAGAATCTGTGAACATGTTACCTTATGTGGCAAAACAGCCTTTGCAGATTAAAGATATACAGCTTGAGAGAAGGAGATTATCTTGGATTATCCAAGTGAGCTCAATCTAATTACATGAGGTCTTAGAAGCAGAGAGCACCTTTCCCAACTGGGTCTGAGAAAAGTCAAAGAAATGAAAAATGAGAAGGATTCAACCAGCCATCATTGGCTTTGAAGATGGAGGCAGGAGGTTACTAGCCAAGGACTATAATGGCTACTCCAGGCTGGGAACAACCTTCAGTTTACAGCCAGCAATAAAAGAGGCACCTCAGTCCCACAACCACAAGGAAGTGATTTCTACCAACAACACATATAAGCAAGGAAACAGATTCCCCCCTCCAGCCTCCAGTAAGGAAGTTCTGCCAACACCTTGACTTCAACCCAGTAAGACCCATGCCAGATGTCTGGCCTACATAACTATAAAATAATAAATTTTTTGTTGGCATAAGTCACTATATTTGTGGTAGTTTGACACAGCAGCAATAGAAAACTAATACCTATTTCGCTTCCTAGAAGTGATGTGCTGCTGTAACAAACATCTAAAAATGTGGAATTGGCTTTGGAATTGGGCAATGGGGAGAAACTAAAAGAATTCTGAGAACCGTGACAGAAGAAGCTGAGATCGCCTTGAACAGATTGTTAATATATATATGAACATTAAAGATGCTGCTGGTGAGGGCTCAGAAGGAAGTAAGATTATAGAAAAGCCTAAACTGCCCTAGGGAATACCTAAATCAACATGAACAGACTGCTAGCAGAAGTACAAGAAACATGGACACTAAGGATGCTTCCAGTGAGTACTCAAAAGGAAGTGGGAAACCTGTTACTTAAAACTGGGGAGAAGATGATCCTTGTTATGCAGTGATAGAAAGCTTAGCAGAGTGTGTTCTGCAGTTATGTGCAAAGAAAAATATGTAAGCAATGTAAACCAGCCCATTTTCCAGCAAGCCAGATGCCCACAGAATGGAAGCTAGAATAAACCTTCATTTGTATGGTACAGGTACAGATGCACCTGCTGTCTGTTGACCAACTCCCCCCTTCCTTACCCCTCCCTAATTCCTGTTTTCCCCCACATATTACAATAAGATGTTACATCCCTCATTCAACCACCTGCTCCCTGTTGACCCATTTCTCTTCCTTGTTCCATTTCCCTTCTCTGCTATATAAACTCCTAATGTTATGGGAGTGGGGACCGAATTTGACGCTTGTCTCCCATTTATGCAGCTGACATCACCCATAACAAACCCTTCGTCCCTGGAAACACTCATTGTCTCAGTGATCGGCTTTCTTTGTGGTGTGCAGTAAGACCTAGACAGGGCCAGGAGCGCTGGCTCACACCTGTAATCTCAGCACTTTGGGAGGCCAAGGCAGACAGATCACCTGAGGTCAGGAGTTCAAGATCAGGCTGACCAATCATGGTGAAATCCCATCTCTACTAAAAATGCAAAAATTAGCCGGGCATGGTGGCGGGCACCTGTAATCCCAGCTACTCAGCAGGCTGAGGCAGGAGAATCGCTTGAACCCAGCAGGAGGAGGCTGTGCTGAGTCAAGATCATGCCACTGCACTCCAGCCTAGGCGACAAGCAAGACTCCATCTAAAAAAAAAAAAAAAAAAAAAAAAAAGACAGGAGATTTCCAAGCAAAGCACTGAAGAGCAGCTTTGTGTTTTCATAACACTCATAAGAAAAATATGAGAGGAGAGAAATAAGTTGAGGTAAGAACTGTTAAATAAAAAAGAAAAAAAAGGGGGGGGGGGCTTGATGACTTGGGGACTTCTCAGCCTACCTGGCAGGCAAAAGAAGCTAAAAGTAAGAGATTCCCTGTCAGGAAAGGGGGCTAGAGAAAGATTTCGGTGTGTGGCTGTACAAACTTTTACTAACTCATCGGAAAGATCAAAACTTCAGAGTACCCATTCAACAAAAAGGCTCTTTGAAGCATTAAAGTGTGTGACTCTTACAGTACGCCCCTCTTCAGCCATCTCAGCAGTAGCCCAAATTAGATAGTATCTCAGAAATGTCTGTCGACAAGTCTTTTGTCGAATGTGGTGAAACCTGGTGACATACATAAGAGATGCACAAAGTTCTTGAGGATGTTATACCAGCAGAAACACTGTCACTTGGCTTGATAGGGAAACAGAAAATACAAAATGAAAGGAGGCTCTTGGTGTTCCCAAATTCTGCAATCAAGAAACAGACCGAAACAAATCAGTTGCAAAACACAGGCTACCTTTCACTAAAAAGAGAAGCATGACCCAGTGGGGAGAGCTGTAAGCCCAGAAGTTTAGAGCTGCAAAACAGAGGATTATTCCTAGGGCTGGAAACTAGGAAATTTTGCCAGCTGGATTTGTAAACTCCTTGGGACTGGGGACTGCTTTTCACCTCACGTTTTCTTGGGTTTGGAATCAGAATGCCTGTCACTTTTATCCTGTGCCTATCCCACTACTACATTTTTAGAATCTGATAACTTGTGTATTGAGTTTCACAGGCTTACAATTGGAAATGAATTGTGCCCCAGGATGGACCATACTCCCACCCACTTCCACACCAAATGTGGATACTGTAGATGAGCTGATGATATTCAGGTGAGATTTTGGAGTTGATGAGCTGTTCATTGCAGTAAACACTAGCCACACGTGGCTACTGAGCACTTGAAATGTGGCTACTGTGACTAAAGAACTAGATGTTCAGTTTTAGTTAATTTTAGTTAATTTTTTCAAACCTAAGTAGCTGCATGTGTTTATCAGCTACTGTATTGGTCAATGCACCTCTATAACATTTTTTATCTCTCTCCAGTAGGATCTAAGCCCCATGAGGATAGTTATTTTTGTCTGTTTTATTCATTGTGATTTCCCAGGCATGCAGAACTGACTCACAGTAAGCCTTTGGGAAATATTTTCTGAATGAATGGATGAATGTCTATTCCTCTATTCTGAAAATTGGTCATTTTATATGGCGACCCATATCTGTAGCATCTTTCTTGTGTTTAATAAATTCCCTACTGTATGTGTGATAGTTGATGTTAGGTGTCAACTTGATTGGATTGCCTGATATAACTCAGGATTCTTAGATCTAAGGATGCCTACATAGCTCGTGAAGTATTGTTTCTGGGTGTGTCTGTGAAGGTGTTCCCAGGGAAGGTTAACACGTGAGTCAGTGGACTGGGAAAGGAAGACCCACCCTCAGTGTGAGTGGGCACCATCTAATCGGATGCCAGCATGCTAAAAAAAGCAGGTGGAAGAAGGTGGGATAAACTGGCTTGCTGAGTCGTGTGGCTTTCATCTTTCTCCTGCGCTGGTTGCTTTCAGCCCTTCCACATCAGATACTCCAGGTTCTTCAATGACCTTTTGACTCTTAGATTTACACCAGTGGTTTGCTGGGGTCTCTCGCACCTTCCACCACAGACTGAAGGCTGCAGTGTTGGCTTCCATGCTTTTGAGGCATCTGGACTCGGACTGAGCCACTATTGGCTTCCTTCTTCCACAGCTTGAAGACAGCTATTGGGGGACTTCACTTTCTGATCGTATGAGTCAATTCTCCTTAATAAACTCCCTTTCATGTATACATATATCCTGTTAGTTCTGTCCCTCTGGAGAACTCTAATACAGTATATGACTTGGTAGATGACAAATCCCAACACCCACCACTAAAGCTGAAAATGCCCAATTCCCCCTTTCCCAGCCACCCTTGCACCTATGACACCCTAGGCACCTGACTAGGCTCAGTGAATCAGACTGTGAATTGAGAGCCAGTGCACAAAGCGGCAGCAACTGGCAGGTGGCAGCAGTAGATGTGGCCAGTCCCCATGGCAACCACATCCTCCCAGATTTGGCTCAGTGGTGTGATTTGGGGACACTGACCCTGGCAACATAGCCTCCGAATGTGTGGGCTTCTCATCACTGTCTCAACAATTCCTGCTCTCCTTAAATCACCCCCAGTCACTTTCTGTTGCTTGCATCTTAGAATTCTGACCAACACCCCTGCCCACCTCTCTTTGGGAGAAGGTAATCCAGCTCCATATGAAAGCCACACCATAAACCAAATCAAACCTACCAACAGTACAGACCACATCACACTCAGGGAGCCAGTCACTTTGCTGACTTCAGATTTCCCCGGTAACCTTGAAACACACTCCACATGGTCATTTTACAAGGCTGACTAATCTAATTGATTCCCAGAATTAGGATCCTTGAGAACCCAGTTACTTTAAAATCAATCTTCATCAGGAGTGATAATATCTCATCCATGCTGAGATGTCTACTGGGGCCCAGGAGGGATTTCAGCCAAGCCTCTGTTTGAAGTTGTCACGGAGTCTGCTCAGACTTTAAATGTTCCTTGCATCTCTGTAATACACACAAGCACTCATGCCACCATCAGAAAAAAATGTGTGTTCAAGCAAGAAACCCCTCTCAGTGTGCCTGCAACTCATCACCCCTTCCCCAGTGATGAAACTATCCACACTGAAGATTACTTCTTATCTCTGCCGTCAGGAATATTTATTGGGGGCACCTTTCCTTTTGAAATTAGCCCAGCACATACCATAAGCCCTATTAAAACATGATGCTTGTTACTCAAAGCATTAGAGTTGAATTTCTGCAATTTCACTTGTGTGAATTGCCTTGGCGCACAAATTCCAAAAGTCCGCAGCCCCTAGCCTGCATAAAGAGTATTTACAAACCTTCTAAATACGTTCTTACCCTCTTCTTTGATTCCTTCTCCCACCTGTTATGACGAATAACTCCTTCTCTTGACCTGATTTCCTCTGCTGCACTTTCAGAGGCAAAACAAGAAAAATTCTGAAGCTTCCTCCAATGCATTCTCATATAACTCATTGCAATGCTTTTAAAAATTAGGAGGGTATAATTTATTTTATATGCTCTAGCCCCCTCAGCATTACCATAAAGATGTAGGAAGCATTCTAAAATCACTAATGTGAGATCTCCACCCTAGGCCATCTCCATCAGGGTCTCCAGGCAGAAAGGGAAGGAGAAGAGTCTGTTGGAATACATTGCACAGACTTCACAACTCTGCCCACAGCTATTTCTCTCTGCCTCACAACCCACCACCCCAATTCACCCCAATCCAGGAGGACCTGGATGAGTGAAGATTCCTGGGTGAAGCCACTTTTGATAAAGCACTGATCTCAGGCCTGGGTATGAGCCAGCAAGCTCAGAGCACAGCATTGAAAAATGTGGTTAACTGCTAGAATCTTCAGCAAAGAACCTCTATCTTTGCCACAATTCATTTATTCATCCATTCAACTAATAACCCAGTGCTGCTCTGTGCTGTACTTTATAGATTTAGAGACTAACCTAAATGATATGACACTATCCATTCTCTAAAGCCCAGCCCCTTAAACTTTAATACGCATCTGACTCACCAGGGGGTCTTGTGAAATGCAGGTTCAGATCAGTGAGTCCGGGTCAGGGCCTGAGATTCTGCATCTCTAAGAAACTTCACGTGGTACTGATGCCGTATTCTACACATTGAGCCAAAAAGCCCAAAGGAGCTTATTATCTAGAACAATGGTTCTCAAGTGATGGCGATGTTGCTCCCCAGAAATGTTTGGCAAAGTCTGCTTGTCACAACTAGAGGAAGAGGCTGTTACTGGAAGATAATGGATAGAGGCCCTGGGTGCTGCTCAACATCCTGCAAGGTGCAAGACAACCCCAACCATGACCAAGAATTTTCTAAACCACCCCCGCTGCCACATCAATAGTGTTGAGGTTGGGAAGCCCTGATCAAGAAGAACTTGACAGTCACGCATGGTGGTTCACGCCTGTAATCCCAGCACTTTGGGAGGTCGAGGCGGACAGTCACTTGAGATCAGGAGTTCAAGATCAGCCTGGCCAACAAGGTGAAACTCCATGTCTACTAAAAATACAAAAATTAGCCAGGAATGGTGGCGGGTGCCTGTAATCCCAGCTATTCAGGAGGCTGAGGCAGGAGACGCTTGAACCCAGGAAGCAGAGGTTGCAGTGAGCTGTAATCGCACCACTGCACTTCAGCCTGGGTGACAGAGTGAGACTCCATCTCAAAAAAAAAAAAAAAAAGACCTCTTGACATGTCATGTCCCTTTGACCTATCTACCTCCACCACTAGAAATGAGACTTAATAGAAGTTAAATACTTAATGGGCTCTTGCTATGTGCCAGGCACTGCTTTGAGTACCTTAAACACATTGATTCATTTAATCCTCATGGCAATGCTTTAAGGCATGGGGTATTGCTAATCCTATTACACAGATGAAAAAACTGAGACTTGCAGATGTTAAGACACATTCCCAAGGTCCCTTGGTTAGAATGTAGCAGAGCCAAGGCTCAAACACATTTTTTCAACAGTCCCTCATTATTGCCCCATGCTAAAAGGTACTTAACAAATAAAGAGTGAACTTAAAGAAAGAAGCTAGTTCTATTACCCCTACTTCTAAGCCTTTGTGAGTTCTCAATTTTCCACAACCAAACTTTAAAGATCGGTAACAACATGGACAAACGGTAATCAAAACTGGCCATGGAACCCCAGCCTAAATTTCCCAGGATTTAACAATGTGAAGTACCCCTGTCTGCTGCAAGATACATGCTCCTTCCCACCCCATCCCTTTGCTGGAGCCACAACCCACCCCAGAGTGCCTGAGGTGGGCTGACGAACAACTCCTCTGAGCATCCCCTAAAGTATCCCACCTTCCCAGACCACCTGGACTGTGATTATTTTATTTATTTTATTTTATTTTTGAGATAGAGTCTTGCTCTTCTCACCCAGGCTGGAGTGCAGTGGCGCAATCTCGGCTTACTGCAAGCTCCACCTCCCTGGCTCACGCCATTCTCCTGCCTCAGCCTCCCAAGTAGCTGGGACTACAGGTGCCTGCCACCAAGCCTGGCTAATTTTTTTTTTTTTTTTTTTTTTTTTTTTTTTTTTTTTTTTTTATATTTTTAGTAGAGACAGGGTTTCGCCATGTTGGCCAGGCTGGTCTCGAACTCCTGACCTCAGATGATCCGCCCACCTAGGCCTCCCAAAGTGCTGGGATTACAGGCGTGAGCCACCACGCCTGGGCTGGACTGTGATTTTAAAAGGGACTCCCCTAGAGCAGTGCTTCTCAACTGGGGATAGTTTTGCCCCTCAAGGGATGTTCTGCAATGTTTAGAGATGTTTTTGGTAGTCTCACCTGGGAATGGGTTGGGAAGAGGTGGCTGCTGCTGGTCTCTCATGGGTAGAGGCCAAGGTTGCTGCTAAACATTCCACAATGCACAGAATATCACCCCAACAACAGAATTTTCTAGCCAAAATGTCCACAGTGTAGATGTTAAGAAACGCTGCCGCAGAGAGTAACACCTACTGAACACCAATGTTTACAGTTTAGCTTGAAGACTTTATAGGGTAGAGGTGAAATGCATGTCCTATTGTCGAGTGGTCTGGGTTGACATCCTAACTCCTCCATCTAATAGCTGCTTGACCTTGGGCAAGTCACTTCACATCTCTGAACCCTGATTCTGTATCCTTAAAATGGGGTTCTAGAAGCTTACCCCACAGGGTCGATAAGAGCAATAAATGAGAGAAAGGCCAGGCACAAAAGAAGCAGTTAAGAAGTAGGAGATAGTGGTGTTGCAGCCGTCCTCACCATTATCACATCAGGATGTTGTCTTGCTGTACCTCGGACTGCTGGGAATAAGGTTCTTTCAATTATGCTCAAGAATCAGAGCTCTCAGGCTCTAAGGGTGTATGAGACCACTGGGGCTACCATAGCAAAGTGCCATAGCCTGAGTGGCTTAAACAAGAGTGATTTATTGTCTCACAGCTCTGGATGCTAAAAGCCTGAAAGCAAGGTGTCTGCATGGTTGGTTCCTTCTCAGGGCTGTGAGGAAGAATCTGTTGTGTGCCTCTTGCCTTGGGTTCTGTGGTTTCTTGGTGTTCCTCGAGTTGTGGCAGCATAACTCCAGCCTTCACTGGTGTTCTCTCCCTGTGTCTAAATATCCCCATTTAAAAGGACACTGAGGACAGGCACGATGGCTCATGCCTGTAATTCCAGCACTTTGGGAATCTGAGGTGGGTGGATCACTTGAGGTCAGGAGTTCGAGAACACCCTGGCTAACATGGTGAAACCCCGTTTCTACTAAAAATACAAAAAATTAGCCAGGCGTGGTGGCACTAGCCTGTAATCCCAGCTAATCGGGATGGTGAGGCAGGAGAATGGCTTAAACCCGGGAGGTGGAGATTGCAGTGAGCCAAAATTGCACCATTGCACTCCAGCTTGAGCAACAAGAGCAAAACTCCATCTCAAAAAAAAAAAATACATAAATGAGCCAAGCATGGTGGTGCACGCCTGTAGTCCCAGCTACATGGGAGGCTGAGGCAGGAGAATTGCTTGAACCTAGGAGGCAGAGGATGCAGTGAGCTGAGATCATGCCACTGCACTCCAGCCTGAGCAACAAAGGGAGACCCTGTCTCAAATTAAAAAAAAAAAAAAAAAAAAGACACTGGCCATACTGGATTGGGGTCCACCTCCTCCAGTATGACATCATCTTAACTAATTATACCAGAACAATCCAATTTTCTCACATTCTAAGGTAGGTGGTGTTTTAAGACTTTAACAAATGAATTTGGGAGGGGACAAAATTCAACCCATAACAAAGTCACGCACCCTCAGGCAGGTAAATAATGATCATTCCCATTTTATAGGTGGGGCAAGTAAGGCCAAGAAAGGTGAAGTACTTTGCACACAGTTGCACAGCCTGAGAGTCCTCTATTAATGTGACTTGTGCTGAGGAGGAAGATCTTATGGACACTGATGAGAGAGAAAGCAGGTCTTGGCACAAGCAGGAGGTCCAAGAAGGGAGAGAGCCAGTGGTTACTCCACTGCATGCAACCAGATGAGAATCAGGTTTATGAGTAATAGAAAATTAGAGAATTGGTGGCCAGGCATGGTGGCTCACACCTGTAATCCCAGCACTTTGGGAGGCCGAAGCAGATGGATCACTTGAGCTCAGGAGTTCAAGACCAGCTTAACCAACATGGTGAAACCTCACCTTTACTAAAAATACAAAAATTAGCCAAGCATGGTGGTGCAGACCTATAGTCCCAGCTACTCGGGAGGCTGAGGCAGGAGAATCGCTTGAACCTGGGAGGTGGAGGTTGCAGTGAGCCGAGATTGCGCCACTGCAGTCCAGCCTGGGCGACAGAGTGAGAGAAAGAGGACAGGAGGGGAGGGGAGGGGGGAAGCGGAGAAGGGAAGGAAGGAGAGAAGGAAAGATAAAGAGAGAGAGAGAATGAATTGGGGATCGGACAAGAAGAAGCCAGAAAAAAAAAAAAAAAAAAAAGAAGAGCTGTCGGGGGAATATGCAGGACCACAGATTGCTTTGACCTATAATGCCATTGTCGCTTTAGGCAGTAAGGGCCACACAGGCAACAACGTGGTCTGCTCTGTGCTCAGATGTGGCCCCGGTGCCAAGCACAGAGTTAACACAACGTAAATGTGCAACACATACTCCTAAGATGAATGATGTGCCTTTAAAAATGGGCATTCTAAACCCAGATCTACTGAGTCACGCTCTCTAGGGTGGGGGCCAGAAATCTGCAGGTCCTACACTCCCCCACGGAAAACTGATAGGCACCGTAGCTTCAGCACTGGGCACAAAGGAATGCCTCTGTGGATCATCGTCAAGGAAGCTCACGGGAATGTCTCGAGCAGAACCTTAGGACCCAGAAGTGCAGCCCTGGGCATATAGACAGTATTCAGACACTCTGAAATCATGAATTATTTAATCAGAAATAGGTCCTCCAGGACGACTAAATCCATGCAGTAAATAGGTGTTTGAATGTTGAGCACCCATTAGTGATGTATAATGACTAGGAGTGAGCTATTAGGTGCTCTGAGGGGCTGTTTAAACATCCTGACAGGCAATTCACACTAATACAATTTCTCATAAAGGTAGAAGTCACTGTGAGTGCTCTCCAGGGAGCCTCCATGTTTTACAATTAAACCGATATCTAATATTTTCTTAGAGTGGCCCACTTTGTTACCTAGGGTATCCAAGACAAAACCCAAAGGTCCACAATGATGGGTTGTCATTTAGGAGGCCTCTCAAAGATCGTCCCTTAGATGCAAGGTACAAGGATTTCAGAAGAGATCTGGAGCTACTTAGAGGGCTTAAATCTCCCACAGCCCTTTCCTAAGTCTGCAGCTCAAGCACAAAACCCAAAAAACCATCCTAAACCCTGCCCTCCAATGGGAAGACAGGGAGGAAGAAGGGTAATAATGTACATGTTAATTAGACGCATCACCAGCTGCTGTAACAAACAAGCCCCTACATATTCAGTGGCTCAAACACAGAAAATTACTTCTTGCTCATATAAAAAAACTCCAAAACAGCTGTTCTAAATCACAGAGAAGCTCTTTTCATCTTGCTTCCAACTTTCCAATGCCATCCTCAATATGTGGCTTCTAAGATTGCCATCCTCACCTGCATTAAGCCGGTGGAAGAGAAACAGCATGGAGGACGCTGTATGGGGGAGGAGTCTACGAACTCCATTTCCCAGTGTTCCTTGCAGGTAGGTGTCCTTGTGTACAAGCAGCTTCCTTGTGGGCAAGCTGTTGGTAAAAAGGACATGATCACTTGACTCTGGAATTCCCAGGGCCCATCGCGGGTCCTCATCAGGACAACACAGCAGAAATCAAAGAGGAGAGGAAAGGAGCACTCAATCTCGCCAAGCCTCAAGCCTTCATTTTCCACCAGCCTTTCCAATATGTCGCCACCTAATTCTTTCCAGACTGGTGAGAGTTGGGTTTCTATCATAATTACTGAAAGAGCACCACTGACACATGGCACCGTCCCAAGCGCTATGCTGAACACTTCACACTCATTAATCCCTTTAAGCCTCCCAGAAATCCCGGGAAGGACCATTGCTGTCATCACTCCCATTTTGCATAAGAGGAAACCAAGGGTTAGAGAGGCGAGCAAATGTGCCCAAGGTCACACAAACAGCCAGCAGTAGATTCCCATGCAAGGAGTCTTACTTCAAAACTCAAACTCCTATGAACAATAACACGCTTCCTGCCTACAAACACGTTATGGACACTAGTGTGTGCCAGGCAGTAGGTCACGTACTTTACAGAATGTACGTGGATGCAGGCTGGGGGAGAGGGGCACAGCAGGGGGGTTAGATGTTCAAACTCTGCAACATAACAGACCTGGGCTGGGATGCCAGCCTGTTTCATTGCTTGTGTGTCCTTGGGAAAATTACCTAGCCTCTCTGAGCATCACAAAAGGGAGTGGAAGCCAGGTGTGGTGGCTCACACCTATAATCCCAGCACTTTGGGAGGCTGAGGTGGGCAGATCTCTTGAGGCCAGGAGTTTGAGACCAGCCTGGTCAACATGGTAAAACCCCATCTCTACTAACAATACAAAAATTAGCCGGACATGGTGGCACACAGCTGTAATCCCAGCTACTTGGGAGGCTGAAGCATGAGAATCACTTGACCCCGGGAGGCAGGGGTTGCAGTGAGATGAGATTGTGCCATTGCACTCCAGCCTGGGCAGTAGAGTGAGACTCTGTTTCAAATAACAATAATAATAATAAAGGGAGTGGAAACAGTTTCTGTTGCTTAGGGTTGCTGTCAGGGCATGAAAGATCTTGGAAAGGAGGGCAAACTACAGCTTCCTTCGACAAGGATAACAATGAAATTAACCCATGAACATCAGGGAAGAGAGAAGCAAAGTCACTCTCGAGACAGAGGCCTGAGCAGCCAAGGAGGCTGAGAAAATAAAAGAGAGGGGCTGGTACTGTCTACACATGCACTGCCTGGGGGTTGACATGTTTCACCTGTGACTGCCCGTCCGCCCCCTGGGACCACAGACCAGACTATCCCAGCCTTGATACCAGCTCCCCTCTCCCTGAAGCCATGCTAAGTAGCTTCACATGATGTGAAGCTTGCCTTCAAGTAAAGAGGCACTAGCCTTCGATGTTTTTATATTACTATAAATTAATATTAAAAATTTGCCACTTGGTGCATGCAGCAACAGGGAGCTTTGTTAGAGGGAACTGTTGTGTTAAGACTGTGGGCTCTAGGCTGGACACAGTGGCTCACCCCTGTATTCCCAGCACTTTGGGAGGCCAAGGAGGGTGGATCACCTGAGGTCAGGAGTTCAAGATCAGCCTGGCCAACATGACGAAACCCTGTCTGTACTAAAAATACAAAAATTAACAGGGCTTGGTGGTGGGAGCCTGTAATCCCAGCTACTCAGTAGGCTGAGGCAGGAGAATTGCTTTCACCTGAGAGGTGGAGAATGCAGTGAGCTGAGATCACGCCACTGCACTCCAGCCTTGGCAACAGAGCAAGACTCTGTCTCAAAAAAAAAAAAAAAAAAAAAAAATAGTGTCGGCTCTAGAGCCAGCCTATCTCGGTGTGAGTCTGAGCTCTGCCCACCCTGTGTGACCTTGGATAAACCACTCACCTTCTCTGCATCTGTTTCCCCCACTATAAAGTCAGAGTAATAAAACAACCCAGCTCACAGAGCTGTTGTATAAAACAAGAGGAAGGGTTCCTATAAAACTCTTAGAAGCACTAAATAAATGTCAGGCGTGATTATTACTCCCCATGTCTTCTCAGCTGAGGAACAGTGATCAGACCAAGTTCCTGACCCTGCAAAGATGAAGACCGGACCCTGGACCACCCTGACAGCTGTCCCTGACAAGCCACTCTGCCCTGGGAGCATCACAATCCTCTTTCCATTTACTCAGTCAACACATCTACTGAGGAGACCTGCATTAGACACCAGGGGAGCAGTGTTGAGAAAGAAGGAATTATTTGCCCTAATGAATGTTAAGTTGTGTTGGGGAAGATGGACATTAATCAAATAATCACACAAACAACTTTAAAAGGACAAAGTAGATAAGGTGCTTATTAGAAATGCACCCAGTGGGGTAGGAGGTGAGGGTATGGTGGGGGACTTGTGGGGCTGGGAAGTTAGAGAAGGCTCCCCTGAGTAAGTAGCACAAGCGTTTAAATCAGAATGATGAATAGGGGCCGGGTGCGGTGTCTCACGCCTGTAATCCCAGCACTTCGGGAGGCCGAGACTGGAAGATTACTTGAGGTCAGGAGTTCAAGACCAGCCTGGCCAACACGGTGAAACCCTGTCTCTACTAAAAATACAAAAATTAGCCAGTCACGGTGGCATGCGTCTGTAATCCCGGCTACTTGGAAGGCTGAGGCAGGAGGACTGACGGAACCCAGGACACAGAGGTTGCAGTGAGCCAAGATCGCACCACTGCACTCCAGCCTGGGCGACAGAGCAAGACTCTGTCTCAAAAAAAAAAAAAAGCAACTACTACTCAACCCAGCAATCCCACTACTGGGTACTACTGGGTATAAACCGAAAGGAATATAAATCATTCTATTATAAAGAGACATGCACACATATGTTCACTGCAGCACTACTCACAAATTCAGACATTTTTAAGTGACTTACTGGGCTTGCCCTCCCAAAAGAATTTTAATAGAAGTGTCTCTCGAAGGCAATGCTTAACCCAAAAGAATAAAGGTTGAATGGGGATGGGGAGAAGTTTCAGAGCATGGTTTCCTTCCAGTAACACAGCACGGAAATATGTCCACACTCTCCTGAGTTACTCTGGTTTGCACGTAGAGCACAGTCTCAGGAAGCCAAAAAGCTCAGCTTTGTCTCAGCTCTAGAGGATCACCCATCTCACATTTAGTTTTCTTTAAATAGGTCCTCCCAGAGTGTGTCTTTATTGCATCCTGTGAGGCTGGTGGAAGGAATCTGACACTTTCTCAACCACAAACCCTTTAAATTGCAAACAGCACAGTTTATGAGGTGCTGGCGGATTATCTAGCTTTGAATGAGTGGTATGTTTAAAGACCATTTGTCTTGTCCTGGGCCGGGAGGAGGCAAGCGCTGGGGGAGGGTGCGGAGGGGCGCTTAACCTTCTGGTCCGTCCCTGTGCAGCCGAACCAGGATGGATACAACAGCCCCTCCATGCTGCCCCAAGGACACCTGGTCCTCCAGGGGCCGCTGCGGCTTGTTCTCTTCCTACTTCCAAATCCTCTCCCCACCTTGGAGGCAGTAAGAGGAAATGTTATGAAAAAGAGTATAGACATTTGTCAAAAAATTGAAGACAGAACTACCACTTGATCCAGCAACTCCACTACTGGGTATTTTTCCAAAGGAAAGGAAATCAGTGTATCAGGTTTTTGTTTGTTTCTGTTTGTTTGTTTGTTTGTTTGTTTGTTTTAGACAGGGTCTCACTTTGTCATCCAGGCTGCAGTGCAGCGGCATGTTCGTGGCTCACTGCAGTCTCAACCATCCTGGGCTCAGGTGATCCTCCTGCCTCAGCCTCCCTAGTAGCTGGGACCACAGACACTCACCATCACACCTGGCTAATTTTTTTTATTTTTTGTAAAGACAGGGTTTCACCATCTTGTTCAGGCTGGTCCCAAACTCCAAGGCTCAAGTGATCCAACCGCCTCAGCCTCCCAAAGTGTGGGATTACAGGCATAAACCACCGCGCCCAGCTGGAAATTGGTACATCAAAGGGACACCTGTCCCCTCTCCTGTTTTTTTTGAAACAGAGTCTTGCTCTATCACCCAGGCTGGTGTGCCATGGCGCGATCTCGGCTCACTGTAATCTCTGCCTCCCAGGTTCAAGCAACCCTCCTGCCTCAGCCTCCCGAGTAGCTGGAATTACAGGCATGCACCACCAAACCCAGCTAATTTTTATACTTTCAGTAGACATGGGATTGCACCATATTGGCCAGGCTAGTCTCGAACTCCTGACCTTGTGATCCACCCAGCTCAGCCTCCCAAAGTACTGGTATTACAGGTGTGAGTAACAATGCCCAGCCCCCACCATGATTTTGCAGCACTTTATTCACAACAGCCTATAGAATCAACCTCAGTGTCCATCAATGGATGGATGAATATAGAAAATGTGATATAGATACACGATGGAATGCTATTCAGCCATAAAAAAAGAATGGAATCCTGTCATTTTAGCAGTTGGGATAGAACTGGACATCATTATGTTCAGTGAAATAAGCCAGGCACAGAAAGACAAACGTGACGCATTCTTACTCCTATTTCAAAGCTACAGCAACTCATCTCATGGAGGTGGAGAGCAGAATCATAGATACCAGAGGTGGGGAAGGTTGTGTCTGGGTGAGGGGGAGTGGAGAGATGAGAGAGACTGGTTAATGGGTACAAACAAAGAAAGAATAAGATCTCATCTTCCATGGCAGAGTAGAGTGACTATAGTTAAGAATGTACTGTATATCTCAAAATAGCTAGAAGAGAGGATTTGAACATTTTCCAACACATCGAAATAATAAATGTTTGAGGTAATGGGTATCTTAGGTACCCCATCCTGATCACTGTACATCCTATGCATGTAATGAAATACTACATGTACCTCTTAAATATCTGCAAATACTATGTATCAGTTAAAAAATGTGGCTTCCTAAACAGATGCTCCACCGTTTCCTCAATGCTCCCCAGGACCTATGTATGTATGCAACGTGCTTTACGCACATCACAACACCAAGATGAGCTCTATTATGAGACCCATTTTACAGATGAACAAACAGAGACTCAAAGAGGTACATGGACTTGTCCATGGCCATGCAATAAAAAAGTAGAAGAGCTCAGATTTGAACCTAGATCTTAATTCCTCCATGGGTTTAACCCTTCAAAATGGAGAGGAGCTGAGCTTACTCCTTAAAAGTGAATGAAGGAGCATGAGCTTACTCCAGAGAGCCTGGCTGCCTCCAGCATGTGGTCACATATTCACTCAAGAAACATTTCCAGAACCCCAGTCGAATCCCGGGTGCTGGGAATACAGAGATGAGGAAGTCACAGCCCCTGTGTATCTTACAGCCTAGTAAGTCTTTTCCCTCCTCAGCCTCCTCTGTAATCTGACTCCTCCAGGGCATCCCCATCTCCATCCATCCATCTCAACATGTCCTGGGCACTCATGACTCGTCAAGTTCTGGACAAAAGCTAGGGATATGAAGAGGAATAACATGTGAACTTCCGGGGTGAGAGACATGTTGGAGAAGAATAGCATTGCAGTGCAGTTTGAAATGAGATGCATACCTGGGTATATTGTGTGAACAGGAGATCATTGTCCCTAACCAAGTCTTGGGCTCAGACGTAACTCCCAGGGAGATCTGCAGCAGACCTGATTGCTTACAAACCTAGAGGCAAGTTTCTTGTCCATGATGGCAGAGCTCCAATTGCCTTCTGGTGTCCACCTGTCCCCTGTGACTCTGGGAAATTCTCATCTGCAGAGGCCAATCATGGCGGCCTCACTCACTGACCAAGGCAATAGTTTACAGATAGGTTCGTTGACAGGTTCGGGTCAATGAGACACTGGGAAGATGGAGGATACAAAGAGATATGTGCCACAGCCTTCTAAGAAATGATTTGGGATCCTAAAATCAAATGTACAAGGCTGGAATGATCTTTTTTCTTTTTCCACCCCCCCACCCCACCCCACCCCCAACAGCAAAAGCTGCTGAGTCTGCATGAATTGCACGGACCTGGGGCAGCAGTTGTGCAAACTTGAGGGGCCTCCCTTGAGAAAGCACTGGGCATGCCAGATGGAAAGATAAAGGAGTTGGGGACCCTGGTGGTGACACTAAACCTCTGTGTCAACCAGCTCTGTGACTCCTCATCTCAGGGAGGAATGCTTTCAGCTGCAAGGGTTGGAAAGCCAGACTGCAACCACCCAAACAGATAGGGGCTTATTTTTCTCATAAAATAAAAGTTCCAGAGGTTAGGGGCTGGTTCAGTATCTTCTTGATGTCCATTAATCTCTATTAACCTAACAGATGTCCCCCAAATCTCCATGGACTTTAACAATATGCTTTTCTTACTCAAAGGACACACACAGGCTGCAGTTGGCTGTGGCTCTCCTCGTGTAACTTCACTCCAGGACCCAGAATGAAGGAGCAGACCCCATGTGGGCAATTCCCATTCTACCCAAAGAGGGAAACTTGATCAAAGAGGCCAAGTCTAAGCACATAACTGCATTTAGACTTCTGCTCAGATAGCCAAACTGTCATCTCTGCTCACATTCTATCAGACAAAATTACACAGCCTAAGTCTGACAATAAAGAGGGGAAGTATGTTCCTCCTACAGATAAGTTTTGCAAGCCATATGGTGAGACGAGCATATACAGTCTCTTTTCAGAAGAGAGAGCAAATAGATGTGATCAAGAATATAATCTACCACATAGCCTTTCCCTCAACATGACAAGATGGTTTCTGTAGCTCTAGCCATTGCATTGCATCCCAGTCTCAGCAGAAGGATATAGGAAGGGAGAGAATTGTGAAAATGTTTTCCCAGAAACCCCAGAACAGTTTCATTTCCAGTTCATCAGCCAGATGTAGATGACATGGACGCCCAAGTCTGAATGGTGGCTGAGAAGACAGGGGGTGAGTTAGCCATCTAAATGAGTCAGCTGTACCACTCTGCCTCTTGATTGCTTGTTAGGTAAAAGAATAAATTTCCTTATTGCTGGACTTCAAGCCATTTCAAGCTGAGATTCCTACTACCTGAACATGAAAATTTTCTAATGGGTAGGAATTCCAAAATCTTTACTTCAGCCTACAAGATCCTAAGTGAAACAGCCCCACACTCTCCCTTTCCTGTCTTCTCTCCTTCACTCATCTCTCTCCAGCCACAATAGCCTCTTCCTCTTTCCCCTCTGGGGTTACACACAAGCCATTCCCCTCCCTGGAATGATGCTCCCACGTTCTTTAAATGATTCCATCACATCCTGTACCTCTGCTTCATCGCACATCCTGCATCATTTAGTTATACGTTTATCAGTTTACTCCTTTAATATCCACTTCCAATAGACTGGAATCTCCCTGAGGGCAGGAGATATATCTGCCTTGCTCACCACTATAACTATAGCACTTATTCATCACAGTAAATGGCTTCAAGTATGGGCTCAATAAAGAATTATTGAATGAATGAATGCATTCATGAATAAATGAGAAAGATGAGCCTCTAGATAAGTTTTAAAGAAAAAACAAGGCACTGAGTTCTCAGGGAACAAGTCGCCCAGGCTGTCTTATCCATAAATAACAGGTCTAGAGTATTTAACAGCCATTTTTTTCTGAGACACCATCTCACTCTATCATTCAGGCTGGAGTGCAGGGAGATAATCTTCGTTCACTGCAGCCTTGACCTCCTGGGCTCAAGCAATCTTCTTGCCTCAGCCTCCAGTGTAGCTGAAACCACAGGTATACACCACCACACCTGGATAATTTTTTTTATTTTTCATAGAGACAAGGTCTCCCCTGGTTGCCCAGGCTGATCTCAAACTCCTGGGTTCAAGTGATCCTCCCATCTCAGCTTCCCAGAGCACTGGGATTACAGGCATGAGCCACCATACCCAGCTCAGCCTATTTTAACAAATTAAGTATGGGTGAGCATATCTGCCTCCTACCACATTTATCCCATAATGATAAAAGAGAGCACTTACAGATCCCCCATCTCAGAGAAGGTTAGTCAGGATAGTAAAAGTACTGCCCCAGGACATGAAAAACAACCATGCTAGCATGGGAGCCCAGATATTCTACTCATGAACTGCTGGCACTCAAAACTTGCCAATTTCACCACTTTATTACTTTGCTAGGGTTGCCACCACAAAGTATCACAGCCTGGGTGGCTTAAACAACAGAAATTTACTTCTCTCACAGTTCTGGAGGCTTGGAGTTTGAGATCAAGATGTCCGCAAGGTTTTCTTTTGGAGCCTCTCTCCTTGGCCTGAAGATGGCTTCTCCCTGTGCCACACAGTTCTCCTTCTGTACATTCGTGTTCTCATCTCCTCTTCTTATAACAGCAGCAGTCAGGATGGATGAGGGCCACCCATCCACCTTAGTTACCTCTTTAAAGGTCTTATCTCCAAATACAGTCACATTCTGATGCCCCCAGGGGTTAGAACCTCAACATACGAATGTGTGGGAGTGGGGGTTAGGGGGATAGGGATGCGGTTCAACTCATAACAGCCATCATCTTGAATCTGTCATTTTGAAAGCATTTTCACATACTCTGTTTCTGTGTTCCTTATAATACGTTTGTGCCTCATGCAGGACAGGGACCTTCGCTTCACAGTTGAGGATGTCAAGAGATAAAAGGACTCCCTAGAGTTGCACCCCTGGAGAGGAATGGAGGTAGAACCAGAACCCACTAATATGAACCACTAATCCAGGTCTGGTCCTGGACTTCAAACATGGACATATCCTTGCAGGTTTATGGATTTCCTCTCATTTCTTAATCTACTCTAAATTAACACTTGCATTTTTGGCATCACTGGTTGACCCACTTAATTAGTTTGTCCTTCAGCATGCTTGAGCACATATGGTTGTATTTACAATCTCCTTGTTGCCAAGTAGTAAAATCTGAATAGTCTTGAGCTGATGGGAAAAAGCAGAGGGGATCTTGACACATCAGTGATGAAGGGCAATGGTGAGGGTCAAAAAAAATGTCACTTTGGAGATTGAAAATGGTGGAACAATGGGGCTTTCATGTGGCAAACAGTTGTCCATGCTCATCTAACTCAGAAGAACCCACACTCCAGCAGTCAGTATACGATGCACTTTATGAGAAGTGATTTAGTTTCAACCAAGGAACATCATCCATCACATTAAATTAATGTTTCTAATTTGGATTTTATTGGTTTTTTAGGTCTGTTTGCATTTAATTTATAAATTTGTTTTAGCTTTGCAGCTGCATAACAGCAACAAGCATAAGGCATTTATAGGTTGTTTTATGTTTGCACTCTTTAAATAATATTAATTTAAGTTTAACATTAGTTTTGAATAATTTAAGTCAACACTGGGGCTCCATGAGAAACTTTTCCCAATAAAAGCCACTACACACACACACACACACACACACACACACACAGTAGCTTTTGCATATTTTATAAATATACACATATATATGTAAAATGTGTAAAAGCCAGTATATGTACGTGTGTGTGTGTGTGTATACATATATGTAAAATAGTCAATTTTGAGAAAATCTACACCATATATCCAGCACCACTCTCTAGTTCTTGAGCTCTTGGATATGAATTACAATGTGAAGTGAAAGTAAACAAGGAAAGAAAAACAAGTCCTTCTTGGTCTACTTCTGATCTGGATGGTTCCTCATTCCCTTAATGAGTTTGTAGAAAGCCCAATCTATTTGAGATGCCAAACATTATTTCCTCAATCACACATCTTAGGAAACTCACCCTGTCCAAACCCTGGTAGAAATAAAATCACCATTCACAGTGGACTGGACCAGGGTTGGACAATTGTGCAAATCTGGTCCAATAAAATTCTCTCTTCTGGGATTTTAGAATTAGTACATTCAGAGACTGAGCCAAAAAGCTATTGGAAGCCAAGCCGAAAAGTCCCACAGACTCAGAGAAGAGGCTACCATCTGGAAAAGTCAAGGGCTGGACAAGGGTAGATGAGTAAACAGGGAAAGCCTATAGTGAGAAGACAATAAAGTAGCTGAGCAGAAAAACAGGGATGGCAGTCCACACAGCCCCTGAGAAGGGGCCTGAACAATTCTGCGCAATTCTGCTGATTTCCCAGATCTACATCCAGGCTCTGGAGACCTGCTGTGAGATACACCAATCTCCTTTCAACAAACCCCTTTGACTTGAGCTAGCCTAATGGAGTTTCTGCTCCTGGTGACCACAGCAGCATCCTCTTTCTGACCATCCACTTGCTTCTTACTATAGGCCTCCAACCACTGGAGGTCTTCTAAGAGCCATTTCATAGTTATTTTTATGAACCTGTATGCACCAACTTGCCCAGGAGACTTTTGATTGAAAAAAAAAAAAACAGGAAGAAAGTCAGGAGAAGAGTCGTATTAGCTCGTTCTCACATTGCTATTAAGAAATACCTGAGACTGGGGAATTTATAAAGAAAAAAGGTTTAATTGACTCACAGTTCTGCACGGCTGGGGATGCTGCAGGAAACTTACAATCATGGCAGAAGGCGCCTCTTCATAGGGCAGCAGGAGAGAGAAGAATGAGTGCCGAGCAAAAGGAGAAAAGCCCCTTATAAAACCAACAGATCTTATGAGAACTCACTATCTCGAGAACAGCATGCAAAAAAACCCACCCCCATGACTCAATTACCTTCCACTGGGTCCTGCCCATGACATATGGGGATTATGGAAACTATAACTCAAGATGAGATTTGGGTGGAAATACCACAAAACCAAATCAGGAATCAAGATTTATTGAGGGCCTACTATAATTAAAAAAGAATCACTGTCTTGAATAAGTAGTTCATGTACATAATCATAGTTAATTCTCACTATTCTTCTGAAATGTGGACATTATTATGCTTATTAAACAATACAGAAACCAAGACTTAGAGAGGTCAAGTAACTTATGCAAGATCAACAACAAGGAAGGAATGGAATATAAGAGGTGATGGGAGACAAGAAATAATGTGAGACAGGAAGTGATGGAAGACAGAAAATAATGGGAGACAGGAAGTGAGGGAGACAGGAAGCTATGGGACACAGGAAGTGATGGGAGACAGGAAGTGATGGAAGATAGGAAATAATGGGAGACAGAAAGTGATGGGAGACAGGAAGTGATAGAAAATAAGTTGATCTGATTTTACAGCCTATTCATTTTCCATCAAGCTTGACTCCCTTTGGAGGAGTGGCATCTTTGTCTCAGGACCAGACACAGGACTCAGAAGGCCACCAAGCTTAATCAATGCTCTTTGCTGACCATTCCCAGCCAGAAGCGGGAATATTCACTGTACTAAGACTAGCTACCTTGGGAAACAGTTGAGAGGGAGGCAATATTGTGGCTAAGCTCCTGGGCTCAAATACGCTCTGGTGCTCTCTGATTTGGTGGCACTATTCTGGGCCTCCGTTTCTTCATTTACAAAATGAAAATATGAATAGACTACCTCATTGTGTTACTGTGAGGATTAGGTGAGAAAATGCACACAAAAGGGCCTAGCACTGTGCCTCAGAATCTACTTAGGGAGCCTTACGCATCATTTCCTGCCCTCTTAGAAGGCTGAATGGCATGGTACTTTTCAAGAGGCAGCAAGTCTCACCAGTCTTGATACTTTCCAAAGCTTCTCTGCAGCAGAACTTGCCATATTTCCCAAAACTATTGGATATTGGTTTTTAATGAGAATAACCTTAGATTAATCTAATTTATAGCAGTGACTACTTCAACCGTACCCAAATTGATCAGGCATAAGGATTTTCCATTAGGTAGTAATGAAGGAAATACATCTTCCAATATCTCAATTAAAACAGCCTCTGTTTTGCAAAGGTAGAAGCTGTTGATTTGATTTTAGTGCCTGGGGAACCATTTTGTTGGACAAGGAGATTAATAAGATAGAAGGCTCCTGGGAGGACAAAACACCTCTTCACAAACAATCTGCCCCCTCTCAGAGGCTGGATTCCAAGCTGGGTTCCTTTCCTGTACTTGATCCAGGCACCTGCAGCTGACAGTGAGGTGGGGGCTTTGCAGCAGGTGCTGGGGCCTCCCCAAAGTGCTGACAGCTACAGGAAAAGGTGCCAAAAACCACTCTACCCAGACCACTTGCCCACATGGAGCTGACAGTAGGCACAGGCCACCTGATACAATCTGGATGTTTGTCCTCTCGAAATAACATGTTGAAATGTAATCCCCGGTATTGAAGTGGGAGGTGTTTGGGTCATGGGGGCCGAGTCCTCATGGATGACTTGTTGCCCTCTCTGCTGTAATAAATGAGTTCTTGTTCTGTAAATTCATTAGAGAGTTGGTTGTTAAAGAGTCTGGGACCTTGCTCCTCCCTCTGACACCATGTAACATTCCTGCTTCCCCTTCACCTTCCACCATGAGTAAAAGCTCCCTGAGGTCCTGACCAAAAGCAGACACTGGCGCCATGCTTCTTTCCAACCTGCAGAACCATGAGCCAAATAAACCTCTTTTCTTTATAAATTACCCAGAATCAGGTATTCCTTTATAGTAATACAAAATGAATGAAAATGCTTCCTGGAAGGCAGAACTATGTTATCTCTTTTTTCTCCTCCCTCTCTCCCTCTTCTGATTCCCCCTCTTCCCCTTCCTCCTTCCCTCCTCCTCCTCCTGCTCCTCCTCCTCTTTCTTCATCTTTTGCTGTGGACATCATTGTCATTTCAATGTGAGCTTCCTATGGGCAGAGATGTGCATCCGTTTTGTTTGCTGATATATTCTCAGCACCTAAAACAGTGCCTGACTGTGGCAGGCTGACAGTGTGAATGGCCCCAACTCTCTGTTCCTTCGTGTACCCACACTATGCCTTCTGCCCTGTCACTCATGGCTCCTCTCACTAAAGAGGCAGGTCTTACTGCCCCTTCCCCTTAAATCTGGGCTGGCCTTATGATGAGGTTTGTCCAGGAGAAGGCAGCAGAAAGGAAAACTCACCATTCTGAGCCAAGACCTCCAAACTTTACACCTTGCTACTTCCTTTCTCACTCTTCTGCCACCATGATGAGAAACACATGCCCAGACGAGCCTGTCTGTCCCAGGACAAGGATGAGAGACATGGCGACAGAGCCACACTGCCCTGGCCATTCTAGCTGAACCCATCCACGGTCAGCCAACAGTAGACCCTCAGACATACGAGAGGGCTAGTCAAGCCAGCAGGATTGCCAGCTGACTCATAAACTTGTAAGATAATCTGATGCTTGCTGCTTGGAACCATAAAGTTTTGGGGTAGTTTATTACCTAACGTGATTAGACAAGAAGTCACTAATATACTAGCATATCCATATGAATTGATAGCTTCAGTCCATTAAATACATACTAAACACCAGGTATCTGGGTAAATAATTTATATACATGACAAAGCCTGCCTTAACATGTTGGTATTTTATTCATCATGAAATTCATTTCATTCATTCTATCTTCTTAAAATATTGAATTAATGTATTATTTACCTCAATTACTGATTTTTGGCACCCCCTTAAATTTTGCACCACTCACTTATGTCACATTATTTCTAGCCCTGATGATCACATTTATTCCTTATAAAAATAAATCCATCAAAAAAAACTAGGGCCCAGATGAATCTGGCACAATTTGAGCAACAAAATAAATAATGTAGTATTGGATTATAACTCAAAGCATACAATAAATATCCATGAGTCCCATCGTGATGTAAATAAATGATTGAATAAATAAACAAATGTGGGGGAATAAACAAATATCCCATAGAGAAGAATTCCAAATAATTTATGTAGATACTCCTCCATCAATGAAAGCAAACAAAAATCCCCACTCTTCAAATGTGAGCTGCTCATATTGACTTCCTCCCAAAGAGCACAGAATGAAGAGGTGGGTGTGGTGTGTGAAGAGCAAATTTACAGCAGAGGAACCTGACAAACACAGCTTCAGGCAGGTGATCAAGGCCAAGGTTAACAGCGATAGGCATGTCGGTAGTTGGCACCCTCGATATGACATGATTAAAGGGGCACTTTATCTCCACAGTCTTCCTCCCAAAAACATACATCCCTAGTCTAATCGAAACGTCAGACAGATACCACTGGATGTATATTCTACAACATACCTGACCAAGATACCCTGAGCTGAAAACCATCAAGGTCATTAAAAACAAGGAAAGTAGCCGGGTACCTTGGCTCACACCTGTAATCCCAGCACTTTGGGAAGCTGAGTCCAGATCACTTGAGCCCTGGAGTTCAAGACCAGCCTGGACAGCATAGTAACATCCTATCTGTACAAAAAATAAGAAATAACCTATGCATGGTAGTGCACGCCTGCCTTCCTGGCTATTTGTAAGGCTGAGGTGGAAGGATCGTTTGAGCCTAGGAGGTGGAGGTTGCAGTGAGCTGTGATGGCGCCATTGCACTCCTGCCTGGTTGACAAACTGAGACCCTGTCTCAAAAAACAAGGAAAGTCTGAGAAACCATCACAGTCCAGAGGACCTTAAAAGACATGTCAACTCAATGTAATGTTGTGTCCTGGATACAATCCCAAAACAGAAAGCAGACATGAGGCAAGAACTAAAGGAATCCTAATAAAGTGTGGACTTTAGGTAATAACAATGCATCAATACGGGTCTGTTAGTTATGACGAACGTGTCACAAGAGTATAAGATGTTAACAATAGGTAAAGCTGAGTTGGGGGTGGGTATGCAGGAACTTGCTGCACTGTCTTTGTAACTTTTTATGAACCTAAACCTATTCCAAAATAAATGGTTTACTAAAACAACAGCAACAACTAAGGTCCAGAGATTAAGTAAATTGCCCTAGGTCACAGAGCTCATAAATGACAAAGCTGGGATTCTAATCCATGATTGTGATGATTGTGTTTAAACCAACACCCTATAGCTCACCTCCACACACACACTTATCCACATAATGAAAGAAGAGAGAGAGAGACAGAGAGAGAGAGAGAAAGAGAGAGGAGTAGGAGGAAGAAGAAGAGAGGAAGGAAGGAAAGAAGAAAGGAGGGAGGGAGGGAAATTGATTGCAATACATTTGGGCAGTAAATCTATGGAGAAGGCTGGTCTTCCGCTATTTGATGAAATTGGCCACCTCCAGTGCCTTTTGTCTCTTCTCCTCCTAAATGCATATTCAGCAGTTTCAGCTGCACTGTGTGCCTCTCACCCAGCTGTGCTCACCCTCGTGCAAACTCCCATGCAATCAATAGCCCACATCCATCATTTTATCTCCACCACTTAGCAGAAGCAAAAACCACTTTGCCAAAGTACCCTCCTCCGGACAAGACATATCACCCCATTGCCACCGTGTGCATCCATCTTGCATGCAATTGTTTAAGTGGTTTGGGGTCCTTTGAAATCAGAGATTTATTTCTGCTTCCCTTACATTTTATCAGGGAAGGTTTATCATCAATATGAAACTTTAATTCCTCTGAAGCTGTGGATTAATAGACTCATAAGCTTTAATATCTGGTACTTTATACACTTCATGCAGGATGTACTCAACTCTGCTGGGGAGTGACAACTCAGTCACCCTTCTGGTCTCCCCTACTCTGCAATTCTGAGAACTTTGGGGACATAGTTACATTCACCTTGATAAAGCATCACATGGTGAATAGGAGGTTCAATGCTGGAATCAGGCCAACATGGGTTCAAATCCTGGTTTCATCACTCACTAGGTGTGCAACTCTGGGCTAGTTGCTTTAACTCTCTGATTCTTCTTCTATAAAATGGGGATAAACTGGAACCTACTCAAAAAGTTATTGATTATCATATTGAGGGGAAAGAGGCACAGAGCTGAGTGGCATCTAGGAGGAGGGAGAAAGAAGGGGAAGGAGGGAAGTAACAGATGATGCTGGTAAAGTGATTAGTGTTGTTCTTCACCATGTTTGGTGTTGAATAAACAATAGCTATTATCTGACTAGTCTTGACTTATCGACAAAGGACAAAATGAAAAAAGAGAGCCTTTTATATGGCAAGGAAAAATAAAGGCACCCCCCACCACCATCCCTGCAGAGAAAACAGAGCCCAAAGACCAGTAACCTCAGCTCCTCTTAGCTTTGCACATTCCTCTTAGCTTTTGAAAAGACCTCAAACCAGATCTCTGAAGTCACGTCAAGCATCTCAGTTCCGCCAGCCAAGCCATTGTTTAAAATGCTGCCACTGCTGCTTCTTGGGGCAAGAATCACTAGTCTGTTCTTGCACAGAACTCTTCAGGGGCCAGGGCTTAGGCTGAGTTCTTTGTAACTTTCTAATTCCTTTGAAGACAATCTGGCAAAACAAACCACACTGTTTTTTTTCACGGCCAATTGCATCATGCTGTGACTCTCCTTCCTTCCAAAGGACCTCCTCATTTTCAGCAATGACGTAAGTAAAACAGTAAAGGAAAAATAATAGTCATGTGGATTATACAAGGCACAGGTGATTCAGATAATAATAACTACTAACCCTTTACAGCAGTAGTTCTCAACCTGGGGATACGTGGCCATAGCTAGAGACACTTCTGGTTGTCAGGACAGAGAGAGTCAGATGGCATCTAATGGGTGGAGGGCTGGGAGGCTGCTCAGCATCCTGCAGTACTCAGAACAGCCCCGCCACACTGAATTATGTGGCCCAAGGTGTCAATAGTTCTGAGGCTGATACACCTGAGTTTTACTAGGTACCAAGCTTGGTTCCAAGAGCTTTAAATGCAGTAGCTCACAGGCCACCTACAAGGAAAACCCTGCTATTAACCTACCTTGCAGATTGAATTGCTAGCCCCCATTTTTCATCTCCCCCTAAGCCCTAAACTTCACCCTGGCATCATTCCAGGAAGGGTGCTCTTCCCTGCCCGGTGAGCCTGGACTCAGCCACGCGACTTGCTTTGGCCAAAACTTGGTGGGAGTGATGACATGCTGGTTTCAGGACTTGGCTTTGAGAGGCCATGTTTCTGCTCCACCAGTGCCAACTCCACGAGATCCATAGGCCCTGCCTATCTCCCAGTTCCAAATGGATGAGAGACACAAGAAGCAGAGACACCAGGCAGACCCCCTGACCTACAGTCAGAGGGAGAGCGGCCCCAGCCAACCCCAGGCAAGATCTGCTGAACCCCACGCAACTCACAGCTGCACCTGTGACAATAAGTGACGGCTGCTGAAGCCACTGAGGTCTGGGATGTTTCTTCCTCTGCTATAGCAGAATAGACCCCATTTTAGCCATGAGGAAACTGAGGCACAGAGAGGTTAAATAACCAGCCCCAGTTACACAGCTCGTAGGTTCAGCCTGCATCCATTCTGAGACAAGCCCTGTGCTCGACGCTGTGGGCCCATTCTCCAAAGGAGGCAAAGGAGCATCAGAACTGACGCGCCCAGGGGTAGGGCGTGGCTGAGCTCTGCACACAGGCACTCTGGCTCCAAGCCCAGAACTTGTGCCCTGACATCACATGACCACCTGCTAAAACCAAAGGCATTCAAGGACAAGCAAACTCTCTTCAAGGGATCCTCCACTCGTCTGCGCCAAGGTTCTTGGGCACCATCTGGGACACCCCGCACTCCCTTACTTATATACCCATCACTAAGCCCTGTCAACTTTGCCTCCAAGAGTACCTCCTGGGTCCATCCACTCCCCTGTGTATGCGCCCATCTTGGCCTTAACGTCCACGCCTGGCCCAAGCCCCGAAAGCTCTCCCTCCTCCATCAGCTCTCCTGGCACCCGCTCTTGCCGCTCCAATCCACTGTCTGCGTGGTGATACTGGAAATGCCTTCCCTGGAAAATGAGGAGAATTTGCAAGGGCCCCTCACTGCTCTGTGAATAAGAGACAAAGACTCTAACAACACCTACACCCTCTGGGCCGCCAGCCACTTCATCTCATTCCACACTCCCCTTTCTCTCTTTGCTCACTTTGCCAACTACAAGCCAGCCACAGTGCTTGTCATTGGAGACACAATTGTGAACAGAAATGGCTGAGGCCCCTGTCCTTGGGAAATTTACAGTTCATGGGTGAAAGAGATGTCGGTGGTGGAGGGAGATCACCCGCTTCTCCTCATTCACAGGGAGTACCATGGTTCCGGCCAGCTGTGGGACATCCCCTGTCTGTGATTTCACCTGCATGGATTTGCCCTTCTTCCATCATTGCCAATTCATCTCTCCTCATTCCCCAGGGCTCAGTCATATCCCAACACTTCCTGCTCTTGCACCACCCTGCATGTGGGCATCAAAGTACAAATCCCAGTGGGGGATCGCATGTCGGGAAGTGTGCGGCTATTTCATGTCTACATCTCACACTGTGCCTCTGAGACCCAGTTTTCACTCCACGTTATATTTCCAGCACCTGAGACACAGCTAGTGTCCAACATGACTGAGTAAGGGTGTAAGTGAGAGGGAAGGAAGTCCAGTTAACAATAGGACCCTGGAGTTTAAGTACATCCACTGCTTGAGATGAGTGGGCAAAGACGTAGAGGGTTCCTATGCTGGAGAGACGCGGCAGAACCCCCAGGTGGGTGGTTGCCGTAGGAACAGCCTCCGGGTCCACTTGACCATGAGGAATACAGTCCCACCACATTCCAGAGGCAATGTCAGCTCTCGACTTCTGCCAACCTGACTGCAGGGACATACTGTGAGCTGGCCCTGTGATCCCCACCTTCTGGTGGTCACAGTCTGTGCAATCTCCCCCGCCCCACCTTGGGTATGGCACTCTGTGCAATCGCTCTGTGCAGTCCTCCCCACCATCTTGGGTGTGGCACTCTGTACAATCGCTCTGTGCAGTCCCCCCACCCCCAACATCTTGGGTGTGGCACTCTGTGCAACTGCTCTGTGCAGTCCCCGCCACCATCTTGGGTGTGGCACTCTGTGCAATCACTCTGTGCAATCTCCCACCCGACCTCGGGAGTGGGCAGGACCTGTACTTTGTTTTTAATGAATAGAACACAGCCACATGTTCTATTCATGCCCACAGGAAGGCTGCAGCATCTACCTTGCTAGGAGACTCTGTCTCTCTCTCACCCTTGCTGCTAGCTGGGATGCAACAAGTGGCCGCATTGGAGTGGGGAGATGCAGGTAGTTGGCAAGGAGCTGAGGGTGGCCCCTGAGCAATGTCAGTGGATCTCAGACTTACAGACACAAAGGACTGCATCCACCCAGACGAGCCTCAGATGAGACCCTCGCCCTGGCCAATGCCTGCATTGCAGTCTGTGAGACTCAGAAGCAGATGATGCAGCTAAACCACGTCCAGACCCCCAGCACACAGAAACTTTACTATGTTGTATTAGGCTGCCAAGTTTGCATACTATTGTTCCATAGCAATAGAAAACTAGCATGTCAGAGGGGCCGGGGACTGTCCATGGGGGTTTCCCTTCTACATTTTTCCCCACTCCTGATGGGACACCTTGCTCATGGGTCAATGCCATGTGAGCTTCCCAGGGCTGCCATAACAAATCACCCCAAACCAGATGGCCTAAAACAACACATAAGCATTCTCATGCTGGAGGGCAGAACTCTAAGATGGAGGTGTCAGCAGGGCCACACTCCCTCTGAAGGCTCTAGGAAGAGACCCTCCTTGCGTCTTCCCAGCTTCTGGTGGTTCCAGCGATCCTTGGGGTTCATTGGCTTGTGGCTGCACCTCTCCCACCTCTGCCTCTGTCTTCACATGGCCTTTTTCCTCTGTGTGTGTCTGTTTCCAAAGTTCATCTTTTTATAAGGACACCAGTCACTGGATTAAGACCCACCCCACTCCAGTATGACCTCATCTTAACTGGATTATACTGCAAAGACCCTATTTCCAAATAAGGTCACATTCACAGGCATGAAGGGTTAGGACTTCAACATATCTTGTGGTGGGGGACACAATTCAACCCACAACAGATGCTGTCTTCAGACCCAGAAAACAGAGTACGTGGCTCTCTGCCAATTCCAGCCCACTGGGAAGCTGCCTGCTCTCTCCCATTCCCACGCCAACCCCCATTCATGCACCACATGTTTTCTGAACACCTATGTGTGCCACCCACTGATGGAGAAACTGGGGGGAACAAAGCCAAGACAATCCCTCCTCGCATGGAGCTTGCATTCTGCTTGGGGAGCAGTGAGAGAAAATCAACAGCAACAAATAAAGGAAACCATCTCCAATCATGGCAAATGGTATAATAATAGCAACAGCAGTGATGACAGTCATGGTGGCCGCAGTGGTTGGTGTTGCTTATTCGGTGCCAGGCATCATTCTAATTCACACACCCGAATTTGTTTTCTTCATCCTGACCACAACCCAAGTAGCTACTTATCAACCTCACTTTACAGGCAGGGAAATTGAGGCACAGAGAGCCTGCACACAACCAACAGCAGAGCCTGGATCTGAACCCAGGCAGCCAAGCTCCAGGGGTCCATTATGAAGAAAACAAAAAGGTAGAGAACAGAATAGGCTTTGAGATCTGGTGGTCTCTGAGACGGGGCTTTTGAGTCAAGACTTGAAGAAAGACTAGTAGGGGGGACTCCAGATTGGAGTGGGTGGAGGGGGAAATGCAAATGGAGGGTATCAAAATGCTAAAAGGATCTATAGCTGGAGAAGAGTTTAGACCCCACTCCCAAGGTGGAAGCTCCTGAATTACCCAGTGGTCGTACCCAACAGAGCAGACTGGTAAAACTTTCAACATTTCAAGAAAGAAGGGGTCTTGGAGATCAAGATGTCCCTGGGGAAGCCGTAACCCACACCTCACTCCCTTCTCTGTGGCGTCATCTCCAGTCTATAGCCCACCTTCTCTGTGATCAGGCCAGCCCCACTGCCTGGGGTGATTAATAGGTTTAATTTATCATTAACTTCCATGGAGCTGAGCTAGGCTGGCTGCACCTCCAGAGCAGTGTGTGGGCAGCTGCAGGGTGAGCAGAAGCCTTTGTGTACTTATTTATATTCATTTTGCACTGGGGACATTCCTAATTTGTTTGTTTTTCTCTGGTCTGGGTTCACGTACCTGAACTTGGAAGGCTGGGACTAGACCAAGAAAGGATTGGGGTTTAGAGTCCACGGAGTCAGAGAAGGACAGAGAGGGAGAGAAAGGACAGAGGACGACCTGTGAGGAGCTATCCGCGACTTACGTCTCTGTGCCTGCAGGCTGCCAAGCATCCTATTCTCGCAAATGTGGCTGGAGCAAGTTGCTGGTGCAGGCACAGTGCTCAGTACTGGTGTAGGAGAGGTGGGAGGACACTGGGAACCCTGCCTTCAGAAAGTTCCCGGAACACTGTGAAGACAGGCACATTAATGATTTCAAAGCAAGCTTGGCAGACCAGCAGGAGGAGGTGTGTGAGGCAGTGTGGGCTCAAAGGCAAGGGAAGGGCTCCTCATTTCTGGTGAGGTTTCAGAGTCTAGGACTCTGAGAGATACCCTGAAATCCAGGCATCATCTTCCCTCCTTCCCTAACTGATATACACACAATCTGGGTCAATGCGGGAGGGGAGGGTGAGAAAAAGTCTATAGCAGAGAGATTTTGAGCAGGGATGGAAGGGTGAGAGTGGGCTCTGTTTGCTGGTAGAAATGTCATGGCAGGGTGAGGCTTCATCCCTCTAGACACACACGCAAACCACGGTCTAGGGAGAAGGTACCAGACAGCTGCCAGGGGTATCCCCAAGCAGCCCTCCAAAAGCCATGGACTTCACAAGTGTGGCAGAATGGGTCTCTCTTCCCTCTCCCGCTTCCTGGACAATGTAAGATGGTATCTTTTGTCACACAATTCAAGGCTGGAAAGGAGAGACATACTCTGTATGTGATAAGACACAGGCACTCACCCAGGGAAGACAGTATTCAGCACAGTGCCTGATGTAGTTGCATGTAAGCTCCTCCCAAAAACCAGACCACTGTGAGGGGTAAGAGGGGCTGCAGGAGACAGGGCTTCTGGTGGGACTCTCTGCCCACCCACATAGGGCACCCCTGGAATCTCAGGCTGCAAATGTTGCTCAGACACTAAACCCACCCCCAATTCTCTACCACCCTATAAAAATGTGTAGCTGGAGTCTGAAATATGAGATAGAACAAACTCTGGGATTCTAGGAGCAGCAATAGAAGCAGAATAAGACGACAGGCACCAAGCAGGGAAAATGCAGGCTTTGGTTCAATGGTTTCTGCCACCTACAGTTCAGGGTTATCCCAACGCCCCCTGCGTTAAGCACAGAGGTGGAAATTCCAGGTTTTAAGTAGAGGAGAAGGGGGCAAGAAGGGGTCATACAAGAGGTTTATGCAGCCTACAATGTCAAGCTTTCATTGCTTGCTTTAATAACAGCTTTACTGAGCTATAACTCATACACTGCACAATTCCCCCACTGAAAGTGCCCATCTCAAGTGGTGTTTGGTATATCCACAGGGCTATGCAACCAGCGCCTTGACCAGCTTTAGAACACGTTCATCACTCCTCAAAGAAACCTGCACCCTTCAGCTCTCACCTCCCAAACCCATCGTCCCCAGCCCCTAGGACAACCACTGATTCACTGTCTCTAGGGATTCACTGTCTGTCTCTACAGATCTGCCTAGTCTGAAAGTTTCCTGGAATGGCCTCCTTCCTTCTCCACAGGGGTCAGCAAGCCCTCATGCCAGCTCCAACGTCACCGCTCATGGCCAGTTACTCCCTTGGTCTTCCCAAGCCTCCGCATCCTCCTCTGAAGGTGGGGCTGGTGAGGGTTCCTTCCCCACAGAGCTGCAGGGAGGATTATGGAAGTTAATGCCTATGGCAGTGTCTGGTGTCTAGCAAATGCTCAGCAAATGGTAGACAGTACATCTGCTCTTGTGTGCTTGTGCCTGGTTTACTTGCTGGGAGCCAAACCGGGCCCTCCCCTTTGATGATAAGTAACAGACAATCCAACCCACCAGGCGCGTGGAGGGCGTCAGCAGAGCCTATCTGTGAATGGAGGCATTTTTATGATCGTGCGTGTGTGGACAGTGACTGCCTCAGCTCTTGGTCAGAAAGGTCAATGCCATTGGCCCTACTGCAGGAAACTGCTTCTCAATGGCCTGAAGACAAAAGCCCCAGGTTTCCTTGTTATCCAGGAGCCTGGGCCAGGCTGGGCAAGCGTTGCAGAGCCAAGTCCGAGGCCCAGCAGGCTCCTGGCAGGCCCTGCCTCAAAGTTGGCAGCTGTTGGGTCCTGGGAGGCGGCCTGCTCTGTGCTCTGGGCTCTCAGGGATCAGGGAAGGGGTAGGAATAATCAGGTGACATGCTCCAGGGGTGCTGCTGCTCTTGGCAGAGCCTCAAATCGAGTTTGAAATGAGTAATCCTGAGCCAAGCTGCTTGTGCTGTGAGCAATGAGGCTGGTTGGCAAGTTCCCTCCGCCCCCAGCCATCGCCCTCTGGAGATGCTGCTCCAGATGCCAGGAAGGGGCTGGAGGGGCCCCAAACCAGCCCCCCAGAGACAAAGGGTAAGCCAGCTCTCCTCACCATGATGAGAAGAGGGGCATGGCTGAGCCTCAGCAAAGAAGAAAGGAGGCTATTTATATGAAATGGCCACAACAGGCAAATCTGTAGAGATAGAAAGTAGATGAGTGTTTGCCAGGGGCTGGGAGGACCAGACAATAGGGGTTTGATAGCTTAAGAGTAGAGAGTTTCTTTGGGGAGGGGATGAACATGTTCTAAAAGTGATGGTGGAGATGGTTGCACAACTTTGAATATACTTAAAACCATTGTCTTGGCCAGGTATGGTGGCTCATGCTTGTAATACCAGCACTTTGGGAGGCCGAGGCAGATGGATCACCTCAGGTCAGGAGTTCAAGACCAACCTGACCAACATGGGGAAACCTCATCTCTACTACAATAACAAAAAGTAGCCTGGTGTGGTGGCTCACACCTATAGTCCCAGCTACTCAGGAGGCCAAGGCACAAGAATCGCTTGAACCCAGGAGGTAGAGGCTACAGTGAGCCGTGATTGCGCCATGCGCCACTGCACTCCAGCCTGGGCGACAGAGCAAGACTCCGTCTCAAAAAACAAAAACAAAACAAAGAAAGAAACCAGTGTCTTGTACACTTGAAATTGATGAATTATATGGTGTGTGAATTATATCTCAGTAAACCTATTCCAAAAAGAAGAGGGGTGAGGGAGATTCAAGAGTGGGGGACAGTGGTGAAATTACTTCCCACGGGTACAACTCTCTGTCCGTAATACCAGAGGTCCTCTTGGATCTTCCTATAAGAACAAAAATAAGTGCAAAGATACATGGGGTACTGCACAGAGGAGGACACTGTGGCACAGAGATGTTAATTCTCTTGCCGGAAGTCACACAGCAGTCAATGGCAGAACTGCGGCTCCACCCTGGGGGTGTGGTTCCAGAGCCTGCACCCTTCTCTCCTGTGCCCTGTTTCCCCAGCTGAAATGCAGCTTCCACACTTGCATGGGGCATCTGAAAAGCCCCAGGGAAGAAAGAGGAAATATTTTAGGAGAGATGTGTATTGGACACGTCTAAATAGAATGATCCAAGCAATCGTTGTAGCAAGATCAGAATTTCCTCTGCAGGGGGAGTCCATCTTTCTAGGGACTGTATTGTTCAAGATCTCAATCAGAATTGCTCCTGTGCTCTGGTCTCCCTGCCCTGGCTATTTCTCAGGGTCCCCTGAGACGCGGAAGAGTCTGGAACTGACGGGAGATGGTCTGATAAAGTTCCAGCCTTCGGGGGCAGGCTCTGGTGCACTGCAGACTCTGCAGACATCTGCAGACAGACTATAACTCAATAGAGGATTCTGTTAATATGGTTGCTGCCTGTTCTAACCCCTTCGACTCCCAGCCTAACCACTGCAGAGATAACAGAGGCTGGAGGCGCCTTGGACCTGATTGCATTTTCTCCCCTCTCGCTGCCCTGCAAAGATGGACTTTGTCAGGCTTCTGCTGCCACCTACAGTAACAGCAACAAAAGGCAGGTCTCCAGCCAGACCCAGAGAAGCAGAGCAGGGGGCTTCCAGAACAGGGACACTAGGGGCCGGAGCCTGAGGTCCAACCTCCATGTCCACCCCCTGACCCTCAGGCAAGCCGAGGAAGAATGATCAGGAGCCTTCTCCACATCCCACCCCTACAGTGTCCACATCCCACCCTTACAGTGTCCCCATCCACTGGGACACACCAGCACAGAAGTCACACAGGGACGGGAGGACCATCTCTCCATTTCATGGGGTGAAAGGCATCCCTGCCGTTCTTCCTAAAGATTTCCTGAGGATATTCTAATCCTTCTGCCCAAAGCTGCTGCCTCCATGCCATCTCATTCACCCCCTACTCTAGGAAGCCTCTCTTGATTTCTTCCCCTAGTTTAGCTAACCCTACAACCACCTTCTGCCGGCCATACTGGTCACTCTAAATTGTAGCTGCTTACCTGTCTCCTCAGTAATCATAACAATTAATAATAATAATAATAATAATAATAGTGAGCTGGGCATGGTGGCTCATGCCTGTAATCCCAGCACTTTGGGAGGCCAAGGTGGGAGGATCACTTGAGGCCAGGAGTTCGAGACCAGCTTGGGCAACATAGCAAGACCCATCTCTACAAAAAAAATAAATAAATAAAAATTAGCTGGGCATGGTAACAAATGCCTGTAGTCCCAGCATGTACTGGGAGGCTGAGGCAGGAGAATCACTTGAGCCCAGGAGTTTGAGACTGCAGGGAGCTGTGACCGCACCACTACACTCCAGCCTGGGTGACAGAGCAAGATCTTGTCTCTAAAATAATAATAGTAATCATCAGATTAACATTCACTGGGTACTACCCACACACCATGAACTGTGTTTGGAGATTTGACGGCATCATCTCATTTAATATTTGAGCAACTTAGGAGGAAGATGCTATAATTGCCTTCATTTAACAGAGGGGAAAAACGAGACTGCAAGGTTAAAGTAATTTAGCCAAAGCCAGCCTTGGATTTGAATCCAGCCCATCTGCCTCCAGAGACAAACCCTCTTCCCCCAGGATTCAGCCTGCCTCCCCACCACTCCTCACCAACCCTTCCACTAGATCGACAGGGCGTCCGCATAGTTTGTCTGCTATTCATTCATTTAGAAATGTGGGAGCCTGCTTGGCTGGGGAATAGATAATTGATAATTTTATTTTTTCTTTTTTTTTTTTTTTTTTTTTTTGTAGACAGAGTCTCGTTTTGTCATCCAGGCTGGAATGTAGTGGAGCAATCTCAACTCACTGCAACCTCCGCCTCCCGAGTTCAATCGATTCTCCTGTCTCGGCCACCCTAGTAGCTGGGATTACAGGCACCCACCACCACACCCAGATAATTTTTTTGTATTTTCAGTAGAGATGGGGTTTCACCATGTTGGCCAAGCTGGTCTCAAACTCCTGACCTCAGGTGACCCGCCCACCTCGGCCTCCCAAAGTGCTGGGATTACAGGGGTGAAACACCGCGCCTGGCCGTGTTTTCTTTTTTCAGGCTCATGGAATGTTGAAAGTCATTGCTGTAAAACTTCAAAATTATGATGCCTGCCCATGAAGAGGCACCACTGGGCTTAACTTCTCCCAGCCATAATTCCTTGTCCTTACATGACATCTCTCTGGAGTTTGGGATCTATGTGAGGTAGACTAGAGAAAAAGCTATAATCTGAAAGGCAATTCGTAAGTATAGGATGAAAGCTGGGAGACCAGTTAGCCTCTGAGTCAACTGTGTGGTGAAGTTACCACGCAAAAAGCTTATGGAATTAGAGGCTGCACTAAGAAATGCTGATAAGACACTTTGCCAACGGGACCATATCTGAAGCATTCAATGTTGGGACCCATACACTGAGGCTGCTGGCTGAGGATGGTGTGTCTGGATAGAGTGACTTAGGTTGAGAGAGAACTCTAGGTCCTGACATAGCTGATGGCAGAGACAGAAAGAGCATGAAGTAAGTTTAGCAGCTGCATATAAACATTTGAAAGCCTGATACTCGGCCAGGCATGATGGCTCACACCTGTAATCCCAACACTTTGGGAGGTGGAGGCGGGACGATTGCGTGAGTCCAGGAGTTCAAGACAGCCTGGGCAACATAAGGAGACTTCATCTCTACAGAAAATTAAAGAATTAGCCAGGCATGGTACTGCATGCCTGTTGTCTCAGCTACTTGTGTGGCTGAGGTGGGAGGATCACTTGAATTCAGCAGGTTGAGGCTGCAGTGAGCCATTATTGTGCCACTGCATTCCGGCCTGGGCAAAAACGAATGGAACAGAATGGAATGGAATGGAACGGAACGGAACGGAATGCAATGGAATGGAATGAAGGGAGGGAGGGAGGGAGGGAGGCAGGGAGTGGGAGGGGAGGAAGGGAAGGAGGGAAGGAGGGAAGGAGGGAAGGAGGGAAGGGAGGGAAGGGAGGGAATGGAGGGAAGGCAGGAAGGCAGGCTGATGATTAGGAGAGAGTAGACCTCATGGGTTTGCATGGATCACAGATCTAGGCAAATGCGAGAATGGGAGAAAGGAAGAGAGAAAGAGTGAAATGCCTCAAATGTAGCAGATACGAAATAAATATCTGCTGAATGAAAAATTGAAATGTTGAGTGGCCATCAGGAGTGTGGATTTTGGAGTCAGAAAAACCTGGGCTTGGCCGGGCACAGTGGCTCATGCCTGTAATCCCAACACTTTGGGAGGCCAAGGCAGGTGGATCACCTGATGTCAGGAGTTCAAGACCAGCCTGGCCAACATGGTGAAACCCCCTTTCTACTAACAATACAAACATTAGCCAGGCGTGGTGGTGGGCACCTGTAATCCCAGCTACTCGGGAGACTAAGACAGGAGAATGGCTTGAACCCGGGAGATGGAGACTGCAGTGAGCTGAGATCACACCACGGTACTCCAGCCTGGACGATACAGCGAGACTCAGCCTCAAAAAAAAAAATTTAAAAAAAAAGGAAAAGAAAAAGAAAAACCTGCGTTTAAATCTTATAACATTATAATGGTGTGGATTTGGTTAAGTGATGTAGCCTCTCTAAGCCTCTGTTTGTCCATCTCTCAAGTGGGGCTGAAAGGACGGGTGAAGAGTTGATGTTTACACTGGAACCTGAAAGGTGGGTCAGGATTGGTGAGCAGAAGGGAGACAGGAATCCGAGACCTGGACAGAGAGAGTTCTACCAACAGGGGCAGCAAGAGAATGTCACCTGTGCCAGGACAGGCTGACCAGCCACACTACAGAAGTCAGTCATTCCTCTAGTATTTTCTACCCAAAATAAGACAGATATTTGAGTGTCTTTTCCACGTACAGCTTGGGACCCAAGCACTGAGAGATTACAAACATGAAATATAGCCAGTTTCTACCCTCAGAGCTTATGACCTAGAACAGAAGATGAACAAAAAGCTGAGGGAAATGGAGAAATGGAAAACCAGAGCCGGCCTGGCCAGCAAGCATGAGCACCACCTGGGGCACTTGTGCATATTGAGATCCCAGGCCCTGCTGGAGACCCATAAGCCAGAATTCCTAGAGGCTGGGGTTCTAGAATCCACACCTAACCAACCTGCCCAGGAGCCACTTACACACCAACAGTGAGAGCCTGACTTAGTACCTCTGAGAAGGATGGACCTGCAGACCCACGATGGCCAAAGGCCTTACAGAGGAGAGATCCTGGTGCCAAGCCCAGGGACATATGGATGATAATAGGAGGGGAGGGAGTGATGGGTGCAGGGCATGAAGGCCCAGACGCAAAAATATAATTGCCAGATAATGTACAGTGTAAGCTGCAACTGCCTATCAGATAATTTCTGCTGGGAAATAAGAGATCAGGTTGATGTGTGAGTATCCATCTCTCAAATGCTTATCCCCATCTTCTCTCCCAACAGCCTAGCCTGAGCTATCATCTTCTCCTGCCTAAACAACAGCCACAGCCTCCTAAAACATCTTCCCAGTGCCATGCACACCCCTTTCCTCCCACCACCCTTTATTCTCCTTGCAGCAGGCAGTGTGATCTTCTAGAAACACAAATCAAAGAAACTGAACAAAAACAAACACCCACCATCACTACTGCTGCCAATTAGAATTTCCCCAAGCTTTGTTCTTAGACGCCTGTAATCCCAGCACTTTGGGAGGCTGAGGCATGTAGATAACTTGAGTTCAGGAGGTTGAGACCAGCCTGGCCAACATGGTGAAACCCTGTCTCTACTAAAAATACAAAATATTAGCTGGGCGTGGTAGTGCATGCTTGTAATCCCAGTTCGTTGAGAAGCTGAAGCAGGAGAACTGCTTGAACGTGGGAAGCAGAAGTTGCAGTGGGCCGAGATCCCGCCATTGCACTCCAGCCTGGGCAACAAGAGCAAAAACTCTGTCTCAGAAACAAAAACAAAAACAAAAGAATAAAATGCAATCCCCTTACTAAGACCTTCAGTGACCTCCAGGGTCTGCCCTCTGCCCCCTCTCCCTCAAGCTCACTCACTCCAGCCACTCTGGAATCTTCTCTCTTCCTTGAAAATGACAGCTTTCCCCATCTTCCAGCCTTTGCACATGTTTTTTCCCTCTGCCTGAAATTTTCTTTCCCCCATCTCTCCATGGCAAGCTCTTCCTCATCTTTTATGCGTCCACTCCAAAGCCACCTCCTCAGAGGGACAAACTACCTAAAGCATCCTCCCTGCAAGCCTTTGATTTCATCACTTTGTTATTCTTGGGGACAATTATCAGAATCTGTAAACTTTTCTTTTGTTTATTTTGAAACAGAATCTCACTCTGTTGTCCAGGCTGGAGTGCTGTGGAGCAATCTCAGCTCAGCTCACTGCGACCTCTGCCTCTTGGGTTCAAGTGATTCTCCTGCCTCAGCCTCCCAAGCAGCTGGGAGTGTGTGCCACCATGCCCAGCTTTTTTTTTTTTTTTTGTATTTTTAGTAGAGATAGGGTTTCACCGCGTTGGCCAAGCTGGTCTTGAACTCCTGACCTCAGGTGATTCACCCGCCTCTCACCCTCCCAAAGTGCTGGGATTAGAGACATGAGCCACCGTGCCTGGCCAGAAGCTGTAAGCTTTCTCTTGGCTAAAAGTGCTTCTTTCTTGTCTCTCTGGGTCACTGTTGAATACATAGCACATAGTCAAGGCTCAACAAGCATTTTCTAAACCCATAAAAGATGCATCTGTTGTGTGAGGCCTTGAATGCTGAGTTCAAGAGTAGAGCGATTCACCGAGAACTTCACAGCAGGGCAATACCCAGCATGATGAGAGAAGTGCTTGTGTTATCTGAGAAAAAAAAAATATCCCAAAGGATTTCAAAGATAATAATAGCAAAGTAAATTTCAAGAGTGGATCTAAATTCACCAACCCCGGTGAAAGCTGAAAATTACCATCCCAGCTGGTGGAAATGTCAATTCAAACTTCGTTTATAAAACCATTTCAGGCTCTGATTGCTAAATTATTATTTCATATGAGAAGGAGCATTGTCTGGATAAAAAACGATTGTGAAAGTAAAAAAAATTCAATTTACTCAATATCCCCCTCCCTGAAAAAAAAATTCTTTTTAACACTAAAAGTTATGCCAGATAATTGCAGATATAAATATCACTTAGTGCAGATGTTGTGTATAAAATGTAATTATTACTCATGGAAAATCAATGGTGGCAAATGATAAAATCCATGATTGGAGTCTTTCTACTGAGCAGAAATGGATTAGCGCTTGGGCTGTGGTTTATGCACTTTTTAATTGGAAATGATCTCTAACTAGAAATGGATCTCGACACAGGGATGAAGCAGCTGATTGCAAATAAAGATGTAACAAAAGCCAAGCTCTCTGGAAATGCAGGGAGTTCAGTACAGAAACCATTTCCCCATCCCATCCCAAACACGTCTCCTCCTCACTCTCCCTCGTTTATTGGGCGTTTGCTTGCTATGATCCAGCCCTGTGGCCGACATCTGTGACTAAGAGAGAGAGAAAAGCAAGCTTCCTCCTAAATGATGCCTGATAACAAGTGAGTAAGTGGGATAACCACGGAGTACGACCGAGAGATGAGGAAAGAAGATGTGACTAGAGAGACCACTGCAGATGGAAAAGGCCTCTCTGAGATGGACACATTCGAGATGAAGCTGAATAGTGAGAAGGAGCTGGGCATGTAAAAATGGGGAGAGAATAGGCAAAGGCTTATTATGGTACAGGAGGGCTAAGGGAGGTCCCCAAATGCCAGTGGGACCTTGACCCCAGCCAATGTCCAGGCTCTTGACACCAGCGTGAGAAGAAATTAAGAAAATAGTGACAGTACAGAGATTTATTGCAAAGGGAATAGTATGCACTCAAGAAAAGGGATTGGAGGTGCACTCGAGAGAGATGTGCTCAGCGGGGTTTGGGGCTTCCATTGTAATGGGTTTCTTTCTTTTCTTTTCTTTTCTTTTTGAGATGGAGTCTCGCACTGTCACCCAGGCTGGAGTGTGGTGGTGCGATGTTGGCTCACTGCAACCCCTGCCTCCTGGGTTGAAGCAATTCTTCTACCTCAGCCTCCCGAGTAGCTGGGATTACAGGCACCCGCCACCATGCCCAGCTAATGTTTGTATTTTTAGTAGAGACAGGGTTTCACCATGTTGGCCAGGATGGCCTCAAACTCCTGACCTCAGGTGATCTGCCCGCCTCGGCCTCCCACAGTGCCGGGATTACAGGCGTGAGCCACCATGCTCAGCCCTTAATGGGTTTCTTTAGCCAAGGGATGGAACATTCATGAAGATGCCTGGAGAAAAAGGTGAAGATTTCTCAGAATTGTGCTGCCACCCATATTAATACCAGATATGGGTATTTATGGATCTGTCCTGGTACTGATGGGTGTGTGGTTTACGATGTTAACGAGCATATCATGAGGTCCTGCCTGAGACCTAGGTCAAATCCAGCACCATGTTGGGTCCCGTTGGTCTTAGCCAGCTTGGCCCACACTCCAGTTTTCAGGGTCTTCTCAGCTGCTAGCTTATGCAGCTATTGTGACAGTTTCCTGTTTGCTAGTTGATATGGATTGGCTCTGTGATCCCACCAAAATCTCATGTTGAACTGTGATCCCAAGTGTTGGAGGTGAGGCCTGGTAGGAGGTGACTGGATGATGGGACTGGATATTCCTCTTGCTGTTACCATGACAGTGAGCAAGTTCTCCCGAGATCTGGTTGTTTAAAAGTCTGCAACACGTTCCCCCTCAGTCTCTCTCTGCAGATTCAAGAGGCAAGATTCGAGAATCGCTGCAGACTCTAGAGGAAAGACTGGTATCCAAAGTTTTGCTAGGCTGATGGAAGCAGGGTATTTTGTGCTTCAAGGTGGAAGTTAATTCTTTCTATTTCCAACTCATTACACCTTAGATCTCCTGATCTGCCGTGTAAAGATGTGCCTGCTTCCCCTTTGCCTTCTGCCATGACTGCAAGTTTCCTGAGGCCTCCTCAGCCATGCACAGCCTGCAGAAGTGTAAGTCAATTAAACCTCTTTCCTCCATAAATTACCCAGTCTGAGGTATGTCTTTTATAGCAGTATGAGAACGAACTAATACACTAGTCACGTAAAACTGATGCCTGGGATTTTCTATTCTCCTGCGACCACGCTGTATTATTCCTACTTCACTTACAGGAGCCAAAACATACTCTAGAAGGTTTGGAACATAAAAAGAAGGAGTAAACAGGGGTCCACTGAGGATCATATTTGCTACTGGCCCTTTCAATCATCGTGATCATTTTCATCTCTGAGGGTCCCTTAGTTGATCCACCCCAGATGCCCAGGGAGCGAAAGCTATTAAGCATCTAATTCCAAATGGACCACCATCTGGTTGGCTTTCACCCTAATCTGTTTCTAGTCTTCAGTAACCCCACAGTGACATGCAAACCTGCCCACAAACTGCCAAGCATATATGGCTCCTCTGCCATCGGCCCACAGGCTCCAGGAACACCTGCCTCCAGAAGACCTCGTGGGAGAGGGCAGTGAACAGCCAAGACCTCCCTCTTGCTCCAAGACCTCCCTCATCCTTGGACCACAGCATCTGCCTTCAGCTTTTCAAAGCAGGGGCTCAGACACAGACCCAAGATCCATCAATGCCCCCAGAGTAATTCATCATTGCCAAATTCCAGGCATGTGCAAAAGAAAGCCATGATGCATCTCACCCTTATTTAGTGTTCTCGTTCTTTCCCTGACACATGCAGGTCAGAGTCTGACAACTCTCCTTTGACACACAAGTCTAGTCTCTGGCTCAAGGTCACATACGCTGCAGATTCTAGAGGCAAGACTGGAATCCGAATGTCTAGACTTTGGGAACAAGGTTTCTGGATGAGGGTAGCATCCGCCAAGGAGACATCATAGAACTGTCTGGGAAGAAGGCATATTAAGAATTCAGACTCAGTTTCCTTCTGGAGCTCTGACAGGGATTCATACCCCAGCCTCAGGACAGCAAAGCACGTGAGTAAGGACAAGCAGAAAGGAACACCCCGTCATTGAAATGGGACCCCACCTCCTGCTCCATTAAGAAGTAAATCACCTCGTGAGTCTTCACAAAGCCCCACAAGAAGGCTGTTTATCTCTGCCCTTCTGAAATCTCTTTATTTTCTATCCTTTTTCTTTTGTTTTTTCCTTTCCACTTTCATTGCCTGCTTTGAGACAGCTACAAATGAGACAGGGTGATTAATTTCATATTTTGGCTACCGTTGCAGAAACACCTTCCCTCCAACGCTGGTACAAAAAGGAAAGATTTAATCAGTCTCCAGTGTGGTTACCTTGTGCGTTCAAGGTCTCTGATGGGAAGTGAAGACAAAGTTTTCAAACATTAAACTTTAATGAGCAGAGCAAGCAAGCATATTGCTGTGTCAACACTCGGCATGGCCTCACTGGGGAGAATCCCAGGCTACTCCATCAATCTTGACAGATCGGTATTGTCATTCACTCTCAGCTCTTATTACATTTGCCCATGATAGGTGTGTATGGAAAATATTCTGTCCCATCAATCAGCACCAGGGTAAACCAATGGGGACAGGGACTTCGCAAAGTTTTGCTAGGCTGATGGAGGCAGGGTACTTTTTGCTTCAACGTGGAAGTCAATTCTTTCTATTTCCAACTCATTACACCTTAGATCTCAGGTAGGCCTTTTTCACAGGAGGAAACACACAGAGGGTGCGGAGGGTTTGTCTTAAAGATTAAGATCAGGGCAACAGACAAGCATGGTGGGTCATAGGACTTTGGGAGGCCAAGGTGGGAGGGTTGCTTGAGGCCAGGAGTTCAAAACCACCCTGAGTAACATAGTGAGATCCCATCTCTACAAAATGTAAGAAATAATAACAAAAATGAAAATAAGCAAATAAAAAATTTCAGGGCAAAAATGAAAGCTATGTCTTCGGGATCTGAGTTTCAAGAACCATCTAAGTAAGGTGTCAACACACTTTTTCTGTAAAGGGCTATACAGTCTCTGCCACATCTTCTCAGCTCTGCTACCATAACATGAAAGAAGTCACAGACAATATGTAAGTGAATGTACATAGCTGCATTTAGATAAAGCTTCATTTAGGAAGATAGGCAGTGGACCAGATTTGGCCCATGGGCCATAGTTTGCCAAATCTTGGTGTAGGCTCTAGGGTCAAAAGAAGTGAACAGGATTCCACAACGAATACGAAGAACATCATAGTCAGATTTCCTCTCCCATAGAGGTCACTCTTAGAAGGTAAGAAAAGCACCAAGTCCCCGCACTATTGATGGTTTAATGGTTTAGAACACTAAATAAGAGTGAGATATTCATGACTTTCTTTCACACATGCACAGAATTTGGTAATGATGAACTATTCTGGGGGCACTGACGGATCTTGCACCTGAGTCTGAGCCCCTGCTTTGGAAAGCTGAAGACAAGCACTGTGGTAGATGTCATTTCATCCAAACGACTCACTCACAAAACTAATGCAGCATAGACAAGTCCTTCTGGCCACAGGACCTTTGTACACACTGTACTGCCTCTGCTTAAAATGTTCTGTCACACTATCTCTCCATTAAAATCTCTTCATCTTCAGGTCTAAGCTCACAGGCTGCATCCTCCAGGGATAAACACATCCTGTATTCTGCTTTTATTGCACTCATCGCGGTTTGTGATTGTGTCTTTGTATCTCCAACTCTCTCCCCTCATTAAACTGCAAACTCCCTGAAGGCACACCTAAGCTGGGTACCATGGAGCACAGGACCTGGCGTGCAGGAAGTACTAAGTGAATATGCATTAAATAAATAGGCCTGAAAAGGTTATTTAGAATTGGGAAAAACAGGTACCTGTGACCTGTGGGTTTCCTCTCATCAGCAAATACTTACTGAACAGCCTCTGTATCTGCAGAGAGGAGTAGGTAGTTCAGGGTTCTTATACTTTGAGCATGCACCAGCATGTCCTGGAGGGCTTGCTGAAACACAGATTCCCAGGCCTCAGCCCTGGTGTTTCTGACTCAGTAGGTCTAGGACAGAGCCCGAGAGTGTGCAGTTCCAACAAGCTCCCAGGCAACGCTGATACTGCTGGTCTGGGGCCCACACTCTGTAATTCTCAACCCTGGCCACACACTAGACTCACTGCAGAGGCTTTAAAAATACCAGTGTCTGGGCCCCACCCCAGACCAACTTACATCAGATTTTCTGAGGATGTGAGGCCTGGACATTGTTGTATGTTTGTCTGTTGTTACCTGTTGCTGTTGTTTTGTTCTTTAAAGCTCCCTGGGTAATTCTAATGTGCAGCTAGGCTTGAGAACAACTGAATTAAAAGATGTTTCTAGCTCAAGAGCTGTCTTTAAGGGCCAGGCTCCAGCACTGGCTTGGCCCACAGAAGCAGTCTGAGAACATTCTGGGGTATCCAATGCAAAGTCTAGCTCATGGCTGCTGGGCCAGCTCCTGGTGCACGTTTGAAAGGCACATGAACACTACGTAAAAATCACTGAGGATTCATCAGCATTACCATGCACAGCAGTTGTTAATCTATTTTGATTGCTGTAAGAATCCTGTTGTATAAATATTCTATAATATATTTACCCATTCTCCTGTTGATGGACATTTGGGGCTATTACAAACAGTGCTCCTATAAAATTCTAGTACATGACACTTGGTGAATATATGTATGCATTCTTGTCATCAAAGGAAGCCAGATAGAAAAGAATACACACTACTGTGCGATTCCATTGATAGGAATTTCCAAACAGGCAAAATTAACCTTTGGCGATAATAGTCAGGTGGCGCTTGGGAGGGTGGCTGCCGAGTCGCTAGGTGGGTGGCTCGGGGTGGCTGGTAATATTCCAGTTCTTCAAGTGGGTGCTGGCGTCCTAGATGTGTTCACACTGTGACAATTCATCCAGCTGTACTCTTGCGTTGATTGCTTTTTTGTGTGTTTATTACATAGTCACACACCATGTAACGATGTTTCGGCCGATGACAGACTGCAGATATGACGGTGGTCCCGTAAGATTATAATGAAGCAGGTACAGAAACCTGATATATGGAATTTGATATTGGCCATTGCAGATCAAATCGGGGAGATGACTGAGATTCAGTAATTGCGCATTTGGTTTTCTATATGGAAAAAAATATATAAATAAATGTATATACATTATCTAGGTTTGCGTAACTACGCTCCAGGAGGTTCACATAATGAAATCACCCAATGACGCACCTCCCAGGACGTATCCTTGTTGTTAAGAGATTAATCGTTGTACTCAGTGTGAAAGAAAAAAAAGTTTATTAAGAAGAAAAACTCCCAGTGCAGAGGCGGATGCACTTCTAGCCCACGGCCTGCAGGGGGCGCGGCAGCTTCATGATCTCTGCTCTCCCACGCGGCTGCTCTGGTCCACGGGAATCCGCCTGGCCAGGCCTCCTTGAAGTTTCCGGGCGGTCTGCAGAGATGCTCGGAGCTCACAGATAGGAGTGCCCAGAGGAACCAAGGCAGGGCTGGGCCACACTCATCACCCCCTCACCCCGCCCTCGGCCAGCACCATGGAGGGCGGGGGATTCCATTCTCAAAAGCTCTCAGCTATCCCAAAGTAATTCTCCCTGAAAGGGCTCCGGATAGCAACGCCAGGTTCCCAGGACGCCTCTCTCTGCCTCCACAAGGCCGAGCACCTACAGAAGGTCAAGTTGCAGCTATGAATAGGAGGAACCTGGGTTCAAGTCCTGGTTCCAGGTGCCCCTGAGCAAAGCTCCTAATCTCCATTTCCTGTTCTGTAAGGGGGGCAGGTGATACCACCCACATCGTGGGGTTGCAATGAGGACTTAATGAAATGAAGCATGTATGTCACTTACCAGTGTCTGCCTTGGGATGTAACTGGTAGTTGTAGCCCTTCCCAAAATGAACGAGATGAGCCCAACATAGGTGGTCCCTAACCTCTTCCACCATCACTGCGTGGCCACAGAAAGAAGGGGAAAATAAAAGTCACCCTTTCTCCATTTCCCTAGATTCATCAAGCTCTGCCACAGTAGAAGCTGAGGACAGGTTCAGACCAGGTCAGTGGCTGTGGCTCACAGGCCTCTAACAGTGGCCGAGGTCAGCCTGCAGGCAGCACCAAGACAGACAGCAGTGAAAATAACAGGCCAGGCCTGGGTCTGACCTCCTTCCAGATGCTCTGGGCTGTGAGACATCCTTGGATTCAGCGCTTAAGGTGCCAAGAAGGTTGCCAGCTACCTGGAATGCCCAGGTCTGGTGGAGGGAAAAAGACAGCTTGGGAGTTCAGACAGAGATGCACATCCTAGCCCTGGCACTATATGAGCTGGGTGACCCTGAGGAACCTATTTGCCCTCTTGGAGAGACAGCTATTCCTCAGCAAAATCATCCATCTTTAGGACTGTTGGCAAGGCCGAGAGAGGTCATCACGTCAAGCACTGGGCACACCCCTTCCTCTGGGTGGCTCTGAACTCCTGCAATAATAATTATAGCAACAATAATACCACCAGCTAATATGTAAGGACTTACTCCATGGCATGGTAGCACTAGGAATAGACACCATTGTCCCCATTTTACAGACAAAGAAACCAAGTCAAAAAAGGAAAAACAAGGACATCATCCTGCCCAAGGTCAGACAGCTGGGAAGGGCTAATAGATGAACTTGAATGGAAGTCTATCCAGTTTCAGAACTGTTCTTTTAACCTACCTGGCTGATCAGAACTTAAACCAGTGTCTCAGAGCCCAGCCCTTTGAGGTGAGCCCTGGACATTAAGGATGTTTGTGCCTAATTCTTTGCCCTTTATCCTCCTTCCAAGGAAGCTAATAATTCTCAATTCACCCACATCATGTGCCCTTCATGTGTAAGCACAGGGTTAGCCACAGCCAAGGGAAGCATGAGAGGAGAACAGGAAAGAAACTTGTAAAAAGCCAACTGCGCCTAGGAATTCCTATCATGCAGAAATACCCCAACCTTCCCTCTGCTGCCCACAGAGACTTAGTGTCAGGCAAAGCTGGACAGGCAGCGTCTGACACTGCTGCTTACTTGTGGTGTGACTGTGGGCAAGTTAGGACATTTATCTCTGCCTTGGCGTTCTTATGTATGAAAATGCAGAAAATGACAGAAAGGGAATTTACCAGAACACTTGCAAAGACTAAATGAGATGTATTTAAACTGCTTACCAGAATACTGACATGTAAGTCAGCACTCAAGTTTTAGCTATTGTATCACCATCATATTCCATCATCATCATCTCCATAATCCTCCATTATCATCACCATCACACCCCACCAGCACCATCATCTTCCATCATCATCATCACTGTTAATCTTCCATCACCATCATCTCCCATAATCATCATCATCACCATCATCACTATAATCCTCCATTATCATCACCATCGCACCCCACCAGCACCATCATCTTCCATCATCATCATCACCGTCACCTTCCATCACCATCATCTCCCATAATCATCATCACCATCATCACTATAATCCTCCATTATCATCACCATCACGCCCCACCACACCATCATCTTCAATCATCACCATCATCACCATAATCCTCCATTATCACCATCACACCCCGCCACACCATCATCTTCAATCATCACCATCATCACTATAATCCTCCATTATCATCACCATCACACCCCACCACACCATCATCTTCAATCATCACCATCATCATCACCATAATCCTCCATTATCATCACCATCACACCCCGCCACACCAGCATCTTCCACCATCATCATCACCATCATCTGCCATCACCACTGTCTTTCATCTCTATCATTATCCATCATCATCACCATTATCTTCCATTATCATCATCATCACCACCACCACCATCACCATCATCACCATAATCCTCCATTATCATCACCATCACACCCCACCAGCACCATCATCTTCCACCATCATCATCACCATCATCTGCCATCACCACCGTCTTTCATCTCCATCATTATCCATCATCATCACCATTATCTTCCATTATCATCATCATCACCACCACCACCATCACCATCATCACCATAATCCTCCATTATCATCACCATCACACCTCACCACCATCATCATCACCACCAGCACCACAACCATCATCATCATCATCACTATTATCTTCCATCATGATTACATCATCGTCTTCACCATAATCATCTTCTCCCCACCACCACTACCATAATTATCATTATCATCACCATAAATCTCCATTATCAACAGCTTCATCACCACTACCACCACCATCATTATCAACATCATCATCATCATGCCCACGACCACCAACTTCATCATCATCACTCCCACTACTATCATCATCATTATTCCATTTCAGGGAGATAATGCATACCAAGGGCAGAGCATACTGAGGGCAAGCAGAGGTGTGACAAAACTTCCTATGCCTGGAAGATAGACATGAGCTCCACCATCTTGGAAGACATAACCATTAGTTGTGCCTTGCTTTTTAGCTTTCATCTTCTGTGGTCTCAAGTACATTAAAGCATCCCAGGGATAGAAATACAAGTCTCAATGCCCCGATTTCCTCATAACATTGCCTCTGTACCTTCAAGAACAGAGACCAAGACCAACCAACCTTTCCAGACTTGAGTTTTCTGCAACAGAGAAAAGAACCCAAGTCCTCACCCTCAGGGTCCACTCAACAATCTAGGGTAACCCAAAGCCAACTCGTGCTGTCAGCTTCTGCAAGATCTGAAACTCTCACATCATCTTTGGTTCCCTCTTCCTCTCTCCTGTTTTCTCATCATTCCCCCATTCATTGAAAAAGAAGAAGGCATCTGCTCCATCACAGACCCTGTGCTACGAACTCAAGAAACAATAGACAACAAGATGGTTCTTCTCCCTGGCCTCCGTAATGCTTCAGTCCAGTAGGGCACTTGGACAATAGCCAGATAATTATGTAGTGACACCTATAATGGGTCCCAGGAAGAAAAACACAAGGAGCTTGGATAGCACAGAATAGGGGGTGGACATTGTCTGGAGAACTCCCGGAGGGCTTGCCTGAGGAAATGACACCTACACTGATCCCTGAAAGAGGAAAAGGAATTCTCAAAGTGATGAAACAGGGAGAAGTTAAGCAAAAAAATTCTGGGAAGGACACTTTGTGCAAAGGCCTGGGGGTATTACAGGGGACCGGAGTCTCCACTGAGGTGAGCATTGAAGAAGAAGGGAATCAGGTCTGAGAGAGGCTGCTGAGGTGAAAGGGCTTCTGAGGTTGCTGGGTCTCACAGGTCAAGTAAAGGAGTCTCAGGTTTTATTCTTAAATCTCCAGCAAGGTATTAAAGAAAAATTTAAGTTAAAAGAAAAAAAAAAACACTGAGTTTTATCAGTGAATGCTCCAAGCTCAGAAATGGGAAGGTCAATGAGTCCTGATGAGTGTCTTCTCCATCTCCCAGGGGTGATTCAAGTAGACTTGCATTCCTACATAGACAGGGCACAAGACTGAGACCTGATGGACAAGTCAAGCTAATGGGGGAAGAAAGAGATGTTCTGGCATGTCCCTGTGCAGAGTATCATTTCCCCCAAATCCAGAACATCTGTCAAGTAACTGGCAGGTGGAGATTCCAAACGCCTGTTGTCACTGCACAGACCTTCTTCCATCCGGCTTCCCCATCTACCCAAGCCAAGGAGTCCACACTCAAAACAGATCACTCTGTACAATGACGGAGTTGAATACTGATGTCTGCTGGGAAAGCAAGTCTTCATTGGTCCCCTCGGCTCCTCTCCTCTTGCTCAGAAGGCAAGACATCCAAGCTGAACTTCAGATGGAGAACAGGAAGCTACATTGAGCCCCCTTGTCCTTCCCACCAAATGTTCTCTTCTTCACGGGTAGTTTCAGGACATGAGATGACCCTTGATGGAACCCTAAAGTAATCTATCACTTTGACAATACTGCAGTCAAGTCTCCATCACCAGGACTTCCTAGGGGAGGCAACCTGAATTGAAGAGCATTTTTATAGGGTTTTAAGTGTTATTACTTTAAGGAATGACTGGAATAAAGCAGTTCTCAGAGAAGTGCTTCAGGGGAGAGAAAAGAATTGTCAAAATTAGAATAAATTATTGGGAAGCAGGGAGAGAGGAGGCGAGCTCATACCGAATTCTGACTATGAGCTGGCTGCTTTGCAGAGCCTGCCTCTTGATTCTCACAATAATCTTATGATGTGGGAACGATTATCATCTCCATTTTGCAGATGGGGAAAATGAGGTTCAAGAGGATAATAACATCCTGAAGATCACAGTGTTCAGTAACAGAGAAGGAACCTGATTACAGATTCTATCTCAGTCCCAAACCCATGGTCGTTCTTGTGCTCCCAGACAGGGGGCACACTCACAAGCACTTTTGAAGTTCTGGACGGTGTTTAAGGAAATGCCCTAAAATAGACCAAGGGTAACAGAATCTCTTAGTTAAAAATCTGGCCTTTAGACTCAGGCTGCCTGGACAAGTTATTAACCTTGCTGAGCCTCAGTTTCTTTTATCTGTGAAATGAGGACAATGGTGAATTCTCTTTGAGGTATAATGCGGAATAAATATTAAAATCCATTTAAGTCCCTAATTGTGGTACTTGGCATTTAGTATGGGCTTCATATTTGTTAGCCATTTTCACTGTTACTAATCACATCATCATTTATCTAATTGTGGTAGGTAAACTCTAAAATGGTACTGATGATCTCACCTCTTGGTATGCATGCACTTGGAGAGTCCTATTCCGTTGAGTAATAGCTGAACTTATTCACTTTTTTTTTTTTTTTTTTTTTTTGACACGGAGTCTGGCTCTGTCGCCCAGGCTGGAGTGCAGTGGCGCAATCTCGGCTTACTGCAAGCTCCGCCTCCTGGGTTCACGCCATTCTCCTGCCTCAGCCTCCCGAGTAGCTGGGACTATAGACACCTGCCACTACGCCAGGCTAATTTTTTGTATTTTTAGTAGAGACGGGGTTTCTCCATGTTAGCCAGGACGGTCTTGATCTTCTGACCTCGTCATCCGCCCGCCTCGGCCTCCCAAAGTGCTGGGATTACAGGCGTGAGCCACTGTGCCCAGCCTTAACTTTTTTTCTGAGACAGGCTCTCACCTAGGTTGCAGTGCAGTGGTATAATCATAGCTCACGGAAGCTTCAAACTCCTAGACTCAAGCAATCCTCTTGCTTCAGACTCCCAAGTAGCTGAGACTACAGGTGTGTGCCACAATGCCCTGCTAAATTTTTTTTTTTTTTGGATGGAGTCTCACTATGTCACCCAGGCTGGAGTGCAGTGACACGATCTCTGGCTCCCTGGTTCAAGTGATTCTCCTGCCTCAGCCTCCTGAGTAGCTGGGACTACAGGTGCCCGCCACCACGCCTGGCTAATTTTTTGTACTTTTAGTAGAGATGGGGTTTCACCATGTTGGCCAGGATGGTTTCGATCTCCTGACCTCATGACCCGCCCGCCTCAGTCTCCCAAAGTGCTGGAATTACAGGTGTGAGCCACCACACCCGGCCATTTTAAAAATTTTTTGTACAGACAAGGTCTCGCTATGTTGCCTAGGCTGGCCTTGAAGCCCTGGCCTCAAGCAGTCTTCCTGCCTCAGCCTCCCAAAGGGCTGGATTACAGGCATGGGCCACTGTGCCCAGCCTTAACTGTTTCTAATTAAATGAATAAAGCAGAGGGAATGGGGTGTCACTTCCAAGATTAGGTTATTTTGAAAAATCCTGTGACTTCTGACTTGGGTGCCCTCTCTCACTCATTTGCTCTCACTAAGAGAAGCCAGTTGCCAAGATGTGAGCTGCTTACTGGAGGGGTTTGTGTGGCAGGAAACTAGTATCTCCAAATGACAGCCAGAAAGAACTGAAGGGCTCTGTCCAGCCAGATTCATGGGTGAATTGAGAAGCAGATCATCCCCAGTCAGGCCTTGAGTTAACTGAAGTTCTGGCTGGCATCTTTGTTTTCGTTTTTATTTTTGAGATAGGATCTTGCTCTGTTTCCCAGGCTGAAGTGCAGTGGCATGATCACAGCTCACTGCGGCCTCAACCTCTTTGGTGCAAGCAATCCTCCAACCTCAGCTTCCTGAGTAGTTGGGACTATAGGTACACACCACCATGCCCAGCTGTTTATTTTTATTTTTGGCAAGACAGGGTCTTACTATATTGCTCAGGCTAGTCTGAAACTCCTGGGCTCAAGCAATCCTCCTGCCTCTACCTCTCAAAGTGCTGGGATCACAAGCATGAGCCACCATGCATGGCCCTGGCAGGCATCGTGATTACAGCCTGTGAGAGATTCTTGAGGCAGGGCACCCCACAAAGCCATTGCACAAATGCCGACACAGAGAAACCATGAAATAATAAATGTCTGTTGTTTTAAACCGCTAAGCTTGGGGGTAATTTGTTACACAGCAATAGATAACTAATACACTCATCCATATCTGTATTCACCCAACAGTGCTTTGCTTTATCAGCAGATCAGAAGGCGAATTTCAGCTGCAATCCCGTCTACAGCATTAGAAAAGACAAATTGGCATATCCAGAGGTAGCAAGTTCACCGTATTTCACACTTCAAAATGCAGAGCCTGACAGCTACGGTGGCTGGGATAGACAGGAAGCTATCAGTCTACAAAGTAAAATCAGAAGGGTGTGGAAATAAGACACAATTAGATCCGGAAGGAGCTTTAGAATTCCAAGGCAACACCAGTTTCCATCTTACAGATGGGGAAAAAATGCCTCATGGGATTAGTCAAGCAGTACTTCCTCTGGGGGCAAGCGTGGGAAAGAGCAGCAGTCACAGACAGGCCGAGACCAAGTGTGTCTTGATCAACTAATGATGTGTGCCAAGAGCACGAAGAGCATGAAGTGGGAGTACGTGCCACATGTCTGCCATCCTTGCTACTGGTGCTTCTAGAACTGCAGAAGAAAAAGTGGCTCTATCCCATTGTGGAAATCCAAGCCATCAAGGACTCTGGACTCCGAGGATGAGAACATTTGCATCAAACCCCACCCCAACCCCACAGACATGCTTTGTAAAATGTTTTTAGGACTCCCCTACTCAGGGCTACAGACTTAAAGGCACTCTGTGGGGTTAGAACTCTGTGACATGAATGTGTTTTATTGACTGCGATAGATGACAGTTTGTATCTGTCCTATAAGGTCCCTATTCAGAGAAAATTCAAAGGGATAGAAAGAGGGACTTCTAACCCATAAGCTGCTTAGAGTCTCTAAAGAATAAGGATTCTTTTCTTTTTGTTTGGCCTTAAGGATCTTGAAAATATCCCCTTCCCAGAGCAAGAAATGAATGCCCCATTTTATTTACATCAGGCTGATGATATTTTGCTCTCCCAGGAAAAGCCGTTTGCCCAGAGGCAATACCAAGATGGTCCACCAGTACCCCTCCTTTGTGCAAAACAGCAGCACGTTTAGAAGCAAGGATGGTAGGTACAGATCACACACACCCCCATTCTCTGCCTCATGCCCCTAGCAGGCATCCTTAATCAATCAAGACATTCCTTCCTAATCAACCTGAATGCGGCCTCAGAACCTATGTAAACACAGCACTTCAAGCAGTCCCTACAATTGATAGGCATCAGCATGAAAAATTAGATTTGCATTAAGTGCCTGCTTTGTCTTTCTCCCTGGCTCAGACGCTGACTTCTGCACCAGGCAGCCCTGGCTGTCTTCCCTACTCAAGCTTCACCCATGAAAATTTGCACCTCGCCATTTGCCAGCCCCGCCTGGGCTGCAGGAAGCAGGAGAAATAGCCAAACATACATCTTTCCATCTTCCCCTTGGGCTGGAAGGCAAAGTCTCTACCTCCCAGTACCGAATGGTGTGCATCACACTCCTTCAGCATGCAAGAAACTGATGAAGAGAGTTATCCACATCTGCAACTGGAGAAATAAGAAGGCTTGAGCTGCCCGACCCTGGATGCTCCATGGCTCATCTGGAACAAAAGGTCTTACAAATCCTGGGACTTGAAAGAGAGTGAAAAAAGCATTCTCACAGTAAATGATGGCTCATGTGTTTATCACACGATTCGCCATGGTGAAAGTCCCTAGTGTAGGATCCTTACTTGGACAGGGTCCCTGTCATCACTACCTAAGAAGAGGCTGTTATGGGCTGAACTGTATCCCTCCAAAATTTGTGTGTTCAAGCTCTAAGTCCCAGTACTTCAGAATGTGACCGTATTTGGTGATGGAGTCTTTAAAGAAGTAACTAAAGTGAGATGAGGTCATTAGGGTGGGCCCTTATCCCATCCTACTGGCATCCTTTGATTAGGACACAGACACACAGAGGGAAGACCATGTGGAGACACGGTCAGAAGGCAGATCATCTACAAGCCACAGAGAGAGGGCTCAGAAGGAACCAACATGCTGACACCTTGGTCTCATACTCGCAGCCTCCAGAATGATGGCAGAATGCAGTTCTGTTGTCTAAGCCACACGGGCTGTGGTACTTTGGGATGGCAGCCCTCGCAAACTAATACAAGAGCTGACTGTGACATTTTAGGGAAAGTGAAGCACTTGGTATCTTCTTTCCCAGGACAGGACAAATAGCCATGATCAAGCATCTATGCATCATGTAGAGATGAAACAAAACAACAACACAACTTTTATCATTTCATTTCTCAAAAATACAGACAAGTAGTAACAAGAAAACCAAAAATGGTCCATGAACTTACTACCATAATAAACCCTGCTGACACTGAAAATACACTGGGTTAGACAATTCAAATGGTATTGAAAGATACAAAATGCCCTGTTCTCCCAGTCCATCAGCGCAGCCTATTTTAGTTCCCAATGGCTTTCTTAATTCCTTCTAGAAAATTCCAAGGAAATAGGTCATGGGTGTCAACAAGAAACCAGACATTATGCTGGGGTGAAGATGCTCAAGAGAAGACCCCAGTCCTGCCTTGGATTACACCAGTCTAATGAGGAAGCCAGACATGAAAAGAAAAATCAACTCAACATTTTGAGGTATGAAAAGTGCCTCCGCAGAGGTTGTGAAGATCAATCTAAGTGCAAAGAAGAGGAACAAACTAACTCCTTCACTTCCAACAGTGAGAGTCGGAGTATTTTTAGAGCTAGTAGACTTGTGTGGGATAACAGGCATTCACATTCAATGTTCTGATTGTGTAGGTTGCTACAACCTGCATGAATGCTCAGCTCAGACTTTAGACGGAGCATTCCACCTCCAGAATATATACTACATAGATTGCCTTGCAAAATATGAAAATATATGTGGCAATAACGTTTCAGTGAAATATTGCTTCTAAGAGCAAATCAGTGGAAACAACCCAACTGTCAAAATCAAACAAGTCATGGTACATCCACTTGGTGACATATTATGCATGCACTGAGAAGAAAGGCACAGAACTGTTTCTGCTGATCTGGAAGGGGCTCCAAGATACAAGACAAAGGGAAACAAAGCAAGTCACAAAAGAGTGTGTTATGAATGACCACTCTGGTATAAATATTCAAGGCTACATGTGCACACTCACATACACACTAGCATAGCCATGGGTGAATTTTCTACAAAGAATTAAGAAAGCCATTGGGAACTAAAATAGGCTGGGCTGGTGGACTGGGCGAACAGGGCATTGTGCATCTTTCTATACCATTTGAATTGTCTAATCCCGTGCATTTTCAGCGGCAGCAGGGTTTATTATGGTAGTGAGTTCATGGAACATTTTTTATTTTCTTCTTAATACTTGTCTGTATTTTTGAGAAAGGAAGCTGTAAATTGTGTTGTTGGGTTTTTTTTTTTAAATAATCTATACATGATGCATAGATGGGCGAGGTGTTTATGGATGTGTAGTACATGTGGGTGTGCTTTTATCTCATCCTCTTTGGGACCTTGGAGAGAGATTAGGAGAAAATCCCCCAATGGCTTTGACCCCTGGTCAAAAGCTTCAACACACATCATTAGCGATTCTACAGAGCACAGCAGGGATTTCTTTTATGCATCTCCGGATGAAAGAAAACCTAGATCACAAGTCATTCTGTGAATCTGAGATAGCTTCCCTCTCTGCGGAGGAGACCTCCCACTTAAGCATGTGAGCCACCCTGGACTGGAGCCCAGCAAGCCTGGATGCAGAACACCACTTTCTGACCCTGAACAGGAGAAAGCCAGGCCTGTAGGCAAGGAGGAAGGCCAAGCTCTTGACCTCCTGTGGGCTGGGCTGGAGGGTGGGGAGAAAGAAACCAAGGAAGGGAAGGACCCTGGACACTGAAGACCAGTCTGTGCCACTGCATCTGAGCAAAATGCCTGGTGGGAAACAGGAAGCAAATTGGAGCTTAAGGAATGTTTTAAGAAGTCCAAGGACACGTCTGACCACCATGAATACAGGTAGCAGGGGAGAAATAATTCTTTTTTTGCGGGGGGTGAGGGGCGGGGATGGAGTTTCGTTCTTGTCTCAGGCTGGAATGGCGCGATCTTGGATCACTGCAACCTCTACCTCCTGGGTTCAAGCGATTCTCCTGCCTCAGCCTCCCAAGTAGCTGCGATGACAGGCGTGCACCACCACACGCAGCTAATTTTTGTATTTTTAGAAGAGACGGGGTTTTACCATGTTGGCCAGGCTGGTCTGGAACTCCTGACCTCAGGTCATCCACCTGCCTCAGCCTCCCAAAGTGCTGGGATTACAAGCATGAGCCACCATGCCTGGCCGGGGAGAAATAATTCTAAGGAAACAATACTCTGCCTGAAGCTCAGCCTTGGCGTGGCTTTGCAAAGGAAGCCTTTGGAATCAGAGAGGGTTCAAACCCCATCTCTAATCTCTCCTAGCTGTGTGGCCTCAGGCAAATCACCTGACTTCTCTGTGCTTACAGTCCTTGTTCTAGGGACAGAGATGAGCAATGAACAGGGCAAACATGTCATCTGATTGGCAACAAGGCTTGGTGCCAATCAAATGACAGCACCAAGATTTGACAAGGGCCATGAAGGAAATCAAACAGAGGCCATGACAGAAGATAATGAGGGCCGAGGAAGTCTCTCTGCAAAGGCGACATTTAAACTGTGACCGCATTTTTATGTAATGGAATAAGCCGTCTCTCACCCCTTGTGGCAGCCAGGGTCCTGGAAGGGAACAGATGGCAAGTTCAAATTAAGATAATTTGTGAGGAAATTAATAAAAGGACTATTCATAAAGGTATGGGTAGGGGGTAAAGGAGCCACAAGTTATAATCTGGTGCCCTGCAGCTAGTGATAGTGAGGATCCCACCTCTGCCCTCATCCCTAAACCCAAATACAGACAGAGAGGGTTGCCTGACAGCAGCAGAGATCTTAGCTTAGGAATATAGCAGCCCATGGGAGGGAGTAGGGCCTATAAATGCCCTCTTCTCTCCTGCCTCCTCCTGTAACATACTATGGCTCCCTATTGCCCAAACCCAATGAGAAACCAGTGGGAAAAGGTGCCTCGTGCTGGGGTTTACACAGGAAAGCCTACCAGGGCACAAAGAACAGTGGAGAAGAGCAGAAAGCGGGTCTGGAAAGATAAGCAGATGCTACCCATTTGTTCCCCTTCTGCACATCGGAATCTTGGGGGGTCATATTAGAATTTGTTAGCGCTTCTAATCCTGCATTCATAAGGCCAATGAGAATTACCTTGTATGTGTTTTATGTGTATGTGTTTAATTCTAAATGCTTGATGATTTGCTATAGATGCATTTCTTGCAAGGGGCTTTCACTGTCTAGAGCTTTAGATGTCCCAGGTAATCAATAATGCTGCAGCTCTGATTCCAAATTAAATAACTGCACATTCATTACCCGTTCCTGGAAGCACACCAGGAACTCCCCCTCCAGAAGCACAAATCCCCATGCTCAGAGCCTTCCTTCTCCTCTGCTAGCCCACTCTAACCGTCTGGCAGCTTGGATCGGACAATGTGAATATCATCCGGCTTTTAGAAATCAAACTCCCTTCGCTAGTCTAACCTAAATTGGGAAGAAGAATGCCAAGGCTCTGAAATTTACTCCGCCAAGCTGAGCCCCAAGGGAGGACATAACATTTGGCTGCGGAATCAGGGAATGTTTGGCTGCTTCCCTGTCATCTGCTTCTCCAAGGAAAGTGGAGGAACACAGAATTTCAGCTCCATGGTGTGTGGATCCCCTGATCCCTCCCTACTGAGCTGCCAAAACAAAAGGAAGGGTTACCTAGAAGTGGGGAGTGAGGTGGGCCACGGTGATGCGTAATGAGAACCAAGGAGAACTGCATTTGGGGCTGAGCAAGTTGAGTTTCACATCACGCCCTTTCTGTCTCAGCTAACGAAAAACATCACGCTAACTGGCCAGGGAAGAACAATAGTGTCTGAGCCAGAAATTTCCTTCAGTGAGACAACACGTCATTTTGCAAGTACGAATTTCTAGGAGGTCTTTTCTGTGATCAGAAAGCTATAAAGCACCCATAACAGAAATTCGTCCTGACATACATGCCCATCAGGAGAGAAGAGAGACTGGTGTTATATGCACCCCAGCCCCCAGATAGGAAGATTTGCAATGAGGGTAAGCAGTAAGATACTGACTATGGATCAAATATCGTCTAGACAAAAATCAGAATGAACCCTATTAGTTGTCCCATGCCAACTCAGCTTCTTGTAGATTAAGAGAAACAGCCCGTGCAATTACTTCAATAACTTATGCAAAGTAAGATCGTTTCCCAAATTGGAAGTGACAGTCTGGGCCACCTGGTAGGAAAGGCAGCCTGTCCCCAGGAGGGGCTGAGCATTTCTCTCCTAGCTCTTTGGGTATTTGATTGGTCGTGAGATAATCATAATCAAAATCATTACCTCCTTCCCCAGCACCATCACCATCATCCATCTGCCAACGTAGCAGCGCATTGAGTGCAACTTTTCAGTTCCCCTGAAACCAGCTCTAAGGCCTGTGGCTAGGAAAAAAAATACAGGCACCAAAAATATCTTCAGCCTGGGCAACAAAGCAAGACCCCATCTCTACAAATAATTTTTAAAATTAGCTGGATGTAGTGGCATGCGCCTGTGCTTGCAGCTACTCAGGAGGCTAAGGTGGGAGGTATCGCCTGAGCCCAGGAGGTCGAGGCTGCTGTGAGCCTTCATTGTACCACCACACTCCAGCCTGGGTGACAGAGCGAGACCTGTCTCAAAAAAATAAATAAATAAATAAACACCAAAATAGTTTACCAATGTGTGTTTTCCAAATCTGTATATACAGATAACATCAGTTACAAAAAGTTTAGTATGTGCTATCATGGCTAGATGGAGAGGTAGACATTTTTATTTGAATAACTGGGAGAACTAGATTGAGAAAGGTTAACTTGGAGGGCTGCCTGGAAGACGCAAGACTCTAGCCATCTTGAGGAAAGGATTTCTGCCCAGAAAATAGAAGAAACTTCGAAGTTAAAGGCAGGGTCTGCACAAACCCAGAGGCACCCAAGAGGCAGGGAAAGGAGCTGGTGGTTTGTGCAGCGATAAATTAAAAGGCATCCATGGAGCAAATCATATTAAACATGTATCTTGTCCTCAACAAGTAAATTCCAGACACTACTCAAAACACTTAATTTATCTTACTTTGCTTCAACTCCACAATGACCCGGTAAGATGGACACTGTTAAACCTGTGAGTGCCAGGGCTGAGCTTCAAATTGAGGCAGTTGTCTTCAGAGTTCACTTACTTGACCACTACATGAATGAGTAATGAGCTCACGGTCCAATTAAAACTATGTCAATTAAGTAGGGAGAACGACTGTGTTCTAGAGTAATGGAGAATCTTGCAATCACATGAAGGCATTAGGAACAGCAGCCTCAGCCTCTCCAGTTTGGAGCATATAAGAAATGTCTGGTCTCACTCCAGATTTACCGAATCAGATTCTGCACTTTATTATTTTTTTAATTGACAAGTAAAATATGGCATATATTCATGGTATATGACATGATGTTTTGCGATATGTGTACACTGCAGAACAGCTAAATCAAGGTATGTAACATGCATTGCCTGATTCTGCATTTTAACAAGGGTGCCCAGGGTCTCCCTTTATGCATTAAAACGTGAGTGGTGCTGGTCTCAAAGTCTGGGGTCAATAACATAAGTCTAAGAGAAGGAGGGGGCACTGTGGCTGGAAACAAGGCAGGGAGGAGCCTGGATGAGCTGCTTGGTATAAATACATTTTTCAAAGCCACGTACACTTGGCAGCAGTAATTCTGACAGAGGAGCAAGACAGTCATGGTTAAGAGCTAGAGCCACACTTTGGAGGCCAGGGCAGGAGGATCACTTGCACACAGGAGTTTGAGACTGCAGTGGGCTATGATCGTGCCACTGTACTTGCACTTCGGCCTGGATAACATAGCAAGGCCTCATCTTAAAATAAAAATAAAAATAAAAAACTAGAGCCAGGTCCAGGCACTCTTGGCTCTGCCACTTCCTCAGATATGTGGCTGTAGGCATCTTATGAAACCTCAAAGACTCACCTTCACCATTTAAACAGTGGAAGCAAAGGACTGGCTCCTCACTGGGTTGTCACAAAGATTAGGTGAGAAATTCTATATGTGGTGCTTAAGCACAGCACCTGCTAAATATTAACCCTCCACATAAATATTACCTATTACTATACCTATGTCAAAATTATAAATTATTGACATTTAGCTGGCTCTGAAGGTCCCAATTATAGTTGACAATGCCTGGGAAGAGGTTGGAAGAAGGTGCAGAAAAATGCAAAATGCAGCTGAGCTAAATTTCCTCATCCTATCTGGACACAGTTTAAAGCTGTCATCTCATTCTTGACTTTGAATCTTAGAGAAACAAGGGTTACAGCAGCCTTTTCAGAAGAACTTCAAGGCTCAACTTAAATCGAATGTAGACTTAATAGCAGGATGCCTACCTTCAAATCAGCAGGTAAGATAAAAGCAAATTTAACAGACTCTACAGAGCAAAGAACAGAGAAAACAAATGAAGCAGCAAGAAAAGTCTTTGTAATAAATAATTTTTTAAATGACAGAAGATCAAACATATCTATTACGGCAAATATATTTGCACTAAATTCCTCTATTAAAAGACTAGGATTCTCAGACTGGCTGAATAAACGAAATCCATCCATGTGCCACTTCCAAGAGACACCTACAACAAAAGGAAATCTTACAAAATGAAGGGTAGCATGCCCAGGCCTACCCATCGGAACCAAAGAAAGAATGGAGAATAATGCTGGTTTCAGAAAAACCCAAGGTAGGATGCATCAGCCAAGCTCAAGATGGTCATTTTCTATTAATAAAAGGTTCAATCCATAGCCAATGCTAGTCAATAAATAGCCTTTGTGAGTCAAATAGCATGGGCTCAGAATATGTACGGGACAATATTTGGCCAGTACCAAGAAAAACAAACAGAAATAAACTAACTCTGGAAGATCCTAACCAACCTATCTCATATGAAAAATAAAGAACCCCATGCTACCCCATGCTTATAAAATAAATAAGGTTTGTCATACAGAGAGAACACCTTTACAAATGTCCGGGAGTATTTTTTTTTTTTTTGAGACGAAGTCTCGCTCTTGTCCCCCAGGCTGGAGTGCAATGGCGCGATCTCAGCTCACTGCAACCTCTGCCTCCTGGGTTCAAGAGATTCTCCTGCCTCAGCCTCCCAAATAGCTGGGATTACAGGTGCCCACCACCACACTTGGCTAGTTTTTGTATTTTTAGTAGAGACGGGGTTTCACCATGTTGGCCAGGCTGGTCTCGAACTCCTGACCTCAGGTGATCTGCCCACCTCGGCCTCCCAAAGTGCTGGGATCACAGGAGTGAGCCATCGCGCCTAGCCGTCCAGGGGTATTTTTTAAACACACATTAATGAACAAGTTAAGCTTTAACGAAGTCCCCTCAGTAGGTTCTGTACAATCTACTTTCTCAGCCTATAGTGTAAGTGGAAATTAATTTTTAAAAGTCCTGTTGTGACAAGTTCCTAATGCTTAGAAGTTCACGAGCACCTTGGCTAATGCTGTAGTTGAATAATGGGTAGGGTTTGAATAATCCAAGATGGAGTAATGCCAAAGAAATTCTTATTTGCTTTGGAATATGGTCACAAACTCAGGAAAATTCAGCCAGACTTGCCCACTTGTCTGTCCATGCACCCATTCATCCTTCCTTCCTTCCTTACTTCCATCCATTCACACATCTACTCATCCATCCATCCACCTATCCATCTATCCATCTGTGTACCATCCATCCACCCATCACCCACCCACCCATCCATCCATCTACCTACCCACCCACCCTTCCTTCCTTCATTCCATCCATTTACCCACCCCCCTTACATCTGTCTTTCCATCCATCTACCTTCCATCCATCTATCCACCCACCCTTACATCTATCCTTCCACCCACCCACCTTCCCTCTTTCAATTCATCTATCCATCTACCCACTCACCTTTCCATCCATCCTTCTACCCATCCTTCTATTCATCCATCCATCCATCCACCCACCCACCCACCCACTCATCCATCCAACCATCTACCCACCCATCCTTCCTTCCTTCTGTCCATCCACCCACCCACCCTTACATCTATCCTTCCATCCATCCACCCATCCTTCCTTACGTCCATCTTTTCATCCATTCATCTACCCACTCTTCCATCCATCCATCCATCCACCTACCCACCCATGCAACGTGCATTATCTACTCTCTACTAAGTACTACACAAGGTACTGGGAATGGAATAAAAAGGTGAGGTACTGCTTATTAGGAATTTTATAGATCCATAGCCCTGCAAAAAAGAAAAAAAGAAAAAAAAACAGGGTAAGTACAGAAAGTAATTAAAAAGAGGTATGATGATAAGCAATGAGACATCACAGTGTAACAGGAGTAATGAGGTGTCAGGTAAGGTCTGTTTCTCACCTAACAAATATTTATCAGATGTTCATTATATGCCATGCCCAGGAGCTATCACAGTGAATGAGACATATTTCTTGGGGAGCATATATTTTTGTGGGAAGAAATCATGTAAATAAACATGAGAACAAAAAAGGAATATTATTTCAGATCATGCTGAGTGCCATGGAAAAGACAGAACAGGGCAATGGAAAGGGGCATGTTTGAGCCAGGGCAGTCATCAAAGTCTCCTCGGGAGGAGGGACATCAGCTCTGAGAGCCTCATGGATCAAGGCAGGGGCAGAGGCAATGTCAGAAAGGTGACTGGAGCCAGCTGGTGTCAGTGTCAGACTGTCTGGACATAGTCTGATAACAACGGGAAGCCTTGGGACTTTGAGCAGGAATTCCATGTGTTTCTGCTGGATCCCCTACGACAACCTGAGTTCCTCTGGAAGTCAGACACCCTTCTACGCCAAAGTTACCTATGCAGACAGGCGTGCAGCTTCCATGGAGGATCAGATGGCAAATCCTGCTCTAATTACGCTGGTAATTATGAGCTGACACTTGCAGAGCAAGAAAGAACATTCCTTCTGTTAGGAAATGATCAACTGGGAAGCCAGTCCCAGCCTCTCAAACAGGGAAGGCGCTGTGAATTTACAAACAGCTGATGAAAGGAGGTGAGACCCAGTCCAGGAGGGCAGCACAGAAATCACTCTAAGAAATAATTAAGGAGCCTGGAAGACGAGAAGAAGATTTCATTCCAGCATGCACACGGACCCTCCTGACCCCTGGGATAGCATTAAAAAGAGCAAATACTCCCCAGTCAGTCTGACCAAGATTTTAATCCTTGCCCTGTCTGTGCTGAGCCGGGAGACCTGGTAGCCTGGGAAGGTTATTCGCCTATCTAACCCTGAGGATCCCCCCTGCTGCAAATGGGTTTAATAATAATCTTTCTTGCAATGGGGGTTGGGGGGACAATGTTGGGAGGATTACACGAGATCACATTTGTAAGGTGCCTGGAACACAGTAGGTGTACAAGCAATGCCAGGCCCTCCTCCCCAGGCTTCCCTATGCCTCGTGGGTGGAAGCTCTGGAGTGAGGAGGAACCGAAACAGAATAAAAAGGAGGGTGCTGCCAACCACAGAGGTTATTATGCTCCCTGGTGATGCTAGAAGGCAGGGAGAGAGCCGTGATAATAAGATTCTCACCCCGTTTTCTGTGTGACGGCAAATAACAGAGACATGAGAAAAGAGCATCCGTCAGAAGTCACAGAGAAGGCAGACAAGGCAAGGAGATCAAAGGAATAAATCCACCGCAATCTGAAAAACAGCCTGCCTGCTTTCATCTGTCGGGGAGGTGACACAAGGACCCACACTCCAGCCAAAAACACACTTTTTTCCACCCATGCTGCATGAAGCGGGGCTGAGGGCATGGCAGCTTCCAAAACACACCCCCTTCAAGGATAATAAATCTTCTCCTTGGTCTAGCCACATCTCGCCAGGACCTTGATCCCCACTCTAGGCTAGACTCTAGAAATATACCGCTGCCAAGGAGATTTATCCATTTAAAAAGGTCAGAGAATTATTGCCACTGAAGCTTGGGCTCAGAGCAGGTGTAAATACTCCCGAGGTCCCACGAGTGCTTTATCACACTCAGGAGTGAGGACCTGGGGGATGTTCTGCCTTGGGGAAGTTCCTTCCCAGGCAGACCATGTAACTGCCCTGGTGCCTGGAGAGACAGAGGGTTCTCCGGGGGTGGGCACCTACATGCCCATGCCACCTTTTATCATTTTCTTCTCCTTCCCACCTGGGAAGGGTCTCATCTTCAGCTTCCTGGGCTGCCAGCAATGGTAGGGACCTGGATCCTCTCTGTTAGTTTCATAGAGCATCTCTCCGAGAGAAAAAGGACACCACTCAACAGATTCCTACCTCAACCCAGTCACTGAAATACTGAAAAGGCAGAAATGCAAGGCCAGTTAAAAAACATCTCAACTGTAGAGACTAGATCACCTGTTTTTCAATACGCTGGTTCCTGAGCCTCTCTTCAAAGAGGAACAGAACGCCATTTCCTCAATAGGAATTCCCATTTTCTCACATCCGACTAAGAACTTTTTAGCATCTAAAGATGCTCTGGGGGCTGTGTGGATCTGGGAAAGCCGAGACTGTAATGAGTTTTTAAAAGTAATCAATCAGACCGGGCACAGTGGCTCACGCCTGCAATCCCAGCACTTTGGGAGACCGAGGCCGGTGGATCACCTGAGGTCAGGAGTTTGAGACCAGCCCCGTCTCTACTAAAAATACAAAAAATTAGCCAGGCGTGGTGGCAGGCACCTGTCATCCCAGCTACTTAGGAGGCTGAGGCAGTAGAATCGCTTGAACCCAGGATGCGGAAGTTGCAGTGAGCTGAGATCGCACCACTGTACTCCAGCCTGGGTGACGAGAGCGAAACTCCGTCTCAGAAATAATAATAATAATAATAATCACTGCACTGGTATGAAAAATGCTGATGCTTTCAGGGAGCCTGGAGAAGCCTCTAGATGCAATGGGAGGGTTCCAGGCTGCAGAGGCGGACAGACCAGGGTTCAAATCCCAGCTCTGCCACTTACAAGCAGTGTGACTGTGGGCAGGTTACCTCAGCTCTCTGGGGTCCTGCACTCCATGGTAGAAAAAGAGAGATGATGAGACCCAGTTGCTCAGATGCTGCATGGATTTAGGCTGATGGGTTATCATATGGCTCACGGGTGACGCCCACTGAATTGTTATTATTCTGTCAAGTTGCCTTTGACAGCCCTGAGATAGAAAGGTAGAGGGAGAGAGATAAATAGAGATTGAGAGAGACAGACAGAGAGAATGTGTGCATGTGTATCTGGGTTAAACAACCTATCAACAAACCAACGCAATCAAATGACCCAGAAACTGCACAGACTTCCCAACGTTTAGAGGTTAAGGGGCTGCAGTGGGAAAAGGGGGTATACCAGGGACCAGGAATAGACACATTTGGTCCCTCTAGGTGAGAAGAGCCTGTCTCCCCTTCCCTCGATCTCCTACCCCCTTCTTTGCCCAAGCCCAGTGCACAGCCTAGAACCATGCTACCCAGGGCTGATGTTCCACATGCAGGACAGCATGGTGGGTGGAAACACGGGTGAAGGCCAGCCTTGCAGGCTTGAGACCTCGGCTCTGTTCCTCACTCTGGGAGCTCTGGGAGAAACCCTGCTGAGTCTGTTTCCCTTTGTTAAAAGATGGTGACAGCCTGGCACCTCCTCAATAAGTTAAACACAGAATTACCATATGGCCCAACAATTCCACTCCTAGGTATATACCCACAAGAACCAAAAACAGGAACTCAGACAAGTACATGGGCACAAATGTTTATGGTGGCACACTCTTTGCAATAGACAAAAGGTAGACACAACCCAAATTTCCACCCCTAGATGAATGGATAATCATGTGGTCTTGCCTTCCAATGGAATATTATTCAGCCATAAAAAGGAGAGAATGCTACGATATGAATAAACCTCAAAAACATTGTGCTGAATGAAAGAAGCCAGATACGGAAGACCACATACTATACAATTCCATTTATATAAAATATCCAAAAGAGGTAAATCCACAGGGGCAGGATGCAGACTAGCAGTTGTCAGGGGCTGGGGATGGAGGAAGGGGGAGTGACTGCTTAATGGTCGCAGGGTCTCCTTTGGGGGTGACAAAAATGCTTTGGAACTACATGAAGGTATGGTGGCACCGCATTGTGAATGCAATAAAACCCACGGAGCTGCTCACTGTAAAACGCCTAACTTCATGTTATATGAATTTCCATTATAAACTGATTAATAAAGAGGGAAACAATGGTGCCATCACTCAGGCAGCGTAGACAGAAGCAATGAATGCACGTGAATAAGGCACCTGGGATAATCCCTGGCATGTTATAAACTGCTCCCCCACCACAACAAACACTTCATTAGATGCTTCCTTGCTCTGTTGGCTTTTAACAGAGCCCACCTCCCAAACACCCAACTAGTCCTGAAATGACTTGTCTACATGGGGGGTGTGCTGGGGAATGAGCACAGGTGCTGGGATGTTACTCCCCACAAAGAAAGAGGACTCTGAGAAGCTCCCAGCAGTGCAAAATGCCTGAAGGCAGCTGCACCTGAGAGAACCCCTCCACCACCTGCTCCATGCTCTCCAAAGCAGCAGAAGAGGAGGCAACAGACAGGCCAGAGCTTGCCCGCTCTAGTACCCACCTCCCAAGAAAACCTCTACTGGTCAGATCCAGCCATCCCCACCAGGTCCTGCAGAAAGCAGAGTGGTTCAGGGTGACCACAGCACGGGCAGACACCTACCAAGAGCAAGGGAAAAGGTATAAATATGTTCTGTTCTCAGTTCCCAGCCCCAGAAGCTAGAATTAAGCTAAGGGACGGGGCGGGAAGCCAAGTGAAGAAGTAGCGACCTCTGTCCTGAGATGGATCCAATCTCCCAGGATCTCACAACTTGTAACTGTGTTTCTGATAAACCAGCCAATGTCAGCACAGAGAGGATCCAGGTCAAGCCAAAGGGAGCTACACAGCATAATGTGTTCAAGATTCATCCAAGTTGTAGAATGGATTTCTGCTTCCTTCCTTTTTATGGCTGTATAATATTCCACTGCATGGATAGACCACATTTTATTTGGACATGTCAGCTATTTCTCCTTTTGGCTTCCATGAATAATGTCACTGTGAAGTCGTGTGTCCATGTGCTTGTTTGAGTACCTGTTCTCAGCAATTTGGGGTATATATGTAGGAGTGAAATTGCTGGGCCATATGGTAATTCTATGTTTAACTTTTGGAGGAACTGCCAAACTGTTTTCTTGGTAAAAGAAGCCAGACACAAAAGGCCACTTACTATATGATTCCACTTATGTGAAAAACTCAGAATAGGTGAGCCCACAGAGACAGAATGCAGACTGGTGTCTGTCAGGGGCTGAAGGGAGAGGAGAACAACAGGGGAGACTGCTTAATGGGTACAGGGCTTTACTTTGGCATGATGAAAATGTTTTGGAAGTACAGAGAGGTAGTGATTGCCCAACACTGTGAAGGTACTAAATACTTCTCAATTGTTCATTTGAAAATGGCTAATATTATGCTATGTGAATTTCACCTCAACACAATTTGTTTAAAAAGGAGCTACTCAAACTCTTCTACCCATAACTGGCAGCCAACAGTAGGAACCTGGGGAAGGGTGGACAGTAAGAGGGGTGGGAGGAGGAACAAGAGGGCACAGAGCATGCCCTAATCACCACTTAAATGACAGCAAGCATAGATTCCGCCTCCCCACAAAGCCTCCTTTGCCACTTAAACCATCCCCAATCCACTCAAGGGCCAGCCATGCAATCCTCTCCAATCCTATTACACAGGAAATTTACATATATAATAAAAAGATGCTATCTTGACACTAATCTTGAGGAAAAACATTCTTACATTTGTATTAATTTTCCTTCTCAGGTTTTAATTGAAGAGTGGATACAACATCGTGGAGGAAATAAAAATCTTACTTCCTCTATCCAAGGGCCATGTGGCTTCATTAGAAATTACATTAGTTCCTTATCAAGCAACAATAATAACGTAGAGTTGAAATCGATTTTAAAAAATGCATTGCCCTAAGGTATAGATCTGTTTGGTTCAATTATATTCTTACATGGCCAAGCTCTGGTACCTCCAGTGCTAATAAAATTGTGGCATAATGCAAGGATGTGGGCTTCACTCACCTTCAAAGTTCAATGATGAAATATAGGCAAGCACCCTCATTGTTCCCAATAAGAAGCTGTTTAACTGCCTGCCTACCCCTCAACCCTGGCAAAAATGACTTCATTTCTGGAGCTCATACATTAAAGATGCTAAGTATGTTTGATCTCATGAGCCTTCCCTGATCAATTAGTAGTGACCTTCTTGCTAAGGGATGAACTGTGCTGTGGTTGATTACAGATGTCTGCCCTGGGCAGTGAAGTTGCAGGGCTGTGACGCAAGATTTTTCTATTGCTTTCATTTCCACTAGACTTCACAGACATCCTAAGTCAGGACAAAATGAGCACTTACCTGACCCTCAACCAGGCTGTATGGCAGGCACAGTAGATCCTGCATTAAAAAAAAAAAAGAGAGAGAGAGAGAGAGAGAGAAGAAACATTGAGTCTACATTGAAACAATTGCTTTGGCTTTGTTTTTCTCTTAGATTTAAAAAAGAATGTTTTATTCATTCATTCTCAAAACGTCCATTAAATGCCTAACATGTGTCAGGCTCTGTTGTAGGCTCTGTTTTTGACAACAAACAAGATGACAAATGGCTGCCATAAGACAGAAGGAAGATGGGGGAGAACATGGTAAATAAGGAAGCTAACCAATAACTATTAATAATAAATGAAGATCAGATCAGAATGATAATTCCTATGATGATAACAAGATGAATTACGGGGTGGAGAGTAACTGGTGTTACTTTAGACTAGGAATCAAGGAGCACTGAGAGTGGAATGACAAGAAGGAGACTTCCATATGGAGGGATGGCAGGTCACACTCCCTGGGGCAGGGACAATGGACAAGCTCTAGGAGGCAGCCTGGAGCAGCCAGAACCATCAAACCGAGTGATGGGAGAGGCAAAGAGATGATGTCAAGGAGGCAGGCAGGGACCAGAGCATATCTAGCCCTACAGGTTGAGATAAAGAGTTCAGGTGTTTTTCTAAGCAATATGGGAAACCACAGGAAGATAGCATTTCTTTCTTAAAACACCCCAGCTCCTGAACTAGGATTCCCAGAGGGCACACACAGAAACCCTAGCTGCCTTGAGGAAGACCTCACTCTGTGAGTACTCTCTGATTTCAGGGCCCCAGGAGTTGAAATACCCCCTCTGCCCCCACCAGGCTCTGAAATCAGCCAAGCACCTCCGTTGGGTCAGGACCCAACTCCTCCCCTCACCAAATGCAGCCCCCATGGAGGAGATCAAACCCCACACATGCTCCCCTTGGTCTCAGAAGGCTGAGTCAGTTGCTTGCACAGGAAGGACCCTGGCTTAGTCAAAATGGCAAGGGCCCACTGCACAGACACTGTATGGAACATGAATCTGAGGGCCAGCCTGCCCCGAGCCCAGCACATCACTCTTCAAGCCAAGAACACCTTCTCTTTCTTTCTCTCTCTGACGCAAGCTTGCGCTTCTGCCGTATTCCAGAATTGAACAAGACGATTTCCCACCTAAAGTGGGAGAAGATACCATAACTCCCTTTTTTCTTGTCAAAACGTCAGACCTTTCAGGGTCCCCATGAACTCCACCAGCACCTCCTCTTCCTGCCCAGCCAAGGAAATTGCCCCAAAACCAACTGGTCCCATCAAGGGCTCCAGACTCAACAAGGTGCCCCTGGGAGCTTACCCACCGCAGCACCGTGGACAGAGACCAGATGCAGCTCTGCTCTGCTGCCCAAGGTCTCAGGCACAACATATCTGGCCATTCTGGAGAAAGCCACATTCAACCCTTGCAGTCCACGGGACTCCACTTGCTGAGTCTCAAATTCCTCAGCCTACTTCATAGGGTGACGATTCAATGAGGCCACGCATGCCTGGTCCATGGAAAAACATCCACTGAAGGCCTGAGTGTTAACAGCTATTATTAGTATGTTTGTTATAGTTCTTAGATGAGCCCATGACCATGAAATTAACAACGAACATGGGCTAGGGTGAGTCAGCTCCATCTCAGCTGCATGAAGAGGAGTCCTGGGGGACATGACTTTGACCTACAGTCACAATTTGAAAACAGGTAATCCACAGAGTAGATGCTGGATACACACCTGGAGAATGAGCTGTTTCTCCCAGCCTTGCTCAAAGGCTGTGTTTTAAGCTGAACTGCACCCCGCCCCACAAAACTCCTGTGTTTGCAACCCCAAATCTAGGACTTCTGAACGTAATTGACTTGCAGACAGGACCTTTAAAGAGGTGATTAAATTAAAATGAGGCTGTTAGACTGGGCCCTGATCCAGTCTGACTTCTGTCTTCATAAGATGATGAAATTTGGACACACAAAGAGGTGTCAGGGATGCAGCAGCAGAGAAGAAAGGCCAGGTGAGGACGCAGCAAGGAGATGGCCACCTACAAGGCAAGGAGAGGGGCCTCAGAAGAAACCAATCCTGCTGACACCTCGATCTTGGACTTCTGGACTCCAGAACTGAGAGAAATAAATTTGCTGTTTAAGCCACTCCATCTGTATTACTTTGTTACGGCAGCCTGAGCAAACACACACACACCCAGGCAGATATGGCTTTTCTCTCCCCTCTGAAAGGTGCAAAGGAGATGGTCTGTGGTTTTCAAGGTCCTCTCCTCCCAGTCTCCAGACCCCTGTGTCAGCTCAGGTGGGTCTCTGCCCTCAAGCTCCTAAAGGAGGTGCCTGCAGACCAGGGTCTGCACACAGGGGCTGAACAGATACAGACCTTCCTCCTGGGCTCCTAGAGCCACACCCTGTGCCTCCCCAGCCCCTCCTCCATCCATCATGCCTCCCCTTCACAATCTCCAAGCCCTCCTTCTCTATTGCCTCCTTTCTTGGGACTCAGAAACGCACCCAAAGCTCACCACATTATCAACTACACAGCTCTGTTTTCTTTGCTTCTTGCCATCCACCCTCCACAGCTGGGCTGAATGCTGGAGACATGATGGGGCACAAACAGAGGAGGCCTCTCGTGGCGCCCTACAGTCTGGGGAGGAGAACACTGTACTGAGAGAGCTGCAAAAAAATCCACATAAAGCTACAGCTCTGAAGGAGAAGGAGATGATGCAAGGACCCTTGGTCCCCTGTCATCTACTCCTCAGTGCCTGGGTTCCCTGCCCACCCAGAGAGCTTAGTCCACAACTAGAATGCTCTCCAGTGACTCTCCCTTCTTCAAGCTCTGTCGTGTCCCCTCTCTGACATCTTTTCCTAAGGCGTTTCCTCCTTTCTCTATGCCTATCCTAGGAATGCAAACAACCCGTAGGGTCTGCCCTTTGCCCTCCAAGAGAATCATTCACCATGGCATCTGGACCCCAATGTCTACCCCACTGGGGACCCCTGACTGTGCAGTTCTAGTCCCAACTGCTCTCCTGAGCACCAGACTCAACGGACCATCCTCTTGGCCTCTCCACATGGGTGTCCCACAGACATTATCAACTCCACACAGCCCAAGCCCAGCTCTCCTCTCTCCCCAGCTGTGCCTCCTTCCCCTCCTGGCACCCAGAAGGCATCCCCGTTCTCCCAGCCCATTGAGCCTGAAGCCCTGGCACCTCCTGATTCCCTCCTCCTGCTGGTCCATCACGGGGCTATTGATCCATTGCAGCTGTGCACAGCATGATTCTCCCAGGCCTGGTTATGGCAGTGAGAGGCTCTTCAAAGGCTGCTGGACACCTCTCTTTGTTCTGCTGAACACAATTTGGCTGAAAGCAAATTTGTTCAAAATAGACCTCCCACAGTGGTTGCATTTCTGGGTGTTGTAATCTTGCTGTTGCCATGAAGTGGATTTTTTTTTATTATTTCTTTTTTTTTTTTTTCGAGACAGTCTCACTCTGTCACCCAGGCTGGAGTGCAGTGGTGCAATCTTGACTTACTGCAACCTCCATCTCCTGGGTTCAAGCGATTCTCCTGCCTCAGCCTCCCGAGTAGCTGGGATTACAGTTGTGTGTCAGCACGTCTGGCTAATTTTTGTATTTTTAGTGGACACAGGGTTTCACCACGTTGGCCAGACTGATCTCAAACTCCTGACCTCAGGTGATCCGCCTGCCTCGGCCTCCCAAAATGCTGGAATTACAGACACGACCCACCACGCCCGGCCACCATGAACTGGTTTAAAACACTTTTATGCATCTTTAAGCACTTGGATCCATTTATTTCTCTGTATTATTTTCATTTTATTTTTTCATTTAGAAACTCAAAATCTAGTATTGCTAAGCTCAATGGTAACTAACAGCAGACAGAGGAGAATAAAGAGATCAGCTTCATAGAACAGTCACTTGAAAAGCAACGCACTTCATGCCACTGAGCTGCCCTGCAAAAATCCATTTTCAGTATGTGTGATCCCAGAAAAGTAAGGTGTCAGTTGGATTTATAAAAAACAAAATCCGTATTATGTTACCAACCAATCCTCTTTGAATTATAAAGGAAGAGAAAACTCCCTACTACTCTCCAAACTCAACCCTGGAAGTACAACCAGGGATGCAAGGTTGACGTGTATTCTTCTAACCATTTTCCTAAAAATGCAAAAATATATCTATCTATCATCTATGTATATATACATACACAAAAATACTTTCATTTTTTAAAAATGGACCAAGGATTAGATGTTGATCTGCTCACTTTCTTTTTATAAATGTATCAATTTAGTATGAACACCTTTCCCAGACAAATCATGGATAACTGGGTTTCTTAACTTCAGCAACATTGAAAATTCAGGCCAGATTATTCTTTGTCGTGGGGCTCGTCCCATGCCTGTAGGACCTTTAGCAGTGCCCCTGGCCTTTACCCACCGAATGCCACTCTTACATCGCCTCCTCCAATTATAACAACCAAAAAGGACTCCAGAAGAGGCCAAATGTCCCCAGGGGACCACAGTCCAGAGCCCTTAGTGTGGAGACACCAATTCCTTCTTTCCTAACAGGTGCGTAGAATTCCATGCCATGGATGCATCATAATGTATTTATTTCCCTACTGATCAGCATCCAAAATTCCTAAAAATACCACATTTTTAGGAATTTGGTAGTTCAAAACTATCACAATGTACAAAGTAAAGGGCCACTTTATACTCTGGTAAAACTTGAGTTATTGTGTATCCTGCTTCTTTAAAACACACAGGTGTTCCATGTGCATTAGAAACTCACTGGGTTTCGGCCGGGCGCGGTGGCTCACGCCTGTAATCCCAGCACTTTGGGAGGCCGAGGCGGGTGGATCACGAGGTCAGGAGATCAAGACCAGCCTGGCCAACACGGTGAAACCCCGTCTCTACTAAAAATACAAAAAATTAGCCGGGCGTGGTGGCGGGCCCCTGTAGTCCCAGCTACTCGGGAGGCTGAGGCAGGAGAATGGCGTGAACCCGGGAGGCGGAGCTTGCAGTGAGCCGAGATAGTGCCGCTGCACTCCAGCCTGGGTGACAGAGCGAGACTCCATCTCAAAAAAAAAAAAAAAAAAGAAAGAAAGAAAGAAACTCGCTGGGTTTCTTTTATGCTTGCTCATGGGATGTAGGCAAGCACAGCGTTCCACCTTTTGTTGAAAAGAGACGGGTAATCTTTAGTGCCAGTGATGGTGTGAGGAGCTGGCACCCTCCTACACCACTGGTGGGAGTGGAAATTGGTGCCACCTTTCTGGTGGGCAACCAGGCAAAATAGATCAAGAGCCATCTGCCCTGTCTAGCTATATATTTTTTGTTCAGTAGAACTGGGTAGATAGCTACCCCTTGTCCCTTCTCTTTAGACTCTATGAGCTCAGTGAAGCTGGATGGCTCTCAAAGATAAATGCCTGGCCCTTCTCAGAAAGACAATTAATGAGCTCAGAGACTGCTTAAACTGAGATGAAATGTGAGATTAACAGACACAGGGCCATCCATCCACCCTGCCAGCAGGCTATCTCCTCCTCACTACACTGTTTCATTAGGTTCTGCCAAGGAAACCCACCAAATGCACCGTGGCCACCAGGTCTATTTTTGAGATAATTACAAGGCTCGGGCTTGAATCCACTTAAAGGCAGAAATATGGGACAGGCAAGGATTAAGGCAGACTCTGCCCCTTTTTCCTCAGCTGAAAATGTCCCAATAGGCTTTAAAGGGAAGAAAAAACTGCATGAAACTTTCATCAGAGCCTGGTTGGTTGCAGCTGCAGGGCCCAAAGTTTTAGTTCTGAACAGTGCCCAGCACAATAATTAGGTGCCTGCCCTCCCTGCCAGCCTGCTGGTTTCCTCAGCCACCCCCTCGCCTCTCCAAGTCTAGAAATGAGTGCCTCCAGGGGAAAGGAGGCGTGGGAAACGCTAGGAGAGGCAGAGGCGGCAGAGTGCGGGGCAGATCATCGAGCCTCTAATTGCACTCTTGAATTAATAAACCAGTGAACTCTGCACAAGTTCAGATGTTACCACTCTATGCACCACTATTAGAGATGCAGCCATTCTCTGCTGGTCTAACCTTGCAAACAGCAAGACCACGACGGGGTTCAGTCACCTTGGGAGCTGGCTTTCTGTTTTCCTCTCCAGTCTGCAATCTCATAGAAGGCACACCAAGAATGCAAAACTGCAGGAGCCCCTTGGAAATGACGGGACCCCCACCCCAGTAGAGAAAATGAGACAGGAAGTATTTCTGCAGACATTCCTTTCCTTGTCATCCGTTTCATGAGCAGAATTTCAACCTTGACATCTGAGCACATCCCTTCACCACCCACCCCCCTTCCTGATGACAAGTGACAATATGTGTAATCGCTACTACGCGATGCCAAAACAGTGCCAGCCAGGTGATGTGCTCCGCTCCTGCAATGGGATTAGGACTCAGATTTATCTCTGTGCTTTTCCTTTGTGCCTTCCTCGAATGTGAATCTTCATCACTCAGAGGCATCTTCCTCGCCTAAGGGAAGATTAGGATTACTTTAGCAGGCATGAAAAGAGGAGGAAACAGCAGTCAGCCCTTTTGATATCTAAAGGAAGCTGCAGAACAAATGCCTACAGAACATTCCTCACCCTTCACTGGAAAGCATGTTGCTGTGACAAGGAGCACTGTCAGCCGAGCCCTCACCATCATCTGGGAAGAGTCCTTTACAACCATCAGCTGCCCAAGGACTGTGGGTAGCACAGAAGTGTTTCTCCTGGGCCCTGAGCCTCTGCAGGACCCCAACAAAACTTATCTATGTGATGTGCCCCTCTTTTCAATGGTGCCCTCTCCTTATTCAAAGGAAACTTACAAGTCCCTTAAAATATGAGGGAGGTGCAGTGGTGTAGATGGGATAATGGTAAACTCCATCCCATTATACAAGAATTAAAACGTTTAGTCCTTATGATAAGACCACAAGATTATTACTATTCCTGCTTCAACAATCATGAAAACAGAGAAGTAAAGGTCTGAGGGTTGCAAAAGTCAGTGGGCTGGGATTCAAACCTTCTCTGTCTGATTCTGGTTCCAAGACCCCTCTTGTCCACTGAGTCTCTCATATACCTGAGGTTCTCATTTGGCATTGTGCCGACTTTACACTAAAAACATGCCGACTTTACACTAAAAACATGCCGACTTTACACTCCTAGCTCCTTACCTGTCTCCCCATCCAGAGACTCATCATTGACTTTTAGGAAACAGAATCAGACAAAACAGGAAAACTAAACATGCAAGTGTAGGAAGGAGGCCATGGAATGTCTTTGCAGCTGAGAATAAATCAAGCTTTGTCATAAAGAACTCGGAGTGGCGACACGGAGAGGCAGTGAAGATTAAGGTGTTGTTGGAAGGGATGAAGAGAAGGAGAGAGACTCGAGAAATATTTTGGAGCTGTTAATCTCACATTTCATCTCAGTGTAAGCAGTCTCTGAGCTCAGAATCAAGAGGACTTGCTGGTAGGTCATGGTGTGAATGTATGCAGGTGCGTGTGTGAGCGTGTGTGTGCGTGCATGTGTGTATGTGTGCTGTGAGTCGGGGAGGAAGGGTTAAGATCATGACCTCTCATTTCCCGACTTGCTTTTTTGGTGAAGGACGATTCTTATTAATAAACTGAAAAAGATTTGTGGGGGAAGGAAAAATTGGGGGATCGTGAGAAAGTGTTGCACAGACATGAGACAAGTGGACATGCGGCATTTGAGATGGCCTTGAGACATCCATTTAGAGTGGTCAGGCGGTTGGTCACGTGAGCCTGGGATTCAGAGAGGAGGTCTAAACGGAAGCATGGATCTGGGGACCTGAGAGCCTTTCCAGGTGGTTTAGCAAAGTGCTAAGGGTCTTCTCTCTGTGTCAAAATCCACCTGGGGTCCCACAAAACCCACCACACTGCATGGGATGCAGTCAAGCCTGAAGACCCATCTGAATAGGCGAGCTGGAGCTATATCTGCCATGCAGATGGGATGAGGAGCAGCTGATCTGAGATTAGGATGAGGCCCTAAGCACAGAGGACAAGGGTCATATCTGGTTTACATGCCAATGCATGTCCACATGTGGAGATCATATGTCATTACTGCCTAGAATGTGGGAACTCCATCGCCAAGAAAAGGGGAGGTTCACCAGAGACTCTGAGAGTCACCAAGAGGCCAGGGCATGGTGAGCAACAAGGAAGCAGAGATCTCCCTTAAGGGAGCATCTGCCCTGGCTCTTCAGAGATATGGGATATGGAACATCACATGGGCCAAGAGTGGTACAGAGATGGAAGCATCTTGATGGAGGAGAAAAGAGCCTGGAAGAGTTGAAGCCAGGTGCTCTTGGCTTCTGCCACAAGACTATGAGATCCATTAGCAGAGGGATCATATCTACCTTGTTCTCTACTATATCCCCAGAGTTGGCCATTCCTGGTACCCATCAGGAACTCAGTAAGAACCAATACTGTGGAAGGGTGAATGGATGGACGGATGGATGCATGAAGGCAGAGATGAATAGGTTTAAGTTTTGTTATATTCTCCTGTTGTTAGGAATACAGATAGCCAAAACTTAAAATTCCTTAAAACCCAGTTGCCTATTTGGATTCATGGCAACCTGAAAGCACTTCCTTCAAGAGCAGTAGAGGGTCATAGTTAAGAATGTGGCTGGGATGGCCCAGTCTAGGCTGTGAGGCCTTGCCTAACCTTTGAGGCTCAGTTTTCACCTATGTAAGGCAAAATAATAACTGTACCTGATTCATTTATCTCTAATGAGAATTAAATGAGATAATCCATGTAAATTGCACAGCACAATACATTATATAGCTTCCCACTTCTTCTCATTTCTTCTCATTCCTCAAACATCAACTCTCGCTGTGCTATGGTGCCCTCCCGGCTACACCACCCATCCACAGACCCTCAACCCCCTTCCTCCCCACCGTTTTTTTTCTTATTCCCATGAGCTCTAATAAATCATTGATTCATCGATGACATAGAAAATGACTACATGCAGCACATGCTGGGCTGACAGTGCTAAAGCCATCATAATCCAACTCCAAAGCAAAGAGTATCCAGCACTTAATTTTTAAAATGTAATATATATTTAATGCAACATTAATATTTAATTCACTTAATGCAATATTTAATTTGATATCCATTGCAAATAGAAATAGTAAAGAGATTAATGATTTACACAAATGATCTCCTATTCTGTTCTTAAAGCATTTTTTTCTGCCCAGAAGACAATTTTCTACCCCCAAGACAGCAAAGAGGGGAGGCTATTCAAGTTGGTTCTTGTAAGTGGGTCAGAGTTCTCATCTTGTGAGTGGGCTTGGCCAAGAAATGGCAGTCATGGCTTTCGTTTATTCATATAGTTAAGGAGGGCATGTTATGTGTAGGGCACAAGGCTAAAATCTGCTGGGAAGAAAGAAGGAACCCTACTCTCACAGAGCTCATGGTTCAGTGGAAAGAAAGACAAAATTCTGCAACAATTAAAATAAGTACCAGGAAGTGAGTCCACACAGATAGTCACACTGGGCCCCAGCAGGGCACCTAACCCAGTTACAGGGGTGGGTGCATTGTCCTGGAAGGCTTCTTGGAGAAAGCAGTATCTGCACTAAGACAACTTAAGAAAGAGGAGAAAGAGTGCTCCATGCAGACGAAAGAGTTAACTCAAAGGCTGCTATGGAACTGAATGCCTGTGTGGCCCCAAAATTCCTCAGATGGAGCCCTAATCCTCAATGTGATGCTCTTCAGAGGTGGGTCCAATGGGAGGTGATCAGCTCATGAAAGTGGAACTCTAATGAATGGGATTAGTGCTCTTATAAAAAGAGATAGATGGGCTGGGTGCAGGGGCTCACACTTGTAATCCCAGCACTTTGACAGGCCGAGGCAGATGGATCACCTGAGGTCAGAAGTTCGAGACCAGCCTGGCCAACATGGTGAAACCCCATCTCTACTAAAAATATAAAAATTATCCAGGTATAGCGGTGCATGCCTATAGTCCCAGTTACTTGGGAGGCTGAGGCAGGAGGATCTTGAACCCGGGAGGTAGAGGTTGCAGTGAGCCAAGATCATGTCACTGCACTCCAGTCTGGGTGGCAGAACAAGACTCTGTCTCAAAAAATAAATAAATAAAGGGACAGATGATCTCTCTCCCCACCATGTGAGGACACAGTGAGAAGACAGCCATCCACAAACCAGGAAGCGAGTCCTCCCCTGGAACCAAACCGGCCGGCACCTCAATCTTGGAATTCCCAGCCTTTAGAACTGTGTGAAATAAATTTCTATTGTTTAAGCCACTTCACCCATATTTGTTATAGCAGCCCAAACGGACTAAGATAAAGGCCTAGAGGTGGAATGTGCTAGAGACAAGAAAGGTTTAAAATGGCTGGAGAAGAGAAGTGGGGAGTGGCTTGAGGCAAGGCGGGGTCTCAGGAGCCATGTGAAAGGGGTTAGGTGTTATTCCAAGGGGGATGAGATTCAAGCATTGGAATTACATGACCAGGGCTGCCCTTCACAGGGGCCATCCTAGTTGGAAGAAAGTTCCCCAGCTAACAGCTATTAAAGAAATCAAGAGAAGAGAGGTATCCAAGGAAATGGGAAGAAAATGGGCAGATTCAAGAAATATTTCATACACTGACTTGACAGGTCTTGGTGACTGTGTGTGGCAGGTGAGAAAAAGGAACAAAGCAAGGATGATGTGTAGGTCTTTAAAATGAACAAGTGGGTGGGCATATTAAATAAGTGGTATCAATCAGAAACATCATTGCTATCATGACTATCATCATCATCACCATAGAACCATCACTGACCCTCAGGGACTACCAAGAATGATTCTATTTCCACAACCCAACCTTTCAAATCCGTTCCCCGAAAAGAAGGTAACCCATGGGAGGTGGAAAACATGATGACAGACAAGGCGAGTTTCACTTTTTTTCTCCCTACATGAGTCAAAAAACCCAACACAACCTTGAAATAAATATCCAACATTTGAGGATTGGTTAAATGAAGTATAGCACGTTCATATCATTGAATATTATGCAAGCTGTTGAAATGACATTTCAACATTTTGTCTAGTGGCATGGAGAAATGGGCTTAAGGTATTGTAAGTTTTTTGACTATAGATAGCATAACCTCATGTTAAGCACGTTTTTTTTTTAAAAAAATGATATATGCCATAATATTATCATTAGTTGTCTTTATTTCTTCTTGTGTATTTTACTCCATTTTCCAATTTTTTTCACATTGCACACATATTACTTTCATATTCTTAACATTATGAAACTCAACAAAAATCATGAGATTTAATTTATTTAGAACAATGCCTGATAAAAACACTGGAAGCCTTAGGTTAATGCTCTGAATTGCCACCCCAACGTGAAGGATATAGTCAAAGGCTAATTTTAATGTTCCAACACCAATCACCTTTATTTCAAGAATTTATTTCTCGAAACCAGGGTTCTCTAGCCAAGCACCCTTCACCCTGCATTTCACTTCTTGGTCAGTATTGTGTCCATGCTGCCATCTTTCTATTAGGAGAATGGGCAAAGAGAATGAAAGTGACCGCTAAAGGGCTGCCTGTCTATGTTGCTGAAAATCATATGCATGGAGAGTAAAAAGGGAAATAATGGGTCTGCGTGAGAGAAGGGAATCCAGATGAGTAAAATATCATAGAAACCTAAGGGAGAAAAAAGGCATACTGAAAATGTATGTGGTTACCTTAGGTAAGAATGAAAGAAAGAATCTCAAATATTCTCCAAGGCCTCCTTGGGGTGGTTTTGAAAACAAGACCCTAAATGATTTGATACCCCTCCTATCAAGAGGTGGAGTGATATACCTTCCTTTGAATCTGGGAGGGCTCAGGACTGCTTCAACCAGCAGAGTATGGCATAAGTGATACTAGGCGGCTTCTGAAGCCATATCATAAAAAGCCATATATCTGTCTTGGTCTCTTGGGAAATTCACTCTCTGGGCACTCCCTCTTGGAAACATGCCACTGTGTTATGGGGAGCTCAAGTTATACAGAAAGGCCATGTGAAGGCACTCTGGTCAGTAACCCCAGCTGGGCCTAGTCTTCAAGTCATTTCAGATGAGGCCCAAGACATGTGGAGTAGAGTCAAGTCATTCTGATTGTGGCCTGTTATATCAGTCAAGGTACTTTAGAGAGAAAGAACCAACAGGAAAGCGAAGAGAGACATAGGGAGAGAAAGAGACAGAGAAAGAAAGAAAGAGAGACAGACAGAGAGAGAGAAAGAAAGAAAGAAAGAAAGAAAGAAAGAAAGAAAGAAAGAAAGAAAGAAAGAAAGAAAGAAAGGAAGGAAGGAAGGAAGGAAGGAAGGAAGGAAGAAAGAAACAAAGGAAAGAAAGAAAGAAAGAAAGAAAGAAAGAAAGAAAGAAAGAAAGAAAGAAAGAAAGAAAAGAAAGAAAGAAAGGAAAGAAAGCAAGGAAAGAAAGGAAAGGAAAGGGAAAGAAAGAAAGAAAGAGAAAGAAAGAAAGAAAGAAAGAGAAAGAAAGAAAAGAAAAGAAAAAGAAAGAAAGAAAGAGAGAGATTTTAAGGAACTGGTTTACCTAATAATTATGGAGGCTGCAAAATCCTAAATCTGCAAGGTGGATAACCAAATAGAGACCCAGGTAGAGTAGATGCCATAGTTCAAGTCCAAGGGCCACCTACTGCAGAATTCCCTCTTGCTCAAAGGAGGTCAATCTTTTCTTCTATTCAGGCCTTCAACTGATTGGATACAGCCCACCCACATTGTAGAGGGCAATTTACTTTACTCACCACCTACCAATTTCAATATTAATGCCTTAGATAAAAACACCCTCACAGAATAACATGTAACCACATATCTAGGCACTGTGGTCCAACCAAGTTGATAAACATTAATAAAATTAACCTTCACACCTGCTCAAACTTCTGACCCACAGACTCTAAGAGTTTAATCAGATAGTTGTTTTATGCCTCTAAGTTTAGGGTGGTTTGCTACACAGCAATGCAACACTGGAATATCTCTTGATAGACACTATTCCCTCCAGAGGGAAGTGTGAAGGACTTCGGCCAGAGATCTCTGTACCTAGGAGGCTGGAAGTGCCTGTTCTCTCAGTGAGAAACTGCATTTCACCTTGAGTCAACAAGAACGAGGAATAAAATCCAAACTTCAAATAAAACCCAAACTCCTCATACAGGCTGGCACGATTTGGCCTCAGCCACCTCTCTGGCCTCATCTTCTATGACTCTCCTTTTCCCTCCCTCTCTTTAGTCACCCTTCCTGGAACACACCAACCTCTTTCAATTTCTTTTGCCTAGAATGTTCCTCCCCCATCTTTTTCATACTTGGGAACTAAGCTTAAGTACTCCCTTCACCAACCACCCCAACAAAATCTCCCAGCAGGCAAAGAAATAACAAAACCCTTTCTCCTTCTGCATGAGAACTTACCCTTCGGCTAACTTCCTAGCACTGTCACCCTCGTACGTAAGTAGTCAGGATATCAATTATATTTTTAGGCAACATTGCTTAGAGTAAAGCTGATCTCTAACTGGTGTTTTGCACCTGGTCTGGGAAGAAGTACAAATGAATGATAAGTACCTGATGAGGTGCTGTGCTTTGGATGCCATTACTCATAATGGGATGCTACTTGCAGGGATTCTAAGAGCTCTGCCTATGGTGTATTAAGAGGATATATTGACTCCTATGATGCATGTAGCTTCTGAGCCAAGGCAGAACAACACCTGACCCATGTGGGGTCATTTCCTTACACCAGAGCATGAATTGTTGATGAAGAGGGGTGCCTAGTGCTGCCCTAGTGCTGGGATAGGTGTCCTATCCTCTATCCTTCTACAGTATGTGATGCTAAGAGTGTGCCATGGTATTCTTATGAATCTAAATGTTTAGTTGAATCTAAGATCTTTAATGCACTTCCCTACTCCCATCAATCTCTCTCATATCACCCTGCATTTTCTTCCTGGAACCCTTCACACTTAGTTATTGGTTGTCTGTATATTAACAGTCTGTTCCCTAGACTGTGACCTTGAGGAGGTCAAGGACCATGTCTGTTTCCTCACTATAAACTCAGCTCTTAGTCTAGTGCTGGGACACAGTAGGAGCTTGATAAATATGGATAGATGGAGTGAGAAAAAGGAGGAAGGTAGGGATAGACTGACTGACTGATCAATCGACTGAAAAGATTAGAGGAGGGAATTGCTAGAAAGTTGCAAGGGACAAAGTAAGAGAGGTAAACAGAGTCCCAATAGCAGGAGGATATACTGAAATGCCCAGGAGCAGTGAATCACCCTAAGGGCCTTGAAGACATGCTGAAACATTTCAAGTAAAAAAGTCAAGGTTTCGCAGAGCGTGGTGGTTCACACCTGTAATCCCAGCACTTTGGGAAGCCGAGCAGGTGGATCACAAGATCAGGAACTCGAGGCCAGCCTGAGCAAACCCCGTCCCTACTAAAAATACAAAAATTAGCCAGGTGTGGTGGTGCACGCCTGTAATCCAAGCTATTCAGGAGGCTGAGGCGGGAGAATGGCTTGAACCTAGGAGGCGGAGGTTGCAGTGAGCCAGGACCACGCCATTGCACTCCAGCCTGGGTGACAGAGTGAGACTCTGTCTCAAAAAAAAAAAAGTCAAGGTTTATGGTTTACTTTTCAGAAAGGTCACTGGGTAGCAGTGTGGATGAGGGACAGGTAAGGCAGGGCAGGTGAAAGGCAGAGGAACAAATGGGAATTGTTGAAATGGGTGCTAACAGTCCTGGCGAAAGGCAGTGGGAATGAAAGGAGAAAGCAGTCTCAAGAAATGTTTAAGAAGTGAAATCTGTAGTATCCAGTGACAATCAGATGTGAGAGGCAGAATAGAGGGATGAATCAGCCCGGGTGTAGTAACTCACCCCTGTAACCCCAGCACTTTGGGAGGTCGAGGCGGGTGGATCACTTGAGGCCAGGAGTTTGAAACCAGCAGAGAAAACCTTATCTCTGCTAAAAATACAAAAATTAGCTGGGCGTGGTGGTGCATGCCTGTAATCCCAGCTACTTGGGAAGCTGAGGTGGGAGGATCGTTTGAACCCGAGAAGCAGAGGTTGCAGTGAGCTGAGATCGTGCCACTGCACTCCAGCCTAGGCGACAGAGCAAGACTCTGTCTCAAAAAAAAAAAAAAAAAAAAGAGAGAGAGAGAGAGATAAATCAGAATCAGGAATTAAGACTTGGGGGCTTGGGCCCATGGGGATGGCATTAACCTAGGAGAGGAACCCAGAAGAGGCAATGGGTTTGGGGGTGGAGGGAGATGGTGAATTTGATCTTCAATTTGATGGTGAATTTTATTTTGATCCCCAGAGAGACAGCCATACAGCTGGAGCTCAGGGAGAAGCCCAGAGGTAGGGAAGGTAGGTATCAGAACACATCGTGGGCAGCTGGGAGTTGTAGGCATGACTAAGCCCACCCAGAGAGTATGCAAAGTAAAACTTGAAAGGGCTGGAGAGAAAGCTCAGGTAGCCTGGTACACGAAAAAAGAGCGGAATGAATGAGCTGAGAGGTATCCGTATGTGGAACCCGGACAGGATAAGAGACACTGCCTATCATTAAAACCAGGGACGATGTCTCTCTCCTTCCTTTGAAGCCTCATGACATTGTACGTAGACTTCTACTGAAGAATCTATTTCTTTCTTAAATAATAGTCATTTCTGTTTCTATCTGCTCTTTCTAAAGTACAAGAAGCACCTTCCCGACAAGTGGAGTTCCTTCCATCTTTGAGTCCTCTGAAGTTCCTGCACCTAGTAGGCCCTCAATAACCTCCCCCATCAAATCATTCAAAGGCAGGGTTGGGGTACTAATTAGTTTTCAATGCAGACTAATTGCTTTTTTAAATTCTCATATAAATCTGACTTTTAATAGGTTCTGAGAATCGATGTTTCATTATTTTTCGCCACAGTGGAGATTATCCCTGTTGATGGGTCATTACAAATCATCGCTCTCTGAGAGGTCTCCTTTCTATCTCTCATTTCCTGATCCTTCAGCAGGATATCTTTGTTCTTCAGAGTGAAGTGGGGGTGGAATTAAATGGGTCTTAGAAATTAACAACTGGAACCAATCAGAGCAGAGGAAGAAGAGCTCTGGTTCTCTCACATCAGACAGACTCCATATTGTTCAACAGTAATAAACAGGAGGCTGTGGTTCAGGGACTCAATCCGTTGGATATTTTGAGTGTATATCTGCCATTCCTCGAGTGCCCACTCTGTACCAGGCACTGGCCAACCAGGTTACATGTGACCTAATTTAATCATCACAGTCATGCTGACAGATATGGCCCGTGATCAGCCCCATTTTCCAGATGAGAACACTGAGGCTCGGACAAGCTTACCCTTGAGCTTGCCCAGGTCACAGAGCTATTGAGCTGCACAGGACTGCCCCAAAGCCTGGACATGTTACCCCAAACTGGGCTCCTGTGTGCATCTGGTGCACACTTCTAGCTCTGAATCCCTGCGGTCCCAGACGAGGCTACCCAAAGTCACAAGGGGGCCTGCAGCAACTCCTGCCCAAAGTCCCACTCCCAGCAAGGCATCAGAGCCGAATTCCAGCACGGAGCGGTGGTGGTGGCAAGTTTCCTCCCTGACTCTGACCTCAGAGAACAATCCTTTCTCCTTTCCTTGGCACTGAGATCCCCCTGTGGAGCCATTTGCATAAATCCAAGCAAAACAGTACACTCCAGAGAACAAAGAAAGAAAGGGATGTGCTCAACCTCTCCTAGCAGCGCCAACGCCTTTTGATGCCAGAGAGGCCCGCCCCACACGCAGCTCCCCTGGTTGTACCGCAGCAGGGTTCGAGCATGAGAGAACCATTAGAAGGGGCCCTCCACACTGGCTCAAATTCCCTGTGGTCTGCATGTGCCCAGGCCAAAGAAATCCATGAGTAATAAGCCTGCAGCCAATCGATCACTCTTCTTCCTGGAACCCTTCATAAATCTCAGGGGCTGTTTATGTAAGCAGGACCCAGAGCCTCAGACTTGCCCCCTTGTTACCTCATTTGCATTTTTCTTCAAGGTGGAATGTGTCAGGAGGGAGACAGAATTGAAGGTGCAATGCCACAGGCTGGAAATTCACAAGGATCGGGCTCAAATCCTGCCTGTGAGAGAGACTTTGGGCATGCCACCTCTCCTGCCCAACCCTTTCTTATTTGCACAATGAGGTGAATTACATAGTTCCTGCTTTCTCAGATCCAAGTGGTCAATGCATGCAGGGCACTTACCCCAGTACCTTGCAAATAGATCTCAGCAAATGATAGGTGCTATTATTATTATCTTTACACCACTAAATGCATGTAGAAAGCTCTGCATAGCTTCAGTAAATTAGAAGGGGATATGTACAAAGCTAGAGGTGGGCTGGGTGCAGTGGCTCAGCCCTGTAATCCAAGACCTTTGGGAGGCTGAGGTGGGACGATCACTTGAATCCGGGAGTTTGAGACCAGACTGGGCAACATAGTGAGACTCTGTCTCTACAAAAAATAAAAAATTAGCCAGGCATGGTGGCATACATCTGTGTTTCCATCTACTCGGGGGGCTGAGGTGGGAGGATCACTTGAGCCCAGGAGTTTGCGGTTGCAGTGAGCTGTGATTGTGCCACTGTTCTCATCCTGGGCAACCGAGAGAAACCCTGTCTCAAAAAACAAAGCTAGAGGTGAAACATGTAGTTCTATATTTCCAAGTCAATATTAGACTGCACAGAAAGCATGGGGCCAGATAGATGTGGGTTCAAATCCTGACTGTGACCCTTTAGATCTTGGGCAACTTAGTTAACCTCTCCAAACCTTGTAGTGTTTAGGGTCTGATATGAGGCAATGGCAATCAAAGAATCATGACAATATACATAAACAGAAACTGAGGTTTGTGCTACTGTGAAGGAAAGAAGCACAATTCTGAGAATGCACAATAACAAAGCAACCTGAAGAGATGAGGGGCAGCCGTGGCGGAGACTTCTCTGAGGAGGCTCAGATAAGTAGGCGTCATTAGGGAAAGCAGGGCAGGGGAAGCATTTCAGGAAGAGGAAAGGCCAATTACAGAGCAACTAAGCTGCACAGGACTGCAGGGCTCTGATGCCTTGTCGGGAGTGGGGCTTTGGGCAGGGGATGCTCCAGGCCCCCTTGTGACTTTTGGGTAGCCTCGTCTGGGACCCCAGGGATTCAGAGCTAGAAGTGTGCACCAGATGCACACAGGATCCCAGTTTGGGGTAACGTGTCCAGTCTTTGGGGCAGTCCCGTGCAGCTCAATACCTCTGTGACCTGGCCACGTGCAAAGGCCCTGTGGTGGGAAGGAGGACGGTGGGGTTATGGCAGCCAGGGGGTCTGCAGTAGAGAGTGGGAGGAGACACGTATTCCAAGCTGAAGAGGCAGGTAGCAGGCGGATCATGCCAGCTTTAGGAATAAAAATGTCTTCGAGGACAGAGATCTTTATCTGCTTTCCTCCTAAATGTATCCCAGATGCCTAGAGCAATGCTGGGCACCGAATTTGTGCTCAAAAAACTATCTGCTGCACTTACAAAACGTGTGCTCAGCTAATTTATTACCAGCAAGTTAGTCATTTAGGGGTGGGTGTATCTCACATTGAGCTCTGCTACACGGTAGCCAACGCCAAAGGGAGGGTCCAGGATCCTTGGTTTTCAACAGCTATGAAACGCTGCAGCCCCAGAGTACCCACTCAGTGCAGTTCCATGGGGTCTTCACCCCAGTCTCCTGCCTGCACAGAGGAGACCCAGAAAACACAGTGTGTCTGGCTTGGAAAGTGAGAAGATTTCTTTGTAAGGTAATTTTCAGGGAAATGCTCTGTTTAACAGCCCACATAGGAGAGATAGTTATTTCCCAGCTGTTCATTATATTTCAATGAACAGCCCTATTTTGTGGCATAATGTCCCAAACATACCTTATTCCAGTTTTTTTGCCTCTGGAACACAGACGGTGTTTCCTTTCTCTCTTTGACCCAGCTGGGAGGTAAGTTTGAGGAACAGTTTAGAGTCGAAAGCTTTGACAACCCCATACGTGGGTCTAGTGAAGGTGAAAACATGCAGCGTCCAGGTCTAATTTTACCATCCCTCACAGTTGAAGATGCGGAGGCTTAGCTCTCAGAATTTCCAAAAATTAGGCTGCCCCTATTGACAACCAGATGACCCCTCAATTTAAGAACAGGATGTCAAAAGACATATCCAGCCAATTGTCTAAGAACTGACCTCGATTCACTTCCCATGATAGCCTGTTCCCCCATGTGACTCCACCCCCAGATTCAATTAATTAAACAGGAAGTGAGAGCTGACCCAGAACGACCCACTCCATTGGCTGATCAACAACCAATCACAGTCACTCTACACAGAATGAGTGGGAAAAGGCCAGAGCAGCATGGAGGCCACCTGAAATGAAAAGTGTCACAGGAAACAGGGGTGGTGGCCACTTTCGGCCATGGGTATCCATGCCATGCCAAGCACAGAAGAGGCTGAGCAGTGGGCAAAGCCAGTTCACTGCCATCTGCAGAGAAAAGTGGGAGGATAACATCACGTGCTGAGAGAAGCTGATGAGAGGCCACACAGTCTAGAAAGAGAGAATGGCAGCCGGGCACGGTGGCTCATGCCAGTAATCCCAGCACTCTGGGAGGCTGAGGCGGGCAGATCACAAGGTCAGGAGTTTGACATCAGCCTGGCCAACATGGTGAAATCTCGTCTCTATTAAAAATACAAAAATTAGGGGGGCGTGGTGGCGGGTGCCTGTAATCCCAGCTATTCGGGAGGCTGAGGCAGGAGAACCACTTGAATTCAGTTGCAGTGAAGTGAAGGCTGCAGTGAGCTGAAAGCATGCCACTGCACTCCAGCATGGGTGAAACAGCAAGACTGCGTCGAGAGAGAGAGAGAGAGAGAGAGAGAGAGAGATTGATTGATTGATTGACATTGAATGATGAGAGACAGGGAATGGCTCAGAGAAGGTAAGTAATAGGTTTAAAGTCACACAGCTTATACGGTGCAGAGCCAGGATTTGACCTCATGCCTAACTCCAGGCTCTGAGTTCTTATAATCACACACACTGCCTTCACCAAGAAGGTGGCAGGACAATACTCCTTTGAGGGGAAGGTTATTGTAGGTGGGGAGGGGGTGGCTGCGAAGTGAAAAGAGAAACTACTGGACGCAGAGACCAGCCAAGGGGCTCATGCGGTAGTCACAGCATTACCTCTTTTGTTGATCGTGATGGTTTGTTTGCTTAGAGATTAGCATCTATTGGGTGCTTCTACATACCAGGAAATGTGCTGGTATGGATTCAGATCACTTATCCCATTGACTCCTCACAAGATGACTGTGTGGGAGTTGTTAGTAATCCATGTTGCAGATGAGGAAACGGAGCCTCAGGGAGAAAAGACCACTTCCTAGGGAAGCTGGGATGTCAGCCTACATCTTTGTGGTACCCAAGACCACATGCCACCTAATACACAGTGCCCTCTGCCACGTGGAGCCCAGCTGTGAGAACTAGACTGTCATCTTGGCGGTGGGGATGGACAGGAGGAGGGACTTGAAGAACTTAGTCTAAGCTACCAAGTCACTCTGCTTGGAGTACTGCAATACTTCCTACAGGGTCTTCTGGAATCACAGCGATCCCCTCTCACACCCCCATCTACCTGCCAGAGAAATCCACAGGGGTCTTCAGAGTACAAATCGGATCAAGCCACCCTCCTGTTAAAGCCCACCAGAAGAAAAACAGGAGGAGGAGGAAGAGGACAGGGTGTTGATCTCCCCAGAAATACAAATATATCCAGAGGACCATTTAGGGAGACAACCAGGTTTAATCAACAGGCTAAAGAGGTAGAATCTTCCACAATTCTTTGAGATAAACTGAGGACAAAAAAAAGAGGAAAGAAACATTTCCAGTGAGCATGTTTGAATCTAACTTTCCTGGATTTGTCTATACTGTCTACCATCTTCCATGAGGATGCATACCTTCCTTTTTCGGGTCTTCTGCATGTTTTGAGGTCACTGCACCATTCCTGATGTTTTGCCCACAGAAGCCAGCAACCAGATCATTGTCCCTTTTGCTTGAAAAATGTCTCCATGTGGGTGTCAGTTTCTAGACTCCTATTGTCCCTTTGAGAAATTCATCAGCTGGAATTGTTACTTCCATGGTAAAATTTGTCTTCCTTCATTCCCCATTAATGTCCTACAAGACTGCAGTACAACCCTGACATCTCCAAGTGGGTCTTGCCCAGGGTAAAAATTTACTTCCAAGACCATTTACATCCATCAACAAAAAATCAATGTGATTGTTAAAGGGTCTTTTACTTGTTAGAGCAATAAAGATTCTTCAAACTCAATGTTCTTCTTACTCCTCACATTCCCACTCAAAGCATACCTGGGGAGTAAAATAAGAAAGAAAAAGAACTAACCCTGAGGAAAGATGTTTTATTTTGCAGACGACAGAACTTCTTCGCTTGTTTAAAAGCGATTTAGCATATAGTATGGGTCAGCATGTTCCTCTTTAAGCCATCTAGAAAAATTTAGTGGCAATGATCCAAATTAGCTGAGTTAAATGAATAAATATGCTCTGAAAATGTGAACACTGAGTAACAGGCTGCTAAGTTCCAGGCAGCCCCACCAGAGTGACTCAGATGATGCTACAGAAATAAATTGGGAGATGAGTATAGCGTAGCTCATGGGGATTATCCTCCACCTCTGACTGTCCTCACCTAAAGAAATCCAGAGTTAAGGAAATGGGTGTCCAATGCTACAAGTAGGAGTGCATTGACTTGTAACTGATCGGTTGTTTTAAATTCTTTTGTTTATCCAACAAATATCACCTACTATATATTGCACACTATAATGGTCCTAAGGATAGTCATAAATAAGAGACATGATCCCCACCCTTAGGGAGCTCACAGTCAAGCAAAGATGCCAAAGGCAAACTCCAGGGTGTTGAGTTTGTAGAACATGGAACATTCAAGCCAGGATTTGAAGAGTGAGGAGGAAAAGTCAGAAAGATAAGTCACCTTCATCAAATACCATGTCCTGTTGATTTTCACCTCTAAATATTTGTCATATTAGTCCCCTACTCCCACGTCCCTCACAATATCACTCTGGTCTAAGCTACCAAGTCACTCTGCTTAAAGTATTGTAACATCTTCCTAAAGGGTCTCCTGGAATCCATCCAGATCCCCTCCCACATTCCCACCTACCTGCCAGAGTAACCCAGAGGAGTCTTCAGAGTGCACATCTGATCATGTCACCCTCCTGTTAAAGCCCACCAGAAGAAAAACAGAAGGAGGAGGAGGAAGATGACAGGGTGTTGATTTCCCCAGAGCTAACCATGTCTTGCCATTAGCTTTCTGGCCTGTGACCTTGGGAAAGCTCACTTTCATTGGCTGCAAAATAGGGCTAGTAACAGCATAGAGTAAACTAAACCAAAGTGCTGATATTCAGCTATCCTGGACCTATAAGAATGGCAGTTTCATACAGTTCAACCTAATACATCCATCACAGGGCCATTGTTAGATGAAGTGAGGTGAATACAGTGCCTGGCACACAGAAATGCTCTGTGCATGGTGACTGTTCTCTTCCTCATTTCTCCCTTTACCCAGCCCCATATTTTTCCCTTGTAAAAATTCCCTCTGGCCATTCTGTATAGCCATGCCACTAGCTCCAGAGACATCTGGCCATGAGATCCCGTAATTTCTGGGGCTGGGATGTGGGAGAAGGTACCATTCTCCTCCCCGGGTTACAGCCGATCGGTGGCGCAATCTTCATTAATGGCCAGTTCCGCAGAGCTGACGTCTGCCTAGCACAAGAAAATTGTTTCTGCCACATCCTCCAATAAGAATGATTTTCTTCATGCTCTGTTTGTCTACAACTGTCTTTCCGATCATTCTTGCTATTAGCACATGGTTTACATGCTTGAAATTCAGCCAAAGGAACTGGGTGAAATTTATGACCCACTGACAACTAAAGCTCTGAGTGATCAGATTTGAATATAAATGTTGCAATGAGGTCATCAGAAGCAACAGGTAGCAAGGCAGCCAATCTGCAGTTTTGCCACATCAACAATCCATACTTTAATCTGCTGCCAACTAAAAGCATTGATCAGACCACCTATGTTCATTAATAGAACACAAAACATGTTCCAGCCTCTTATTTTGAGATTATAATTTTTGATGGAGTTTCAAATGCCTCAGTGTCACCTTTGCCAATAATGCTCTGCTCAAACAGAACAATTCATTAGTGCTAAAACCAATTTACTGGAATGGGCTGAAAATCACCTCGGTTTTCTCTATTAACGTATTACAAGATGAAATGTTTCATGAGCCGATGGTTGACATGCCTGACACTTCCTCTCATACTGCTTAGCTCCTCAAGGTGGAAAATCTCCCCTCGGCAAATAAGATGCCAGAGTCAAGCTTTAAAAAGAAGGGGAAAAAAAGCCCAGACTTTCAAAAAATAGGTGACCATTCTTCTAAGTAGCGATAGTCCTGTTCATATTTTCAAATGAATGTATGTCTTGCAAGATAATCCTTAAGATAAATGAAATAATCAAAGCAAAAGCTTAAAGGGGTCCCTGACCCAGAGTAAACACTCAGTAAATATTAGCTATTATATGGGGGAGGCATAAAAATTAGAGTGGTTAAGAATTCAGATGGGCCAGGTGTGGTGGCTCAAGCCTGTAATCCCACTACTTTGGGAGGCCAAGGTGGGAGAATCACTTGAGGCCAGGAGTTTAAGACCAGCCTGGCCAACACAGGGAAACCCCATCTTTATTAAAAATACAAAAATATTAGCTGGGCGTGGTGGCGTGTGCCTGTAATCCCAGCTACTCAGAAGGCTGAGGCATGAGAATCACTTGAACCCAGGAGGTGGAGGTTGCAGTGAGCCAAGATCGCGACACTGCACTCCAGCCTGGGTAACAGAGTGACACTCCATCTAAAACAAACAAAAAACACCAAAACGCAGATGGTAGGTGACATGAGGAGTTGACATCCCTGCCCGATGATTTCCTAGTCAGGTGACCTGGAGCTTAGAATATGCCTCCCTAAGCATTAGGTTGGGTTTTTCCTATCTCTAAAATGAGCACGGCTTAGTCTCCTGGGACTACTGCAACAAGTTATGACAGACTTGTTGCTTTACAACAGAAATTTATTCTTTCTCTCAGTTCTGGAGGCTAGAAGTCCACAATAAAGGTGTCAGCAGGCTACCCTCCCTCCAAATGCTCTAGAGGAGGACTGTTCCTTGCCTCTTTCAGTCTCTAGTGGCTCCTGGCACTCCTTGGCTTGAGGCAGCATCATTCCCATCTCTGCCCTTGTCTTTCCATGTTTGTCCCCCTGTGTCTGTGTCTTCTTCTCTTCTTACAAGGACATTAGACACTGGATTTCAGGTCCATCTTAAATGCAGGGTCATCTCAAAATTCTAAGCTAACCTAATCACATCTGCAAAGACCTTATTTCCAAGGTTGCATGGGGGACATGAATTTGGCAGGGAAGAGACAGTATTCAGTCCACAACAGGGAATAATGACAGCACCTGCTTTTGGAGGACGGTGAGACAGATTAAATGGAAAACATAATGCTAGGTGTGTGGCCAGGTGATGGCACATAGCAGGGCTCAGTAAAGGGATCTAGAAATAGATACAACCACTCTAATTTACACTTCCCAAGCCCAATTGGTTTTTAAGAGCTGCATCCTCCTCCTGGAAACATGGCTGTCCTCCCTTCCCTCGGGGATTTGGTTTTTCTCTCCCCACTGCCATGCCACTTTACGACATTATCATCCTCACCAGCCTCATGTACACAACTTGCTCAGTCACCTCCCTGCCTCCACTCAGCACCCTGTGCTTTTCCCCATAGCAACCACAGTGGACTTTCCCACATGCAGATAGGCTCACATTGAGCTTCCAGTCCTTCAACTTTCCCAGAGCCTGCAGGACACAGTCCAGGCTTCCTTGGCCTTGTGGCCTGGCCCTGGCTCCCTCTGCAGCTCCGCATGAATGGGCTGCTGCTCTCATAACATGCAACATCCCTGTGCAGTACTACTCCCACTGGACGGAATGCCCTTCTACATCCTCCCCCTCAAATGTGTTCCCACTAAATCATCTTCTACTTTCCAGTCTCAGATAAGGCACTGCCTCTTCTAGGAAGTTTTCTTGGTCTGAGCTTCCAAGTCTGAATTAACTACCTTATTGTATATTCCCTGCCTACTTCTAGCAAAACTCCCCAACTCTCTGCATGACGACTGCTTGATTACATGTCTATCTCCCCGGTCATAGGAAGAGTTTCCTACATTCAGGGATAGTGTCTTACTGATTGATATGGTTTGACTGTGTCCCCACACAAATCTCATCTTGAATTGTAGTTCCCATAATCCCCATGTGTCGTGGGAGAGAACAAGTGGAGATTACTGAATCATGGTGTCAGTTTCCCCTATCTGTTTTTCGTGATAGTGAGTGAGTTCTCATGAAATCTGATGGTTTTATAAGAGGCTTCCCCCTTCACTGGGCACTCATTCTTCTTCTCCCTGCTGCCATGTGAAGAAGGACATGTTTTCTGCCCCTTCTGCCATGATTGTAAGTTTCCTGAGGCCTCCCCAGCCATGCTGAACTGTGAGTCAATTAAACCTCTTTCCTGCCAGGAACAGTGGCTCACACCCATAATCCCAGCACTTTGGGAGGTCAAGGTGGGTGAATCACTTAAGGCCAGGAGTTCAAGAGCAGCCTGGCCAACATGGTGAAACCTCATCTCTACTAAAAATACAAAAATTAGCCAGGCATGGTGGCACATGCCTGTAACCCCAGCTACTTGGGAGGCTGAGGCAGGAGAATAGCTTGAACCTTGGAGGTGGAGGTTGCAGTGAGCCAAAATCAGGCCACTGCACTCTAGCCTAGGTGACACTGCGAGACTCTGTCTCAAAAAAAAAAAAAAAAAAACCCTCTTTCCTTTATAAATTAACCAGTCTCAGGTATGTCTTTATTAGCAGCATGAGAACAGACTAATACACTGACCACTGTATCCCCAGAGCCAGGCCCATTGTAGAAAACTGAATGAAAGAAGGAGTTAATGAGTAAATCCTCATAGCTCTATCTACAATAACCTGAAAAATATGACACTGAAATTATGCATATCTTTCAACTAGGGACCCACTACCCAATTTTCTTGCAGCTCTGGGCACAGCCAGACTAGTCCAAACCACATTATTCTAGGTCTGAACCACGGCCCAAGTCAAGGCACTGTGACCCTGGAGACAGACCTTCATTTTCACGATCAATTTGTTCTTGAAAAGCTACTTCCATTAAAATGTATACATAAGGGTACGTAGGAGTTTGCTGCTTGGGAGAAGTATGACAAAGTGAGTCTGGAAAACATAGTTCTAACCAGGTGCGTGACCTTTCGAAAATCACTTAACCTTTTTGGACCTCAATAGCCTCAAATAGTAAACTAGTGAGTTGATCTAGAAGACCAACTCATGGGAATCCCTCCCAGCTCATGAGAATCTCATTCTGTGTTGTTGAAATTCAAATAACTACCCTTGAATTTATCCCTATCACCACCACTGCTGCCCAGCTAAATCTTGTAAAATATATACTCAGCTTCCTTGAAAGGGGATTCATTTGTCATGTGGCTCCTGGCCAGGTAGATCACAGCCTCCAGCCAGTCTTGCTTCTAAATCATAATCTCCAGAGCATCACAGGGATAAAATATTGACTGTTTACCTAGAGCCATGGAGAGTTCCAATCTGGCCTCAGCTGAAATTCTCCTGGAAAAATTAAATGCCATACATTCTCCAAACTCCAATGCAAGTCAAAAAAGTCCTAGAGACTTTAGTCCTTTTGGGCTGAGGCTAAAACAACACCGTGGAAATTTTTTTTCAACCAAAACAAAAGATAACCCATAGCTTTATCCCTGTTCTCTAAACTTGTGATACTTGGCAGAAATTCTTTCTAAAGAAATTCTTTCTAGTCAAAGTTGAAGGGCAAGCATCTTCTAAGAAACTTGGATGTGAATATATAATTGGAAGGAGATTTTGTACCTGGAACGATATCTAAAGAACCAAAGATCCTAGAATTACCAGGGCTGTGGGAGGCCCAAATGTTATGGCGGTGTGAATAGAAACTGCATTTGCACAATGCTTCTTAGTTTTACAAGTGGTCTTATTATACATTATCCCACTGATATAGTCAACCTTATATCCAACATGACACTCATTTCAGGAGGATAAATCATCTTGAATATTTTATCATCTCCCCATATTATTCAACCAATTTAAATACTATCAAATGGTGTTAACAGCCAAACTAATATCTTTAGCTCTGGCATTTATCCTGAGCTGCATAAAGGCACTTCCAAGCTGCCAGCTTGACATCTCCACTTGAATACTTTACTCAGATCTTACAAATTCTAAACCACTCAATTTTAATCTCATGCCCTAACCCTAACTCACCTGCTGCCATGTGAAGAAGGACATGTTTGCTTCCCCTTCTGCCATGATTGTAAGTTTCCTGAGGCCTCCCCAGCCATGCTGAACTGTGAGTCAATTAAACCTCTTTCCTGGCCAGGACAGTGGCTCAAACCTGTAATCCCAGCACTTTGGGAGGTCAAGGCGGGTGAATCACTTGAGGCCAGGAGTGAGGCCCGTCTTTCTCATCTCATTAAAGGACACCATCATCTGCACAATCGCTCAAACCAAAAATCTCAGAGACGTCCTTTCTCTGCCTTCTCATTCCTCATGCCCAGTTCACAAACAAGTCTCCCCGGTTCTACCTACGAGATACCTATCATGCATTTGTTCGTTCTCTCCAGTTCCACCCAGTCCAAACCTCTCTCATTTCCCATTGGAAGTGCTGCAACAGCTGAGCTATTTTTACTTTTCATTCCCCATGATGCGTTTTCTACCCAGGTACCAAAATCATCTTTTAAAAATATAAATCATAGCATGTCACTTCCCTGTTTAAAGCCCTTCCATTCCCCCATTACATGTAAAATAAAGTCTGTTTGCTTTCCTGTGGCTTCCAAAGCCACATGGATCCAGTCCTCGCCTACCTTTCCAAGATTCTATCCCTTCCTGGAATGACTCACATTCCATACCACATCTTCTCCTTCCGACTCACCAGGGCCCAGCTGCACAGGTGAAGCCTTATCCCACCCTGCTTGCTTTTCCCAAATCTCCCCAAGGCTGGCTTCTTCCCAAGATACAAGTCTCTACTTAAATGTTATCTCCCCAGAAAAGCCTCCCAAAACAAAATCACTATGCCCCCCCCCCCATTATTCTCTACCACATCATTCTGTTTCCTTCACAATATGCAGTATAAGTGGTCACATGATTACTAACTTGTTACCTCCTTACCACCTCCCCATCCACACAACTACTAGAACATTAGCTTGAAGACAAGAGAGACCTTCTTCACCTCCCTTATTATCCTGATCACCTCCTACTCGACTCGTGGTGAAGGCGGGATTTTGACCCTAAAGAGTGCAAGATGGCTGAGCACGTGACACCCCCACAGGACGGATGAGTCAACAGCAGCTTATGAGTCACAAATACTCACAGGCCAGGGTAGAAGGACACTGCATGACATTCAGGGAGGAAGGGGTGTGCTCCAAAACAGAGTGACCCTTGCTTCCCATAAGAGGGTGCAATTGATTTTTCGTATACTTCCATGGGCCAGCAGAGGTGAAACCCGTGTGGTCTAGAATCAAGTAGGGGGCTGCAACCAGGCCAGCTAATAGGAGAACTAGCTGGGTGGGGAGCCTTTCCTGCAGAACAGGGGGCATATCTGGTGAGATCAGGATAACTCAGTTGGAATGCTGGGCCCTTTCAGGCTCAAAGATGTCAAGACAGCACTTGAAGTGTTAGGCCATACATTACACTTGTCCACTGCTTTATGTCCAGTGTCTCTAACAGTGCCTGGCACAAAGCAGATGCTCAACAAATACCTGAATAAATGAACAAATGAATCTGAGCCATAGATCCTCCCTCTTTCCTACCTGTGACTTGACTGCCTAGACACACCCACAACCCTGGAGGTAACTTAGGTGATGACTGGATGGGAGTGAGGGTGATCACAACTTCCCCACGTCCTATAAGTGAGCCTTCCTCTAGTTTTGTCGCCTAACAAGCTTTGTTTCTTTAATATCCCCTGTGGTTGGAAGTGTAATATCCACAAAGATCAATACAATGTTGTGTTCAAACTACAAATGTGCCAATGTTATAGATGAACAATGGGTCATCTACCCAAGCACCTATTCAGCTTTTGCATTTATTTTTCATCTGAACCCTTTTACTCAAAGGTGTCCCCTTGACAACACAGAGACATGGTCAGATCCTTTCTTTTTTAATATTCACTCATTTGCCCTAGAAGGAAAAATATACACACAAACTCAATCTTCAACAGCCAATCAACAACGATATGTCTTATTCAGAGCTTCTAATATATATTTCAATGGTTCTTTTCATATTTTTAATATGAAAGAAGACCATGCTCATTAAAGAAGATGTGAAAAATACAGAGTATAAGAAATAACGGAATAATTGCTCAGAGCCTCATTATCCAGGCACAGCCATTGCAGGACAGTTTCTTCTGATATTTTTTTGTAGGCATAAATAGTTTTACCATAGACGGATTTACACTACATATGTAATATTGTGTCTTAATTTTGGTTAATATCTTAATACCACTCTTTTGGCATTATACTCTTTAAAAACAATTTTTAGTGCAATTTTTAAGTTTGCATCCATTAGACATTAAGCTTCTTAGAGATTCATCTATGGTTGGATATGCAGGTTGCTTTCACTTTAGGTAGTTTGCAATATAACAGCACTCAGTACACTTTTGTTCTTCATGTTTTTACGATACTTAGGATGATTTCCTTGTGAGAATTTCTCAGAGTCTCTGGTTCAAGGTCTCTTTAAGGTTTTCGGTATATCATACCAAATTGTTTCCCAAAAGAAAATGCCAGATTACCTTTACAAAAACAAAAAACAAAAGCTGGTTTGCTTTTGTGCAGAGTGACAATGACTTTGGCTTTCTTCTGTTCCTGAAGATTTCCTGCCACAATTCAAGAAGGTCTTTCAGTGCCTGCCTCACCTTTCACTTCTTTCCTATGATATCTTCACCCCTCAATTTCCTTTTGTCACCTCAGAATTCCAAGTCAATGCATTTTCTTACTACAATTTATAAAAGTTCACAATGTGATCATGCAATATAGCCAAAAGTTCAGTCTACACTCTAGATATGAGGATTAACCCATCAGAAAGCCTGTCTCTTGCAGCCTGTAGACATATCAGAGTAAACAACAGCCCTTTCTGCCAGTCATGGGGGCAGGTACAAATCAAAGACAGGAAACCTCTCTCTATGGGGGAAAAGACTCTTGAGACTGACATATTGACATGGCTTGGGATGAAACTAAATATTCAAGGCAAAAATTTAAGTTATCTGACAGAACTTTTTTTTTTTTTGAAGCGGAGTCTTGCTCTGTCACCCAGGCTGGAGTGCAATGGCACAATCTCAGCTCGCTGCAACCTCCGCTTCCTGGGTTCAAGTGATTCTCGTGCCTCAGCCTTTCAAACAGGTGGGATTACAGGCATCCACCACCACACCCAGCTAATTTTTGTATTTTGAGTAGAGATGGGGTTTCACCATGTTGGCCAGACTGGTCTCAAACTCCTGACCTGAAGTGACCCACCCTCAGCCTCCCAAACTGCTAGGATTACACGAATGAACCACCATGCCTGGCCAGAATTATTTTCTTCTGGCATTTCAAATGAAACTCTGTTTTAGATGTAAAAAAGACGAGTTCTGAGGATTCCCTTATCTCTGCAAGAGAAGTACTTCTTAGTAATGTGGCCTGAATGCAAAGAGCTTAGAGAATAGAAGACCAGGCTTTGTATGAGTGTAAATCACTCAGCCATGCAGAGTGATGGTGGTTTTCTCACCCTGTCTCTTCTGTAGCCCCTGAACTAATCCACCAAAACCAGTGCCCACAACTTGGAACCAAGGGCACCAAATGACCAAATGGTTTATTTGTCGTTGTCACTGTTGAAGAAAAGGAACACAGGTAAGTCTGAGTCACGAGCCCCCTTTTGAGGCCTCCTAGGCAGGGATCAGAGCATTGAAGTGTCTCTCCCCAGAGAAAGGCATGAGGGAGCAATGGGTGTCTCCTTGTGCCATAATGACTCTAGGACTGCCCCCTCCCCTCCTGGATTGCTCCCACTGGGAGGCCAAATATGAAGACGGGCTTGTTTTAGTTTGTATCTCACCTTAGACTTCAATCTTTAAAATCCTTCCCTATGAGGGGCAAGCTAGAGCTATGTGCTTAAAATCTTCAAAGACTTCAAATTCCTAAGGAAGTAATCAAAGGTGTGTACCTAGATTTTAAGCAATCGGGTTGTTCACCGCAGCTCTGTTGATAGTCGAAAATAACAGAAACAACCACAAATGGAGGACTAACTGAATAGATTATGCACAGTTATCCACACAGTGGAATGCTATGTGATCTTAAAAATTATGTGCCAGAGAATGTTTAGTGACATAGATAAAGCAATTATGCAATTGCTCTGACCAGAGAAAGAGACTAGACACTTCAATATGGCAGCTTGAGATCACATGTTTCCCTTCCCTGACTTCCCAAATTCCCTGGAAACCATAAACATGGGACCTATGGTGACGCAAGAACTAGACAGAGTGAGGTGGCCCTCCTGGGTCCCACCTGTGTCTCAGTGGGTGGTGACGACATTTGCCCGAACACTGGAACTAGAAAGATGTTTACTGAAGACACTGACCCATCTTACAGAGGGAGATCCAGGGATCGTAGTGGGCTGTTTTTTCCCTTCAGGATAGCCCTACTCATGTTGGCGTTGGGAAGGGATTGACCAGTCTCCCTCTAAGCTCCACTCCTACACATTCTAAAGCAAAGCCTCACAGATGACACCCCCAACACACACACACCCCACAAACATCCCTCCAATTCAGAAGGGAGGTCTGGTGGGGAAACAGATCCACATGCAGCAGAGGAAACCCACACCAGCTGTTTGCACATATCAGTTTAACCTTTTCTTCATAGACGCATATGGAGAAGCACCCATCACCAGCTACTTGAGAAGCACCAAGAGCGTAAACAGGGGGAACCACAGGGAAGAATCAGGTGAGTTGCTAGAGAAGAAACAGATAATTCAGGGTCATTTCCTACTCTTCAGTCTAACTGCATTATTTATTCTACAACAAATATCATTTACTGCTTTTGCAATTTTTAAAATCAATCTATAAACAAAGCTTGGGTGGCAAGGACAGTCACAGGAGAAAATGGGAATATTGTAAACCTTGATAATGTGAAATTAATAGCAGGAGGAAAGAGATGGAGGGAAATGCTACAGCCTTAAATTTTTTTTTTTATCTTACCTTTGTGGGGAATCAAGACATGCTATGTAAAGCCAGTGAAAACTGGAGGCTTAAGGTCACTATTTAACATTAGGCAGGTAACCAAGAGAATAAATGATATTAGTTATATAACTATGCAAAGTCAGGGTATAGCCAGATAAGACAAAGGACAAGGTATTGCAAATAAGCTAAATCCCTTACATTTCATGACAGAGTCAAGAGATGCAGGATTTTAAACAGATAACGAAGAAATAAGGTTATTAGCACACAATTTAGAGGCACGAAGGAGAACTCACAACAAGGCTGGGCATGGTGGCTCTTGCCTGTAATCTCAGCACTTTGGTTAGGCTGTGTCGGGCAGATCACTTGAGGTCAGGAGTTTGAGACCAGCTTAACATGGAGAAACCTCATCTCTACTAAAAATACAAAAATTAGCTGGGCATGGTGGTGCATGCCTGTAATTCCAGCTACTCAGGAGGCTAAGGCAGGAAAATCGCTTGAACTTGGGAGGTGGAGGTTGCAGTGAGTCAAGATCATGCCACTGCACTCCAGCCTGGGTAACATAGTAAGACCCTGCCTCAAAAAAAAAAAAAAAAAAAAAAGGACTTCAGCAGAGATGGCTCCCTCTGATGCGTGTGTCTGGGGATGGAAGCCCAGGGGAATATTTCTCTTCTAAGGCCTCATTTTGCTAAGGCCTCATCCTTCTCCACTCCTTGATTTGCACAGCAAATGAATGTTTTACTCTTACAACAATAATGTAATGTTAAAACAAAACGCAGCTATGACTGGCAGGACATGCATCAGAGGTTCTGTACAGGTCTGCAGATTACAGTCAGCTGAGAGTTTTGCAAGGCTCTGATGTCAGACACCCCCTTCTCCCCGCCCCTACCCCAACTCAAAATTCAGACTGGATAGGACTGGGGTGGACCCAGGAGTGGTTAACAAACTCCCCCAGGTGATTCGAACATGCAGCCTGGACTGAGAAACAGTGACTGCACAGTGGAAGCACAGGGTTGTTGTCTTGTCTCTAACGTCCTCGGTCTCCTACGTTTTCCATCCATCCATGTAATAACCATGTATTGAGCGCTTACTGTGCTGGTATGCACCATGCTAGATGCTGGGGAAGCAGCGGTGAACAAGAAGGGCCTGACACCTTACGCTACGGAATCTCCCATGGAGCAGGGAGGGGAGGAAAGGAGAGGGAAAGCAGTTATTCAGCAAATGACTCATTCATTTATTCGTTGTAATTGCGACAAATGCCACACACAAAGAAAGGGTGCAATAAATGCATACATTATTTTTGTAATTGGGATAAAATAGATGCTATTTTTAAAATCTCTTTGTGTCCCTCTCTTTGTGTCACTCACTTACTCTGCCTCCCTCCCATTTGCAAGAGACTGGAGGTCAACATTTCTGCCCTCCTCAAAGATGCCATCAGGAGCTATAATCCTATTTTCAGGCTAGGGTTGGAATCTTGCCACTCAAACAGTCTTGAGCTACAACTGGCCAGAGTGACCAAGTGCAGCACGCATGTGGCTTCAAATTCTCACCCCCAGCCAGGAGCGAAAAGAGGAGGCAGAGAGCAGGAAGGAGGAGCCCCCAGAAGATGCCTGCTGTGAAGTTCTCACAAGAGACAGGCCTGCAGTCAAGGGGCCTCCTTTCAAGATGTCCACAAACTCCTCCTGCACCGTAACAGCTTCCAAGAGAATCAAGGAGGCAAAGAAAAACATGGGCCTCAGCCACGCACAGCGGCTCACACGTGTAATCCCAGCACTTTGGGAAGCTGAGAAACAGTGACTCTGCACAGTGGAAGCTCAGGGTTGTTGTCTTCTCTCTAACGTCTTCGGTCTCCTGCGTTTTCCATCCATCCATGTAATAAACATTTAACCTGGAATAACCTGAGGTCAGGAGTTTGAGACCACCCTGGCCAACATGGTGAAACCCTGTCTGTACTAAAAATACAAAAATCAGCCAGGAGTGGTGGTGTGGGCCTATAATTCCAGCTACTCAGGAGGCTGAGATGGGAGGATCACCTGAACCTGGGAGATGGAATTTGCAGTGAACCGAGATTGCGCCACTGCACTCCAACCCAGGAGACAGAGTAAGACCCTGTCTTAAAAAAAGAAAAGAAAAGAAACAAAGAAAAATACGGGCCTCATTAATCTGTGGGAAAGACAGGAGAACACTAACTGACAGCTGAGGAGGGCCCCCCATAAACTCGGAGCCTGGGCACCCACAGTCAGCCCTCTTTGACCTGCCATGTCTTCTCTGATACCAGAAAAAAGCGAAGTGATTTTTTTTTTTACCCATTTATTTTTGCTAGAGAGGAAAAAGAGTGAAAAACCAAAAAAAAAAAAAAACAAACAAACAAAAAAAAAAAAACTCCCCAGTTGTAAGGTAAGACGATAAATTGGGAAATCATAGAAAATAAGAGCCTTTAACTTAATCCAACACCAATAAAAAGCAATAGACAAGGGATAATGACGGACAATAAATACGGGTGCGTCTTCTAGTTAAATTACAGGGGCCGGCGGAGGCACGGAGCAGTCGAGAGCTTCACGCCAGGGCTATTACGATGACTAATTTGGTTAGCGGCAACAACAGGCTTCTTGCGGCGAGGCCTGCCTTTTCCCATTTCATCTCATTTTTACTGTAACCATGTTTTTATTTTTACAGGCCGATTTGATTCTGTCCCATGCTTTCAGAATTGTGTTTTTCAGATTTCTAATGGTTGTGATGTCCACACCTCGCTGTGCCAATCCTGGTGGATTTTCCCTCCACAGAGACCACCCATGGCCCTAGAAGGGGCTCCCTTGGCCTGAACCTCAAAGTCTCAGGGCTGTGCAGTCCCCAAAAGGGGCGTCTTTATTACCTCCAGGAGAGAACCAACTGTGGCCACAATTTACCTCCTTCTCACCCCACTAGGCCAACGGACTTGATCTGCAGACACCCCCCTCAACACCCCCAAAAAGTCTCCGTTGTCCGTCAGAGGATTCGAATCCTACTGGAACTGTGGTCCTCAGCAGGGAAGGTACCGCTCCGTGAAGGAAGCTCTGGAAATTTGTAGGGACGATTTTGGATGTTAGGGGGACAAACAGCACTGGGTGTTGTGAGGGACTTAGAGGCCAGGCTTCCTGCAGCATAAGAGACAGACCCACACAAAAAGCAAACTTGCCATCTTCTGCATGACTATGGGTAGTCCCGCAAGACAATCGCAGTGGCAAATAATAATAAAAAATAAACCAGCGGCTGGGCACGGTGGCTCACACCTGTAACCCCAGCACTTTGGGAGGCTGAGGCGGGCGGATCACAAGGTCAGGAGTTCGAGACCAGCCTGGCCAACATGGTGAAACCCCGTCTCTAGTAAAAATACAACAACTAGCCGGGCATGGTGGTGGGTGCCTGTAATCCCAGCCACTCAGGAGTCTGAGGCAGAAGAATTGCTTGAACCCAGGAGGCGGAGGTTGTAGTGAGCCGAGATCATGCCACTGCACTCCAGCCTGGGTAACAGAGCGAGACTCCATCTCAAAAATAAATAAATAAATAAAATAAGCCAGCTTAGAATTACTGTAACCCAGACCCTAACTTTTAAAATTTTACCAAGTATTTCTGCACGGTTGAAATAGACACTGGATTTTTCACATGCGCAAAAAGAAGACTGCAGTTTGTGCCATTCAGAACTTTACGAAAGGCTATTCAGCATTTTTGGAGAATCGAGTTATCTCCGACAACACAATCCAAGTCATCAGGACACCAACACAACAGCCTCAGTAGCTGTCACACTCAGGGTGACTGCGGACTTACACGTTCCTATAAACTCACAGCACTCTATGGTGGCTCCAGTCCCAAAATGTCACTACGGAGAAAGAGTGTCACCAATTCTCAGTAGGCTCCTGCCATCCTTCTCTTAACTCCCAATATCCATTAGCAGTAGATGGGGGACCAGTCACCTTATTATGCACTGCGGTGTTACTGAGCAGGTCCCCACTGAAGTATGTAGGATTCTATTATAAACTGTCTCTTTTTATTTCTCCTTTATACCAGGGCAAAACTTCTTTGGAGGCTATGTGTAAAGGTTGGCTGTTGTATCTGTATGTTTCTCAGGGCAGTAAAGACTATTGCAAAATACTTTGCCTTTTGCAAAGGCTATTGCAAAATACTTATATTACTACAATGAGGCGTCTGGTCTGATCATTTTGGCGCAGCAGGAAGTTTATACATAATACTGCTTACACCTAAAAATACCTTGACCAGGCCCTGAGCTGGCCCTGAGCTCTGATCACTGAGTGTCTGGAGTCAACCTAACTGATACTCTGCACTTCACACCTGCAGGTGGGCTTAGCGTTTAAATCCTGGACAGGTTCATGAACCGCCTTGCTCGCCGCAAGATGCTCCTTCCGTTCCTGGGTGCTCTTCCCCAACCCCAACGCCTCCCAGGCTCTGCCTCCTCCAGCTCCAGCCCCAGCTCTCTCATATCACCTGCCCTCCCTGTCTCACCATGTTTCAGCACCTCTCCCTCCCACTGTTTCTCAAATGCCTCCCTTTCTACTACAGGGCCTTTGCACATGCAATTTTCTCCTACTGGCCTGTTCCCAGCTAACTCCCATTTATCTTTCAGGTGTCACTTTGAGAGGCCTCCCCTGACCCCCAGGTCAGGCCCCACCACCTGCTGCCATTTCCTGCAATGGCCACAGCTGTAATTAGCTGTGTCATTATCTGCTTGCCATCGACCTTCCTGGCTGGTCCGTCCATGAAGAGAGGGACTTTTTCCTGCTTCCCTTCTCCCTGTATCCCCCCAGCTGATGGTCAGTGGAGAATTTGTCAGAGGAGCTCAATAAATACTTACTGATGAATGAGTGAATGTATGCTTGAAGCCTCTAAACATAAAACCAAACTCCTTTTGCAAAGTTCTTGAGATAGTAACAGCCTCCTCTCTGCCTCCTTCAGTGATAAGCAAAATGAAGAAGTGCACCACAAACCTTCAGAGTGAAGAATTTTTAGGAAAACCTTCACAAGGATGTCAGCTTCAGGAGGGCAGGTATTTGGGACTGTTTCATTCACTGACACAGCCGGAGCCCCTAGCACAGGCTGTGGGCCACAGAAGGAGGCCAATAGACGATTACTAAATCACTCCATCAGCCACAGCAGGCCAAACACTGCCACTGGCTTATTGACAGCAGCAGAATTATGGCACAGTGATGTATTTGAGACGGTTTTGAAGGAGGGATAATGGCCCCTCAGAGGTAGGGTTGAACTATCCAGGCCTTTGTGCCACCCACACCTCATTCTGGTAGACTCAGAGCTGAACCACATGCTGCGAGCACAACTATTCCACCTGCGAGCCAGCTTGGAAGCCTGGAGCTGTTATCGGAATGGTCCCTGTCTTGGCTGTGCTTTGGGTCCCTCTCCCAGGACCCCACAGGCCCCTCAAAATCAATCAGATGCTTGAGACCAAGGAGCCTTGCCATTTCTGAAGAAACCCTTCCACAAATGTCAAGTCAATCAGAAACTCACTCTCCCCCGAGTCCCGCCTAAGGCCTGAGCCTCTGACGGCTGGGAGAGTTTATGGGGCAAAGTGAACCCAGTGCGGAGAAATCCTTATGAACCCAAACCGCAAAGGCCTGGACTCTCAGAGGGCCAGCAGTCCCAGAGAGCTGAATACCTGCCCCACCTCCAGCTCACTCCGAGTCACTGGCTTAAGCAAAGAGATTACTGTGGATAGATCATTATGTAAAGGCTCTGGCTGGAAGGGACTTAACAGAGTGAAAAGAAAACACTGCAGGGCTGAGTCAGGCAGAGAGGCAGGAGGGAAACTGACCCAGTGCAGGGCTGGTTTTCCTGGTCCCCTTCGCCACCAGAGGGCCAGGAGAGCCTAGCAACTTCGTAGCGGGTGGAACCTCCCTGGTACTTCCATTTAAAAAGCCACAGGTCGGAGGGTTGTTAGGAAGAGAGGAAAAGCCCCTGCACTGCTCACATCGAGACAAGCCATAAAGATCACCTTATACCTTACTGAGTAAATATTTGAACAAAACAGTGACTGTCCTATGGAAAAAAAGGCTTCCATATGCCTCTGCCTGAGCACTTGGTCCCCAACTCAGCTACAGTCCCCAAAAAAATCATATGTCATTACAAATTGTTACATAGCAAGTTATACTCAATTTCTCCAACCCAGAAACCTCCTGGCCTCCTCTCCATGTAATGTACCATCTGTCTACACTTTCCCCCAGATGTCCACTGGCCAGCTCCTCCTCACCCTCCAGGTTTCAGCTTAAACATCACCTCCTCCAAGAAGCCTTCCCAGATCTCCCCGGCTAACGTCAGTCCTTCCTGGTCTCCTCTTTCAGCTGCCTGTTTGTCTCCGTGGTGCTCAGGACAATCTGAAAGCATCTTACCTATTTGCCTGATGACTTGTTTTTCTGTGCTTCCTCTACTAGAATGCATATCTCTCAGCCACACTGCAATTCCCCAGGGGTTTAGCTTACATCAGCACCTGGCACTTAGTGTCCACTCGGCCACTGTTGAAAAAGGACTGTTGGGGACGCCTCCTACTTAAAAAATCTTTCATTTACCCAACTCTACATGTGTAACCATTGTGTGATAGGAACTGTGCTGGATGCTTGAACCTCATCATGAATCATTTTATAGCAAGCAATAGCAAGTTTGTACCTCTCTGGCTTCTCAAGGTTTGCCTGGGGTACATTTCTGCCATGGGGAAGTTCAGTAAGGACTCCAAATGCATGCATTGTGTTTGTGTGTATGCACATACACACATACACACACACACACACACACACACAGACACACACACACACACCCTTCCAGAGCCACCCCCAGGGGTGCTTTCTATTGCCTCAGGAGACAGGGCCCACAGGGCAAAGCTACCTACACAGTGTAACAATTAATACCGCAGCATCCAGACCCACAATGTCAGTGTGGATGGCAGCAGCTTCTCGTCAAGAGTTTCCAGCGGGTGCTGACTCTACCTGTGATGGTTAATTGTGTACATCAAGTTGGCTGGGCCACGATGCCCAGATAGATGGTCACACAGTATTCTGGATGTTTCTGGGAGGGTAGTTTTGTATGATATTAACAGAGAAATCCGTGGACTTTGAGTCCAGCAGGTTGACTCTCTAATGTGGGTGGGCCCCATCCAATCAGGTGAAGGCATGAGCAAAACAAGACTGACCTCTCGGGAGCAAGAGGAAATTCTTACAGCAGACGGCCTTTGAGCTTGAATCGTAACCTTGTCTATGTCCTGAGCCTCCAGCCTGTCCAACTACCTTGCAGGGTGATTTGTTTTGTTTTGTTTTGTTTTGTTTTGTTTTGTTTTGTTTTGAGACAGAGTCTCACTCTGTTGCCCAGGCTGGAGTGTAATGGCAAGATCTCAGCTCACTGCAACCTCCACCTCCTAGGTTCAAATAATTCTTCTGCCTCAGCCTTCCCAGTAGCTGGGGTTACAGGCACGTGCCACTATGCCTGGCTAATTTTTGTATTTTTAGTAGAGACAGGATTTCACCATGCTGGCCAAGCTGGTCTTGAACTCCTGACCTCAGGTGATCCACCCACCTCTGCCTCCTAAAGTGCTGGGATTAAAGGCATGAGCCACCGTGCCCAGCCACGTTGCAGGTTTTAGACTTGCTATTCTCCTTAACTGCATGAGCCAATTCCTTAAAATAAATCTCTTTTGATGTACACAGGTACACATCTGATGGTACTCATTCTCTGGTGAATCCTAATTCTCTGGTGAGCCCACTCAAGGGCTCCAACCTTACTTCCAGAACACAGCATCTGCGGACACATCAGGATGACAGGGAAGGGACAGTGGATGGCAGGGGGCCCAGGCCTGATGTATAAGACACCATGAGGTAAAAGCCAAAAAAACAGAGGAGGTGGCATGAAAGGAGCTGGGTGCTGAGGGCCCTACACTCAGCTGGAAGCCGATATGAATTTGAACCCTGCCTTTACCACTTACAAGGGAGTTATCTTGGGCAGGTGACTACAGGGCTCTGGGCTCCAATTTTCTCACCTGTAAAGCAGGGATGGTTGCAGCCCCTGCATCACTGCGTTGTTTAACCACCTGGTCTGATCTCCAGATGTCTGTTTTTACTGTTGTTATATTTAATGGTAGCCAGCACTTGGCCAGCAAGTAGCCTCTCTCTCCCCTGGGGTCAATCAGGAGAAGTTTCTCTGCCCTCTTCCCTGGAGCGATAACAGAAAAAACAGCCACAAGAAGCAGCTGTTCCCTCTCCAGAGAGAGTCAATTTTAGTAGGAAACAGGCTGGTAAAGGGATGGCTCCGGATTAAGTGCTGAGCAGGTAACAGCCATTTCCTCCAGCAAAGAAATCAGTAACAAAAAGAGGGAAAGTGTTTTTGCACAGTCTGTGGCATCCCTGGAGAGAAGCACGTGGCTCTGTGCTGACCTGAGGGGTCACCTCTTCCAGACCCTCCGTTATTGACAGACACCCTGGCGGTGGCTGCAAACGCTGGGTACGGTTTTAGTCTTTTAGGTTCAATGGAATTGGTGCTTTTATCTAATGCTTTTAAATTATTTATTCATTTCCAAAAATAAAAAATAAAAACATTCAGCAACCCTCCTGCTTACAGACATCCTGAATCAGATCAGGAATGGGGGTGCTGCATACATCCCGTGAAGGTGTGGGTCTCTGCCAGCTCCTTCCAACACCTACTTTGAGTGGGACCACTCCACACAAGTCCAAACGTGCCCCGCAATTGCACCGGGCAGGTTCAGAGTCATTATTTCCTCTTCCATGAAGAATGGACTCACTTTAGGGAAAACAGCATCTTTGGATTTCACCTGAATGTGAAATCGATTTGGAAGGAGACTCAGAGGATTTCATTTGTTTCTGTTTTGTGTTTTGGGTTCCGTTTCCATGCCTTCCACCAGCAGCACTTCCACTCCAGACTTCCTGTCCCTGCACACTCTCTCCTTCCAGGGGTGAAAGGAAGCTAAAGCCGCTGTTGTGTTTGCACTGGGGCCTATGAAAGGCACACACCGCTGCAGACATAGGATTTGACGTTTGGGGTTCTACCAGGAGCAGAAAGCTTACCTCTAAGAGCTGGAATGAGCCCGCCCAACTCTCGCCAAGCCCAGCTTTCAGGGACGTGGGGGGTTCCAGGTGATCTGGAAGAGGTGGGAACCTGAGGACAGTGTGGACCAGCAGGTGCATGGGTCTTGCTCCATGAAAGACCTCTTGCCACTCTCCCCTGCCCCTGCACCACCCCTTCTTCTCCACAAATCTGGCCCTGCTCAGCCAGACTTATTTCCCGTATTCAAAGAGAAAGGACACGTTCTCTCTTTCTTGGATGTGGGAATCCACAAGAAAGGAGGGGAGTCACATGGCTGATTTTGCACGATGGCCCAATTTGGTAAATAGCATCTCTGGGTCCTCTTTCCCTGGAGGTCATCAACTTACCAAGAGACTTGGGGGCTATGGCAGGGAGGAGATCTCCATCATCCAGTACGTTTGGGGACTTAGCATAGAAAACACACATGCTGGCCGGGCGCGGTGGCTCATGCCTGTAATCCCAGCGCTTTGGGAGGCCAAGGTGGGCGGATCATGAGGTCAGGAGTCCGAGACCAGCCTGGCCAACATGGTAAAGCCACATCTCTACTAAAAATACAAAAATTAGCTGGACGTGGTGGTGCACGTCTATAATCCCAGCTACTCAGGAGGCTGAGGCAGGGGAATCACTTGAACCAAGGAGTCGGAGGTTGCAGTGAGCCAAGATCGCACCACTGCACTCCAGCCTGGGCAACACAGTGAGACTCTGTCTCAAGATAGATAGATAGATAGATAGATAGATAGATAGATAGATAGATAGATAGATAGATAAGAAAGGAAGGAAGGAGAGAGAGAGAGAGGGAGGGAGGGAGGAATCAAGAAAGAAAAGAAAAGAAAAGAAAAGAAAAGAAAAGAAAAGAAAGAAAGAAAGAGAAAGAAACAAAGGAAGAAAGAAGAGAGAGAAAGAAAGAAAGAAAGAAAGAAAGAAAGAAAGAAAGAAAGAAAGAAAGAAAGAAAGAAAAAAAAGAAAGAAAGAAGAGAGAGAGAGAAAGAAAGAAAGAAAGAGAGGAGAGGAGAGGAGAAGAGAAAACAGACACCATGAGCCTGGACTTCCTACTTACCTGGGTGATGGGATCATTCATACACCAAACCCCAACAATATTCAACTGACCCATGTAACAAACCCACACGTGCGCCCTCAGAATCTAAAATAAAATAGTTAAGTTCCAGGATACACGTGCAGGATGTGCAGGTTTGTTAGATACATAAACGTGTGCCATGGTGGTTTGCTGTACCTGTCAACCCATCACCTAGGTATTAAGCCCTGCATGCGTTAGCTATAAAATAAACGCTAAAAAAAAAAAAAAAAGTAAAACGCCACCCATCTTTAGAATCCTCGTAAGTGCTGGGCCCCTGGCCTATCTTTTCCTTTGCTTCTCATAATGTTAGCATGTCCATTTTACAGACTAACGGTGGGGACAGAGTTCAGAAAGATTAAGCAAATTGCCCAAGGTGATGGAGCTCGCCCAGTCTTGTTCCAAGACACCACACTGATAAACTACACAGCCTGTCAATGAACTCTGAATCAGTGAAACCTGCATGGGCAAGTTATAATAAACACGATTTTGATCAAAATTAGGTGGCGCTGTCTCTCAATGCAATTCAGCAGATGTTCACTGTTCACAGTGTGCTAAGAAATTCAACAAACGAGAGAGAACGAGAGAGAGAGTGCACACTCTCCAGCTCTTTAGTTTATTAACCATGAGGGATTACTGATTGAATAGCTACTGAGAGGCACATAGTGGGGATAAACAAATACATAAATCTGAAGGTGGCCAGGAAACACGAGGGGTCCCTAGGACAGTGAGGGTTGGTTGATTTCTCCTTCTTTATCCTTAGATTGCTGAGAAATGGGAATTGCAAAGCCCCGAGCTTCGGGTAATAATGCCCAGAAAACCTCACAAGGTTGTCAGAGAAATGCATTTTATTTTCTAAACTACTCTGAGATGCTTGAACAAAAGGCAATGCCTGGCCTCAATGAGCCTGGCCACTGGAGCTCGAGAAGACAACAAGAGCCCTTTATGCCAAAATCAGGTTGGATGCAACACGAAACAGGGAGAGGATGATTTATAAAAAGAGCCAATTTCACAAGATGATTCTATGAGCCACTCAAAGGTACAATCGTCAATGGAAGGGGGGACAGAGCAGACAGCAAGATAGATTTGTAAAAGAAGATATTATATCAATAAGACAGCAGCACAGGCAGGATGGGCCGCCCCTGCTCACAGACAGGCAGCAATGGCCTCACAGACACGCAGCAATGGCCTCAGAGACACGCAGCAACAGCCCAGGGTAGGCCTGGCATCTGTGGCCCCTTCACCATGAGACAGGTGGTGGCGGAAGCTCAAAATGCTCCCTGTTGGATGGCGTAGGGAGCCAGGATAAAGGGATATCACATGGTAGTTATTCTGTGGTGATCGAACAGTTCTGAATCTTGGTTGCATTTGTTGTTACATAAATCTATACATCAGAGAAAACCACAGAGAACCACACACACAAATATGTGCAGGTGAAAACCGGTGACAGTGAACAGGGTCTGTGGTTTAGTGAACAGATGGCACCAATGTCACTTTCCTGATAGTGATACTGGGCTATAGTTGTACAAGATGTCACCTTGGGGGAAGCGGAGGAAAATATTCATGGGACTCTATTTACTACTGTTGTAACTTCTTGAGTCCATAATTATTTCAACCTTCTCCCTCTCCACCTCCTCCCTCCCCTTCCTCCCTCTCCCTCCTCCTTCCTCTTCCTCCCTCTCCTTCCTCCTCCTCTTTCCTCCCCTCTTCCCTCTCCCCACTCCTCCCTCCCCTTCCTCCCTCTCCTTTCTCCTCCTTCCTCCCCTCCTCCCTCTCCCCACTCCTCCCTCTCCCTCCTCCTCCTCTTTCCTCCCCCTTCCCTCTCCCTCATCCTCCTTCTCCCTCCTCCTCTTTCCTCCCCTCCTTCCTCCTCCCACTCCCTACTCATCTTCCCTGCTCCTCCTTTCTCCTCCTTCTCTCTGCTCCTCCCTCCTCCTCCCACTCCCTCCTCCTCCTCCTCTTTCTTCCCACTCCCTCTCCCTTCTCCCTCTCCATCTTCTTCCTCTTTCCTCCCCATCCCTTTCCCTGCTCCCTCTCCCTCCTCCTCTTTCTCTTTCCTCCCCATCCCTCTCCTTCCTGCTCCCTCTCCCTCCCCCTCCTCCTCTTTCCTCCCAATCCTTCTCCCTCCTCCTCCCTGTCCCTCCACCCTCTCACTCTTCCTCCTGTCCTCGCTTCCTCCCTCTCCCCCTCCTCCTCCCCTTTCTTCCCCCTCCCTGCCCCCCTCATGCGCCCTTCCTCCTTTCCTCACCTCCTCCTTTACTCACCTCCTCCCGCTCCCTCCTCCTTTCTTCCCCCTCCCTCTCCCTCATGTTCCCTCTCCATCATACTCCCTCTCCCTCCTCCTTCCTCTCCCTACGCCTCTTCCCTCCTCCTCATTTCTCTTCTCTGCTCCTCCCTGCTCCCTCCTTCTCCCTCCTCCTCCACGTTCTCCTCTTCCCCTTTGCTACATTTTCCCTCCTCCTCTCCCTCCCTTCTCCTCTAATCTCCCTCTCCCTGCTCCTCCTCCCTCTCCCTGCTCCTCCTCCCTCTCCCTCTCCCTCCTCTCTCCTCCACCTTTCTCCTTCCTCCCTCTCCCTCTCTCTCTTCCTCTACAAACAATGCCATATTCAGCATCCTAAAACATACATCTTTGCTTACTAGTACTTTTATTCGCATGGGCTAGATTTTCAGGAGCAAGATGGCTGAGTCAACAGGTTTTTGTTATTTTCAGTTAACAGGTACTGCGTAATTGCTTTTAAAGAAAACCCTTCACTTTGAGCAAGTGTATAGACACCCTTTCTCCCTTATTCCCACTAGCAGTAGGCATCATGGCTCTTTTCGTATTCTTGACACTCACACAGCTAAAAAATGATATTGAGTTTGGGTTTTCATGTCCCTAACCACGAGCATGCCTTCACGTGTGCCGGTGCCGTCTGGATTTGCTCACCCAACAACGGCCTCTCCATATCCATTTTTCTATTGGGTTTCTTAGGCTCATCTGGATGAGTAAGGGTTATTTGCATATTCTTTGCAAAATATCTTCCAAGACTATTATTCAGCTACTGACTTCAGGATCTGTTTTGCCACTCAAATGTCTTTTTTAATAATTAAAGAATAAAATAAGCCTGGCTCTGGAGCCTCTGTGTTCCCAGGTCCTCCCGGGGTGGGGGTGATTGATTTTCTTCTTGGGCTCCCTGGGCCAAGGAGCCTCACTCGAGTCCCCCTGCAGGGCTTCCCTTACCTCCTCAGGGCCAAGATCCTCCTGAGACTCATGACATCCTAACTCACCCCATTCTCTCTACTGGAACTGGAAAAGTCAAAGCCACACTTGCACGTGGACACCCCCAAGGCCAAGCTGCCATTTGGCTCAGCAGAGGTGAGTGGATTAGGTTTAGAAGTAGAGGAGAAAGAAGCCAGACTCAGGCTGCTGCCTTCACAGAATCCCATTCTTTCATTTAAGAAGAAGGTGGATGATAGCCGGGCACAGTGGCTCAGGCCTGGAATCCCAGCACTTTGGGAGACTGAGGCAGGGGATCACTTGAGGTCAGGATTTCGAGACCACCCTGGTCAACATGGTGAAACCTCATCTCTACCAAAAACTACAAAAATTAGCCAGGTGTAGTGGCCCATGCCTGTTGTCCCAGCTACTCTCGAGGCTAAGGTGAGAGAATCACTTAAAGCTAGGAGGCGGACGCTGCAGTGAGCTGAGATTGCACCACTGCACTCCAGCCTAGGTGACAAAGCAAGTTCCAGTCTCAAAAAAGAAGAAGGAAGGAGGAGGAGGAGGAGGAGGAGGAAGGGAAGAAGGAGGAGGAAAAGGAGGAGGAGGAAAAGCAGGAGGAAGGGGAGGGGGAGGAGGAGGGGTGGAGGGAGGCAGAGGAGGAGGGAGAGGAGGAGGGGGAGGGAGGGAGAGGAGGAGGAGGAAGAGGAGGTGGTGGTAGACGATGGCTGGGCATGGTGGCTCATGCCTGGAATCCCAGGACTTTGGGAGGCTGAGGCAGGTGAATCGCTTGAGGCCAAGAGTTTGAGACCAGCCTGGGCAACATGGTGAAACCCCATCTCTACCAAAAGTATACAAAAATTAGCCAGGCATGGTGGCGCACGCCTGTAGTCCCAGCAACTCAGGGTCCTGCAGACTCAGGGTTGGGGGACGCTGAGGTAGGAGGATCGCTGGAGCCTGGGGAGGTCAAGATTGCAGTGGGCCATGATTGCACCACTGCACTCCAGCCTGGATGACAGAGTGAGACCCTGTCTCAAAAAAACAAAAAACAAACAACAAAAAAAACAAAGTGGATGCAGTCTGTGTGTACATGAGTGTATGAGTGTGTGTGTATGACTGTATGAGTGTGTGTGACTGTGTGAACCTGAGAGTGTGTGTGTGTGTGTGTGTATATGGGGGTGGTGGAGAATATTTATTAAAAACCTTCGGTGTTATTTTGAAATTGTCTTCCAACAGGATGGAAATATGCATATTGAATAGTTTCCATTTTTCTTACTATTCCCTGGTTACCTAAAACAACCAAACTACATTAAACAGAGGCAGAACATAAATCCACCTTGTTTGTTTAAATCTACTTCATTGACCCCAAACCAGCATTGCATTATTTTGGGTATGACTCTGGTCAGACCAGGCCCAGTATATTACTTTCCCGTCACTGTATAACAAATTACTGCAGACCTGGCAGCTTGAAACAGCACCCGTCTGCTCTCTCACAGTTCTGCAGGCTATATGGGCAGGGGACTCAGTTGGACTCTCTTCCCAGGGTCTCACAGGCCCAAGTCACAATATCGGCTGAGCTGGGCTGGTATCTGCAGACACCAGCAAAGACCCTGCCTCCAAGCTCACATGGGCTGCTTTTCCTTGTGGCTGCAAGACCAGGGTCCCTGTCTTCTTGGTGCTATCACCCAGGGTCCCTCTCTGCTCCTACGGGCCACCCACACTCCTTCTCCATCTTCAAACCACAGCAGCACTTTGAGCCCCTCCCAAGCTTCATATCTCTCCAACTTCTCCTTCTGCTGGCAGCCAGAGAAAGCCCTCTGCCTTTCAGGTCTTTTGTGTTCAGATGAGGCTCACTGGGAGCCCTGCCACAGAAAAGAACTCAACCATGGGAGTGATGTCTCACCGCATTCACAGCTTCTGAGGATTTGGGACATGGGATCTCAGAGACTGTGACGGTTAATACTGAGCATCAACTTGATTGGAATGAAGGATGCAAAGACACACCCATTGTTCCTGGGTGTGTCTATGAGGGTGTCACCAAAGGAGATTAACATTTGTGCCAGTGGACTGGGAAAGGCAGACCCACCCTCAATCTGGGTGGGCACCAGCTAATCAGCTGCCAGCATTGCCAGAAAAAAATCTGGCAGAAGAATGTGAAAAGACTAGATTTCTTTAGCCTCCCCCAGCCCACATCTTTCTCTCGTGCTGGATGCTTCCTGCCCTTGAACATCAGACTCCAAGTTCTTCAGCTTTGGGACTCAGACTGGCTTCCTTGCTCCTCAGCTTGTAGACGGCCTACTATGGCCGTCTACCACTTCAACTTGTGATCGTGTGAGTCAATACTCCTTAATAAGCTCCCCTTTACATAAACATCTATCTGATTAGTTCTGTTTCTCTAGAGAACCCTAATACAGAGACCATCCCTAGAAATCCAGCCTTCCACACCAGGGAACAATGGCACACTCTAAGAACCCACTGGGCTCAGGTAAGCTGGTCTGTCATTGCTCCAGCCTGGTCTCTGACTCTGTGAGGTACCTTCCCCACCTTGCTCTCTCTGGCCTACCTGGCCCTCAGCGCCCCAATCCAGTTCAGGCCTCAACTAGATACTCTCCTGGCTGCCTTCACCTCTGAGCTGGGGCACCACCCTTCCTGCATTGTTTGCTTGGAATTCTGTAATTCTCAGTTTGGGTATCTCTTCCGTAGACCAGGTTCACAAGGACAAAGTCTGAGTCTTTCTCTTTTGCTAACCAGGGTATCACACTATTGTAGGTTCTCCATAAATCGTGCAGAAGGAAGGAAAGGAGAGAGGGAGGGATGAAAGGAAGAAAATAAAGGATGAAGGAACATTGGGAGAGGGAGTCGAATGAAAGCCAGAAGAGGGAGGAAAGAAGGGGGAAGGGAGAGAGGAGCGAGGACAAGGGAGGTATGGCGGGGTGGTTAGGAAGTCATCTTCGTCCTATAAATCCATAAACTGGTTCACATTCCAGCTCACAGACAAGGACCAAACACCCTCTAACAACAGCCTCTCTCTCTGTCTACACCGAAAGAAATATCTCCTGAATTCAGGCCTGCCCTCTGTCCTGTAACCAATAATTTGGTCTTTCCTGGCGTAATTCAGTCATTACATTTGCACTTGATCACGTCGGACCTGATGCCTCACACAACACCCCGGTCCTCCGTATTTCCCCTGTGCATCTTCTCAGACACCTGTGACCGCACCTGCCTCCCACCGAGATGCCCCCAAGGGCCAGGGCTCAGGCTGCCTACTCTATCCCCAGCTGCCTTGCCATTATCACTCAACATCATTGTCATAAACAGCTAACACTCTAATATGCTTGCCAATAACTACACTATTGACCATTAATTATTCCTGCTTTTAAAGATGGGCATAAGAAAAGGTTTTAATGCAGTGAGACCACATGGCACATTCAAGGACATTTCTGCATAGTTTACAGATTTGTTGTTGTTGTTGTTGTTGTTGAGATGGAGTTTTGCTCTTGTTGCCCAGGCTGGAGTGCAATGGAGTAATCTCAGCTCAGTGCAACCTCTGCCTCCTCGGTTCAAGTGATTCTTCTGCCTCAGACTCCTCAGCAGCTGGGATTACAGGCGTACACCACAACACCCAGCGAATTTTTGTATTTTTAGTAGAGATGCGGTTCCACTATGTTCGCCAGGATGATCTCAAACTCCTGACCTCAAGTGATCCACCCACCTCGGCCTCTCAAAGTGCTGGGATTACAGGTGTGAGCCACCACACCCGGCCATTTCACAAATCTTAGTAGGGGGACACCCAATAGTCTGTGAAGACACAGTCACCTCTCTGGACCTATTCATTCAACATACATTTATTAAATGCCTGCTGTATTCCCAACCAGGCAGACTTCCTGAAAATGGCAGGCCTTCCCCAGATCCAACCTGAAAAGGGCTTGCAAAGGGTATCCCATTGATACCAGCCCATGTCTGCCCACCTTTGCTCTCTTCTGGTTGTTTTCCTTCTCTTAAGCCAGGGGTAAGAAATCCACGATTGATCATCTTTGTCCAGAAGCCACACACGGTGGTGAGGGGCACCTTATCTACACCACCTTTAATTCTCACTGTGCTCTTTCACCACAAAAATCTTAACTCATCTGCAGAAATGTGCTTTCTACTCCCTCGGTGGAAGAAATGACTTTGTCAATCATGCCTGTTTTGCCAGACTTACTGAATTACCTAAAATGTCAAGATAATTTCTCCCTAGCCTGTTTTCACTGTGGAACCAGCTTCTTCTCATTAAATTACGTTCGGACACATTGATTTCCTTCAACAGGGAGTAGGGGAACCCTGCCAGAAATTAACACTAATCTTCTAATTCAGTAAGAATAAAATATGTGACTGATTAAATCTTAATTAACAGTTCACAAAAGGCTGCTTAATGTCAGGTGGCATATGCATCTTAATTATCCAGCAGTGCTACAGCTCTTGCCAAATGAAGAAGGGCTGTGAGACTTCGGTAGGATTCACTGGGTCATTGTTATTGTTGTTGTTCTACTGAATCTTCTTCCTTGCTCTCTCTACACTTTTTCATTTTCAGCGGGCTGGGTTTTACACAGAAGAACTTTTCATTGCTGTGCCCTGTTCCATAAGCCATCCCCTTGGTTTCCATCTGAAGGAGGGCAGATAGTCTATCAGATAGGCAGGATGGGCTGGGTTATGCCGCAGTAACAAACGCTACACTTCCCTCCTCTTACTGAATGTAGATAAGAACAAGTAACTTCAATTTGCCAAAGCAAATTGCTTTGTTCCTATCTGCATGAATGAGACAAGGGGAGTTGATTCCAACTCTGGCCCCAAAAGAGGAGATACAGAGAAAATCTTGAAGACGACCAGAGGAAAAAAAAAAAAGACACATTACATACAGGGAACAATCGTAAGCATTGTAAGAGACTTCAAATCACGCAGTTCAGAAGAAAATGCAGTGAGATCTTTAAAGTGCCATAAGAAAATTTTTTACAAGGTGTCAACCTGGAATTCTATAACCTATGCAATTACATTTTTAAAATGAAGGAGGTATTTCCAGTTTCTAGCCCAGTATGGAAAAAGCTTGGAAATCATCACTTCTGCCCAACCGACACGGGAAAAAGTTGAACTAAAAATCAGTGATTCTTCTTAGATCCACTAGATCACTGAGGTCAAAAAAGGAAAGATAGATATGTATATACAGCTAATGATTAACTATAAGGCAGGGCTTAAGAGAAGGGACTCTGGAGTCAGGATCTGTGCATGTAAGTCCTGGCTCCACCATTCACAAACATGCATAAATGTGTGACCGTAGACAAATGACTCACTTTTTTCAAAGTCTCAATGTCCTCATCTGTAAAATGGGACCATAGTGTCCAGGAGTCGCTGTGAGGATTAAATGAGATGTGAAACAAAGTGTCTGGCACAGAGTGAAGGCTTCATGTCAACTCTCATAAACGAGATGTACAGGCGTTTCCCAGTGTAAGACTTAAATTTCAGCCCCGTTCCTTAGCCACAGTCAAACCTCTCCTTTCTACCATGTTCCAGAGAAACCTCCCCTATGTAACACTATCACTGCGTTACAGCTCTCAGCTCCACCACATTGGTCTCTGAGTCCACACACATGCAGAGGGACATTTGGCATTTCTGAGTGCCCCTAAGACTCATCTATGCTTCCCTTTGCCCTGGGAAACCGGCCTTTATAACCAACAAATATCCCTGTGTCTTAGCCTTAATGGGAGATACAGGACATTCTTTCACCACTGTCATTATTTTTGCTATATCCATACCACATTTACAGTTCCTTAATATTTTCTCTTTAAATATAATCACCTTTTTACATAAACACATTTACTTTTAGAGGAAGTTTTTATCACTACTGTGAATAGAAAACCAGTATCATTTCAAGTAAAAATAAATGCAATGAAAACCAAACAGTGGTATTAAATTCTGGCTAGGTGCTATTGCCTGCCAAGACTCAGAACCTAAGAGCTAATCTTTTAAGTGTTTTCTGTTGAAGATGTACAATGAGGAGAGCAGGTCCTGGAGTTGGATCCCTGAGTTTGCAACCCAGGTCTAAGGCTCCATCACCGTGTGATATGGTTTGGCTCTGTGTCTCCACCCAAATCTCATCTCTAATTGTAATCCTCACGTGTCAGAGGAGGGAATCGGTGGGAAGTGACTGCATCATCGGGGTGGTTTTCCCTATGCTGTTCTCGTGATAGCAAGGGAGTTCTCACCAGAGCTGGTCGTTTTAAAGTATGGCACTTCCTCATTCTTGCTCTCTCCTGCCACCTTGTGAAGAAGGTGCCTTCCTCCCCCTCACCTTCTGCCATGATTGTAAGTTTCCTGAGGTCTCCCCAGCCACATAGAACTGCAAGTTAATTAAACCTCTTTTGCTTATAAAATACCCATTCTCAGGTAGTATCTTTAGAACAGCGTGAGAAAGGACTAATACACGGTGTGATTAGACATTATCTCAAATGTCTGATCTTCAGTTCACCCATCTGTAAAATGGGAATGATAAACGGGGTCAACCTTACAAGACTGTTAACATATAACCTGGCACACGGAAAACACACAAAAACTATAAGTTATGAAAAAGCACAAAAGCCTCCACCAAGGGTAAAAAACAGGCATGGACTATTACCCCTGCACCCATATTTATTGGATGAAGCTTAGGATCTCCATCCCTGCTGGCTCCTTAACTTCCTCAAGAAGAATCCCACCGAGGATGGTGACTGACACAGCCTACCCCCAACTCTATATGTCACGTTATGTCCAGCCAGTTGTCAATTTCACCCTTAAGATCCAACCAGTCATTCTAGGCTTGGACTGATGGTGAGTTAGTGGCCAGAGGTCATTTTGAATTTCAGCATCCGAAGCCTGGAGACACTATAAAATTGAATCACATGGAAATATTGGGAGAAGCCATGGAGGTCCAGCTGTCACCTCCAGCTAAGCTTTCTGGAAGCTGGACACCAACCCACGATGCCTATGAAGCAATGATGAAAGCCATAAGGCCTACAGCAGCCCCCCAAATTGACCAACCCACATCCAGGGTCTACCCACAGGCAGAGGCTCATAGCACTTCAACTGTCACCCTCCATTCTGTTGATTAGAGGGAATAAATCTCTCATAAAGTGACAACTAATTGGCATGGCCATTTCTGCTTTAAGCAAGCCCACAGAGAGGAAAATACCCACCCACAGTGTCGGAGGACGGAAGTGGAACAAACACTGAATCTGGACCCTAGCAGCTGAGTAATAACTGGGAGAGAGACTTGTGCTTTTTCATACAGACTCCTTTACAACAACACTCTCTCCTCCACACCAAGAGAAAAACCTGGCATCCTGGCTTCCTCAGCTTGTAGCCAATCAAGTGATCACCCTTGTTTTTCCCTTGGCGCAATGATTGTTAGAACCACGGTGTGTTCAGGTCGGGAGTGCACTTGCAGGTCCCCTTTATCTCATCATTGAGTGTTGTACAGCCCCAAAGAAGAGGCCACCATTCTGGGGATGTCCTTCTTTATCTCCCTGCAGTAGACAAATGACTCACACCTTTCCAGAGCCTCAATGTCCTCATCTGTAAAATGGATGAGCAGGCAACCAAAAGGGATTTGATTCCGTAAGGCGCCTAGAGTCATGAGCTTTCAGGAACATGGACGCAGGAATGGGAAGGGCAAACATCAACACTCACCTTGTGTTTGCCTTCCCCCAACAACCCTACCTAATGTCCCTCACTCACCATTACCCTCCACACCTCACCCCTACCGGTCTCCTTTAGGACTCTTTTCGTAATTCTGCACCTACTACTTTTCCTGTCCCACAACGAAGGTTATACCACGAGAAAGAGACTTGCTTTAATTGTTGACCACTTATTTCCCAGAATAACAATGCCTGACACATAGCAAGTCCTCAGTAATGAGAGTTAAACGAATGAATAAATGCCCTAGACAGGCACTGTCCAACAGAACCTCCCGTGACAATGGAAATGTTCTACGTCTGTGCTGTCTGATATGGTGGCCACAGCTCCCTGATATATGATCAGCTGTGGTAGCAATGAACACGGGAGTGGTGGCTACTGTAACTGAGAAGCTGAATTTTATTGTATTTTAATTATTTGAATTTAAATAGCTACATGGATACCACGGATATGTATTGGATGCTGCAACCCTAGGTCAAGCAGATGGAGTTCTTTCAGTAGCCAGTAATGAGGAGAAAGAAAATAAAGCCCTTTCTGGGAAACGAAAGAAAGAAAAAGGGCCATGGTGCTCTCTGGAGAATGCTGTGGATGCCTTGTTAATATTAGAAGAAGCTGTAACAGTTGGGGCTGTTGGTAGAAAATGCCAGGTTTTTTTTCTTAGTTAAGAGGCACCCCACTTTCTGGAGCATGAAGCAATTTGGCAGCTGCACTCAGGACTCCTGAGGCTCAGGGACCAGAAATAAAGAAACCGTAAGCATCGTGATGGGAAACATCAATACAGCAGCCTTTCTTCTGCACACCCCCTAGGGCAACCTCACTTCAAAACATGCCAGAGTGGCTTCATCCAGAGCTGTCACCAGGAAGGCACGGCCAGCTCCACCCCACCTGCGTCCTTCAGCGAGTGAGATGTGTTGTTTCAACCGTAACGCTCATGCAGCCATGTCCTGGGTGGGTGGCGCCTCTCGCTGGGGAATTCCAGCATTTGCTCACAGTTGTCTGCTCAGGACTCCTGGATCCTTCCCAAAAATGTGAAGCCCTAGCTGTGACAGGCTTGGTGGATATGTGTGTAGGTGCCAGCCCTAGGGCGGGCTGATTAGCCTCCCTGTGCTTGATTTTTTTCCCTGTCATATAGGGACGCTAATTCCGACTCCTCTGAGGAATGTTACGAGAAATAAATCAGCAAATGCCTGCAAAGCCCTTAGCAAGAACCAGCGCACAATAAGGACTCGATGTGAGTTCTCGCATCTGACCACCTCCCTCCCCTACTCTAAACCCTTCCAGGGGAGTCTTCACGCCCATCCCACTGTAATGACCTGCAAAACAAATCTGTGTACCTGTGTGCTTTGTGGAACAGCAATCTTTGAGCTATAAATCTTGGACTGCTTCAGATTCCAGCATCCACAGTCCCTGAAAGCCCAGAAATTATCTTACAACCATCACGAGCCCATAATCATATCAGAATAACAAGAAAAATATCATTAGTGATAACAATAACTAATATTTGTTGAGTATTTACTTTGTGCCTAGCATGATGCTAAGAGTTTTACAGGTGTTGTTTCACCTGCTCTCAACCATAACTCTGAGTTGGTGTTCCTAACTCAGAGATGAGGATTCTAAAGACTGGAGACAGGTGGTCACTGTCCCAAGTTCTCATAGCAAGTCAGGAGCCTGGCCAGGGTTCAAACCCAGGTCTGTGTGGGTCCAGAACCTGGGCGTTTGACCTCTGTCCAGAGAAAAAGCCATGTCAGTCTCAGTGGTCCCCATTATCCAGGCTACCTCCTTCAGGAGGGCAAGACATTCTGCATCTTGGTGGCAAATGGTACTCAAAGAAACTGCCCGTGACTCTCATAACTAACCGATCTAGAAATATTAAACAGATAAGAATAGTCTCAGTGAGATCTGTTGAGTTTAACAAAGGAAGAGGATGAATCACTTAAAAAGGAGCAGTGGGGTTCATTTTCTTTTCTTTTTTTCCTTTGAGACAGGGTCTCACTCTGTCACCCAGGCTGGAGTGCAGTGGTGCAATCAGAGTTCATTGCAGCCTCCACTTCCCAGGCTCAAGCAATCCTCCCACCTCAGCCTCCAGAGTAGATGAGACCACCATGCCTGACTAATTTTTTTTTTGTACAGATGGGGTCTTTCCATGTTGCCCAGGCTGGTCTCAAACTCCTGGGCTCAAGCAATCCTCCCACCTCGGCCTCCCAAAGTCTTGGGACCACAGTGTCAGTCACTGCACCCGGCCAACTACTAATTTTCTGTTGCTGCTGTAACAAATTGCCACAAACTTAGTGTCTTCAAACAACACACGTTTGCCATCTTACAGTACTGCAGGTCAAAAGTTAAAAATAAGACTCACTGGCCTAGAATCAAGGTATCGACAGGGCTGTGTTCCTCCTGGATGCTCTAGTGGAGAAGTCGCTCCCTTGCCATTTCCGACTTCTAGAAGCCACCTGCATTCCTTGGCTCATGGCCCCTTCCTCCATCTCCAGCCAACAGCTCAGCATCCTCCATTCAGACTCTGACTCTGCTACTTCTCTCTTACTGTGACTCGTGATTTCACTGCACTCACCCAGGTAATCCAGGATGACCTCCCATCTCAAAATCCTTAATTTAATCATACATGCAAAGTCCCTTTCGCCATGCAAGGTGACTTGTTCGCACTTTCTGGGGATTAAGGTGTTGATATCTTTGAGGTCCTTTTTTCTTCCCACCACAGTCTGCCCTCTGGCCTCCGCCCAAGAATTATATCTATCCCACATGCAAAATACTTGACCCCATCCCAATATCCCCAAAAGTTTCAGCCCACTATGGAGGAGGATAACAACTCACATTTAATGAGCACTTACTAGGTTGGAAGCACTTTGTTGTGTTGGCCCGCCTAATCTTCACGCCAACCTTTGAAACAAGTGCTTTCATGATCCCCAGTTAGAGATGAAAACAATCAAGATGTAAAGAGTACAAGTGGTTTCCCAAGCTTACAGCTGAGCCAGGATTTAAATCCATGCGTATATGACTCACTCTGATGTCTAGCTTCAAGTACTTTCAGTTGGGGTTTGAACAGTGGAAAGAATTTTAAAGTCAGAAAGGAGAGGACAGGGCATTGTAAACAGGAGGAACAGCTGGAGCAGTGGCTCAGAGGCAGGAAGTATGCACATGTCCAAAAGTCCATATATAGATTTTGTTTGACAGGAACACGGAGCTTAGAATGGAAGCAGTGGGGATAAGACTGGGCTGACTGTGTAAGTCACTGTAAAGACCTTGAGTGACAAGCTACAGAGACTGACGTTTCTCCTGCAGGAATGTGCAAGACTTGAATTTCAGACCATGCCATTCCAGTTACTTTACAAGGTATATTTCATTAGAATGAAGCAAGACGAAATCTTGAAATAGTCTTATTTGTACCATTCTGTTTCACTTTTCTTTGTTGGGAAACCTTTCCCTGGTCAACAAGAGACATGCACAATGATTTTTTATTCTTTTTTTTTTTTTGAGACAGGGTCTCATTCTGTCACCCAGGCTAGAGTGCAGTGGCCCAATCACAGCTCATTGCAGCCTCAACCTCTGAGGGCACAGGTGATTCTCCTGCCTCAGCCTCCTGAGTAGCTGGAACTACAGGTACACACCACCATGCCCAGCTAATTTTTGTAGTTTTTTTCTTTTGTAGAGACAGTGTCTTGCAATGTTGCCCAGGCTGGTCTCGAACTCCTGGGCTGAAGTGTTCCACCCACATTGCTCTCCCAAAGCGCAGGCATTACAGGCATGAGCCACCTTTCCCAGCTGCATGTTGATTATTATTTTTTTTTTTTTTTTTTTGAGATGGAGTCTTGCTCTGTCACCCAGGCTGAAGTGCACTGGCGTGATCTCAGCTCACTGCAACCTCTGCCTCCCGGGATCAAATGATTCTCCTACCTCACCTTCCCAAGTAGCTGGGATTACAGGTGTCCGCCACGATGCCCAGCTAATTTTTCTATTTTTAGTAGAGACGGGGTTTCACCATGTTGGCCAAGCTGGTCTCGAACTCCTGACCTCATGATCTGCCCACCTCGGCCTCCCAAAGTGCTGGGATTACCGGTGTGAGCCACCACCATGCCCAGCCTGCATGTTGATTTTTAAGAGACTGGAATACTTAGAGCACAGACACACCATCTCTCACTCTACACGTTTATTTCTCTCTCTCTCTCCTCTGGCTGGAATGAATATACGCTTCCTGGAGGCAAGGAGCCTGGCCAGTTTGGTTCACAGCTATATTCCCAGCACCTAGAACATGCCTGGCACATATGTGCTCAATAAATATTTGTTGAGTATGAAGAGAAAAATAAAGATTCCCATTTTATAACTTTCAAAGAAGGCTTTTAAAGGAGTATAAGAATCAATGATTTTGAAGCTTCAAACTTCTACTTTGCAAGAAGACATTGTTGTTAAGAGGGAAAAAGCCTCCGGAGACCTAAAAGTCTATTAAGAAACAAATTAGAAAGGGTCTTTTAGGCTGGAAGAGGGTAGAGAAGAGGATGAGACACCACCTTGAAGGAGGTCAGTGAGCTCTAGGAGTGGACACACCTGGGGGGCTCCCCTAGGGGCTGTATGCAGAACAGTGAACACTGTCCATCGCAGCCACACACAGGAAGGCCAAGCCATCGCCTTCTGATCGTCTGTGGCCATTTAAATAGACCTGCCACACATCGCTGTGGTGAGGACTATGCCAACTACTGCTGTCTGCATTCTCTCTGATTCCTGTTTCTTGCTGCCTGGGACCTGCCCTGCAGAAATTATGCCCACCCTACCTTAACACTTAGCACAGCTCCATCTGAAATTCCAACAGCGTGAGATAGCCACAGGTTTCACCCGCCGATACAGTTTGTATATTTGTCGCCACCAAATCTCACACTGAACTGTAATCCCCAGTATTAGAGGTAGGGCCTGGTGGGAGGTGAACGGATCACGGGGGCGGATTTCTCATGAATGGTGTAACACCCTCCTCTTGGAACAGTCTTCGTGACTGTGAGTTCTCACCAACTCTGACTGTTTAAAAGTGGGTAGCACAATCCCCAACCCCCAACTCTGTCTTGCTCCTGCTTTTGCCATGGGAAGTGCCTGCTCCTGCTTCACCTTCTGCCATGACTGAAAGCTTCCTGAGGCCTCCCCAGAAGCTGAGCAGATGCTGGCACCATGCCTACGCAGCCTGCAGAACCATGAGCCAATGAAACCTCTTTTCTTTATAAATTACCCAGTCTCAGATACTTCTTATGGCAATGCAAGAACGGCCTAATACAGCAGCCACACACCCGAAGCAGGAAGCACTGTCGCTGCCATCCAGAGGAATGGTCCAGGAGAAAGAGAGATCCCTCAGAAACCAGACGTGGGCTGGGTGGCACAGTGTGAGAACCCACTCCCAGCACAGAGTGCAGACTTCAGTTTAAGGCCTCTGAATAGCTCAGACTCTATTCATACCGCGGCACCCTCCCATGCTGCCCCCAGCCTGCCTTGCTTAGTTTCTGACAATAAAAAAAGGAATGTATTGATTCATATAACACGAAATTGGGAAATCCAGTGGCGGAGCTGAGTTCAAGCACTTAAAACATGTCATCTCTCTCCAATCTTGGGTCTCTGTATGGCCCCTTTCACTTTCTCTAAGCTGAGGTTTTGCCAAGCTGGGATAATAAAAGCCTCCTCCTGGCTCTTAGAACATTCATTCAAACACCACGAGCAGCTGAAAATGCACCACCTTGCCCCACAACTGGACAGGAGGAGGAACGTGTGTCACATCAAAGATAATTCACTACCTTTAAATAAGCAACCGAATTAAACACATCAGCCTGCAGGGCCCTCAGCAGGGGCCACACAGGAGGTGGAGGACACAAAGCCCTGCCATGATTTCAGAATGGCCAGAATCTTCCTAAGGCTGTTCAATCCAAATTGGGTCCTGGGCAGTGATCTTGCCAAAATGTAAATCTAATCCCATCACCAGCTGCTTAAACACCTCCCACGGGACTTGGGTTAAAGCCCAAAGGCCTGGGCCATGTGCAGTGGCTCACGCCTGTAATCCCAGCACTTTGGGAGGCCGGGGCAGTTGGATCGTTTGAGGTCAGGAGTTCGAGACCAGCCTGGCCAACACAGTGAAACCCCATCTCTACTGAAAACACAAAAATTAGCCCAGCGTGGTGGTGGGTCCCTGTAATCCCAGCTACTCAGGAGGCTGAGGCAGGATAATTGCTTGAACTTGGGAGCCAGAGGTTGCAGTAAGCCAAGACCATGCCACTGCACTCCAGCCTGGGTGACAGAGTGAGACAAAAAAACAAAAAGCCCAAAGGCCTTGTTATGACATCCAGCAATCATGGGGGCCAGTGCTGCCAGTACCTCTCACTATCCTGGCACTCCACACTCCGTCCACAAGCCTTCCTCACCTCCAAGCTCCCCAGTTCCCTCCCAGCACAGGGCCTCTGCTCTTGTTTTTCCCTCCACCTAGAACACAGCCCCTCCATGCCTCACTACTCATCTAATTCCTACTCTTCTTTCAGATGTCACTTGATATAGTTAGGCATTGTGTCCCCACCCAAATCTCATCTTGAATTGTAATCCTCAGGTGCTGAGGAGAGACCTGGTGGGAGGGGACTGGATCATGGAGCAGTTTCCCCCATGCTGTTCTCATGATACTGAGTGAGTTCTCAGAGATCTGATGGTTTTATAAACGGCAGCTTCCCCTGCACTTTTCACTCTGTCTCTCTCTTGCCTGAGACCAAGAAAGATGTGCCTGCTTCCCCTTCTGCCTTGACTGCTAAGTTTCCTGAGGCCTCCCCACCCAGGTGGAACTGAGTCAACTAAACCTCTGCCTTTTATAAATTACCCAGTCTAGGGTAGTATCTTTATATAGCAGTGTGAAAGTGGACTAATACATCACTCAAATGTCACTTCCTCAGGGAAGCCCTCCTGACTTCCCTCCAAGATGAATCCCACATCACACACACTGCTGTCACCAGGTACTCCACCTGCACAGCACTCTTCACGCTGGTGAGTGCCCACGGATCTGACTATGTGCCTGCCGTCTGTCTCCCCTCTACTGAATTGTATTCATGAGAGTTCACTATTGGATCCCCAGCCCCTCCTGCAGGACCCATTGTGTAATGTACTAAATGCAAAATAAATATTTGCTGGATATATTAGGGTTCTCCAGAAAACAGAACCAATAGAACACACACACATATACATACATATTTATATATATACACACATGCATGCATATACACGTGTGTGTGAATATATATACATATATATAGAGAGAGAGAGAGAAATAAAGAGAGAGAAACACAGAGAGAGGGAGAGATTTATTATAAGGTATGACACTTAAAGAATTATGGAGATTAAGAAGTTCCACAATCTGTCATCCACAAACTGGAAACCCAGAAAAACCAATGGGATACATCCTAGTCTGGGTCCAAAGGCCTGAGAACCAGAACACTGAAGGCATAAGAAGATTGACGTCCCAGCTCAAGCAGTCAGAGCTAACTCTCCCCTCCTCCACCTTTTGTTCTATTCAGACCTTTGACGGATTGGATGGCACTCACCCACACTGGGGTAGAGTACAGCCATCTGCTGTACTCATCCACCAATTCAAACGCTATTCTTGTCTGGAAATCCCCCCCGCCATCACCCCAGGGACAATATTTAACTAGCTATCTGGGCATCATGTATCCCAGTCAAGTTGACACATAAAGATGACCATCACACTACATGAATGAATAAATGAATGAATGAATAAAAGAATAATCAGATTTCAAATACATAAGTTGGAATGCCTTTGGTTGCAAGTAAGAGAACTCCCAGATAAAAGTGGCTTCAACTAACAGTGGCTCATTATTTTATGTAATAGGATGTCCAGAGAGAGACAAGTCCAGACATGCTTCCCTGTCCCCGATGTTCTCTCTTCCCCAGAGCGTTCTCCCTACTGACTCCTGTCCTCAGCCTGTGGGGAGATGACTTGGATCACTCTGCCCTCACTTCCACACACAACTACACTCAAAAATAGAAAAGGAAGAAAACTTTTCCCGGGAGCCCAAGCAGATGCCCCCCAGTCACACTCCACACCCAAAGCAATCACTGGCCAAGGGAAAGGGATTACTGTAACTGGCTTAGACCAACAATAACTTATCCCCGCAAACCAAGTCTGCCTCCCATGAGCATCCTGCCACCCAAAATATGAACCCAACTCAGACTCTATGAGCACTGATTTATTCATGAACTCATTTTTTCACATTTGTTTTTAGCATCTATGATGGAGTATTCTAATGTCCAACAGTATTAATCTGTTCTCACGCAGCTAATAAAGACATACCTGAGACTGGGTAATTTATAAAGAAAAAAAGGTTTAATGGACTCACAGTTCCACATGGCTGGGGAGGCCTCACAATCATGGCAGAAGGCAAAAGGCACATCTTACATGGCAATAGGCAAAAGAGAGTTTGTGCAGGGGAACTCCTTTTTATAAAATCATCGGATCACATGAGACTTACTATCATGAGAACAGCATGAGAAAGACCCAGTCCCATAGTTCAGTTACTTCCCACCAGGTCCTTTCCATGACATGCAGGAATTGTGGGAGCTATAATTCAAGATTATATTTGGGGGTGGGGGTACACAGCCAAACCATGTCACCAAGGAAGCGCATGGTCCTGGCCCTCCCACCTGGCCCACCCTGGGCACACCACACAGCAGTGAGGAGCCCTATGAGCCAAGGTTCAAATCCCCATTCTGACACTTAATAGCTGTGTGATGATGAATGAGCTGCTCAACCTCTCTTTGCACAGATTCCACATCAGTAAGACTGGAATAATAACAGTACCTAACTCACAGAATGAATTATTGCATGTAAAATAGTCCATGGCATGTAGAAAGCTCTAGAGAAGTACTTCCTATGATGATGACTCCAAAAGTTCCTCAGACCCAGAATGAACTCTTTACTGATCCTGAAGACCAAGCTGGAAAGCTTTCTTTTCCTGGTGGTTAAGACTTTGGTGGTTTCATGGCTTTGTCGCTCTCTCTCAACTGCTTTGGAATCTATCAAGCACTTCTGACAAGCTGTCTTATCTGATTCCTCATCTTTCTAAATGATGGGACAGGATCTTGCCCTGCAGGCTCCAGACAGCATGCACCACAAAACTGCCATGCATGGGTTTCCCTATCCCCCAGGTATGCACAACAGCATCTGTGCACAGAATAGGGGTTCAGGGCTCTGTGATGAACTCAGAGCTAACGTGGGAACCATCAGGTGAAGAAAGGAGCCAATGGGTGAGAAACCAGCTCTGAAGATACAGCTATCCTCTGTCCTCAGCCCAGTTACCTTCACACTCAATTTGCATATAAATGACTTCCTGAGACCTACAAAGTGCAGTCCACAGAGATCACTGATCGGGAGAAACTTTCTCTAAGTGACAGTGGCCTCTCAGATTTGAAGACATCAAAGACAGAGCTCCTCCTCCCTCCCTAGCCTTCAGGGGATTCATCATTTGGAGGGACTCCTGCTAATTCGATAAGGTTCAATGCTCCCAGAAGGTTGGCACTTCTTTTAAAAGGTGTGCAAATGTATGGGGTACACGTGCAATTGTATTACATGCACAGATTGCATAGTGGTCAAGTCAGGGCTTCCCAGGCACTCATCACCTAAATAAGGTACATTGTATGAATTAACTAATTCCTCACCATCCACCCCCATATCTCCTCACCCCTCCAAGTCTCCAGTGTTAATCATCCCCATCTCCTTTGTCATCTCCCTCACTGCCCACCCCCACCCCGCCCCCATGACTCAGACAAGCCAAGCTGCTTTCCACCCATTCTGTCCTCTGCACCAAACCTGCTTCCCACCACCCCATGCCCAGCCCCACCCTTCCCATGGCCAAGTCCTTCTTGTCATTGCATGTCCCTCCCCAGAGGTGTCTTCCCAGGCCACCTGACTCCAGTAGCAACCCAGTTACTCTTTCCCTTATGACTATCTTTCCCCAGTATATTTCATTCTCCATGTTCTTGAAACTGCAAGTTGGGACCCAGGAGTGAGGCAGGAAATCACTGAATAGAGCAGTGGGGATTTTTCCTTTCTTTAGCACCAACATAGAAGACATCAGAGCATTGGCTGGGTGTGGTGGCTCATGCCTGTAACCCCAGCACTTCGGGAGGCTGAGGCGGGCAGATCAACTGAAGTCAGGAACTCGAGACCAGCCTGGCCAACATGGCGAAACCTCGTCTCTATTAAAAATACAAAAAATTAGCTGGGCATGGTGTCATGCACCTGTAATCCCAGCTACTCGAGAGACTGAGGCAGGAGAATTCCTTAAACCCCAGAAAGAGGAGGTTGCGGTGAGCCAAGATTGTGCCACTGCACTCCAGCCTGGGCAGCACAGTGACACTCCGTCTCAAAAAACAAACAGAAACAGAAACATCAGAGCATATTACAAGCAGTGCATTACATATAGCAAGGGTTTTGGGTTTTTTTGTTTGTTTGTTTTTTGTTTTTTTTTTTTTTTTTTGAGACAGCGTTTCAGTCTGTTTCCCAGACTGGAGTGCAATGGCACGATCTCGGCACACCGCAAACTCCACCTCCCAGGCTCAAGCGATTCTCCTGCCTCAGCCTCCCAAATAGCTGGGATTACAAGCATGCACCACCACACCCAGCTAATTTTGTGTTTTTAGTAGAGATGGGGTTTCTCCATGTTGGTCAGGCTGGTCTGGAACTCCCAACCTCAGGTGATCCGCCTGCCTGGGCCCCCAAAGTGGTGGGATTATAGGCATGAGTCACCATGCCCCGCCCGTAGTAAGGGTTTTATGACACTTTTGCTTCCATGCATTTGTGTATACGTGTGTGCATGCATGCATGCACATGTTGGGACACAGTATAAAATCAGTCTGGTACTGTGCGATGAATTCCAAAAGGTTGATAAATGCTGCACTGATATTTTACTGTTTATTTTCTGGTTGTTAATTATCTCTCTTGTTTACTAGTATGCGGCTGGCACTTAATATATCTATATTGGATGGACGGTTGGAGGGAGAAACAGAAAGAAAGTGAAACAGAGGGAAGAGGAAACAGAGGAACCAACCTACAGATTTCTCATGATTCTAAAGGGCTGAGATTAACACACTTAAGAGGGTCTCTTTAAAACCACATCAGGTTTTAAGGAAGGCTCAAAACTTGCAGCAGCAAGTAAAATAAGAGACACAACCACGGGAAGCAAGGAGACGAAATAATTACTTGCGAATCATATGACTGTATACTTGGAATTCCCAAGGGAATCAACTGAAAAGTTTTTAGAATTTGGAAGAAAGCAGGTATTTAGAAAATGTGTTATAACAAAAGGAAGACAGTAGCCTCCATTGTTTCTGGCTATGCTGACAAATACCAGATGGTACATATGTCAGGGAAGAATAGAAAATGGGGGAGGTTGTGAGCTGGGGATCTTCCACTGGCCTCTCACGTCTTGTCTCCACTCTTCTCCACCCATCCACAAGGCTGGCCTATGTGCATGCGTGCATGGACCCCCAGCACTATGTCTTCCAGGTGGACCTAGGCAATGGGGAGCACCAGCAACATGATAGAGGCGAGGAGGAGAGCTCTGGGTATTTATCCTCCAGTTCCTTCCTTCCAGATCTTCTCCAGTACGCTGGGGTGTCTTAGCCAAGTGACCCAGCCTGTCACAGAGTCCCTCTCCACATGACCCTCCTCTTCCCGCTCCTGGTCTCTGCCCCTTCCTCTTGCCTCTGAAGCCTGGGACTGGTAAATGCCCCCTTGTTCTTAGCCCGGGAGTACTCTCCAATGCCTTAGGACTTTTCTGCACACTCCTCTCCCACACCCTGGAAATAGGTCATTTACTAAACTCTCTTTGAATTATCCAGTTTCATTGTGTGTCTTTTGTTTCCAACCAGGACATCAACCTATTTTGGGTGGAGAATTCTATTCCCAACAGCAGTAAAAATAGAGAAAAGAAAGAGAGACAGAGACAGAAATGACGACGACGATGACGAGAGACAGAGACAGAAATGATGATGAGGAAGCAGCAGCACGAGAAGGAGAAGGAGGAGGAGAAAGAGGAGGAGGAGGAGGAGGAGGAGGAGGAGAGAGACAGGGAGAGAGAGAGAGAAAAAGAGACAGGGAAAATACTAACAAGAAATCAAAACAATGAAAGTGTGAATTTCCAATCTTCCCTGGATGGAAAGATTAAATATGTAAAAATGTCAAATCTTCCAAAATAATGTAAACTTATAGTTTATGCCAGTCCCAATTAATATTTGAATCATTTTTAGGGGAAGGGTGTCAAAATTATTCTGAAATCCCCTGCATTAAGAAACAGACAAGAATCCTTCAGAAGCTTATCACAAAAGAGGACTAACGGCAGGAGGAGGGGCCCCATCACAAAGCTGCAGTTGTTCCAGCACATTAATGGCATAAGACCTGATGGGCAAACCAAGTCACAGCACGGACATTGCTGAACCACACCGGAGCATAAACAGGAACATTGATCATACGCTAAAGGAGGCATCACAAACCAAGAAGAAAAGGAAAAACACTGACAAAACGGTTTCTAGGAACTTGTATATTTATGGGAATAAAATCAAGTTAGATCCTCAAACCTACACAAAATGAATTCCAAATATATTTAGGATCTAAAAAGTAAAAACTGACTATAAAAATTTGCAGAAAGTATAAATAAACCTTTAGCCAATATTAAGATAGAGAAGGCTCTTCTAAGCACAAACTTGATAGGGAAAAAATCACAAAGAAAAAGCCTGAGATATATTGATGACCTTAAAATTTTTAAAAAATCTCCTTTGAACCATCATAAAAATACTTAATGACAAATGACAACCCTGGAAAATATCTGCCTTAACTATGACATATTAGGAGTAACTTCTTTGATATATAAAGAATCTTTCAAATCAATAAGAAAAATATTAATGCCCCAATAGAAAAATGATCTATGAACAAAAATGGAACATTAGTGGAAAAAATATAAATGGCAAATAAACACATGAAAATATGACCACTTCTCTCCTATCAAAGTGGCAACATTTTTTTAAAAAGACCTGTTGGGGGTGGGGAAGAAAAGGGAGGCAGGGAATGAAAGTTTTTACAATCTTCCTTAAAAGCAATTTAACAAAATACACTGGGAATCCTTCAAAAGTTTACACAGCATTATTTGTAATAGAAAAAAAAAATCAATCATGCCCAACTGGAAGGGGAAATTAAACTATGGCCCAGGCATAATATGGAATATTATGTAAGTTTTAATTTTCTATTTTCAGAGACTTTTTAATGAGAAGGGAATATGTTCAAGAGATAATATTTTTTAATCAGGATAGAAATGATACATGGTATGATTTCAATTTTGTTTTGAAAGAGAATAATATATATGCATACATAAAACTAGAAAAATAAGTATTTATGCTTTAAAGAATTACATAGAGATGTACAAAGAGAGAAGCAAGCAGTGGCCGGGTGTGGTGGCTCACGCCTGTAACCCCAGCACTTTGGGAGGCCAAGGTGGGCCGATCATTAGAGGTCAGGAGTTGCAGACCAGCCTGACCAACATGCTGAAATCCCATCTCTACTGAAAAATACAAAAATCAGCCGGGTGTGGTGGCAAGCACCTGTAATCCCAGTTACTCGAGAGGCTGAGGCAGCAGAATCGCTTGAACCCGGGAGGCAGAGGTTGCAGTGAGCCAAGACTGCACTCCAGCCTGGGTGACAGAGCGAGACTCTGTCTCAAAAAAAAAAGAAAGAAAGAAAGAAAAGAAAAAAGAAAAGGAAAGAAGAAAAGCAAGCAATGGAATGATGAGTGTCAGCTCCAGGTGATGAGTACCTGGATGTGGAGGATGGGGTGAAAGGAGGGCAAACATATGGTTAGACAGAAGTTATTGTCGAGGAAAAAGTTTTGGCTTGGGTTGTTGGGTTCACGAATTCTTACCATCAAAAATAAAATCAACAGTAAGATAAACCAAAATTGCTGATAAACCACTGCTTTTGATCTTCAAAACCAATCATCTTTAACAGTTCACCTTAAGGGATAGACAGATGGACAAAACTGGGGATGAGATTATGTCATGACTTAGAACTGCAAATGAGCCAAAAAAAAAAATTTTTTTTTTTTTAAGACAGGGTCTCACTGTCACCCAGGCTGGAGAGCAGTGATGCAAGCATGGGTCACTGCAGCCTTGATCTCCTGTGCTCAGGTAATCCTCCCACCTCATCATCCCTTTCAGTAGCTGGGACTACAGATGGGCACCACCACATCCAGCTAATTTTTGGATTTTTTGCAGGGTCTTGCCATGTTTCCCAGGATGGCATTGATCCAATTTTTAAAAGAGAAAAAATAAGGAACCCATTCACCAAAATGTTAATGGTGTTCATTCTCCCAATGGGGTGATTAAGAGCAATTCTTACTTTCTCCTTTATTTTCCATTTCCCAAATTTTCTACGAGAAAAATTAAATGCATTTATATATTTCAAAATACACATTAGTTTTCTTAACTTCTATCCTACTCCAATATCTACTTTTGGCTCAAAAACAGATAAATCAAGGTGTGAGCCCTTGACCTCATCCACGGCTAAGGTCCAAACCCCAGAGTTAATAATGGCAATAACGGCTCATGATTACTGGGCATTATCACGTGCCCATTTATCAAGCGAGGGAGGGACTCTAATTTTCCGCATTTTACAGATAAGGAAACTGAGGCTTGGAATTCCTCCCTGACACACATACCTATTAGTCCTCTGAGAATAGATTTAAGTCGAAAGCCATGTGTTCTCACCAATCACCAAGTTAAGAAGGGGTCTGGAGGAAAGGCTTAAGCTCCCAGGTAGCTGCTGTCACTGCGGCCCTCAAATGCGGGAAGAGAAGGAGAAAAGCTGGGACTGGAGAGCAGAGTGCAAAGTCAGACACCAATCGCAGCCACCTTTCTGGTTCACAGCCTCCGCTGCTGTAATGAAGCGTTTAATAGGGTCCCTGGATGCTGCGGGTTACGCCTCAAACGTTTAACTTAAACTAGACTCAAATTCAATTCCTCTGAAATGAGCGCAGGGTTTCCAACGTGCTGCTCACCAGAACTGTCCCAAATATCTTCCCTCGCTCCCATGGAATCATCACTTACTCCCAACCCCTTCAAGAGACCCACAGCTCATCAGCCTCCTTCCTCCCCCACTGTCAACCTTGCTATCCTCCCACTGGACTCCCTTCAACTCCAAGCGTGCCTAGTACACTTGCACAGCTGTTATTCTATTTCCTTGCCCTTCCCAACACACACACACACACACACACGTACAGATGCACACACGAACTCGTGCATGTAAACATTCACACACATGCATGCACACCTGCTCACATGCACACCCACAAGCACAAGTGCCTGCAATTCACACACATGCATACACATACACACAAGCACAAGCATACACACGTACCTACAGATACACAATCACACACATGCACCCTCACATGCATACACACAAGCACATGCACACTAAAACAGGTGCTCAAACACCTGCACACATGAACACATATGCACACGAGCACACATGCACACACACATAAGCACACATGCACACACACCAGCACGTGCACACCCACATCCACACAAAGACATGTCCATGTCCACACATGTACACTCATGTCCACACATGTACACACATATACACACGGGCACACACTTGCCCAAGCTGCCACCCTTCAGTTGTCAGCTTAGGTGTCCCCTCAGGAAAGGCTTTCTTGATGGTCTTGGTCTTCGTCTAGGTTGAATCTCAGTTATAACCTCTCACAGCCCCGTGTGGTTTTTCTTTGCAGCACCAACCACAATTCAATTAAATGCTTCCCTGGGCAAATGTTTATTTAACATCTGTCTCTTCCACCAATCCATGAGCTCCATGGGGGCAAGGACCTCGAATGTCTTGTTCAGCAAGCACGTGGCACATAGTGTTACCATAATTGGAAGTCACCAAACATAGAACATAGGACAATTCAATGTGCATTCCTAACAAGTAAGTGGCTTTAAAACAACCATGTCATTATCACCCCAACATAATAGTAATTCCTTAATAAAATCAAATATCAAGTCTATTTTCATTGACTTCAGGTCTCCAGAATATCTTTTAATGGTCTTATCATGTGTGAATCAAGACCCAAAGAAGGTCCACGTAGCATTTGGGTGATGTGTCTCTTAAGTCTCTTTTAAACCACAGCAGTTCCTCTCTTTTCTTCATGCCTTTCATCTATTGAAGAAATTGAGTCTTTTGTGCTCCTATATTTATTTCTCAGAAATGACTTTTCAATCTTTAATCAGTGTCTTTAGCAGGGCCCTGTAATGTGGTACAGAGGGGAATGGGGTTGCAGATATGGCACACTCCGCCGTCCATAGACTTGGCAAGTACCACAGACCTCACATGCAGGCATGGTCTCATGGTTTCAGGTTGGCTCAGTGCAGAGAGCACCTGCCAGGTGGCTGCCTGATCCTGTTCTAGTAAATGCTGATCCCAGCACTCAGAGCCCAAGACCATCCAGAGCTTTTCAGGACCCAGAGGGGCTGCCACTCCAGAAGGAAATGTTTGGAGCACCTGAGTTCAAGAGGATACCATGAAACCAGAGGGGGAAAATCCCTTTAGAGAAGCCTTTCAGCCTCCTCCACGTTTCTCTACCAGGGATTGGAGAGTCACCTCCAGGGTGACTTTAAATGACCAGACACCTGTGGTTTCACTTTGCTCTTGCTTCTGCCTTTGGATGAGCTGATTGTTTTAAAATGTCTCTGCTCTCTGCTAATTTCCACATGCTCTTCCCCAGAGCCTATTATGACCTTTGGTAGGGATGGCCCCTATAAGCCAGACAACCTGAGATCTTCAAAGGCAAGAAACTGGTCTGACTACAGGAAGGCTGGGAGGTATAAACATATCCAGGGGTGTCTGATAGGATTCTGGACAAGGTGGATCTCCAAATTCCCCTCCAGCTGAGAATCTCTATAAATCACGGTAACAATTTACCACTTTGAGACAACGAAGTTCAAGAAATCAATCTACTCTCTCTGCTGGAGTTTGCTGGCTTCAAGGAGATAATAAAATGCTCCATCTAAATAGAAATCACATTTATCTTCGATCTTTCTAGGTTAAGCCACGATACAGATGAGTCCATGACTGATAAGGTAGGGAGGGGTCTTGAATCTTGATCTTTCCTCCTTCTTTCATCTTTTTCTTTTTCTTCGAGACAGAGTCTTGTTCTGTCATCCAGGCTGGAGTGGAATGGCGTGATCTCAGCTCACTGCAACCTCTGCCGCCTGAGTTCAAGTGATTCTTGTGCCTCAGCCTCCTGAGTAGTTGGGAATACAGGCATGTGCTGCCACACCCAGCTAATTTTTTTTATTTTTAGTAGAGATGGGGTTTTGCCATGTTGCTCAGACAGGTCTCAAACTCCTGGCCTCAAGTGGTTCACCTGCCTCAGCCTCCCAAATTCCTAGGATTACAGGTGTGAGCCCCCATGCCTCGCCCCTCCTTCTTTCATCTATTCAGCCACCTACTGACCCATCTTGATTCACTACTACAGGATAAGGTCTAGGGAGATGTAGGGATATTGGTGAGAGCAGTAACATCTAATTTTCGTGCATTTATACCTTGGTAACATTTCAGATGCCTTGTTTCACGTAACCATTGCAAAGAGGATTACCTATTTAGCATAAGTATTAATATGCCCATTGAGTTAGTTACTGATTTGCTACATAACAGATTATCATAACCCTGGGGGCTTAAAACAACACACATTTGTTATCTCACAGTTTCTACAGGTCACAGGTCTAGGCATGGCTTAGTTGGGTTCTCTCCCTCAGCTCTAACCAGGCTACACAATTCAGGCAACAGTGGGGCTGTTGAGCCCACAGGCTTAAATGGGGAAAAATCTGCTTCCAAGCTCCCGAGGGTTGTCAGCAAAATTTATTTCCTGGTGGCTGCAGGACCAACGGCTTCAGTTTCTTTCTGGAGACCACCTCCAGCCCCTAGAGGCTGCCCACAGTGCCTTGCTACATGGGCTTCTCCCAAATGGCCGCATACTCCACAGATGCCTGCTTCTTCACTGTCAGCAGTGGAAAGAATGCGAGTCTGCTGGGAAGATGGAGTTTTATTTAACATAATCAGAGGTGCAACAGAGCATCCCTTTTGCCACATTCTGTTGGCTAAAAACAAGTCACAGGTCCCATCCACATGCAACGGGAGGGGATCACACAAAGTCACAGACATCAGGAAGTGGAGATCCTAAGGACCACCTGAACGTCTCCACCACATACATTATACGTAAGTTTTAAAAACCTAAGGCTAGAAAACCTAAAGAGTAGAAGAAATTTCCCTCAACCACGCAGCCAAGCCACAGTGGAGGACCTGGAATTAGAAGCCAAGTCTGAAGAACTCCAAAGGCCCATGACCTCACCCGCAACTGCGTTATTCACAGAACCCATCACTGGCCTCTCTAGGAGTCATGGTCTCCCTCACCTACAACAGAGGCAAAAACAAATCTTCCGATCCAAGTTGGCAAGAATCTAACAGAAGAATGTACGAAGAGCCTGAACTTCCTGGAGGAGTTGCCTTGCAGCCACCCTTTGTGCCTGGCCTTCAAGGAAGAGTTAGTGAGATGGAGAAGAGATGCACAGAGACCACCAGGTGAGGTCATGACAGATGTGAAAGTGCAGTGCTCTGGGATGCTGGCATGCCCCAAAACTGGCAGGTAGTTCCCTGTGGCTGAAACCTAAAGAAAACGAACCATGCTTGGCAAACCACAAGGCTGAACGGGCAGGTTGGGAAGAGATTCTGAAGGGTGTCGAGCACCTGGCTTGAAATGTGGGACTCCGAGCAACTGGGAGCCAATGAAGGTACAGGCCAGAGGGCAACACCATCAGATTAAGCTTCAGGAGAATCATGCCGGCTGGACACAAGGTGGCCAGTGAGGATGTTACCACTTCAGTCCTAGCAAGAGATGAAGTGCAGATGCCATAATAAGGAAAAAAAAGACAGGCCAGGCATAGCGGCTCAAACCTGTAATCCCAGTATTTTGGGAAGCCAAGGTGGGGCAGACTGCGTGAGACCGGGAGTTCAAGACCAGCCTGGACAACATGGTGAGACCCCATTTCTACAAAAAATACAAAAATTAGCCAGATATGGTTGCATGCATCTGTAGTCTCAGCTACTTAGGAGGATTGCTTGGGCCCAGGAGGTCGAGAATGCAGCGAGCCATGACTGTACCACTACACTCCAGCCTGGGCAACAGAGCAAGATCCTGTCAAAAAAAAAAAAAAAAGACAGAAAGAAAAGAAGAGAGAAGAGAAGACAAGACAAGAGAAGAGAAGAAGGGGTAAAAAAGAGATTTGAGATATGTTTCAGGGGTCAAGTCCAAAAGCGAAGAGCCAGATGATATAATGAGAAATGGATCATCAGAAAAGCACAATGATTTGGGGAAGATCAGAAAATCAAAAAAAGGCAGGGAATAGAGCAATGTGAGCTGTCCTAAAATTTTCCAGTAAACATTGTTAAAAGAAATGGCTGGCTGGGCGCAATGTCTCATGCCTGTAATCCCAGCACTTTGAGAGGCTGAGGCGGGCAGATCACGAGTTCAGGAGTTTGAGATCAGCCTGGCCAACATGGTGAAGCCCTGTCTCTACTAAAAATACAAAAATTAGCCGGGTACGGTAGTGCATGCCTATAATTCCAGCTACTGGGGAGGCTGAGGCAGAAGAACTGCTTGAACCCAGGAGGTGGAGGCTGCAGTGAGCTGAGATCACAGCACTGCACTCCAACATGGGCAACAGAGTAAGACACTGTCTCGGAAAAAAAGAAAAAAAAGAAAAAGAAATGGCTATGCTAAGCGAAATCAGCCAGACACGAAAAGACAAATACGGTATGATTCCACTTATATGAGGTGCCGAGAAGAGTCAAGTTTACAGAGACAGAAGGCAGAAGAAAGATCACAGGGCTTAGGGGGAAACGTGAATGGGAAGTTAGTGTTTAATGGGTGTGGGGCTTCTATTTGGGAAGATGAAAAAGTTCTGGAGATGGATGGTGGTGATGGTTGGACAGCACTGTGAATAACAGACTTATAGCCAATGAACTGTACACATGGTTTAGACATGGTAAACATGATTACATTTTAAATTACATATATTTTACCACCTTTTTTAAAAAAACAAAAACACAGAACACCTCCTTTTTTTGAAAAGAGCAACAGGATGACACATGAAGTAACAACACAGCAGAATGTCATCCCAACACCAGGCCCTGGTCTGCTCCATGCTGAGAGAAGCCATTGAGCAGGACAAAATCCTCAGAAAGACCCATTCATCAAAAGTGACAGTCTAATGGATGTCCCTGGTCACCAGTTCCCTACCCACTCTCTTCCAACTTTGTCAACATCACAAGCAAGGCATATTTGCTTAACCACTGAAGGGGTAGGAATAAAAGCAGAAGGGAGATCAACCTTCTTGGCAGATCCTTCAGGCAGGGCTGCCTGGACACGGACAGATACACCCAAGCTGCCAAGTATTCGGCTTGAGACAGCTGGATCCAACCCCCAATCATCCATGTGATGAATGACTAATTGTGGAGCTCCTAAGTTTTACAGGGCACCGTGTCCAGTGCTGGGGTACAGTGACTCAGAACAGCCACAGCCCAGCCGTGATGGCACTCACAGCCATCAGAGAAAGGATGAGGGGGCAGGGACAGAACAAGAGTCCATTTCCATCACTCTAGGTGCCATCCACCTGCTGAGGCCCTGAGCCACAGCCCCACCCTCGCCACTCTTCTGCCTCCAGGTTCCCATGCTCGGAGGTCTTTTAGCCACCTCTTCTCAAAGGTCTAATGTCTATTTCAGGGGTACCACATCCCACTCAACACCTCCCTAGGGCTCCATAAAGATATGTGGAATGAAAAAATGAGTACCATCTGACCCATGTGTTGCAAAATGAGCAGGTAAGTGCCAGGATGTAAAGATTCTGAACAGCCCAAGTTGCAGACAGAGGAGACAGGAGTCTGTGTGGTCCCTGAGGTGCTCCTGCTGCCCACAGGGTCAGGGGCGAGTGTACAACAGACCCAGGGATGGCAGAGGGCAGGCTTTACTTGCCTAGATGAGCACATTTGTTTCTACATCTGCATTTGTTTCTTTCCCAAAGGTACGATACATCTAGGTTTGAAGAAGCTTCAAAAATCTCCTTGGACATAGGAGGAGGATCACTTCAACCCAGGAGGTCGACGCTTCAGTGAGTCGTGATTGCACCACTGCACTCCAGCCTGGGTGACACGATGAGACCCTGTCTCAAAAAAAAAAGAAAAAAAGAAAAAAAATATATATATATATATCATTAGACATACTCCATCCCACATTGGGTAGACAGAGTAACACCCCCTAAAATGTTATGTTTAGAATTTTACACTGCCTAAAGATATCCAAGTATTACCTCCAGTACCAATGAATGCGACTTTATTTGGAAGTACGGCCTTTGCAGATGATGAAGTTAATAAGAAGTCACCAGGCTGAGTCCTAATATGATGTGACTATGCCCTTATTTTATTTTTTAAGTAATTTTTTTATTTCCATAGGTTTTAGAGGAACAGGTGGTATTTGGTTACATGAACAAATTCCTTAGTGGTGATTTGTGAGGTTTTGGTGCACCCATCACCCAAGCAGTACATAATGAACCCAATTTGTAGTCTTTTATCCCTCATCCTCCTCCCATCCTTTCCCCCTGAGTCCCCAAAGTCCATTGTATCATTCTTATGCCTTTGCGTCCTCATAGCTTAGCTCCCACTTATGAGTTAGAATATATGATGTTTGGTTTTCCAACCCTGAGTTACTTCACTTAGAATAATGTCTCAAATTCCATCCAGGTCGCTGTGAATGCCATTAAATCATTCCTTTTTATGGCTGAGTAGTATTCCATTGTGTGTGTATATATATGTGTGTGCGTGTGTGTGTGTGTGTGTATACACACACACACACCATAGTTTCTTTATCCACTCATTTCTTTATATATGGTGTGTGTGTATATATATACACACACACCATAGTTTCTTTATCCACTCATTAATTGATGGGCATGTGTCCTTCTTTTAAGAAAGGAAATCTAGATATGAAAACAGACACATACAGAAGGGAGATGACATGTAGACACAGGGAAGACACTACCTGTGATCCTAGGGACACCTGAGCTCTCCTGAAGTTGGAAGAGAAAGAGCCTGGAACAGACAGCCTTCAGGAGGAACGAACTCTGGAGATAGCTTGATTTCAGAGCCTTGGCTTCCAGAACTGGCACACAGAAGAATTAAGCCACAGATGGAATAAAGGCTGCTGACCTTAAAATGGGGAGATTCTCCTCGGTTATCTGGGTGGTCCCAGTGGAGTCCCAAGGGACCTTACATGTGGAGTGTGAGAAGGATTTAACCCTTCCTGGCTAGCTTTGAAGACGGAAGCAGAAGCCACTAGTGAAGGAATGCAGGCAGCCTCTCAAAGATGAAAATGGAAGGAAATGGATTCTCCCCTAAAGCCTCTAGGAGGAACATAACCCCACTGATGCTTTGATTTTAACTTCATAAGACCCATGTAGGACTTCTAACCTCCAGTACTATAAGAGAATAAATGTGAATTGTTTTAAACCGTTAAGTTTTGGGTGATATTTTACAGCTGCAAGTAAACTAATGCCCCAAGTTTCTTTAAGACTTCATGCAAAATGGCTTTCCTAACACAACCTAACGTGTATGTCTGGTTTTGCTTCCAAGGAATGTTCCTGCTGTCTCACTAGAGATGGAGTGAAGTTTCAGAGGATGGGAAGTAAGAAGACACTGTACCCTGTTGGTTGAGCTTCTCACAAGCCAGGATGCTGGAATGAAAGCATCAGGATTGGTCTAGCTTCAGGAATGGCTTAATAAGGCCCCCAAACGCACCACTGGCATCTAGTCTTCCCTCTCCAAGCCTATGCTCTGCTTCCTCTGGGTGGGTCCTAGCTTTCCCTTATGGTGACAAGATGGCTGCCACAGCTTCAGCATCACATGCACTATCCTTCAAGCCCAGTGAGGAGACGAGTCAGCTTTGAGCCACAGGCCCATTCTGGAACAATTCATTTGACCCAGGGAATAATGTGAACTGATTGGGGTTAGGTGTGGGTCATCCTGGAGATGGGGTAGAGGGGTAGAGCTTCATTCCAGCCACCTTCAAAGATGAGGGAGATTCGCCTGGCTAAAACATAAAAGCATCCATGATATATTGTGACATTTAAAAATAATATATGAGGCCAGGCGTGGTGGCTCACACCTGCAAACCCAGCACTTTGGGAGGCCGAGGCAGGTGGATCACTTGAGGTCAGGACTTCGAGACCAGCCTGGCCAACACGGTGAAACCCCGTCTCTACGAAAAATATAAAAAGTAGCCGAGTGTAGTCGTGGGCGCCTGTAATCCCAGCTACTCAGGAGGCTGAGGCAGGAGAATCGCTTGAACCCAGGAGGCACAGGTTGCAGTGAGCTGAAATCATGCCATTGCACTCCAGCCTGGGTGACACAGCAACACTGTCTTTAAAAAAAAAAAAAAAAGAAAAAAAAAACTACTTTTCGATATTTACATACTATATTTTACATACATATATATTTTATAAAATAGCATATCATATAAACACTATATGTAGTGCATAAAAATATATTGTGAAATTAAAAGTTGTCAAGAGCAAATTTTCCTAACCTGGGTGCGACTTCATCAGTGTTAGAATTCATAACCCATGCCCTGATTATCTGTGCATTTCTTCTGTAGGCATGTCATACTTCAATAAAAGTTTTTAAGCTACAGAATAAAAATGGAAAGTACAGCCCTATTTTTAAAAAGAAAAGCAGGCCGGGCATGGTGTCTCATGCCTGTAATCCCAGCACTTTGGGAGGCGGAGGAAGGGGGATCACCTGAAGGTCAGGAGTTCAAGACCAGCCTGGGCAACATGGTGAAGCTCCATCTCTACCAAAAATACAAAAATTAGCTGGTCGTGGTGGCAGGCACCTGTAATCCCAGCTACTCAGGAAGCTGAGGCAGAAGAATCGCTTGAGCCTGGGTGATGGAAGTCGCAGTGAGCTGAGATCATGCCACTGCACTCCAGCCTGGGCAACAGTGAGAGACTCCATCTTAAAATAAAATAAAATAACATAAAATAAAATAATAAAATAAAATAAAATAGGAAGAGAAGCAGCAAAAAAGGATGGAAAGAGAGAGGGAAGGAGGGAATTGCAAGCAAACAGACAGAGAGAAAAAAAGAAGGGAATGCCCAAAGGATGCCCCCAATGATTGAGTGGTTACATACACAGGAGTATGTCAATTTTCAGCTGGAGTGACTTTGCCTCCCAGAGGACATTTGGCGATGTCTGGAGACATTTGGGGTTTCACAACTGCAGGGGTGGGAAGCGCTATTTGCATCAAGTGGTTGGAGGCCAGGGTTGCTGCTCAACATCGTATGAGGCACAAGGCAACCCCCACAACAGAATGATCCAGCCCCAAACGTCCATAGAGCCAAGGTCGAAAAGCCTGTTATGCAGGTAAGATTGGAGGAAGAGAAGCTGAGAACGAGGATTTCCACTTTCTTCTTTGTGTCCTTCATTCTTTGAAATTTTCACAAAAATCATACCTTACCTTTATTTATTTATTTATTTATTTTTGAGACGGAGTCTCGCTCTGTCGCCCAGGCTGGAGTGCAGTGGCGCGATCTCGGCTCACTGCAAGCTCCGCCTCCCGGGTTCACGCCATTCTCCTGCCTCAGCCTCCCGAGTAGCTGGGACTACAGGGGCCTGCCACCACGCCAGGCTAATTTTTTGTATTTTTACTAGAGATGGGGTTTCACCGTGTTAGCCAAGATGGTCTCGATCTCCTGACCTCGTGATCTGCCCACCTCGGCCTCCCAAAGTGCTGGGATTACAGGTGTGAGCCACCGCGCCCGGCCCCTTACCTTTATTTTTAAGAAATAAACACTTCTGGCAAGGCGCGGTGACTCACGCCTGTAATCCCAGCACTTTGGGAGGCTGAGGTGGGTGGATCATCTGAGGTCAGGAGCTCGAGACCAGCCTGACCAATATGGTGAAACCCTGTCTCTATTAAAATTACAAAAAAATTAGCTGGGCATGGTGGCATGCACCTGTAGTCCCAGCTACTCAGAAGGCTGACAGGAAAATCGCTTGAACCCGGGAGGTGGAGGTTGCAGTGAGCTGAGATCATACCACGCCACTCTAGCCTGGGTGACAGAGCGAGACTCTGTCTCAGTAAATATATACATACATACATACACACACACAGAAACACACACTCCTTAAAGTGGCCACAGCAAACCACAGGCCAAATCCAGCTCACAGTATGTGTGCAGCCCACCTACTAGCAATCATTTTCATGTGTTTAAAGGATTGCATTGAGACGGTAACCAAAGAACCTACACAGCATCCTTGACTGTGCCTATTGGACCACAAGGCCTGACATATTTAGGACCTGGCCCTTTATAGAAAAAGCTTGTTGTCGCTTGGCAGAGATCAGCCTTTGTCCGAAGCCTCCCACTACAAAGAAGCCCCCAACCCAACCAAGGGATGTGCTATGTCTTCTGAGATGTGTTCTAGAAGCACGGTGAGGCAGAGACCCCTGGCTGCCTCTACCAATGTGCTGGTTTCCTGCTACTGCTGTCACAAATTCATGCAAATTAGTGGCTTAAAACACAAATGTACTATCTTACATTTCTGGAGGTCAGAAGTCTGACATAGTTCTCCCTGAGCCATAATCAAGGTGTCAGGAGGGTTGTGTTCCTTCCTGGCGTTTCTATGGGATTATTCATTTTCTTCTTCATTTTCTTATCTTTCCCACTTTCTAGAGGCCACCTGCATTCCTTGGCTTGTGGTCCCCTCCTCCACCTTCAAAGCCAAAAGTAGACCACGGAGTTTCTCTCCCATGAGATCGCTCTGATTCTGAGCCTGCTGTCTGCCTCTTCCAAATGTAAGAACTCTCATGATTACATCAATCCCGCTGGGACAATCCCAGATACTCTTCCTATCTCAAGGTCAGACAATAACCAACCTTAATTCCACCCACAACATTGATGCCCCTTTGCCATGGAACGTAACATATCCACAGGTTGCAGAGATTAGGATGTGAATATCATCAGGGAAACATTATTTCGGGGAAACATTCCACCTTTCATGCCAGACATCCACTCCCCTCCCTCTCTCAGAGAATCTCAAACTCCCTTGCCAATAGGTGTGGCCGTGAGATTATGTTTCAGTCAATGCAATATAAATCCAAGCACTTATATAATATCAGGAATTCCCTTTAAAGGCAGTCTTTTCATCACATCAATTCTACTATCTCAAACTCAGATGTGATAACTGGAGCAGCAGTAGCCACACTGGGCCATGACAATGTCCCTCAAAGGCATAACAGAATGAATTGCCAAAGGTGCCTAGGTCTGTGATGACTTTACAGAGTCACCATGCCAACTTGGAGGGCCTCTCCTGGACTTATTTATAAGGGAAAATAGAAGTGTGTGTGTTTAAATCTCTACAGGTGGGGGTGGAAGAATTCTATTACAGCAAAATGAAACTCCCAGCAGATTCTGAAAATGAGAACACTGCCTTACTTATTCATCCCTCAACATGCGTATACCAAGAGCCTGTTAAGGGCCAAGCACAGTACTAGATGATACAAACAGAAACCTGTCACAGTCCTTACACCCCAAGATTTGAGCCTTGTGGGGAGACAGCTCAAGCCTAAGTTGTAATACAAGTAGTAATGCAACCAAACTACATTTTTATTTTTATTTTTTTGAGATGGAGTTTCACTCTTGTTGCCCAGGCTGGAGTGCAATGGCACAATCTCGGCTCACTGCAACCTCCGCCTCCTGGGTTCAAGAGATTCTACTGCCTCAGCCTCCTGAGTAGCTGGGATTACAGGCACCCACCACCACGCCCAGCTAATTTTTGTATTTTTAGTAGAGATGGGGTTTCGCCGTGTTGGGCAGGCTGGTCTCCAACTCCTGACCTCAGGTGATCCGCCCACCTTGGCCTTCCAAAGTGCTGGGGTTACAGGTGTGAGCCACCACGCCTGGCCCAAAGTACGTTCTTAGAAGTACGGCTGGTGAGCTACAGAGGCAACAACTCCTGCTGGGGGAATCAAGGAGGTGGCCATGGGGAAGTGAGGATGTGTGGGAGTCTGCCGGGGGTAAAGGTGAAAAGAGCATTCATTCCAGGCAGTGGGACCTCCAGGACAAGGGTAAGGTCACACAAGGGTTAAGAGAGAGTGGGGCTGCAGTGAGATGGCCAGTGAGTTAACGTCTGAATGCAAAGAGTAGGGAGGGCAGGAGAGGTGATTTACGGGGGGAAAGCAGAAAATATCGGGAATATGAAGCTGACAGCTTTGGCTTCTATGCTGGAGCACTAGGAACAGCCCTCTTGCGTGGCTCAGCAGTGAGGATGGGCCACGTGCATTAATCACCTGAGGCCGTCTACCTTTTCCCCTGGGGCCTTTGAGATGCAATGCTCTCAGGACCCTTCTCCATCCACACCTGGTCATTTCCCTGAGGCAGAAGAGAAGCCCAGTCCCAGCTCTATCTACCCACCCCCAGCCTTCTCAAGCCCAGTTCTAACCTCCACTCCATCCCCATCAAAGCTGCCAATTTTAGTTCCTATTTTCTTTTCTTATTGCTAGCTTTGACCTCTTAGTGGGTGATCACTAATAAACCTAAATAAACTCCCCCTCCAAAAAAAAAAAAAAGTTGCAAACTTTCCAAGTTCAAAACAGGATTATAAATTATTCCATCTTGGCAAACACAGTCCCTTCCCTAGGCAACGTGAAGTGTTGGCAGAAGCTTAAAAGAGGCATTCATTTCCTCCTCTCTTTGCATCTGTGGTTTAGATGTACAAAAAAATATGGTTCAGCATTTTTACTGGAACGCAGATTTATCCACACTCCTGCCCCCACTTGTCTCTCCAGCAAAAGACGAGGTCAATCAATCACACATTATATCAGTTGCATTCACCTCTTGTCAATTTCAATATTGGTGCTGATTGAGGGATTCATGGAAAACAGACAAGGCCACTGCTCGAGTGCAGAGTGAAGGGTGGTCATAACAAATAGCCTATTAAATGGGACCCTGCTCACTTCTCCCTGAGCAGAGGCTACAAAATTCAGGGAGAAGCTGAAACTTACAGAGACAATGGGATGGAGTGATGAAGAACCTTCCGGCAAATTCTGTAATGACCATGTCACTTTGGCACATAAGGGACACTGACAGCCCATTAGGCGGCTGATCTAGGTCATTTAAGGGGGAGAAAGCCATGTCATTCTTTGAGAGGAATGCTCCCCGAATTATTCTGTTTCTTTATCATTCACCTTCTCATTACTAATTGTTGTTAAGTACTCTCTGCTCAAAGTGCATGTTTCATGTCCCAAAAGATACACTAAGGGTGGAGTGACATTTTAATCCAATACATTAGGGAAATATTTTACATCCTCTCTGCCTGGACAATGGACATTACAAGTACACAGGTAAATAGTAAAGGCTCTGAGAAGTCCTGCAGAAAAAGTAATCAGTGCAGCCTAGAAGGGAGTAGCTTCACATCTGGATTGAGTCGCTTCTAGCTTTTAATCCTGGCCTTGCCACTTTCCAGTGTGTAACCCTGCAGGGTGGTGGTGAGAACTGAATGAGAAAAAAAGCACGTAAAGCATAGTGCCTGGCCCCTGGTAAGCACATAATACATATTTGCCACAATAATAATTACTAATGTTGAACCCGGCATTTACCAAAATACATTTGACTATTCTGTTCTTCTTTTGTGTTAACACCCATTACGACCTATGAAAGTGGTTTTCCTCAAAACACTGAGGGGGAAAGATTGCAGTAAGCGATTTTGTTTTAATTTGACCAACAGTTAGATGAGCCACATACTGAGCCAGGCACCGTTCTGGGTGCTTTATACACATTAGCCCATTTAATCCTCACGACCACCTGATGAGGTAGGAATCACTACGATGAATATGCACATTTATACATGAGGCACATTTATACGTGAAGCATCCTGCCAAAAGTCACGCAGCTAGTGAGTAGCTGGCCCTAGAGTCTCTAGTCCATATCTTTGATGTTCGGGCCAAAAAGCCCAACCCCTGAGAACCTCCTGAAGCTATTTTCCTGTGACCCATTTGCTCTTCTCCGAAAACTATCATAAAATTTCATTTTTATCAACTACTTCTTCTGCTCAAAAACCTAGAATGCCTCCTCATCACCTTTGGAGTCATATTCAAATTTCTTCTGTTTCTAGGCTCTTAATATGCTCTACCTTGATTGTCCCTCTGCCTGGCCTACTCTTGCTCTCTCTGGTAAACTCCTATGCACCCTTCAAAACCCAACTTAAAACTTGCTGCTTCTAGAAGGCCTCTCTGAACACTTCTGTCCAAGGTGAAGTTAGTGCCTTAACTTATATCCTTTCTTTCAACTTTAGGAGAACCTCTATTGACTGACATTGGCCAGACTGTATGCCCATTATACCCACAGTAGTGAGCTGAGATGATTCGCTGCTGCTGCTACTGCTGCTGCTACAAGCCTTGACTTTCCTTCCCACTTTCAGTCCAGGTAGGGAGTGAGATGACTCCACCCTGACCTCTGCAAGAAGCCTGTACCCATGTGTGGCCAGTCAGAGCAATGCACCACCCTTGGCTGCAGGAATTGCTAAGCAATGATCACATGACCCAATCAAAGCCAGTAAGACAGAACCCCAAGACTCCTGACGGAGTGGCCTGGACACATAGACTCATTTCTGCAGGACTTAGAGCTGGGAGCTGGGAAGCTGAGCGCCTGATGCCACTGGTACCACCCTGTGGAAAGGGACTTCCTGATAGTGAAGCCAGCATGGAGGAGAATGCAGAATAGGCAAAGAAGAAAGAGAACAAACCTGAGTCCTGATGACACTGGCCAAGCTCCTAGATCAAGCCTTACCTGAAGTAGTCATATTGTTAGACATCTTAATTATGTCAACCAATAAACTCTCTTTTCTACTAAAGAAAGTAAGAGTTGGAGTTCTGTCACTTGTAGCCCCAGGAGCCCAGACTAGTACAATCTCTAGGGAATGGCTGAGGTCCTCTAATAAAAAACAATGTCTAACTCATTTTCCCAGTGCCCAAATCATAGTGTGAAACATCTTATAAACATGTGTTGCAATGAAATTCAACTTCTAAGTTTCAAAATGCTTTTATGAGCACCTGCTCAGTTGATCCTAGGGACTTACTATGCATTCCTACCCCCATTTCACAAACAGAGAAACTGAGGCTCAGAAAGTTTAAGCAGTTTCCTCTGAATATTCTATGTCTTTGATATGATTCAACTAGTGTTTTGCATAGCATGCATGCAGTTGGTGCTTAACAGTGCCAACTAACCAGGCCTAACAGACCCAAATGTAGTGCCTGTGCTGCCATCCTGCTGCCTTGGGTTAGAGGAGACCCAGATGAGTTTTGGCAAGCAAAGTGGTGCCAACTCAGGTCTGAGCGGCTCTCATCTTTGTAAGCCATCTCACCCTCCTGGCAGACCCACAGCCCACCTTTTCCCCACACCAGTGGGCGCCACTTATACATTCATGAATTTCAGATCTTGCCAGGCCCTCAAGGTTGCCCCCTACTCCTCCTGTTTCCCCACCAGTAAGTGAAGACTTGTTGGCTGTGTCTCCATAGCTTTGAAAATCCAGCCATTTCTCAACAGTTGGAGTGTGAAATTAGGCAGATGGAACATCCAAATAACGGACTGTGCCGCATCTGGAAACTGTGGCATCAAGCAACAATCAGAGGTGGTCGCTTTATAGCATGTGAGCAAGGGAGGAAATTAATGCCACTTTATTCTTGATGGCTAAATTGAACCCAGCAAAGCAGTCAGAGTGTGCACACTGGGGTCTGAAACCCAAATCCCACCTCTACCATTTCTTCTCTGCGTCATCATAAAAGGAGACTTAAGCTTTGGATTTTCCTACCCATAAAATGGGCATAAATTATCTCCAATAAATGTTTAGAAGATTCAGAGAGATAAACCACAGTGGCATATTGTAAGCACTCAATAAATTATCTGATGTTTGCTCTTTAATTTCCTTAAACATAAAAAGATACCGAAAACCTTGCCAACTGAATCAGAACACGGGTTTTACAAATAATTAAATGAGGTCAGCACAATTTCATTGAAGCTGTTCAGGCAGCTTTAGTGACAAATGAAGCAACATTCTGCAAGTACATCTACTAGAACCTTAAATTAGTCAAACCTAAGGTAGCAAGCAAGGAAAGTACAGACGAGGAGGTGAGTCCTGTTTGCAAATCAGAACGCTACAGAAATGGCCACAGATTGCAAATCATAAATTCTACTTTCCAGAAGTTCCATTATATGTAGATACCAGAAGGCAAATAAAAGCATACTTAAAAATAGTGTTGGCAACATCTCTTTGAAAAAAAAAAAAGATGAAAATGGCATGATTTCATAGCACTAAATGCAAACAAGTGGTAATACATAATATCAGCCCGAATAGTTTTCAAAGAGCAGAATAACAGTTGAATAACAGCTGAATTGGAACTATTTGAGCATTTTTTAAAAACATAAAAGATGTGGTACCCTTGATCACAGCATTAGAGACAATGTTGTCAATTACTGATGAAGCCTCAGTTAACTCTTAGATGGCCTGAATGACATATTAAGTTTCTGTGAAGCCTGGAAAAACAGACTGCCCCATTGGAGGGACACCACCTTATAAAGTTCTGCAGGGCTTCCCAACCAGGGGGGTGATTTTGTTCTCCCAGGGGCATCTGGCAATGTCTGGAGACATTTTCGGTTGTCCCAGTTTGGGGAGATGAAGATGCTACTGACGTCCACTGAGTAGAGGACAGGAATGCCACAAAAGCTCCCACAAGCACATGACAGACACCACAGCAAAGAATGATCAGCCCCAAATGTCAATAGCGCCAAGACTGAGAATCCCACGCTGGAGTTAGCCAGCCTGTTTTTTGGTTGCAAGACCTTGAGGGAGCTTTTAGCCTCTCTGAGCCTTGGTTCTACCATCTGTCAAATAAGGGGGCATCCCAGGACCTAACTTCCAGAGTTGTTGAGAGATTATGAAGCGACATTAATCACCATCATCACTTCCATTCAACAGGCTCTTGCTATGCCTTGGGCACCATGCCAAGAGTCTGCCTGTGCATTATTTGATTTAATGTTTGTAACAACCCTATGGGGGAGTTAGCACAGCTAAGGTCCCACATGGAAGGGATGCAGGCTCGAGCCCCAGCAGCCTATGCCTTGACCTCTTCATCCTCACTACCCAGTGTGGTCTATGGGCCTGCAGCCTCAGCTTCACCAGGGAGCTTGCTAGAAATGCAGAATCTTGAGCCCTGCCCCAGACCTACTGAGTGCAAATCTGCACGTGAGCCAGATCTCCAAGTGATTTATGTGCCTGTTAGGGTTTTAGACACAATTTGCTAAGGACAGCAGCTGGCCCTAAGTAAATACTAAATAAATATTAATTATTTGTATTGTCGTCACTGTAGCTTACGGAGAGATTTGCTAGGATAAAATTCAGACTCGGCATAATATGCATGGATGTGATGATGACTCACCCAAGGGCATAGGGTCTGCCCTGCCTTTTACTGAGTCTCTCTCTATACAGATAAAGACCAGGCTGTCAAATACAAAGAGCCAGGACCCCATACTAGCTCTTCTGATTCCTCAGTCCCTCTTCCTCCTTCAGCATCCTGTCCTCTCCAGTGGCGTATCTATTTCACACTATGGTGTAAATGACTCATGGTCTACGAGGCCTCTCCAAGGGAGTTCCAAAGCTCAAGCCATGCTTTCCGCCACTGATTGATAAAAAAAATCCAGATCTTTATTGCCAAACCTCAAGTGATGGGCAGTGCCATTTTAGTGCATAAAAAGGTGACATCACAAAGCATTCTTTATCTCTTTAAAATTTCCTACCTTATTATACAAGTCATGCATGAGTACATCCTCAGGATAAAATATTCAAGTTATATATAAGTGCATAGGGCACAAAGCAAAAGTCCCTTTCATCACAGAGGCGCTGAAGGTTTCAAAGCAGAGACTCCTGAGTTTGGATCTCACCTCCATCCCTTACTAGACGTGTGTCTTTGGACAACTTACTTGCCCTCTCTGTGACTCAGTTTCCTCATCTGTACCTCAAATATCTGTTTAAGGATGAAATGTAATAATGCCTAAAAAATGCTTAGCTCTGAGCCTGCACACAGTGGGAATTAGCAATGCTTTCACACCCTAGTCTTGTCCCCAAAGGTAAGTCCTATTCGCAGCTTGGCATGAAGACTTGGAGACCCTCTGCTATGCATTTACTTATACAGGTACCCAACAAGTACAAGTGCACATTTAGTATAAAGACGATCACAGCAGACCTTAGTTTTCCAACTTGCTTGCTTTAGAGTTCAGCTGAGTTGTGGGGATATTTTAATGCCCATCACACAGATGTATCTCTTGTTCTAACCGCTCTGTACGTCTATCCTTGGGACAGAGGCACAATGATAGATTGAATAATTCCCCTATTGTGGACATTTAAGTTTCCACCATCTACCTACTGAAAGTCGACCGTACATGCAAAGGCAGCCAAACTCCAGCATGTCAGATGGAGGAAGCTGAGCAGCCAGGAAGTGGAGCCAGGCGGAGGATGCTGTCATCAGAGCCTCTGCCAAGGACGGGAAGGATGACGACAATCTGGGGCACACTCAAAATAAATAATTGTCCTTAACCCTCTCAAAATTGGGAAGCACATCCTTAGTCACCGGCTTCCTGTCACAGCTGGGTGCTGTGCCCTCACACCGCCCACTGCAAGGCTGTGCCCAGGCTCCCAGGTTCACAGCCAACAAGGGCACCTGCCCGGGATGATTCCTCCAACGCCCCAAGCGCTTCTCTCCAGCAAGGGGGCCAAGTGCAAGGAGTTACCCTGGCCAAAAAGGACCTAAAAAATGACCCAGAAGAGATGTTTAATGACTTGGGTACTATCAAAACCCTGAAATGTTACCCAGACCACTAATCTATAAAGCAGATCAAAGGGAGAGCCCTGGTGGAACCAAGCTGGTTGTTCAGAGGGGGAGATAAAGAGCCTCATCTTTTCCCCTGAGACCCCCAGGGTCCTCCAGAATACAGTTGATAAACCACTGATCTATCTGGTCCAGTTGGTTTCTCAGATTTGGTGGCTGGAGCTCATGGAGAGGAAGTTACTCACCAAAGACCACACAGAGATTAAGTAGCAGAGCCCAGTGAAGGGCTCTAGTCCCCTGACACCTGACTCCCAGGCTACTGTGCTTTCTGTGAACTTCTAGAGCATGTGCTTGTTTAGACTAAGGTGTGAATGACTGTGTCATTCAGAGATGATTATGTTTTCAGACACACTTTCCATTAGAGCCACAGCTCTCCACCCCAGGTAGGAATGGCCCAAGTGTAACTCACAAGATAAACAACACAGAACTTCCTGGGCTGGGGGTGTGTTTCTCTGAGAGGTCTGAATGTGGAAAGATAAAATAACTGAGAAAAAAAACGATAAAAACTGCTTTCATATTTTAAAAATGAATTGAAAATGAAACCAAATATGAAATTCACCTGAACTTTTATGATTAAATTTTAGACTTAAATTCACTGTGGTCCCCGTCAGTGCCTTGAGATGAAGCACCCGCATGACCCTGGCCCTGGCTCCTAACGGCATGAGGTCCGTCTCTTACGCTGTTGATGCATTAGGTTGATGCAAAAGTTATTGCAGTTTTTGCCATTACTTTTAATGCCAAAAACTGCAATTACTTTTGTGCCAACCTAATACATTGGTGGAAAACTGTGAGGGGTCCTGAGCCCAAGGAAGGATTTCTTAATGGAAAGATTATTGGCAGCAGAGTAAGGGAATGGTTTTCAGTGGAGAAAAGGTCATCCCAAGCCCTTGAAATCTCTCTATGTATACAGTCTACTCTGCCTAATCCATAATCATAAAATGAACATTTATTGTGCAAACATTTTCTAAGCACCTACTGTATGCCCAGCACTATGCTAATCACTTTACAAGGATGAGATGGGCATTAGCATTATCTCCCATTTTACAGATGACAAAACTGAGGCTCAGAAAACGTAAGTCATGGGAATATCCGAGTCCATCGGTAATAGGAACAGGATCCAGAAACTCTTCCTCTCCAGCAGTGTGACCAACCATCCCAGTTTACCCAGGGCCATTCTCATGTTAACATGGAAAGTACCACGTCCCAGGAAGCCTGCATTCCCAGGTATAACTGGGACAACTTGCTGCCCTAGTGGAGGTTCTGCTGAGGCTATTCACAGAACGAAAATAGTTAATACTGACGCTTAAGCTCCTTGCTAGGGTGCCCCTAGCAAAGTCACATGGTTAGCCAGGACTCTTCCTGGAGTGTTCGAAGGGAGGCTAACTCCCCGATCCTGGGCGGGCTGGGTGGAGTGGAAACGAGGATGGCAACTATGGATGCAGGTGTTGGAGAGCGAGAGTCCGACTGGGTGGCCAGCAGAGGCAGGACATCTCTGACACATTCCTTTGGGTTGTTTGGATGAGGGTGACCCACCAGTCCCACATCCCAGGAGATCCCTCAATCTCAGATAATCCAGAACAGCTGGTGACCCTACTTCCCAAGGAGAAGCTGTTGCTGAATATTCCAGAAAACGCACACACCTTCAACAACTGCAGGCTCCATATCTCTGTCTACTTATTTGCCTTTTATTCCCCACTCCTCTTTCCCTCAAATTGGCAGGCAGTGCAACACTGTGCTGTTGTCTTGCTCTCTCCATGAATGACTACAGAAAGAAAAAAATAAAATGGAAAAGGTCATTGTGCTTTAAAAGGAGCCTTTAAAAAAATAAAAGAAAGAAAAGAAAATTACCTGAATAGGCTCCCATTAGTGGGAAGTAAGAAACGGTTTCAAACGGAAAACTGTTCTCAAGAGAAAGCACATGTTGACCCTGTGATTGTGTTTTAAACTTGTGTTGAAAATGTTCTCACAATGTTTCAGAAGGCTTTTTTGCATATTTATTTTCCTTACCCTGATGAGAGGTGCAGTTCAGAGGACTTGTTGACAAGTGTGGAGACAGACGTTCTGTCTTACAGGCTCCCTCTCCTGGGCTGCACGCCTTCCCCTGGGACCTCTAGGTCCGCATTCAACTTCCGTCTCTGCCTCCGCCTTCTCTCATTCTCATTCTCGTTCTCTCTCTCTCTGTCTCTCTCTTGTTCTTTCTCTCTCTCTCCCCCCATCTCCTCTCTTTCCTTTCCTTCCTTTCCCTCCTCCTCCCTCACCTCCGTCCTTCTTCCTCCCCTCCCACACCCATACTAGCCTTCAACTTACTCCTCCTCCTCACCAAGCTCACTCAAACTCTAACAGCCTTTGCACTTTCTGTTCCCTCTGCTCAAACACTTTTCCCTTTGTGATTTGCCTGGTCAACTCCTTCTCATCCCTCGAGTCTCTGCTTACGTGACCCCATCTCAAGGGGGCTTTCTTGACTTCTCCATGAAAAGTAGTTCCATTCCTCCCTCTACCCCTCCGCATCCTGCAGCTTCCTTCAAAGCACTTACCCTACTCCTCGTAGCCCATTCCTGAACATACTTGCTGTGCGTGGGGGAGGCAGATGTCATGTCTGACTATTTGCACTTGCATCCCCAGGCTTATCCCCATGTCTGGCAGATATACAGCAGGTGCTCAACCAGTGCTTTCAACTGCATGACTAAGCCAATGACTCCCACACACTTGACTGACAACTCTCTGGATGGTTTCTGGTTCCTTGGTTTGGGCTCCCCCAGAAGTGGATCCTGAGATGAAGATTCGAGTACAGGTAGTTTATTTAGCAGGTAAGCCCCTGAGTGCAGAAGAGACTTGGAGAAGGGAGGGAAGCCAGTGCAGGGTGTGCTATGAAGAGACTGCCAACGCAGGCAACAGGGGCCTAGTCCCAGGGGCCACTTGGAGATGACGCAGAACCTGCTCCCCCTGCCATGGGGCAACATCACTGGCTGAGGCTGCTACTGGGGACTTTATCTCTGACACTTCTGGTCTACCCCAAGCTTGGAAGGAAAGAAAGTACTCAGCAGACAGTCATGGGTGCTGCCAAAGGACCCCACTAGAATAGACCAAGACGATGAGTTCCAAGGGGACAAGAACCAATGGTACCCGCAGCATGTGCCACGCCTAGTAACCACAGCCAGCAGCTGCACTAGCGTCTTAGAGCTCCTCATCCTGCTGAAAATGTCTCCCGGCAACACTGCTTGTGTGCACCACCCCTTCCTTCATCAACTGCCTCCTCTGCTGCCTTTCCCGACTCTCCCACTGCCCTGTCTGCTCATCCCTGGTCTCCATCCCTAACCCTTCTCCTGTCCTCCTTAGTGAGCAGGGTCCCCACCCACCGCTCCTTCCCCTATACACCTTTCTCTGAGAAACACAACAGCAGGTGAATCCCAACCTTGGGATCCCCTCACCTGAGCTCCTGTCCCAACAAACAACCACCTGCAGGAATAACAGCAACAACAGTCACAACTGAGGGTAGGACTCAGCAGCACTGGGGTGTCAGAGTTCCGCGCATGCTCTCAGAATGCACCGTCTGGGCTCCAGCACTGCCTCCAGCCCTTACTAGCTGTGAACTTGGACAGATTACTAACCTTTTTTTTTTTTTTTCTTTTGAGACAGAGTCATGCTCTGTCACCCAGGCTGGAAAGCAGTGGCACAATTTCAGCTCACTGCAACCTCTGCCTCCCAGGTTCAAGCAATTCTCCTGCCTCAGCCTCCCAAGTAGCTAGAACTACAGGCACCCACCACCAAGCCCGGCTAATTTTTGTATTTTTTAGTAGAGATGGGGTTTTGCCACGTTGGCCAGGCTGGTCTCAGACTCCCGACCTCAAATGATCCAGCCACCTCAGCCTCCCAAAGTGCTGGGATTACAGGCATGAGCCACCGCACCCAGCCAGATGACTATCTTAAAACTTGTGATAAAGAAAGTCTTATCGCAAAGGGCACTTATGAGCCTTTAGTTAGTTTAACAACAGTATATTAAAGCGCTTAGCATGGTGCAGGGACGAACGCACTGCAGCTGGCAGGCCAAATCCGGCCCACCACCACCAAAGATGTTTCCCATTTGGTTCTCTGCAGAGAACATTTGGCAACCCCTGGCACAGTGCCTGGCACATAGTTGGTGCTTCATAAATACTGGATATTACAACATTAGTGTTAGTGTCCACGCCAGTATCAGCGTCCATATTCACACAGAATGTGGGACTCTTCTTACCCCATTTTGCAGATGAGAGATCTCCATGTACACACCTCGCAGTCCTCTCCCTCCCCTGCCCCCTGGCCCTCCCCACAGAACACCCGACTTATCACCGTCACTATCCCAGACTCTCAGGCTAGGATCCTTAGAGCCCTCCATGATGCTGTTTCCTCCCACAAGCCCTGGAGATTCAGTCTCCATGCCCCTTGGCTGCAGCCACAGTTTCCTTTCCAACCTCACTGTCCTCTTCACTCCCGCTCCCTAGAACAGTTTTCCCTATGGTGGGTTCCCTAGAATATGGATCCCTGGAAAACAGCTTCCATGGTCAATTGATTTTAGAAATTATCACATGTCATCTTCCCCTCTCCAAGAGTCACAATGACCATTAAAGTGCTAAAGGCTCTGAGAAGTCCCTCGAAGAGATCGGTTTAACTCTATGTAACCTAGCATTTGACAAACCCGCACACCTATTTTTTTTTTTTTTTTTTTTTTTTTTTTGGCCATTTAAAATCTGTTTCTACCACAGGACACAGATCAGGAACTACTGCCTGTGTCTGGCACAATGGTGGCCTCTCTGGAATTCCAGACCAGTCTCTCTTCCCTTTCACCTATCCCAGGAATTTATAAACATTTTCTTTAGAAGGCTGGATAGTAAACACATTAAGCCTTGTGGGCCAAGTAGCAAAACTGAGTATATTATACAGGTACTTACATGATAAGAGAGAAAACAAATTTCTATCAACATTTTATTGGTAGAATTCAAAACTTCATTCATGGGCACAGAAATGTGAATATTATATCGTTTTCACACATCATGAAATAGTCGTCTTCTTTTGATGTTTTTAGTCAATTCTTCAAAAAAAAAAAAACACATAGAGATAAATCACATCTTCTAAAACCCAGCTCTGATCACCTCTGTGTTAAAACATGTTCAAAGACTCCCCTCTCTCTCTAATGGATTAAGTCCAAGCTCATCCCCCAACCATTCAAAACCCTCTTAGCCGGACCCTGCCCATCTGTAATTCCACCCCACTCTCCCCTTCCCACTCCCTGTGATTCTTCCAGATAAAACTGCTGCCTGCTCCCATATACACTCCATCCTTTTCTGTTCTTATGTCTTTTCTCACAGGGCTCCCTCCTCCTGGAATTCCTCTCCACAATCTCCATACATGCAAATTTAAGGACTAACTCAAAGGCCACCTCCTCCAGGAAGCCTTCCCTGATCTCCTCAGGGAGAGCCTCTATCTCCTTTCTCCAAACTTCCAGGCCTCTTTATCTCAGTATCACATACAGCACTTTTATTAGTTCATTCTTGCATTGCTATAAATAACTACCTGAAACTGACGAGCCAGGTGCAATGGCTCACGCCTGTAATTCCAGCACTTTGGAAGGCCGAGGTGGGTGGAACAGCTGAGCTCAGGAGTTCAAGACTAGCCTGGCCCACATGGTGAAACCCTGTCTCTACTAAAAACACAAAAATTAGCCGCACATGATGGCAGGTGCCTGCACATGATGGCAGGTGCCTGTAATCGCAGCTACTCAGGAGGGTGAGGCAGGAGAATCGCTTGAACCCAGAAGCTGGAGGTTGCAGTGAGCCGAGATCGCACCATTGCACTCTGGCCTGGGTGACAAGAGTAAGACTCCATCTCAAACTGGGTAACATATAAAGAAAAGAAGTTTGGCTGGGCACAGTGGCTCATGCCTGTAATCCCAACACTTTGGGAGGCCACGGCAGGTGGATCACTTGAGGTCAGGAGTTCGAGACCAGCCTGACCAGTATGGTGAAACCCCATCTCTATTAAAAGTGCAAAAATTAGCTGGGTGTGGTGGTCGGCACCTGTTATCCCAGCTGCTTGGGAGGCTGAGACAGGAGAATAGCCTGAACCCGGGAGGCAAAGGTGCAGTGAGCCAAGATCGCACCACCGCACACCAGCCTGGGTGACAGAGAGAGATTCCATCTGAAAACAAAAAAAAAAAGAAAAGACGTTTAACTGGCTCACGGTTCTGCAGGCTGTACAGGAAGTACGGCTGAGGAGGCCTCAGGAAACTTACAATCGGGGTGGAAGGCAAAGAGGGAACAGGTGCGTCTTACATGGGCAGAGGAGGAGGAAGAGAAAGTGAAGGGAGAGGTGCTACACACTTTTAAACAACCAGATGTGGGAACTCACTCATTATCACAAGAAGAGCAAGGGGGAAATCCACCAGGGAAATCCCATGATCCAGTCACCTCCCACCGGGTCCCTCCTCCAACATCAGGGATTACAATTCGACACGAAATTTGCTTGGGGACATAAATCCAAACCACACCCACTGGCCCTATCTCTCTAAAATTGGGGTCCATATCTTTCCGACCCAGTAACACGACACCTAGAAGCCATAAAAACAAACTCCCACAAGGAATGCTGCAGCAGCTGTGTGTCTCAATGGGCCATGGTTCTGCCGAGAAAATCCATTTCACGTCCTCCTCCTCCCCACTCCATCCTTTCCACACTGCCTTCTGTGGGTTCCCACCAGTTTCAGAAGTGAGAAGAGGTGATATCAAGATGTGAAAGCTATTTCTTTAAATTCTGAAAGACTTTAGAGGTTTAGATGGAGAAGATGAGACAGAAGCTAGCCTGTGTCTGGAAAGGTCCTCACCTGGTAGCTCTTCTCCCCGTCTTCAGAAGACCAAGAGAAGCTGAAGTCATGCTAACATGCAGAGTGTGTTTTGATTCAAAAAGGATCACAAGTGTGTTTTGATTCCAAAGGATCATGAGATGGTATTGTGCGGGTCAACGCGACCCAGCATGAACAATGTTCTCATTTACCAATCTCCTTATTTGCAATCAAACTAATAACAGTTTATCTCAATCTCAGGGGAAACCAACCACATAGATATACAGCAGCCTTGGAAGAAACAGCTCCTTGCAAAGCCGATTCTGTTCTGATTGACAGGATTGGATGAAGCTGCCACGATAGTAGAGAGACCTGAGCCCTGCTCCCCACAGGGGCAGTCAGCATCACCTCCACGGCTAAACCACCCCCGTTCCCAGCAGAAGTGTAGGCCAACCTGTGTGCCACACGTGGAGGAATCAGAGTCCTGGAGACTGAGCATTTCTTTTCTTCATCTTCTTCTTATTTACTTATTTATTTTTCATGACCAAATAAAAATTGTACATGTTTGAGACTGGGTCATTTCCATCTTCTCTGTTCTATCCACACACCCAATACATAGACCTCACTCCCACCACCATCTTTATTGGGGGAGAAAGAGGTGGGTATTGAAGAGGGTTTCACTGAGTTCACCCATGTGGACGGACTCACCCAAGACTGAGATCAGGTTCTGCAATTTGTTGCAGTGGACCCGTGAAACCCTTCCGAGACAGAACAACATCCCAGCTGGCCTTGGCTGCCTCCCGCCTAAGCCATCAAATATTGACCTAACCTCCCTTCAAAGGCAGTTCAAGAATGCCTTCACAATCCTTCATCTTAGAGCTTGTTAGACCCACTGGGCTGCAAAGGAAATATCTGAAGCCGGCATGGACATCTCCAGTCCTTTTGCTCTCACAAAATCATGAGCATCTTAAAAGAGGATTCCCCCCTTATGAGGACAGCTCTCTTTGCCACTTCATCCATTAAAACGCGGCATGAAAAAAAGCCTCACTGCTGGGTTCAAGGTAGGAAGGAAAGATTACTGGTCGGAAACCTCCCGTTGACTCGGGAGGGCATTGCAGAGGTCAAGTAACCATGGATTAAACACAGGAGAAGTTTATTTCTCCCTCAGGTGGGAGCATGGGTATCTGCAGCCCAGGGCCAAGGTGCAACCCAGGGCCAAGGTGCAGCCCAGGGACCATCTCCGGAAATGCCGGTCACCCTCACCACATGGCCAGCAGGGCTTATTACCAAGCCTTCATTCCCTCAAAATGTGGGAAAAAGAGAAGTGCGTGAATTGCCCCTGCACCACTCAGAAATGTACACATCACCGGCTCACACCTCCTAGACGAGGATTCAGTTCATAAGCACTCATTACAAGGGAGGTAGATACAGCAGTCTGCTAGGGCTGCCATAACAAAATGTCACAGGTGGGGTGGCTTAAACAACAGAGATTTGTGTTGCACAGTCCTGGAGGCTGGAAGTCCAAGATCAAAGCGTTGGCAGGATGGGTTTCTCTTGAGGCCTCTCCTGGACTTGCAGGTGCCTCTCTTCTCCCTGTATCCTCCCAGGGTCTTCTCCGGCATCCCTGGCATCACTCTGTGTACCCTATCTTCCCTTTTTATCAGAACACTAGTCAGATTGGATGAGGGCCCTTCTTAAGGGCCTCATTTTAACCTAATGCCCTCTTTGAAACCACATTCTGGCTGGGCACAGGGGGCTCACGCCTGTAATCCCAGTTCTGTGGGAGGCCAAGGTGGGCGGATCACCTGAGGTCAGGAGTTTGAGACTAGCCTGACCAATATGGTGAAACCTCATCTCTACTAAAAATACAAAAATTAGCCGGGCGTGATGGCGCACACCTGTAGTCCCAGCTACTTGGGAGGCTAAGGCAGGAGAATCGCCTGAACCCGGGAGGCAGAGGTTGCAGTGAGCCAAGATCGTGCCACTGCACTCCAGCCTGGCGAAAGAGCAACAATCCATCTAAAAAACATTCTGAGGTCCTGCGGGTTAGGGATTCAACATGTGAATTTGGGAAATGGACACTGCTCAGTTCATAACAACAGGGAAACATAGTCTTGATCCTGGGGAGTCATGTGCCTGCTAAAAATTGGGGGATGGTGGGTGGAACTGCTGATAAGAAGGAAAGGAAGAGGAAGAGGCCAGGCATGCTGGCTCACAGCCATAATCCCAGCACTCTGGGAGGCCAAGGTGGGAGAACAGTTTGAGTCTAGGTGTTAAAGATCAGCCTGGGCAACACAGAGACTCTGTCTCTACAAAACATAAAAAAAAAATAGCTGAGTGTGGTAGCACGTGCCTGCGGCCTCAGCTGCTTAGGAGGCTGAGGCAGGAGGATCACTCCAGGCCAGGAATTAGAGGCTACGCTGAGCTGAGATTACACTGCTGCATTCCATCCTGGGTGACAAAGTGAGACGCTATCTTATATAAAATAATAATAATAATTTTGTAAAAAGCCAAAAAAAAAAAAAAGAGGAGGAGGCTGGATCGGGGAACAATTAACCATCTTTGCCCCAGACAGTGCCCTATCCTGGTTCAGAGCATCCACAGCTCATAGCATCTGGCACCAGGGAGGACGTCAAACAGCTGAATGTCTAAAGAAGGGAAGAGAACACAAAACTCATGGAGATGCCGTCTAGATCTCACGCTTGGGGGCTTGTCTGTTACAAGTCTGTTGTGCTTTCAATGCCAAGAACACAGCTGACCCACCATTGGGTTCTGCAGAAATAGCCTGTGGGGTGTCAGGAGAGAAGTTTCCAGAGTGGGCAGGAGTGAGCTTTGCAACTCCAAAAAGAGACTGAACATGCACAAGAGCAGGTATTTCTGTACAGTTTGTTCCCTGATGCATTCTATCATGGAGAATGGTGCCCAGCACATAGTAGGTGCTCAATACATGGAATAGATGCAGACAAGGAAGCTCAGAGGAGGAACTTTGTCTCCATCCAGGGCAGTACTGGCAGGAAACCACTCTAAGCGATGCCTCCCCATGACCCCATCATGCTGTCTTTCCTAACATTCTCAGACATCTATAGGTTGGTGCAAAAGTAATTGTGGTTTCTGTCACTAAAAGTAATGACAAAACTGCAATTACTTTTGCACCAACCTAATATATTTCATTATTTTAAATGATAGCGTCTAGAAGCAGGGCCTGCTTTCCTAATGAGTAGAGCAGGTGAGGTATAAGGGAAGGGAAAGGGTGGCTTCAACCACACAAAGGATCCTGACTGAGACCCACCTCTGAAAGCAGGTGTGCTTTGGAAATATGTTTAGTTTTTATAAATAGCCCAGAAGCAAGTTTGCCCAGCATAGCAGAGGAGGCAGCTCGACCGCTGCTCAGGAGCGTGTGGGGCATGATGCCGAGGTCTCCTATGCCTGCTTCTTCACTGTAAAGTGGGAGGATAGCAGCATGTACCACGGAGAACGTCCTCAGCATTAAATGAGGTGATGCCTGAAAGCATCTAAGTGCAGTGCCTGGTACCGAGCAGGTCTTTTGCAAATGCCAGTGACTGGGAGACGACTATGTCTGTCAGTGCTGGTCCCTGGCTATTCCAAGGGCCTTAGAGACATCACGAGGATAAAGACGGCTAAGGGACAGGTAGAAATGTTGCTTATTTTACATTTTAAAAAACTATGGGCCAGGCACGGTGGCTTATGCCTGTAATCTCAGCACTTTGGGAGACCAAGGTGGGTGGATCACTTGAGGTCAGGAGTTCAAGACCATCCTGGCCAACATGGTAAAACCCAGTCTCCACTAAAAATACAAAAATTAGCCAGGCATGGTGGCACATGTTTGTAATCCTAGCTACTTGTGAGGCTGAGACAGGAGAACTGCTTGAACCCAGGGGACAGAAGCTGCAGTGAACCAAGATGGCGCCACTGCACTCCAGCCTGGGCAACAGAGCAAGACTCGTCTCAAAACAAACAAACAAAAACCACTGTGGTCTTCATTTCTTCAATGCTTTTGAAAATAATACCAAGAACGTGAGCTAAAGTTAGAATAGTGAGAATTGAGGAGAGAGACCCACAGAAAACCTAACTCATATCACATAAAAAGTGGAATGCATTGCCAGAGGGTGGCCTCTCTTGACAAGAGCCAGCCATGCTTGGAGGTCTCAGAATAAACAAGGAGACCCCAGAAGACCCTGGATTGGAGTTAAAGGGAAAAAATCAACGCTGAGACCCCCTGCTTAGAGAGGTCACTATGAAACCATGTCACTAAGGGCCAGCCCCTCCTGCCCCCCTGAAAGGCCAGAATTTTTTTTAAAGGATGGCCTTTGAGCTTTTGATTCTTAAAGAGCTCAGAAATGTGCATAACGGCAAGAGTTTAAGAAACCGTGTAGTGCAGCTTGTTAAATCATTGGAAATAAAAGCTAAGCAAGAGTTGCAGAATTAGATTACCCAATATGAAAGAAACATACTTTCATCTCAAGTTCCTCTAAATAGATGTTATTTTCTCTTGCTGTAAAGGTAGGCTATTTTCCTTATTATTCTTTACTGAAGAAAAACAAGGAAGTGGGAGGGTGGGAGATGAAAACCCACATTGGTTAGGTGCCCCGACATTGCAGAGCAATTCTCATCAACATTAATATTGCAGTAGCCCAGGAAAAAGAACTGGGAGGTTTTCATTGTACAGGAACAAAACCTAGAGATGAAAATGCAGTCGCAAGCGTAAAAAAAGTTATTAAGAAATCTGTTCAAGCCTCACGCTTCTCCAATGATTCAAGATAACCACATGAGCAGCTTCAAATATTATGCGTTGACATCATTCAAACAGATAGCTCCCAGAGGTTGGATATGACATCAGGGAATTACCATTCATCATACATTTATGACAAATCTAATGGGCTGAACTGATTTGTGACTGGTTAGAGCTCATGTGGGTCTCTCCAACTATGGCCACCTTGCCACTTAATGATCCTCCTTGCTTAAGAAGAACCCCCGTGGAACCCATAACGTCTCATTGGAATAAGGAACGGGAAACTCCTCACAACCCAAGGTCAAGTGCATGAGGTGTGGATCTTCTTAACGTCCAGAGTCCTGTCATTTAAAGAGCAAATACGGAACCTCCTCTTGCTGGAGGTTAACTCCAGCAAACAGACAGACAGACCCAGGTTTAAGAGTCTACTGTGTTACTTTCTGGATGTGGGACCATGGGCAAGGCATCTCCCCTCCGTGTGCCCTGTCTCATTTTCAATCTCAAGATTATAATGGCCTCTACCTTTTAGCGCAGTTATGAAGATTAAGTGAAATCATGCATATAAAGTATTGAGCACAATTCTTGGCACAGAGCAGGCATTTAATAAATGTTAAGCTAGAGCTGCTGTTACGCCCAGTACCAGTAAGATAATGAAGTAATAGTATCCACTGGGGAAGGTTTGTAAGAACCTAACACTCCAAAGACAGTAATGGTGCCACTCTGGGCTCCTCCTTCCCTGTTGCCCATATGGCACATGCAGTGAGAACCCACATCCCCTCCAGCCAACTCGGCTGTCACCTGCAGCTTGGAGAGACAGTTCCCTCCCACATCAGTGGGTCCCTTATTCAAGCACCTGCGTCTCTCTACCTAGGAGTAATCCTCCAGCCATGGGAACCTGCTCAGCCTGTGTTCTGGGCAGGTCAGGAGTTGCAGAGCGAGCAACCGCATCACTGATTTCTAATACTGCACACATAAGATACCCACTTGTGTGCAGAAACTATCTTCCTTTAGGCTTGTAATGCCCTTCACATGAAAGATTAAAGAGGGAAATAATTATATTCTGTATAAAAACCAGATCAAATTTATACACAAAATCATTTGTCTAAAAATTTAAGTTGTTTTCAAATAAAAATTAAAATGCATTTCTGACATGCAAAATAAATTTTAAAAATTGAGAAAACCACCTATGTCATACCATCTTTGTTTTTATTAAGTCAATAGAAACTGTGCTACTTTATTAAAATACTGAGTTTTATTTCACATGTATATTTTTGTCTCCCCATCATTTCCATGTCTGACCACTGCTATTACTATGTCCTGTCATAACATTCCATTCATACTTAAGACCAAGCAAAGGGTGAAGCTCCATCTTTAAAAACTAAACAGGCATTTTGGACAACACATTCTTGGCAATGAAACCTGGACAACATTTATCAAACACGATAGGGAAATTTATCACTCTGCATTACAAAAAGGACAGCCAGATATCACCTGTTACAGGAATGAAATAAGATGGAAAATTTTTAACAAATTGTTTAAATGATTTTCTTAAAGAGACTTCCTCCACTGCCAGAGATCGGGAATAGCCTCCTGGTCAGTCATCCAGAAGCAATTCTTCACATAATTGATGAACTTTGCTTCCTCTCTGGGAAAAGAATCACCTTTTTCTATATTTGCTTGCATTTCTGCTCTAACATCTTCTACAGAACTAGGTCCTTTCGGTGTTTTAGCAGTTTTTTCCTGTTTCTTGAAGGATTCTTGCCCTTTTGATCTTGGTGTTGATGATGGTTCTGAGTCTTTTCATTTTGATTTGACTTGTGTGCATTTTTGGCTGGAGTATCTCATATATATTTCTTCACTGGTACTTTTCTTCAGTTTTCTCATTATCAAAATCATCATCATCATCAAAATCATCATCATCATCATCTTCATCATCATCAAAATCGTCATGACCAGCATCATCTTCATCGGCAGCAAGTTTTACTTTTTTCTGTGGAACCATGCTACCACCTCCAGGGGCAGCCTGCTTCCCAGATATACTTAAGAGTTTCATATCTTTGTCTTCGTCTTCTGACTCTGCATCTTCCTCCACAGGTACAAAGTGCTGTCCATTAGCATGCACTCGCCCTGAACCACACTTCAACCGTAAGAGCACTGGTGGTATGATTTCAAAGCCCCAAGGGAAACCATTGCTGTACAGACATTTTCAAAGCTGCCAGTGTTACTTTAATTGGACTGCCTTCTAATTCACTGCCTCTGCTTCCACAATGTACGATTCATCCTTCACACCAGCCCCTAAACTGACCATTCTTAAAGATAACTGGTGCTCCTTTTCATCATTATCCACCTTGAAGTGATCATCTTTGTCAGCCTTGAGTTCACACCCGAAAAGACAGTTCTGGGGCCTCAGGGGGCTCATGTCCATGTCCACTGAATCTTCCATTGGGTGGCAGCATGCACTTAGGTGGGAGAGAAGGCGGACAGAGATAAATGACCACTGCTCAAGAGAACAGCCATGCAGGACGGAATCACACCAGGGAAAGCTCTTTTTATTTTTTTTACTTATTTACTGAGACAGGGTCTTACTCCGTCACCCAGGCTGGAGTACAGTGCACGATATCGGCTCACTGCAACCTCCACCTCCAGGGTACAAGCGATTCTCCTGCCTCAGCCTCCCAAGTAGCTGGGACTACAGGCACATGCCACCATGCCCAGCTAATTTTTGTATTTTTAGTAGAGATGAGGGTTTCACCAGGTTGGCCAGGCTGGTCTCAAACTCCTGGCCTCATGTGTTCCTCCCACCTTGGCCTCCCAAAGTGCTGGGATTACAGGTGTGAGACACTGTGCCTAGCCGGTAACACTTTTCTTAATGCCAGGATCTTTAGACTTTATGTGTTGGGTGATGTGTGACAGGGAGGAGATGTGTGGCTGCATATGTGTTTGCTCATTTTTCAAGAGAATCTACACTCCAAGTTGATCAACATTAAATTTTGTGCATTCAGTGTGACACCTCCCAGAACGACCCTCAACCAGTGGGAAATGGGAACAGGCGGACCTCCACGAAGCGGTACTTAGGGATGTTCTGGGCCAGCCTCCGGAGTCCACCAGCAGGCCTGGGTGCCAGCTGCCCACAGCAGTAAGTAGGTCATTAAAAGACCCTTCATCTCTTCCCCACTCCCTCCCTGAGGAATCACCTCAAATAAGTCTTTCGCATTCAAATCCATGTCTCGGAGTTTGCTTCTTGAAGAACCCAAACCACTGCAACCGAGACAAGGCTTCCTCCTCCTCAGCATCCTTTAAGCTTCTTAGGCGACCCTACTGTCCAGCGTGACATCATGGAGGGAGCCCAAGCAGGTGCGTTTCACAGATGGGGTCCAAATCCCAAATCTGCCCTTGCTAATTATGTCAACAAGCCAAGCCCCATAGCTGGTCCCCATCTCCCCATCTTTAAAGCAGCACCTGCCTCACAGGGATGTGTGAGGTGTCTGCCACAGAATCAGCTCAACCTTTGTTCTATTCACTGTTTGGAGATTCCTAAAGAGAAGCAGGTACCCAGGGTTTTCCGAGATGCGTGTAGAGCACAAGTGCTTGGCATAAAGGAATGGGTTCCAAAAAGCAGAATGTAAAAAATTCATTAGGGAGAGATTTTTAGATAGAGAATGGAGTAAGTATCATCACAAAGAGAAAAATCTTTTCTACAAACATAGAAGGACGTCCCTATTGCCAGATCCCTTGCATCGGGAACCAAGAAAGTAAGTTCCTCTTGGCTGAGGCTGTACTTGCCATTGGCAGCCTGTAATTGGAACCGGAATATTTCTTAGGTATTGCCAAGTCGATTGGCAACTGGCTTGTTTTCCTAGAAAATGAGTGACAGCTGCACAACAGCTTTTAAGTCATCAAGAGAGAGAAGGAAGAAAGCCTAGCCAGGGACTCTATGCGCCTTCTGTGCACCCCTGGGGGACTGTTGGTGCATTCACATCTCAAACCAGCACACATCCAAGTTAAAACTTAGCACTTGGCTGGAACTTCTAGGAGAAGTTGTTCCTAAATGTGAAGGAAACTTAAAAATTAATAAAGCAATTGGCAACCTGTACACTGACTTTTTTGTTTCAAAACCTCCTTTGACACCTTCCTAATTAAGGGGACCTGGCTGCCAGTTTCTGCTTCTGATATCCAGCGTCGGGGAATCGCTGAGGGAGAGAAGGAGTAACTACTAACTCTAGGTTGGTTTTTCCTTCTCTTGGAAACTGATTGCACACACTGGATGAAGGATCTGACTAGATGGCAAAGCAGAGACCAGCTGGAGTTGTGGTTCCAGGCGAGAGCTCAGTCAGCACTGGTCGTCCACCAGGGCAAACGCCTAGGCAGAAAAATGAATAGACAGGAACAGCCATGCACTCTAGAAATGAAAGATGCTGGGAACCCCAGGGAGCTCAAGAGAGATCTCTCTGACCCTTCTGGCCCTGGTAATACAACAGTGAATAAGACAGACACGTAGTCCCCAACCCAAGGACACTGACTTGGGGGTGTAGGAGACAGACAAGCAAATAATTTCACAAGCAATTTCCAAAGTGTGCAAGAAGGGTCATGATTCATTAGTACAAGGTGCTACCTACCTAGTCTGAGGTGTTGGGAAAAGTCAGGTCAACTGAGCCCTGGGGATGAGGACTTCCCCAATCAGGGGGAGAAAGAAAGCTTGTTGCAGAGAGAAGAGCCTGCCTGGAAGTCCTGAAGCCCATGGGACTTTTGAGAAAATGAAATAAGCCTCCTGCAACTGAAGCTAGAGAAGGAGGATAAAATTAAACAAGGAAAATAGTATGCAGTTTCCTCAAAAACTTACAAGTAGAACTACCATATGATCTGCAATCCCACTTCCAAATATTTATCCAAAATAGGCTGGACACGGTGGCTTATGCCTGTAATCCCACCACTTTGGGAGACCAAGGAAGGTGGATCACATGAGGCCAGGAGTTCAAGACCGGCCTTGCCAACATGGCGAAATCCTGTCTCTACTAAAAATACAAAAAAAAAAAAAAAAATAGCCAGGGGCTGTGGCACATGCCTGTAGTCCCAGCTACTCAGGAGGCTGAAGCAGGAGACTCGCTTGAACCCAGGAGGTGGAGGTTGCAGTGAGCCGAGATCACACCACTGCGCTCCAGCCTAGGTGACACAGAGATACTCCATCTCAAAAAAAAAAAAAAAAAAAAGAATTAAAATCATCATCTCAAAGAGATATTTGCACTCCCATGTTTACTACGGCATTATACACAATAGCCAAGGTTTAAAAACAACCTAAATGTGCAGTGATGGATAAATGGATAAGGAAGCATGGTATATTCATACAGTGGAACATTATTTAGCTTGAAAAAAGGAAACCCTGCCACATTTGACAATATGGGGAGACATTATGCTAAGTAAAATAAGCCAGTTACACAAAGACAAATGCTATATGATTCCACTTACAGGATGACTCTCTAACAGTCAAACACACAGAAACAGAGCAAAATGGTGGTTGTCGGGGGCTGAGGGGAGAGGGTGGGGAGTTGCTATTCAATGGGTATAAAGTGTCAGTGATGTGGCCTGGCGCGGTGGCTCACGCCTGCAATCCCAGCACTTTGGGAGGCCAAGATGGTTGGATCACCTGAGGTCGGGAGTTCAAGACCAGCCTGACCAACATGGAGAAACCCCGTCTCTACTAAAAATACAAAATTAGCCAAGCGTGTTGGCGCATGCCTGTAATCCCAGCTACTCGGGAGACTGAGGCAGGAGAATCGCTTGAACCCAGGAGGCAGAGGTTGCGGTGAGCTGAGATCGCGCCGTTGCACTCCAGCCTGGGCAACAAGAGCGAAACTCTGTCTCAAAAAAATAAAGGATACAAAAACCATCTGGGCGTGGTGGCGTGCACCTGTAGTCCCAGACACTCGGGAGGCTGAGGCAAGAGAATCACTTAAACCCAGGAGGCGGAGGCTGCAGTGAGCTGAGATCGTGCCACTGCACTCCAGCCTGGGGACAGAGCGAGACTCCATCTCAAAAAAAAAAAAGTTTCAGTGACACAAGTTGAGTAAGTTCTAGAGATCTGCTGCACAATATTATGCCTGTAGATAACAATACTGTATTATGCATGTAAACATTTGTTGAGATGACAGATCTCATGTTCAATATTAAGTTAAATGTTCTTACTACAATTTAAATAAAAACATAACTTATGCAATGCAGTTGGCACAATTAATATCTCAAAATCAATTCCGATATTAATTGTGGTGGTTTTTAGCTCTGTTAATGAAATGCTATTTGAGCATTATCTGCCTGCTGTCCAAACCATTCTCAGAACATTAAGATGATTTTTGTCACTGCCTGTGAGCAGCAGGCTGTAAAGAGGCCCATAGGCTAGCCTCAGAAGTACTTTCTCTATGTCTCCCACTAACTTTTCTTGCTGTGTGTGAAAACCAGGCAGGCTCACCTGAGACAGCTGGGTGGCCTGAGCAAGAATACAACTTGGCACAAAGTGGAGGAGCCTTGCAGGTACCTGGAATTGTTTTTCTCAGTTGACTGCTCGGCAACCATCTACCTTCATTCCAACCCCAGGGCCAGCTTTATGGGCTTGCAACGTTTGCAATCACACAAGGCCCCACGCTCCATGTTCTGCTGTCACTGTCTTGAAACTCTTAACTTTCTAACAAGCGGCCTCACAATTTTATATCTTACTGGGGCCTGTAAATTATGCAGCTAATCTTGCCACACCCTGAGTAGTTTATCAACATATTTTTCTTTACAGTCACTGAGAGTTTCTTTTACAAGAGAAATAAAATGGTCAAAAAAACAAAGCTTTATCCTTCTAGTGATATCTCCGGTGCTGTTTTAGCACTTCTTATAACCTAGACCTCTGGGTAACTACCTAGTTGGCCCACTTCTTAACCTATTTCTGGGGCCAAGAACTGCAGGGATCCTTGGACAGCAACTATACCCATGTTTACAGCTCCTCCTTTCACCTTGTTGGGCAAATTGGCAGCAGTGGAAGACAGAACCATATCACCATTAAGACCAATGGCACTGGACCCAGATAAACCTGGGTTCAAATCCCAGCTTTGCCTTTTACATCTGTAAACTGAAAAGACAATAGAACCACAGGATTATTGCAGAGATTAAATCAGATCATGAATATAGAGTGTTCCATACCAAGTAAGCACTCTGTGTTGTCTATTAGCATTTGTAGAGTTGACATTGTCTCTCCCTGCATCGTGTGCAGCCTTGGTATGGTTATCAATCAGGGTTACACACCTCCTCACCGCAGAAGCCGTGGGCACTGGAGGCTTCTCCCACTAGATCTCCCTCTTGATGTGCTTGTGCTGCTGGGAAAGCAGGTTCATGCTATAAGATCAGTCAGTCATACTCTCCTCAAAACTGGGCAGGAAAGAGGCAAAGATGGAAGAAATTTTTGTACGATTTCATTGAATCCATCAGTAGTCCTGAAAAGACAGTTTCAGCTGTTGACATTTCTGCAGCTGTCGAGATCTCTAGCCTTTCCTTCAACCCTGCCAGTTTCCCTACGTCCTTACAATAAGCCCTCTTCTTCCTCACATTAGTCACAGCAGCTTCTGCTGCTTGCAACCAAAGACTCTAATTTTTACCCCCTCACTCAGGGAGTGTGGATACACATCCAGATCTTTCCCTTAAAGTATCAATTCACTCAATGCATTAGACTCAGCCCAGGTAGCTGATACTGGTATAACGGGAAGGTGCACTCTCTCCCATTACCTGTGCATGTAGGTGATGCATGTGACCCACAGGAAGCCTCCCGGCAAGCCAGCCAGCCTGGCACCTTTTCTCCCACAGGAAACCACGTGCACATTGAGTTTCAAGAAGCAGAACACAGAAAATAGGCAGAGCTGCCTGGCGCTGATATACTCCCTCAGCAGAAGGGCCCTGGAGTCTCTAGAGCTGATCTCAGGAGGATGCCTATCCTCTAATTATCCCTCGCCCTCCAGCCTTCCCACAACATGTCAGCAGCACACAGAGCTAGCCAGGCAGAACTCTGCCCAGGCCTGCGTGTCCACGGATGGAGTAGGCGGCTGCAGATGTGGGATGATCAGGAGCCTATGGAGCAACATCCAGAACTGTCTCTGTCCTCAAAGGAACAGGACAGTGATTTATTCCGCAAGACAGTGACTACCCAACCTTTGCAGGGTTCTCTGAACAAGCAAATGCTCATGAGAGGACATCTTACTAACCTTCAATGTAAATTTATGTTTTGGATTGTTTTCGCTCTGGAACAAACATTCTGAGGTGAGGACAGAGAAAAAAACATAATCAAGAGATGTTAAATGTGAGAATTGGCAAGTCCCATAGAGATCACGCACTTCAGCATCCCCATTTTATGAGTGAGAAAGCGGAGGACCAGAGAGGAAACCATTAACCACAGTTCCCTGTTAAATGCTAAACTATGACTCCCCGAAAATTCATATGAAAGGCAACCAAAGCAAAAATGGACAAATGGGATCACATCAAGTTAAAAAGCTTCTGCACAGCAGAGGAAATGATCGGCAAAGAAGCTCAAACGACTCAATAGGAAAAGTCTAACAATCTGATCAAAAAAATAGGCAAAAGATTTGAATAGACATATCTCAAAAGCAGACCTAAAAATGACAAACAGGCATATGAAAAGATGCTCAACATCCCTAACCATCAGAGAATGCAAATCCAGACTACAGTGAGATGCCATCGCACCCCAGTTAAAATCACTTTTATCCAAAAGACAGGCATGAACAAATGCTGGCAAAAATGTGGAGAAAAGGAACTCGTGTACACTGTTGGTGGGAATGTAAATTAGAAAACCACTGAGGAGAACAGTTTGGAGGCTCCTCAGAAAACTAAAAGTGGAGCTACCATATGATCCAGCAATCCCATTGCTGGGTATACACGCAAAAGGAAGGAGACCAGTATATCAAGGAGATTTCTGCACTCTCATGCCAGGTACAGCACTGTTCCCAATAGCCAAAATTTGAAAGCAACCTAACTGTCCATCAACAGATGAATGGATAAAGAAAATGTGGTACTTATACATAACAGAAAACTATGCCACCATCAAAAAAGAATGAGGTCCTGACATTTGCAAAAATGTGGATGAAACTGGAGGTCACTATGCTAAGTGAAATAAGCCAGGCACAGAAACAAAAACATCACATGTTCTCACTAATTTCTGGGATATAAACATCAAAACAATTGAACTCATGGAAACAGAGAGTAGAAGGATGGCCACCAGAGGCTAGGAAGGGTAATGGAGGGTGGAGGGAGAGGTGGGGAGGAATAATGGGTATCAAAACACATACAAAGGATGAATAAGATGCAGTATTTGATAACACAATGAGGTGACTATAGTCAATATGACTGAATTGCACTTTTTTTCTTTTTTTTGAGATGGAGTTTTGCTCTTGTCACACAGGCTAGAGTGCAATGGCGCGATCTCGGCTCACCGCAACCTTTGCCTCCCAGGTTCAAGCGATTCTCCTGCCTCAACCTCCCCAGTAGCTGGGATTATAGGCATACATGCGCCACCACACCCGGCTAATTTTGTATTTTTAGTAGAGACAGGGTTTCTCCATGTTATTCAGGCTGGTCTCAAACTCCTGACCTCAGGTGATCCACCTGCTTTGGCCTCCCAAACTGCTGGGATTACAGGTGCATTTTTAAGTTTGCAACACAAAGGATAAATGTTTGAGGGGATTTTACATGATGTGATTATTACACATTGCATGCCTGTACCAAAACATCTCATGTACCCCATACATATGTACACCTCTATGTACCCACAACATTTTAATTTAAAAATAACTTTTAAAAAATTTTAAATGCATGTGTTAAAGTCTTAACCCCTAATACCTCAGAGTGTGATTTATTTGAAAATATGCAGGCATAAAAAGATTACAGTAGGTCATACTGGAACAGAATGGGCCCTAATCCCATAAAACTATGTCCTTATAAAAAGGGGAAGCTTGGACACAGACACTCACACAGGGAGAAGGCCTAGCTAATGTGAAGGTAGAGGTCAGGGTGATGCATCTATAACCCAAGGAACGGCAAGCCAAAGGTTGCCAGCAAACCACCAGGAGCAAGGAGAAAGACATGGAACAGATGATTTCCCACAGCCCTCCAGTGGAAGCCATACTGCCGACATCTTGGTCTCGGAGTCTAAGCCTCCTGAACAATGTGAAAATAAAGTTGTGTCATTTAAGCCACCCAGTCTGAGGTACTTTGCTACAGCAGCTCTAGGAAACTAATAAAGTCCCCCAGCAATTTTTAATGTATTCCAAACTCACTATTAGTATTCCTAATCGTCATTTTTATCTGGTTTACATTTCATCTCATTCCATGGAGGATTTCAAACAGCATTTAAGGAACACATAAAAAATTACACACAGATAAATAAGCAACAGATTGGTTGTAAGAAACAGAAATTCCCTGTGATGTCTTAAGCAAAGGGGGAGATTCTGACTAACAGAACAGTTGTGTCCTCTCCTGACGGATTCCAAGGACAGGGACACAGCCAGGCCTTAAGACTCTGCTGAAACCAGAGCCTGGGGTGTGGTTCATGATCCAGAAGCATCACCATCACCTGGGAGTTTGTTACAAGTTTAGAATCACATAACCTACCTGGACCTGCTGAATCTGAATCTACATTTTCACAAGATCCCAGCTGATTCCTATGCACATTAACCTTTGAGATCCATTCTGGTGGGGAATCCTGAAGTCTTCTCTGTGTGGCTCTTCCCTGTGGGACTCAGTCTCCTCTCTCCCTGTAGACTGCGTTGTTCTGTTCTCTTGTGAACAATGCAGAAACCATGGCTATCCTCTGCACCTGCATTTACACCCCAGAGCAAGAGGTGGTTCTTTTTCTCAGTTCCAAGTCCATATTCCTGGGAGAGGTCTCTAATTGGGCCATATTTGATTACAGGTCTCTGACTGGTTCAGCCATAAGCCAATCAGCTATGGCCAAGGAGAATGCCCCAGTAGAACAAACATGGCTGTGGCAACCCCACTGCTACATCATGTGGCAATGGGTGAGAGGTACAGTTCCCAGGGAAGGGCTCGAGCAGTGAGCCCAAGAGGTGCACTCAACAAATGCTCATGAGATTACACATTTTGCCAGTTAAGAGCAGCACCACTCCTAACTCTACTGCTGTCGAACTGTGTCATCACGGGCAAGTAGTTTAAACTCTGTAAGCCTCCATCTCCTTATCTACTGGATGGAAATAAGTAATAGTACCTACTTCACTGGGTACCTGTGAGGCTTCAACGAAACGATGTATGTAAGCAATTAGCCTAATGCCAGGTAACAAAGCAAGCACCCAGTGACTATTAGCTATCATTGCTATTATAAACATTATCAATAGTATTACTATCGGCAACAAACATAAGGACAATGACAACAACGATGTCAACTAGACATCAAAGCAGTCAAATAAATTAATTTCCTCCTCAATAAGCCTAGTGATTTCCAAGGCATTCTAGGCCACAATCTTTGAATTAACCTCATAGTACTCACTGTTTGCCATTTCCCATCATAACTTTGACTGATACTATTAATTTCCATTTGGTGTTCGCTCATTCATTTAACAAGTATATTTTTCATGGTAAACCTGTGCCTGACACCATTCCAGAAGCTAGGGACACAACAGAGAGATAAAATCTTGCCCTAGAAATAAACTGACAATCCAGTCTATCCTTTCCCCCAAAGCACAGGGCAGGGCACAAGCAACCAATGGTCCTCAAGGCGACTTGAAGAAGGTGACCTTAAGGAAATGTGGGCATAGCATTAAACATTATTGAGTCACGAAGAAAGTTTAGTCCCTATAGAGTTTCCTACGGCTGTCATTACTAGTTACCACAAATGCGGTGACTTAAAACAACAGAAATGTATCGGCTCACAGTTCTGTAGCCTAGAAGTTCAAAATCAAGGTGTCATCACGGATGATTCCTTCTGGAGGCTCTGAGGGAGCATCCATTCCATGCCTCCCTCCTGGCTCCTGGTGGCTGCCAAAAATCCTTGCCACCCCTTGGCTGTTAGATGCGTCACTCCAGTCTCTGCATCCACCTGCACACGGCCTTCCCCTCTGTGCCTGTCTATGCCTCACGTCTTCCTTTATTTTTACTTGAGAATGAGTTTCGCTCTGTCACCCAGGGTGGAGTGCAGTGGTGTGATCTTGGCTCACTGCAACCTCCGCCTCCCGGGTTAAAGCAATTCTCATGTCACAGCCTCCTGAGTAGCTGAGATTACAGGCACGGGCCACCATGCCCAGCTAATTTTTGTATTTTTTGTAGATACGGGGTTTAGCCATGTTGGCCAGGCTGGTCTCAAACTCCTAGTCTCAGGCGATTCACCTGCCTCGGCCTCCGAAAGGGCTGGGATTACATGCATAAGGCATTGCACCCAGCCTCTTTCCTTCTTTTAAGGACACTAGATGTTGGATTAGGGCTTACCCTAAATCCAGGACCATCTCATCCTGTGACTCTTTATTATATCTGTAAAGACCCTATTTCCAAATAAGGTCACATTCACAGTTACCAGGGGTTAGGACTTGGACCTATTTTGGAGGAGACGCTCCTCAACCCACTACAGGCCCCTTCTAAAGCTCCTTCTGTCTTCCTAATTACATCAAGGAAGAAGTCTCTGTCTATAAATAAAATCTCATTAACCTCTCTTTGAAGCTGACCAGTCTCCATTTTTAAACCCAGCTTCAGCTGACCTCAGGCCCCGGGCCTTGAGCCAGCAAAGGTGCCTCCTGACCCAGACATTGACCTTGACACCTTACATCAAGAGGTCTCCTTGTCCTCAGGCTTCACGATGCAGACAGAGGGACGGCACATACACGTGTCCTCCAGGAATCCACAAATTGCTCCTTCCTCATCTCTCCCGGCCCATAGTCCCTGCGTCCTGCCACACCTGCGTTCAGTTGTGAAACCTTCCTTGAACTATCCTGCTCTAAGTGTGCCATCTGCCATTTCCTGCTGGGGCCTGAACTAACGCACAGAATGATGCAAGTTTGGGAAACTCACAGAAGCTCCATTTCTCCAAAATTCAACATACTCAAAGCCAAGAAGGACACACCTCTTCTGAGCTAAGACGACCCTAGTATTGAATCCCTCCCTCTCTCTCTTTTATTCTCTCTTATTTCTCTCTTTCTCTCTCTTCTCTGTCTGTCCCCTTCTCTGTATCTCTGTCCCTCTCTCTCTCTCATATACACATACACATCCCTTCACCCCTTCCAACCTCTGCTGATCACAAACCAAGCCACGGGACCCTTAACCACCCTCAGGCGCCCTTAGCTGAGCAGATAAGACCTCTCCAAGAAGGCCACTGGAACCAAGCCAACACCCTCCACAGCTGCCTGGCACATGGTGACAAGTGGCTGCTGCCATCAGGAGTCTCAGAAACTCCCCTGAGATGCAGGTGGTGTCTCCACTCCCTCCAGCCTGCCCTGGTACCTTCGAAATGAATAATGCTGCGTGAACGTTTGTCCTATCAGAAGGACCACACTTAAGACAGCATGCTCTAGAAAGAAAAGAGCTGCCCTACACAAAGAGAGGGTTGGAATAAAGGAGCTGGGCAGACAGCACTCTGTGCAGAGCACAAGGCCTGGAAAAGCGGCTTAAGATTAAAGAGAAAAATCCTAATAGCCAGAATGTATTGATCCCCTTCTCTGCTGGGCCCCACATTGCGGGCACCACCTCATTTAACCCCCAAGCAGCCCTGTTGGGGAAGGCACAATGATAACTCCATTACACACAAGAAAACCGGGGCTTGGCAAGATCAAGTGACTTGCCTAAGGTCACATGGCCCATAAGTGGTACAGTCTGGGTTGTAATTCAAGTCGGTCTGTCTTTCAGGAATATTGGGTCAGACTACAGATCGACAAGGAGAGACTGAAAGACAGTGAATAGAGAAAAAAAAGTGGTCCAACCAATACAGTTCTCTTCAAGAAAAAGAGACACAGACACAGAAAGACCAGAGAGACTCACCCACTAGTGCTCAGGAGACATCAGCCAAGGCCGACAGGAACAGCTCCCGCAAGTGCACCTGCCTGGCTCAAGGAGACAGGGAAAATGTTCCAGGACTTGAGCTCAGATGGAGGAGGGGATCCTAACTCTCACAGGTAAGGGGCCGGTGGAGACTGGCCTCCCAGCAGCCTTTCTGGAAAGGAATTGTAAGTATTCCAAATGTCTCCTCCTCTGGTAAGTCATCCCAGCCTTCCCCAGCTGAGCTAGTGGCCCCTCCGTTCATCCTGCTTGGTTTCAACATTTACTACACCGCCCCAGGCTGATGTGTTTCCAAAGCTTCTCCCACCAGATACAGCAAGACCCTCTGAGAGCAAAGGCCATGTCTTGTTGATCTCTGTATCCCAGCATCTTGTGGACCCCACAGGAGACCGGATGCGAGCAAGCGCACAGTAGCCCCCGAGACGTCCTAAGGGAGCACTCGGCAGTGTCTCACAGGGCATGGCGAGGTTTTTTTTTTTTTCCTCAATGGGAAATTAGTTTTCAGCCTAGGTTTCAAGCTGGAAGTGACTCTTCTCATCAAAGTGACTTTAAAATATGTCTCCCTTAATACCACCAATGACATCATCTACCTCTTGATGTGATGCACCAAGGAGGACTTATGTAGTCCTCCTGCCAAAACGACCTCACCAGAATCTACTAGGCTGTGACATTCACATAAATCCATCCTGCATTTGCAAATGGGATATGCCACCAAATATCTGAACTGGACTGTTTAAAAATGTCAATGTCCTAACACACCACACACAGAGGGGCGGAGGAAGAGGGGAGGGCTGGGGAACTCCTCCATAGCAAAGAAGTCTTTTTTTTTTTTTTTCAGACACTACTCTGTTGCCCAGGCTGGAGTGCAGTGGCATGATCTTGCCTCACTGCAACCTCTGCCTCCCGGGCTCAAGCAATACTCCTGGCTCAGCCTGCTGAATAGCTGGGATTACAGGCATGTGCCACCACACCTGGCTAATTTTTGTATTTATTTTTAGTAGAGATGGGATTTCACCATGTTGGCCAGGCTGATCTTGAACTCCTAACCTCAGGTGATCCACCCACCTCGGCTTCCCAAAGTGCTGGGATTACAGGCGTGCACCACCACACCCAGCCTGAACAAAGAAGTCTTTAAAAATGTGAAACCTAAATGCAACGTTTCATCTCTCAACACTGGATTTCTTTTTAAGCCATAAAGAATAGTATCAGAAAAATTGGGGAATTTGACTACGAAGTATGTATCAAGTAAGGATATTTTTGTTTCTAAAACAGGGTCTCATTCCATCACCCAGGCTGGAGCACAGTGGCACAATCATAGCTGACTGCAGCCTCAATCTCCCAGGCTCAGATAATCCTCTTGCCTCAGCCTTCTGACTAGCTGGGACTACAGGTGCATGCCACCATGCCTGGCTAATTTTTATATTTTTTGTAGGGACAGGTTTCTGCCATGTTGCCCAGGCTGATTTTAAACTCCTGGGCTCAAGCAATCCCCCCACCTTGGCCTCCCAAAGTGCTGGAATTACAAGTATGAGCCACCGTGACCACCGAAGAGTATTTTATTATCATTAAATTTCTTGAGTGTGCTCATTACATTTTGGTCATGTAAGAGAATGTGTTTGATCTTAGGCCATACGTGATCAAACGTTCAGGGTGAAATGTAATGTCTGCTACTGACTCTCAAATGGGTTCAATAAAATGTGAGCCTGTGTGCATAAAGAGACAGAGAGTGCAAGAAAAAGCCAACGAAAGAAAATGTTTGACAACCGGTGAAGGGTAGATAGGGTGTTCATTGTAGATGTCCGCAACTTTTCTGCAGGTTTGAAATTATTTGAGACAAAAAGTTGAGAGTAAAGATACCTAGGAATGCAATTGCTGGGTTATAGGTTAAATGTATGTGAACTTTTTTAAAGTTGGATATAGCTGCTCAGCTTGGGGGACAAGAGTTCATAGCATCTCCCAGCCACTCCCAGGGTGGACAAGCGCAGGAGGCACACAGCGTTCGGAGGAGCACATGAGAGGGAAGCAGCATCCGCTGAATAAATAAATTGAAAAAGATCAAACAGACCATACTGGGGAAAAGTACAAAAATAAGAATAGAGACTGGTTGGGCGCAGTGGCTCACCCCTGTAATCCCAGCACTTTGGGAGGCTGAGGCGGGTGGATCACCTGAGGTCAGGAGTTCAAGACCAGCCTGGCCAACATGGTGAAACCCTGTCTCCACTAAAAATACAAAAAAATTAGCCGAGCGTGGTGGCGGGCGCCTGTAATCCCAGCTACTCGGAAGGTTGAGACAGGAAAATCGCTTGAACCCAGGAGGTAGAGGCTGCAGTGAGCCAAGATTGTGCCATTGTACTCCAGCCTGGGCAACAAGAGTGAAACTCTGTCTCAAAAATTAAGAAGAAGAAGAATGGAGACTTAGAGCCTAAAGCTTCAAGCAAACATCCGAGACAGATAACCAGGGTCACTCACAAGGAGTTCTCGGGCTAAGCGATATCAAGGGTCCAACCTGAATTCCTCCCTTGACCGCTCTAGTTAAATGCTCTCACCAATTCCTAAGCTCACAGGCATTGAGTACATTGCATGCGGTCTCCATAGAGAGGAAAGGCTTAAATATTTGCAATGAAATTTTTTGTCACCTTCATAACACCTTGAGTTGAATCTTATGCCATTCATATATGCCTGGGGGCCAGGTGACCCTCCTCCTGAGACCCATCAATAGGCATCAGTTCAATGATATGGTTAAAAACCTGGAGTGAGCCAGCCTGAAGTTCAAATCCTGCCTTTCTCTCCCACTAGCCATGTGCCCCTAATCACTTAACTATTCCAAGCCTCACTTTCCTTAACTCTAAAGGGGGTACAGTGAATGTATCTACCTTCTAGAGTAGTTAGAAGACGGAATTCTATCATGTATGTCAAAGCCCTGGCATAGCGCTTAACAGATGACAAACATATTATTTATTGAAGCAACTCCTGCAAAGTGCTTCAGGCAGTGTCTGGCACATAGTCGAGTTAAATAAATCAATATGGCATTATCAATACAGTCAACAGTCTGACTCCCATCATGGGCAAAATGAGGGTATCAGATGGGAGACACATCCTTAACAAGGCTTAGACCTATCCGGGGTCAACCTGCTTCCACCAGCGCAATACCTGGTTCACGGCTTTTGCTTAATAATTCGTGGGTGGGTGAACGATTGCCTTCAGCACAAACACTGAGAGTAGCTAACATTTCTACAGTTCTCACCAATTAGGCAGTTGGCTGGGCTCATGCATTCCTCTTCACAACCCTGCGAGATGCATTATGATTATGATTATGATTATGATTATGATTATGATTTTCTTGAGATGGAGTTTCACTTTTGTTGCCCAGGCTGGAGCGCAGTGGTGCAATATCGGCTCACTGCAACCTCCGCCTCCGGGTTCAAGTGATTCTCCTGCCTCAGTCTCCTGAGTAGCTGGGGTTACAGGCGCCCACTACCATGCCTGGCTATTTTTTGTATTTTCACTAGAGACGGGGTTTCACCATGTTGGCCAGGCTGGTCTCAAACTTCTGACTTCAGGTGATCCGCCCGCTTTGGCCTCCCAAAGTGCTGGGATTACAGGTGTAAGCCACTGTGCCCAGCGTGCAGTGTGCATTTTAAAGGAGGACTGAGGCTCTAGAAGTGGGAGCCAATTGCAGAAAGACACATACATCCAACAAAGAGCAAAGGCTGACACGGGAACTAAATGGTACTGGACCCAAAACCACACTGTTAACCATCACTCTGACTAGGGACACCTCACCTCCCATTCCTGCTGTGTGTCAGCCTGACACACCCCCGTCTATCAACCAGAGCCAACAGCCGTTTCCCAGAACATCCCCACAGAGCAAACAATTCACTTTCTGACCACCAGGCAGCCAACAGTATGCTTCATGCCCCATTTGTCTCCAAAATCATGAGCTTCTTGTCAAGACTTCAGAGTCCATCTGAGTTTCTCATGGCAAAGGGGCTCCCACACTAACCTTCTTACCAGACAGCTGCTGTTTCCCAGTTAATCCTGACAGCAAGCACATACATTATGCACATGCAGGGAACCGAAACCCCCTGAAAAAATTATTTTTCTTGAATATTAAAAGATCCCACTTCTACCCCAGGCTTTCATTTCCTCTCACGCAAGCGCCAGTTCTATTAAAGCCAAATTACACCACAGAAATGACTGTGAAGTGTACATCAGCAGATCAATTTATTTAATTAGCCTGGGTAATTATAGAGGAGTGAGAAATGCCTTGTGCTGGGAAGGAGCACAGGGAGAGTGGGAGCCGGTGGATGGTGCACATGTGTTTCCTGGCCAGGGAGAGAGACTGCTCAGCAGGGCTGCTTCCTGGGGCCTCAGCTCAGAGCAGGGCGTGGGCCAAGGTAGCTCCAGCACAGCCCGGCTCCTGTGGTCCCCGCCAAATGCAGGGATGGCAGCAGCTTCCAAATCATTCAGGGGCAACGAGGTTTTAAGAACAGGTAAAATGAAATGTACTCTCTTGACAAGTTTTTTTTTTCTTCCCAGACACAGTTTTGCTCTGTCACCCAGACTGAAGTGCAATGGCATGGTCTGGCTCACTGAAACCTCCGCCTCCCTGTTTCAAGCGATTCTCCTGCCTCCGCCTCCTGAGTAGCTGGGATTACAGATGCATGCCACCACGCCCGGCTAATTTTTTGTATTTTTAGTAGAGATAGGATCGCCATGTTGGCCAGGCTGGTCTCGAACTCCTGACCTTGAGTAATCCGCTGGCCTCACCCTCCCAAAGTGCTGGGATTACAGGCTTGAGCCACCGTACCCAGCCATCTTGACAAGTTTTTAAGTGCATGGTGTTGTTAACTATGGGAAAATGTTGTACAGCATTTACAACATATGCATCTTGCATAACTGAAACTTTGTACCCATGAACAGAAACTCCCCCGGCAATCAATATTCTACTCTGTTTCTATGAGTCTGGCTATTTTAGATATCTCCTAGAAGTGGACTCATATGGTATTTGTACTTCGGTGATTGGTTTACTTCCCTTAGCATAATGTCCTTCAGGTTCAGCCATGTTGTTGCATATGTCGGGATTTCTTTCTTTTTTAAGGCGGAATAATACTCCATTGCAGATAACAACGGCTGACCAGCATGTGGAGAAATTGGAGCCCCTGCACATTTTGGATGGGATTGTAAAATGACACAGTTGTTCTGGAAAACAAGATGGACGTTTCTCAAAAAATTGAAAACAGAAGTACCATATGATCCAGCAATCCTACTTCTGTGTATATATCCAAAAGAAACGAAATTAGGATCTCAGAGAGATGCCTGCATGCCCAAGTTTGGTGCAGCACTATTCACAACAGTGAAGATATGGAAACAACCTAAGAGTCTGCTGACAAATTAATGCATAAAGAAAATGCAGTGAGGTTTTCAATACAGCATCAGGTATAGGAATTTTCACAAACTGAAACTTTTCCCAGAAAAGGGGTCCTCATTATTAACCAACATTCAGAGAGTACACATCTACTAAACACATAAATTGAGAGCCTACTATTTATATAAATTCACGTTCCATGTCTGTCTTTCCTGTTGGGCTGTGAACTCCAGGTGAGTTGAAATAATGGGGGGTTAAGAGCAAGTATGATGGGGTAGCCAACCTAGGTTTGAACCCAGGCTCCTCCACTTCTTAGATATGTATTCCTGGGCAAGCTGCTACCCTCTCCATGCCTGTTTCCTCATCTGTAAGTGGAGATGTGATAATAGTGCCTACTTCATATGACTCTTAAAAATTGAATAAAATATTTGATGCAACATTCTTAACACAGTAGGTAGTATGTAGTGAGTTTTTGTTAATTTTCACCTATTACTATTAGTCATAAATGTTATTCCAATGCCTAGTAATCACTATGTATTCAATAAACATTTGTTGGATGCATGGATGGATGCATGGGGAACAGGATGGATGGGATTCAACAGATGGGTGGGTAGATGAGTGGATGCATGGGTGAGTGGGCGGGTGGAAGAGTAGATTATTGAGTGGAAAGACAGGTGGATGGGTGGATGGATACATGGGTGGATGGATAGGTGGGTGGATGGATGGACAGAAGGGTGGGTGGGTGAACAGTGGGTGAGTGAGTGGTACAGAGGGTGACTGAGTGGAAGGGTGGGTGGATGGGTTGATGGGTGGGTAGGTGGGGGGATGGATGGATGGATGGATGGGCAGGTAGATGGATCGATGGGTTGGTGGGGAGTGGATGGGTGAATGAGTGCATGATTGAGTGGAAGGATGGGTTGATGGGGGGGAGGGGGTGGATGGGAGGATGAATGGGTGGGTGAGTGCATTATTGAGTGAAAGAGTGGGTGGATGGGCTGACAGGTGGGTGGAAGGGTGGGTGAGTGCATGATTAAGTGGAAGGGTGGGCGGATAGACCAATGGGTGGGTGGAAGTGTGGGTGGATGGGTTGACGGGTGGGCAGGGGTGGATGGGAGGATGAATGGATGGATGGGTGGGTGGAAGGGTAGGAGAGTGCATGATTGAGTGAAAGGGTGGGTGGATGGGTAGATGGGTAGATGGGTGGGTGGATGTGTTGATAGGGGGATGGGAGCATGGGTGGGTGGATGGGTGGGTAGACGGACAGACGAGTGGAAGGATGAGTCGGTAGGTGGATGGAATAGTGATTTTCCAAGTGTATGGTGGAAATAAGAAGACACATGACATGATCCTTGCCTTCAATGATAATTATTATCTCTTCTGCTTATTTAGTGCTTTGTCATTTCTAAACAGGCATCTTGTACACCACCTGACATAGGCTAATAGCTCCATTTCACAGAAGAACAAAGTATGATTCAAGGAGGCTGAGTTCATGCATTCATTCAAGTATTTGTTGAGCAACGACTGTATGTAAGACACACTTCTACATGCACATATACAGCACTGAATGTATAAGCAAAAATCCCTGTCTCTAAGAAGCTCATATTCTGGTTAGAAGAGACATGCAATAATAAATAAGGAAAACATATAGTATATAAGATGACAAGAAATATTATGAAGAAACATGAAGCAGGAAGGGGAGATATCAGGTGCCAGGAGGAGGATGAGCAACATTGGGATTGTCAATAGAGCAGCCAGATAAAGTCTTGCTGAAAAGGCGTCCCTTGAGGAAAGGCCTGGATAAAGTCAGGAACAAGCCAAGTAGGTGTGTTAGCAAAAAAAAAAAGTTTCCAGGCAGACAGAGCGACCAATGCAAAAGCCAGATATCAGTGAACAATTACAGGGCACTTACCACAAGCCAGGGTCCATTCTGAATGCTGAATATACGTCAGTTATTTAAGCCCCACACCAGCTCTTGAGGGAGGTGCTGTTATCATCCTCACTTTGCAGATGGGAACACTGAAGAGCACAAAGACTGAGACACTTGACTACAGAGCTGGGACTGGGCTGAGACAGCTCAGCTCCAGAGGCCATGCTCTTAACCGTTACATCCTTCCACAAGCGAGGGTCATGCCTTAGAAAACAGCAAAGCTGTTTCATCTCACTCCACTCCCACAGCACACTCCACTCTCCTGTATTGCACTGAAAATTCCCAGGAGGGGATAAGACAAGACGTGCATACAGGAAAAAGCAAATGACAAATCCAAGAGCCAACTGGGAGCCCCAGATGTAGGGTGATATAAAGGTCCTATTACCCAGCCTTTTGCTCTTGCGGTTCTCTCTCTCCGCAAAGCACCCTCTCCTTCTCATCCATCCTGTGAAATCCCATGCATCCCTTGAGACGTGGTTCAAACATCATAACTTCTCTGTAGTTTTCTCTTAATTAATTGCTCCCTCGTTTTCCCTCTCCTGACAATTTATGTAATGACGATGATGATTTAAATGTGACATTTTCTGAGTGCTGAAGATGTGCCAGGCAAGTGCTCAGTCATTCTCACCACAGCTCTATAAGACTTTTTTATTCCCTGTCTTATAACTGGGCATACCGAGACTGGAGAGGTAGATTTGCACAACGTCACACACATAGTAAGGGTCCGCTGTAGGATCGAAACTCCCCTCTGCCTCCAGAGCCCAGGAGCTCCACGGAGGTGATGCAGGCTGCCATACTTCTCTGTGCGCTTGTCTGTCTCCTTCACCAGGTAGTGGGCTGCTGGAAGGCAAAGAGCCTTTCAGGTTCCAAGTCTCAGCACAGATACTGAAAGGGATTGTTGACAATCCCCCACACCATGTTATTCCATGAGCATGGGGGAAGCAAGTTTCCCTGGTAGATTCCTAGGGGCATAATTAGCAGGGTTTCTTCCACACAATATGGTTGGGGAGCTTCTGGAGGGTGAACCTATCCTAAAATATCTCCTCACCAGCCCACTAACGGGCCATCAGCATCATTCCTTTAAGTCCAGGCATTATGTACAGAAGGCTCCTTGTTAAAATGAAAACCTGGAAGCTGGAAAGGGGTGGCGTCATGTGCCTTAACCCATCAGGTGCCACCACTCTCTCCCATGCATCGGAAAGAGATGGCTTCTCCCATGCATCGGAAAGAGATGGCTTCTGCTCAGCAAGTGGCTCCTGGGTGTTTAAGAAGCCCAACGAGCACGGCCAAATGCAGACTCAATAATTAAATCTTCTTGCTTCTACTGTTTCACATGAACAGAAATCCTCAGTTGGGAGGTAAGGAGCCAAATGTAGCCAGAACCCACACCAGTGCCCCAGGGCTTGGGGGCTGCTAAGATCTGCCTGCAGTTCATTTTGACCACTGATGGAAGTGGACAGCGGCTGATCTCCCTGGCCACATGTCTGCATGGGTGGGCATGCACGAGGGCTTTAGTTGGGTTTGAATGGGGTGCTTTGTGTTACCTTGTTTTCAGGGGCACAATGGAGAGGAAGGGAAAAGGGGAAAAGGGTAAGGGCATGGCACCTGTTTCCCAAGGGGCCCCTTGGCCTGACTTGGACATGACTTGGACAAGAGGCCTCTGGGGCTGCTGTGCAGCTTGGGCCACAAAGCGGAATGAGAACTAAAGAAAGGGACTGGCTTCCACCCAGAACAGAGCACAGCCCTGCCTCTCGCTTCAAGGACAAGCAGTTCACAGAGGGTCGAGGCAGCCCCCTGGGGATGAACAACGATGTCTTCACGATGGGCTCCATGACTCTGAGGATCCTTGACAAAAGGGGGAGGACGGGAACAGAAGAACTAGACAGATGCCACGTGGTGCCTGCAAAGGGCAGGGAGGTGAACAGGCATTTGCAAAACCCAGACACTGCGGGAAAGAAGAATTTTACAAGGTGGGACCTGGATGTCTGGTGTACATAGATAGAGGCAAAAACATGAATTTGGAGTTATTGATATCAACATGCCTTCATCAGATCATCCATGATGAGACCTGAAATGACCTGCAGTGGCCCTATTTTCTCAAAGCACGTGCTGTTCATAGACATTTTAAATAACGTTGGATAATTTTGTTTACTTTTTTCATGAAGTTATATTTTTTTCAACCAAAAATGTATCAAATATTGATGGATATAATTTGGAATGCAGATAAAATCCATGTTGAAGTTCAGAATTCCAGCCAGGTTTCCCCTGCCACAAACTACTGTCAGGATGTCCTCACAGCCGGGGGAGGGGGAAAAAAACATCCCAAGAAGGAAAATGGCCTTTTGGGTATGGAATCTGTAAACCTAAAGTGAAAGCAAGTATCACAGGGCACTGAACTGGCAAGTTTTGAATTGGGGAGGGAGGTGAGGTAGTTAAGAGGGAACAAAATAAGAAGCATCCAGTGAGTGTAATTCAATTGAGTGTGCCATGATTTTACCCTGAGAAGGGATTACTTTTTTAGCTTGATCCCCAATCAGGTTGTTTTTAAAGCAAAACAGAGGGAGACTTACCATCCCTACCAATGACACAGCTGATGTAGAAAGAGGGAGCTGGGCAAAGGACTGGGACCACATGGTTTAGCAGGAGAGAGGGAGCTGCAGGACATGGGAGAGAACCCAAACCTAGGGCAAGAGGCCAACAGCTCAACAGCAGCAGACATTTGCAGAGTGCATTCAGGGAAAAAACTTCCACAGAAATACCAAAGGTAAAGACTCAGTTCTGAAGGAAAATGTTTAAACCCATTACTGATGTAGATACCTTTATTTCTCCGAAAACGAGAATAGGATTCTGATATAAACATTTGCACCCCATCCCAGCACAGAGAAGCATAAGAGGCATAAGCAGAACACCCCAGCTCAGACCCAAAGAAAGTCTAGTCTCTTGGTTACATATGCTCAAGCGTTCTTACCACGTCCTGAAAGAGACACAAGCACACATTTATACCAGAAATCCACTGCACAGTATACATACTGCAAAAATAAGAGCTCCTAAGTGAACTATTTAGTAATACATAAAGGTTATCACTCCAGAATACAGGTGCCATCATATCAAATAACCCTTTTGCCTTATTCAAAAAGTTCTAAGTTAAATAATCCTCCTGATATTGTTACATACGGACATAGTCACCAGGTCAACCTTATTTCACTATTCATTTGAAGAACTGGCACCCATATTGTATTCGTATCAGAGGGATTCTTCTGAAAGAAAATAATGGTTAAAACTTCAAAGAAGTGGCCGGGCGCAGTGGCTCATGCCTGTAATCCCAGCACTTTGGGAGGCCAAGGCAGGTAGATCACGAGGACAGGATATCAAGACCATCCTGGGTAACACGGTGAAACCCCCTCTCTACTAAAAATACACAAAAAAAAAAATTAGCCTGGTGTGGTGGTGGGAACCTGTAGTCCCAGCTACTCAAGAGGCTGAGGCAGGAGAATGGTGTGAACCTGGGAGATAGAGCTTGCAGTGAGCTGAGATCACGCCACTGTACTCCAGCCTGGGCAATGGAGTAAGATTCCATCTCAAAAAAACAAAACCAAAAAAAAAAAAAAAAAAAACTTCAAAGAAGTGAAAGTTTTAAAGGAAATGTAATGACTTTAACTGAAAAGTACAGAAGTAGGACTTTAGGTATGGTTTGATCAAGCAACAATGTCACCAAACACTCTATCTTTGTCTCCCATCTTGAGTAGCCAATGAATGTTGAAAGCAACAATGGTCACATGCTTCCTTACTGATGTCTACTGGCCAAAGAACAAAAGTCCTAAGCCTTACACTAAGCTAACCATTCTAGGTTGTATGACCACTCCTTATTGATTAATGTGGTAATGGAATGCCATTGACTTAGTCTTGGGTGGTATGCCCAACCCTGAACCGATCACTGGAGTAATAGAAGAGAAATTACCCAGATGGCTTAGGTCTAATTAGAACTCATCTTGGCTTGTGGGGTAGGGGTTAATCTCCCTATACCCCACAAACTGCATGGCTCTGCTGTACAATAGGGAAAGAGATGCGGAAAAACAGTCACATGTCCATAGTAAGGAAAACTAGGTAAGCAGATGGTTTTGCTGACATGTTGCAATACCAATCTTAATGAAGGTTTGGATGTGCACCAAGGAAACCAAGAGGTGAAATGAGCTTTGGGGTACAGGTAGGAGACTGCTCAAGGCTTCCTTCACAATGCAGTCTAAGACCAGCTCTCCTACCCCAGCACAGAAGGAAGAACTGTTCTCAGTGGTACTTGCAGCATTTTGCATTTTTGAGTCCTTTCCCTGTTTCATGGCCCGAGCTAAAAGTTCTACATGAATTGCCTCATTTCTACATTGCAGGAACTTTGGGAAATAGAAAATATTATTATCCTCATTTTACTAAGGTCCATGGAGATTAGATGACATTCCCAGGGTCACAGAGCAGGAAGAAATAGAGTCCAAGCCCTCTGTACCTAGAGACTGAGGCATTATTCACCAAGCCTGACTACCTGCAGGACTCTGCTCTGTAGTCCCCCAAGGCTTTCTCAGCTCTTTGCCTCTAACAGAGTCCCCTGGAATCACTTGTACAATGATGGGTTCAAACTTCTAAAGCCAGGGTTGCTCAGTCACCTCAAATCTCAACAGATGGCTGCAGAGGCCACCTTTGGAACTGGTGGTCACCCTAGGCTGAAAGGTAAGAGTAAAACAACTGTGTGAGAAGAAATGAACATATATGCAAAGCAATTAGAAGGTGGAAAATTATGCCTCTCCAATAGGTCAACAGGTACGATCTGCCGCAAACTCTGAAATAAAAATTTAGACAAAAGCTACACTAAAGGATTTACCAGCATTGTCCCACCACTGACTCTTTTTTCCATGCAGAAGGAGGGGAACAAACTTGACATGTTCTCTTCCCAAAAGGGTGATCCAAATCTCACCTCTTTCAGAATGTATCCCCCATGGCTCCAGCCCTGGCAGGGAGGCTTCCCGTCTGAACACTCCACCAGGTGACTTACACAGCAGCTCTGCTGGGATGCCTAACTCGCCCCTCAAACTTAACATGGTCCGAAGAGAACTCCGTGTTCCCCTTCCATAAAGTGTTTCTCTTCCAGTCTCCTCCATCCCCACAAAAGGGGCCACCATCCACCCACTGGCTCGGTCAAGGCCAGCTGTATGATGCATGGACCTAGGGCAAAATGAAGATGCCCTCACCCTAAAATGGATCATTATTTCAAGATGGCAAAAGCAGAGCATTAAACCAAGCTTAGGACCCTACTAAACAAGGGCTTCTTAGTCACTGCTCACGTTGTGTGTCCATGAAGCTGGGCCATGGCTCAAATAAAAAAACTCAGGGAATATCTCAGTTCTTTTCCCCACCCCACATCCAATCCATCCCCAAGTCCTGTCAGCTCCAACTCTAAAGATATCCTCAATCCAATCACTTTTTTCCAACTCCATTATAGCCACGACATTCTACCCCCCATGATCTCTCTCCTGGACTAGTATAATTGGGCCAGATGGATTCCCTGTTTCTCTCTTGCCTCTCACCAACCTATTCTTCAAACAGGATCCAGTATTACTCAATATAAATCAGACCATGCCATTCCCTATCCCAAAATTTTCCAATGGTCTTCCATCAGGTTTAAAGCAAAATCTGAACTTCTCACCATGAGCTAAAATGTCCTGCACAATCTGGTCCCTGCTACCCTCTCCAGCCTCCTCTCCTCCTACTCCCCCCTTACTCATCCTGCACCAACCCTGCTGGCATCCTTGGTCTCCTGCAAATTCACCAAGCTTGTTCCTGCCTCAAGGCTGCTGCACTGGCTAGTCTCTCTGCCTAGAATACTCTTCTTCCTAGGCATCCACAGGTATCTGGGTTATTCAGCTCCCTCATATCACACAGGTCACTGCTTAAATGTCATCTTTTTGAGGAAGACTTCCCCGAACCCCTTTTCTACAGTAGCCACACAGTCCCTCACTCTCCTCCCACTTACCCAGCTGTCTTTCTCTCCTGAGTCCTCATCACTGTCTGGAACTGTAGGACTTGTCTGTTGTGCTTGTTTACCATTTTGTCTCCCATGTGAGAATAGGAAATTGATCTGTCTTAATGTATTCATCACGGTGTCTCCAGCATTTTGGACAGTGCTTGGCATATGGCAAACACTCTATAAATGAATTGATTACTTGCTACTTTAAGTTATTAGCTGCTGCTCCATGTCTATATGCCTTGATTTATATTAACTTCACTGGAAGTTTCCTACCAGCAAAAGCCAGTTCATTTCCTAAAATCCTCAAAACACTAAGCTCAGTTCCATCCAAAAACTAAATGCTCCATGAATGTGTTCTTTAACTGTTACCAAAAACTTCTCTCCTCCTACTTCAGGAATGACACATGCCATCACTCCCAATATGTGCCCATGGCAGCAATCCCTGACAGATCATAGAATTATTTCTTGCTAAGCAAGTCTCAGAATCCTCACAACAGTTTTCCAGAAGACCTCAACTAATGATACAATTTTATACTTAAAGCAGTATCATTATGGCACCAATATACTAACTTAATGTGAGGAAATAGCTCTGAAAACCACAAACCTGGTCCAAATTCCTCCCCTTTCCCCAGTATTTAACATATGGTCTTAATAGGCAGAGGACAATGTGCTCTGGGTTTATGGACAAACAAGAATAAAAGCCCCAGATGTAAGCAACTGTCTTTTGTCATAATTCAGCCTTAAGCAAGTTGGATTTTTGCTGAAGAATTTCACTTAAAACAAAATACCAGGAAAAAAGAAATGGATGAATTATAAAGCTAAGACTACTTATGGTAAGGAAATTCAAATCTGGCCCATACTGATTTTGCTGGTGCTGCTCACTGGGAGAACGAACCACTTACTTTTGTACACTTCATTCCTCAACATCTTGGAATGTCAAGGTGGCATCATGCCTCAGACTGATGGGACTCCCAAAGCACCCAAGCTTTGGGAACGGGCCTCCCATGACCTCTGCAGCCAACCTGGATTCTATGGCTCCTGCTCAGTCCCCGGGCTGGGAAAGCTCTCCCACCTGGCTCCCAAGAATCCTTGGCTGCACTTCAGTCTGCCATGCTGGAAGGCTTGTGTTCACCCCTGACCCACTTGCTCGATCCACTTTGCTCTGAGGACTTGAGGCAGGTGGATCACCTGAGTTCAGGAGTTCGAGACCAGCCTGGACAACACAGTGAAACTCCATCTCTACTAAAAATACAAAAATCAGCCAGATGTGGTAGCACATACCTGTAATCCTCCTCAGGAAGGTGAGGAAGGAGAATCACCTGAACCCGAGAGTTGAAGCTTGCAGTGAGCTAAGATTGTGACACTGCATTCCGGCCTGAGTGACCCAGCAAGACTCCATCTCAAAAAAAAAAAAAAAAAAAAAAAAAAAAAACACGGAAAAAGCAGCTTCTAGCTTTTGGCAAAATCTAAATTCTTCACCATAAACCAGCATGAGTTTGGTCTCATAAGGACCATTGCCTTTGTTAAGGCCAGTTTGGTTGAAAGTGACAGAAACCCACTGAACTAGTTTAAATTAGCATGTTACTATAACAGTACAATCATATCTCATGCAACCAAGCGGCAGCGGGGGCAGACAGACCTCAGGGAAACTGGAATATCATGGATATGTGGAATCTAAGGAAGTCAAACTCATAAAAATAGAGAGTAGGACAGCGGTTACCAGAGGCTGGGAGTTTATGGGGACTGGGGAGATGTTGGTCAAAGGACACAACATTTCAGCTATACAGGAGGAATGAGTTCAAGAGATCTACTGTACATCGTGGTAACTGTAGTTAATAAGATAATATGCACCTGAAAATTATTGAGAGATTTTGTGTTCTTGCCACAAAAAAAAAAGTGAGGTAATTTATATGTGGAACTGACTTGATTTAGTCATCCACAATGTATACAGATTTCAAAACATCATGATGTACACCATAAATACAATCTTGTCAATATAAAAAGAAAGAAAGCAGGAGGATTGCTTGAGGTCAGGACCAGCCTGGGAAACATAGTAAGACCCCAACCTATACAAAAAAAATAGGCAGGTGTGGTAGCAACCACCTTCAGTCCCCACTACTCAGGAGGCTAAAGTGGGGATTGCCTGAGGCCAGGAGGCAGAGGCTCCAGTGAACTATGATCACACCACTACACTCCAGCCTGGGTGATAGATTCTGGCTGGGTGACAAAGAGATCCTATCTAAAGAAAAAACTTTAAAGTAAAACTTTCAAAATCTTTTCCAACCTTAAAATTGGCTAGTCTATGCATCTTTCCTTAATAATAAATGTATATTGTTCAGTCATAAAAAACATGAGGAACTGGAAGATAAAGCTGGAAATCTGTCAAGAAGGTTACCTTCAGGATCTCTGGTCTTCAGACGGCCCTAGTTTCTGATTCTCTCTCCAGATCTTCTTCATTTTCTCTCTGCAAACCAGCTGTCCTGCTTCTCCTTGGCAAGAAAGGTCAACTCACAGTTCCCAAGGTCCCACAGACAGGCAACAGCAAAGATTAACAAGCATCTCTACTTCCCAATTATAAAGTCCCAGGAGAGAGAATCTGACTGGTCCAGCTTGATCATGTGTCCATCTCTGGCTCAATCAGCTATGGCCAAGATTCTGAGGTCGTGGAATAAAAACGTGGCTCCCAAGGCATCCATATGAGATCATGTTCTCATAGAAGACAACTTGCAGCCTAGCAGGTGCCTCAATAAGGCTCAGTAACAACCACAGTACCCAGCAGCAGCATCTCAAAAGCCTCTCTGCCTGGGATCACCCTCTATCCCTAGAAGAAAGCTATAAATTATTTTCTTTTTCTTTTTAGAGACAAGGACTCACTTTGTTGTCCAGGCTGCAGTGCAATGGTGCAATCATAGTTCACTGCAGCCTCAATCTCCTGGGCTCAAGCAATCCTCCAACCTCAGCCTCCCAAGTAGCTGGGACTACAGATATGCACCACCATGTCCAGCTAATTTTTTAATTTTTTGCAGAGATGGGGCCTTACTGTGTTACCCAGGATGGTCTTGAACTCCTGGGCTCAAGCAATACATTAATTTATATTCCAAAAGTCCAGTTCCTTCCTTGCCCTCTCAGAGTTTCTACCTTCAGTCAATGGCCACAACTGTTTCTCAACTATCTGTACAGGCACAGAGCTCAGGAGCTTGAATGAGGATTCACCTCTTCCAGATTTACATCACCAATTAATTCTGTGGTCTTACATACCTAGAGGTAAGACATCACAGTTTCCAAACCAAACATTCAACAATATTTATTTTTAAAAACATTTATGAGCATTTATTTTATGCCATATATTGTTCGAGGAAGTAGGAATACAAGAAAACTGACAGTAATATTAGGTTATGTAGTCTGAGAAGGGACAATTTCCAGTTTCTGCATTTACTTAGGAAAAAAATATTTTAGAGGGTCTATAAACTAATTCATACACTAAACAAATCACCTTGTCTGAATATAAAGTATGAAATCAGAAGGAACTGGTTATATTTGACCCATGCACTCACCAATACCCACCAGGAGAGTAGAGCGGTCTTTGGGAAAACTCACCTGTACACTTTTACAAAATCAAAAATGCCTTATACACATCCCAATAGGCCATCATCCCTGCATGATAAAAGCAGAGTTTCTCACAAGCCCAGTCAATGGCCCCACAAAGCCAAAACCACAGTGAGGGGGAGGTTCTTTTGTCACCTGAGCCATGTGCTCTGTCTAAATCCCAGACTGCTTGAAGCAGCCGTCCCCAGCCGGCCATCTCTTCAGCTCCGCAGAACTCGCCTCTGCTCCTCACCCACTTAGAGAGTAAATACCAAGAGTGCAGCTGCCATTCTCCAGGGGAGCTTGGAAAGCAATTAATTGGCACCTCTTAAATCTCCCGGAGCTCTAGCAAGAAAGGTACTTAGGGCTGTCAGATGCAGCCAGGAGGAGAATAGAAGGTAGCTCTTGTGTCCCCAGTGGGAGACGAACATACAAATCCATCAGCTCTGGCATCTGAAAGGATAAACAAGTCTTTTAAAAAGCCATGAGCACCATTTAAAGTCCACCTGAGAGTTGTGAGCTGAAGGCAAAGCTAGCCCAGGAGCTCACCAGAAGGAGGGGGGCTGGAGGGGCAGTTCCTCCAAACCCTGTCAGCTTCTAAAGACAACTAAACCCAGTAGAAGGACCACTCTCTTCTTTCAGCTTCATGAATGGGTCATCACTACCTATCTCCAAGGGCAGCCAAGCACACCCTGCTTCAGAGACGATGCCAAGAGGTTCTCCTGCCCCTGCACCTACTCCAGAGGATACAGGACCAGGGATCAAGTTGTCCACAGGTCTGACCATACCTAGGACGGCTCATCCACACACAGATAATTCTGAGCCTGGAGAAGGATCAGCACCCCCATGCATGATCTCATTCAATCCTCGGCAACGGAAGTCCTGTAAGGAGACTCTAGCATCATCCCTGTTTTACCGATGAGGATAGTGGGGATTCAGAGAGGGGTGCCAGCTTGCCCAGTGTAACAGAAATAATGAGGAACAGCCTGTCTGAATTGAGAATGTGTGCCCTTGACCACTACAAGCAAAGGAAGTGCCCAGGAAATGAACCAGCCTCCCTAATATGTGCCCGTTTCTAGGGTCTCAGTGCCATCCCCCTTTGACAGAGAGCAGCAGACCTGGCTTTCTGTCCACTGGTCCTTTGGCTCCCAAGTTGGAAACATTCTGCATCTTGAAAGACAGATGAACTCCGAGCCAAAAAAGCACAATGATTTGGAGTTCAGACTCTGCAGCCACACCTCCTAGAGGTTAATTCCTTGCTATGGTACCTTGAGGAAGTCACTTAACCTCTCTGAGCCTCCATTTTCTCACCTACCAAATTGGACTAATAATAATTCCTACATCCCAGACTGATTGGGAGGATTAAAGGAAACAAGAAATGCTTGACCCAGTACCTGGCTCACAGAATCCATATATGGCAGGTATAATTACCATCACCATGATCACCACCCCCAAAGAGTCGGCAGTCTGAGAACATCTTTTGATAGGATCCATTCACTTATGCACACAAGGAATATTTACTGAACACCCACGAGGTACCAGGTGGTTATGCTGGCTTCTGAAGATACAGTCATGGGACAAACGCAGTCTCTGCCCTCAGAAAGCTTATGATCTACTGGGAGAAATCCTTCCCACCCCCACACCGTGCCACTCCACACACAAAAAACCAACATTAATACCTTTCTGTTTTATCTCCTAATCTGCTCGCTCATGTGCAATGGAGAAGAGGAAGGACATAGCAAAGCCTATCAAAGTCCCCTAATCCCCCAGTGACGGGAAAAACTCTGAACACAAAAAACCGACATTAATACCTTTCTGTTTTATCTCCTAATCTGGTCACTCATGTGCAATGGAGAAGAGGAAGGAGACAGCAAAGCCACTGTCCCCCAGTCCCGCTGATGACGGGAAAAACTCCAGCCTCCACCTTTCTCCCTTTTGAATCTGAACTCCTAAAAGCTTCAGGCACCTTCAGATCTTCACCTCTCTCCCACAGCGGCAAGCCTCAGGCTCCATCCAACCCTTTCAATAAACTCTTTATGCAATGAATGAACCAAAAGGCTAATCTCTGTGATGTATCATGAATTCCTTTGAATCAATGAGAAAAAAGATAAAGAACCCAATTTTTTAAATTGCAGAGAGGTGAACTGGCAATTCGGAAGAAAAACAGCCAAAGAGATAAGAAATTTATAATATTCAGTCTTCGCAACATTGTGAAGGAAGAGGCACCACAAACACACTGCCAGTGAGCACAGAAATTGAAACAACTTTTTTTGGAATCACTTTGGTGATGTTTATCAGAATTGAAATTGGGCATACTCTTTGGCCTAGAAAAACAAGTCTACTTGAAGTCTATACTACAAGAAGATTTAAACAAGCGAACAAAACTATTCTTTCCATGCTACTCATTACAGCCTCACTGATAACAGCAAAACTAAAACAGGAAACAGGTTAAGTGTTCAAGCTTAAGGATGTGTCCATGCTTAAAGATGGCCAACTGTGGTCATTGTCCAACTTTAAGCTTAAGGACAATGACCACGGTTGGCCATCTTTAACGTTGGACAGTGTACCACATTGCCCATGGTACATTATTCCTATGAACCCTATAATTATATTGTAAAGAGAACAATCGTTTTGTATTTATTATATATGTGCACATGTGAACATCCTAAAAGTTCAATTTGTCAAGCACACACTTGAAAAATATACCATAGCTTTTTAAAATCCTGTTAGGGTATTATTCCTCCTCCTCTTTTCTTCTCCTGTTCCTTCTGTTCCTTCTTCATCTTCCTTTATTTACTAGAATCCTCCAAAAATGAGCAAGACCCAACCATCTCTTTTCTCTTCTGAAAAGATATGGACCTGAGACAACCCCAGAGAGAGAATTCCATACAGTCTGACAGAGCAGGAACATAGCCATCTTGAACAAGCACTGCCATTTTAAGGTTCCCCTTAATCAAAAACTGCCTAAATCCAACCCAAAGGGCATCAGCCTAATGGCTAACATCGGCATGACCATAAACCACAAATGACATCTCTGACCAGAAACATTCCAAACCCCTCCCTGAGCAGAGACATACCAGCCCTGAGATAACCTCTCCTCTGGCCGGAGAGATGTCAGCCCCAAGATATCCTCCCCTCTGACCAGACACATTCCAACTCCACAATAAACTTCTCCTCCACACAAACATTCCAAGCCTGTGATAAGCTCTCGCCCTAAACCCTTAAATACTCTTAGTCTGTAAGAAAGAGTACTCCTGACAGAAATCGGCCAGAAGCACCTCTCAGGTTTATTCACCAAAATAAACCCATCTTTGACTTGTTGAGCCACTTTTTGTGTTCCTTTCCTCTGTCTTTAACTCTTACAAAGTCATGTACTGCATAATGCTGTTTCAGACATCTCCAGAATGCACTTGCAATGGTGGTCCATAAGATTATAATGCTGTATTTTTACTGTACCTTTTCTATGTTGAGATATGATACACAAATACTAACCACTGTGTTACAAATGCCTACCAGATTCAGTAAAATAACATGCTGTAGAGGTTTGCAGCCTAGGAGTGATAAGTACACCATAATATAGCCTAGGTGTGTAGCAGACTATACCATCTAGGTTTGTATAAGTGCACCCTGTGATGTTCTTACATTGACAAAATCAACCAACTATACAATTCTCAGAACACGTCCCCGTCATTATGCGACATATGACAGTACACTGAAGCACTTGCCTCCAGGAGAGAAGCTCGGGCCCTGTAGAACTTCTACGTCTGCTGTGCTTCAAACCAAACCACAGGGAAGGAGAGAAGGGGCCAACTGTGTGAGGAGCAGCTTTTTCATTGTGTATATAATCGGGGGATCTGTAAACTCTTCCTATTAAGGGCCAGGTAGAAAATATTTTCAGCTGTTCAGACCTGACAGTCTCTGTCTCAATTACTCAACTCTGCCATTGTCTCCCAAAAGAGAAAGCAGACACACAATATGCAAACGAATGGGCGTGACCATGTTCCAATAAAACCTCATTTACAAAAGCAGGACTTGAACCAAATTTAAATCACAGACCATGGTTTGTCAGCCCCTGCATTTAATGATCAATCTTATCTTTCTAGTGTAGTTTGGTTTTTTGTTTGTTTTTTGAGATGGAGTCTTGCTCTTTCGCCCAGGCTGGAGTGCAGTAGCATGATCTCGGCTCACTGCAACCTCCACCTCCTGGGTTCAAGCGATTCTCCTGTCTCAGTCTCCTGAGTAGCTGGGACTACAGGTGCCCACCACCACACCCGGCTAATTTTTTTGTATTTTTAATAGAGACAGGGTTTCACCACATTGGTCAGGCTGGTCTCAAACTCCTGACCTCAGGTGATCCGCCCACCTTGGCCTCCCAAAGTGCTGGGATTACAGGTGTGAGCCACTCCACCTGGCCTCTAGTGTAGTTTTTAATGAAAGATAACTTGTTCCTACCTGGTGACTCGGGAACAGAAAATAATAGGGCTGGTTTATTTCTATATATAAAGTATATTTAATAATGTGTATTATAAGTTAAATATATAAAACTGCCCTTGTATTTTCTTTGATTTCTCTTGTTACAAAAATAATATCTACACATGGTAATAAAAATTCAAATGATATAAGGGAGTGAAAAATGAAAATAAAATGCATACATTCACACACACATATGTAAAAATATAAATATACGATATGTAATTGTAATATATATATTTATTTGAATCTTAAAAGGTTTTCTGACTTTTAAAAGTCCCCTTGGCCGAGTGCAGTGACTTACACCTGTAATCCCAGCACTTTGGGACGCCGAGGTAGGCAGATCACATGAGGCCAGAAGTTTAAGACCAGCCTGGCCAACATGGTGAAACCCCATCTCTACCAAAAATACAAAAAAATCAGCTGGGCATGGTGGCATGTACCTGTAATTCCAGGTACTCGGGAGGCAAGAAAAATGCTGGAACCCAGGAAGCAGAGGTTGCAATGAGTCGAGATCACACCACTGCACTCCAGCCTGGGTGACAGAGGGAGACTGTCTCAAAACATAAAATAAAATAAAATAAAATAAAGTTTCCTTTGAGGCAAATGCCTCTGCGTGGGTAAAAAGCTAACTGTTATCATTAGGTGTTAAATAAAAGAAACAATAAATAAAACCACACTTGGTGGTTTTCTTCAAGAGAAGCCAAGGAGAAAGGTAGAGAAGATTTGCCAGAGTCTAAGACATAAGAAGGAAAACAAGAAACCGAAAAGATCCACTGTTCCAAAGCCATTATGATTAAAGCTGGCCCTGACGTGAGTCTACTTTTAGGCTTTATTTTACAATCAGAGGCTAGAAATAGGTCCAGATTCGAAAACCCCTTCTGTCTTAGGACTTGACACTATGGGATAAGAAGCAGGTCTCACCTGAAGGGTCAAGAGGCTTTTAGATGGAAGGGAAGAACATGCAGACCCCACTGGAACACAGGGGTTGGTGCCCAGGGTGGGCATGGTCACCAGCCATGAGTCAAAAGCCCCTCCCACCAGGTAGCTCTTTCATCAGTGACTTCTACAAGGCTATCACCTGAGCTGCTGAGAGCCCATGGGGAATTACAGGAATGGTCCCCACCTCTTACTGCATTCTGCAGCCATACCCTCTGGCCATGTGACTTTGTAGTTTCCTTCAGTAAAGAGATGAACCCTATTTCTCCACCCTTTGATTTTTGTTTGGCCATGTGACTGGCTTTGGCCAATGTACCGTCAATAAGTATGATGTCTGCAAAGGCTCAAAGAGTTTGAGTGTGCTCTGCCATTACCCTAAGAAGGACATGCCTGGGCTAGCCCACTAGTTCCAGAATTGGTAAGACAGACATAAAACAAACCACCCAGCCAAGCCCCATCTAAATCCTTCTGCCTCCACCTGACCTCCAGACACATGAATGAGTCTAGCCAAGATCAGCCCATTTTCAGCTGATACACAATCCAAGAGAACATAGTAATTATGAAGTTTTGAGGTGATTTGTTACACAGCACTTCTGTAGCATTTGTTGACTGATACGAAGCCCAAAGCACGTGAGATACATGACAACCATCTGGTGATGAACGAATTTAGCAAACCTTCCCGAGCTGGGCCAAGCCAAGCCAAACAGATTAAATAACCAATGTCCAATTCCAGGCTTACCCTATCCGGAGGAGTCCACGTAAGTTATACAGCGGACCAAAAATGCTCCATGGTAATGTGTGGGTTTACCTCCCTCTCTCCCCTTTCTCCTAGAGCCACATCACCTCCAGATCCTCAGAGTTTGGTGCCTGATACCAAGTAGGCCTTTCATATAGAGAAGGTGACTTAAATTTAATTGGAAAAAAACCACCAGAGAGCCTGGGTATTTGTGCTTTGCTATCTAAAGAATATCCCTGTTCTGAGAAGGGAAAAAACAAAACAAACAAACAAAAAAACCTGAATTGGACCAGGCTTGAGTACACAGGCAATGGAGAAATTTTTAGCAGCCTCCACCTTGCAGAGTTTGCTTTGGGGACTTTTCCTCTCCACATCATTCCTGAAACAGTGCTCTTTTAACATCCTTAAATGATGCTCCTTGTCTGCTGTGGCCACAGGGTTTCTCATTAAAAAAAAAAAAAAAAAGTAGGCTGGGCAAACTGGCTCACACCTGTAATCCCAGCACTTTGGGAGGCAGATGCAGGCAGATCACCTGAGGTCAGAAGTTCGAGGCCAGCCTGGCCAACATGGTGAATCTCCATCTCTACTAGAAATACAAAAATTAGCCGGGCATGGTAGCACGCACACCTGTAGTCCCAGCTACTTGGGAGACTGAGGCAGGAGAATTGCTCGAACCTGGGAGGCGGAGGATGCAGTGAGCCGAGGTCATGCCATTGCACTCCAGCCTGGGTGACAGACTGAGACTCTGTCTCAAAAAAAATTTTCTTTTAATCAAATAAAATAATTTTTAAAGTCATCTTAAAAAGCAAGAGGGGATAAACCAATTTATAATTTTTATTCTAGTAAATTCCAGAAATAAATAGAATTTAAAGAGCTTAGCATAGCAGTTAAAAGAAGGAGACTAAGGTTAGATTCGCTGAGTTTGCATCCTGGTTCTTCTACTTACTAGCTATGCAACTGCAATGGACTAATGTTTATATCCCCCCAAAATGTGTATGTTGAAATTGCAACCCAGAAAGCGATGGTATTTGGAGGTGTGGCCCCTAGGAAATAATTAGATCTCATGAATGAGATCAATGTCCTTCCAAAAGAAGCCTCAGAGAGTTCACGGGTCCCTTGTACCATGTGAGGACACGGCAAGAAGGCACTCATCAGACACCGCATCGGTCTTTTTTTTTTTTTTTTTTTTTGAGACAGAGTCTCGCTCTGTCACCCAGGCTGGAGTGCAGTGGCATGAACTCAGCTCACTGCAAGCTCCACCTCCCGGATTCACGCCATCACATCACATCACTACAGGTGCCTGCCATCACACCTGGCTAATATTTTTGGACTTTTTTAGTAGAGACGGGGTTTCACCATGTTAGCCAGGATGGTCTCGATCTCCTGACCTCCTGATCCACCCGCCTCAGCCTCCCAAAGTGCTGGGATTACAGGCGTAAGCCACCGCGCCCGGCCCACATATGTCTTGATCTTGGACTTCACAGCTGCCAGAACTGAGAAATGAATTTCTATTGTTTATAAGCTAACTAATTAATGTTATTTTGTTATAACAGTCCAAACAGACTAAGACAGTAAACTTGAATAAATTATGTAAGTTTTTCGGACCTCAGTTTTTGATATGGTTCGGGTCTGTGTCCCCACCCAAATCTCATGTCAAATTGTAATCCCCAGTGTTGGAGGTGGGGCCTGGTGGGAGCTGACTGGATCATGGGGGCAGATTTCCCCTTTGGTGCTGTTCTTGTCATACGGAGTGAGTTATTGTGAGATCTGGTTATTTAAAAGTGGGTAGTCCCTTCCCCTTTCTCCTCTCCTCCTGCTCTGGCCATGTGAAGACATGTCTGCTTCCCCTTCACCTTCCACCATGACTGTAAGTTTCTCGAGGTCTCCCCAGTCATGCTTCCTGTACAGCCTGTGGAACCATGAGACAATTAAACCTCTTTTCTTAATAAATTACCCAGTGTCAGGTATTTCTTTAAAGCAGTGCAAGAACAAACTAATACGGTTTTCAACTTTAGTTACATAACCTTTGTGAACTTCAGTTTCCATTTATAAATGGAAATAATAACGGAAACTACTCCATGGGATTCGTGAGAATCAAATAAAACAATATATGTAAAACTTTCAGCATGGTGCCTGGCTACATTTTAGCTGTTGTTATTAAATAATATTAATAAGCTAGCTTAGACCAAGAGACAGATTTATGAGAAATAAAGTATTCGGAAGCATCTCCTGGAAACTAAGGGTAGGAATAGCATCAAGGGTACTCAGGAACTGGGTAGGACCCGGAATCAAGGCAGCCTAATGGTTAATTTCCCTGTCTGGGGCCATGAGTTCTCCCTTCTCTTTGTGAATTTCACATTCTCGTGGCTGATTCTTGCATGTAAAAATCTGATTGGCTGAGCTTGAATCGGATGGCCACTTTTGGGCCAATCAGCTGTGTCCAGGGGGTGGGCTTAAATGGTCCACTGGCAGCTCCGCAGGAGGCTGGGACCAAAAAGGGTATGGCAGGGCTGGAGAGCATCTCATTAGATCTTCCACGTGCAGACAGGCATGGGGCTTGGTGGACCTCATAAAAGGTATGTTTCATTGACTCAAATGACCCAGAAGAAGCTCTGCCTCTGTGTCTGGGACATTAGCAATGCTTTGTCATCGAGGCTGAGTTATTCTTGAAGGCATTCCATCAGTTTGCTAGGGCAAGCATAACAAAATCACACAGACTAGGTGGCTTAAATTACAGAAATGTACTTCCTCACAATTCTGTAGGCTAGAAGTCCCAGATCAACGTGTTGGTAGATTTGATTTTTTTCTAAGGTCAGAGCGTCTCCTGGCTTGCAGACAGCCTTTCCTCTATGCATGCATCCTTGCAGTCTCTTCGTGTGTCAAAATCCCCTCTTATAAAAACGCTGATCAGATTGGATTAGGGGCCCCTTTAAAAGCCTTATTTAACTTAATTGCTTCTTTACAAGTTCCATCTCCAAGTAAGTCATATTCAGAGGTACTGGTAGTTAGGGCTTCAACATATGAATTTGCAGGGACACAATTCAGCCCATAACAGGCACAAAAGGGCTTTCATTTTGCCCAAGAAATCCACGTCTCCTGGTGCCTGGACTCCTAAGCAACATGGGGGCTGCATTTGTTTTAGGACTTTCAGTCACTACACGGGGTCTTCAGCTCTTCCAAAATACCTCTCCTTTTCTCCTGGGATTCTCCTCACTCGTAGAAATAATCAGAGAAACAATATGGAAAGCCAGAAAGGGATACAACCATTTTTAAGCCTTACTTCCCATCCCTCCCAGACCACAGAACCATTCAGCTTACAAAGAGATGTTTTAACTATGGATGAGTCTGCTGGTGGCTTTACAAGGGGTACTAACAGGAAAATTATCTTTGTGTAATTCATTTTCGCTTGGCTTAATGAGGTAAGAGACTCTCATTTTGCAAAGTAGGGCAGCTCACTGCTGAGGCCAGGGAATCGGGGAGGGGGATGCTGCTACATTCTGTTTCCAAAGTTAGGAAGCTCTGGCCCTTGGCATGTAGTGGGGAAGTAGGGGAGGATGTTTGCCAACCAGGGTACCAGAAACCTATTGTGCAGATTGGGGCGTTTCTCTCTGAGGGCTAAAATTAAGCAGCAGCTGCTGCAAAGTTAACATTTGCAAGTTTCAAAGTCAGGCAGTGTCAAGACTTGAACGAGTGAACACGCTTTTAATTGGACCCAGTTTTAGACGATTTTGATCATTTCCTGGGACTGAAAGCATGCATCCTATTTTAAACTTGCATTCTTAAGAGAGTGGTCCTTAAACTTCAGGGTGCTTCACAATTACCAGGGAAGTTTGTGGGCTACACAGATTCCCCAAGGCTTCTCTCCAGGGATACAGACTCAATAGAGAGGCAGGGACATGGGGCAGGGTCCCATTCAGCAGATTGGTGCAGGGTCTGGCCAGTTTCACAGGTCTCCACGGCATTTTGATGCAGGGGATCTACACACCAAATTTTTGGAATCTCCAGGTGAAAACCTATTCAATGATCACTCAGAAACTGCCATTCCCAGTTGTTCCATAAATAATAAGTATTCAGCTCCTCGGTCAGAACTACCGATCTCCTTGTTCTACTTTACTTTTCCCATAGCATTTTCTGGCTTTCTAACAAAATCTAATGATCAATACCTCCCTGAAGCAGAACTTCTGCTTTACAAAGAACGGATGTTTGTGTTTTGTTTGCTGTTTACCCTCAGTTCCTAGGACAGTGCCTGGCTCGATATTGGACAAATGAATTAATGAATTAATATCCTGAGCTCGTGCTGGGCTTTCTGCTGAGATATAATATCAATCATTTGGACGTCTGATATTAAAATGGAATTAGCAGATAGTGCCTAGCAGGCAGAAGGCTTTCTGATATGTTCCCTCCTCCATTCATTGCCAGACATCATCATCATCAAGGCTGCCAGGTTTTGAATTAACAGCCACCGCTTAAAAATGTTTCTCTTTTTAATTGGAACGGATAACCTCTGCTAAATAAAGATGCCTACAGATCTTGGATGAGTCACAGCCCTCTGAAATCTAGCTAGGAAAAATGAAGAACATCTGCTTTCCATGTTCTGTGATAATGAAGTCTAGAATGGGCAGGGAGTGCATCGTACCAGGGCACACACACTCTGGTCACAGCCTATCTGAAATGCCAGAGCTCAGAAGAGGTTATTATTGAGCAAATGAATGCAACAGAAACACTGTTCTCCTGAACTCTCCCCAGCCTCAAGTGTATGGATGGGGCTCAAAATAGTAGAAGGGGACTTGGACATGTATTTTATTATTTTTTGGTGCTCACATGACCTTTGAGTAAACCTCTGAGTCTGTTTGGTGGGGAGAATTACCTGGCTCCCACATACATCCGAAAGCTGTTAGTTTGAGGCTCTGCTAGCCACATTGGCTCTCTGAATTTACAATATCCCACCTATAGAAGGAGGGTAAGTATTGCAAAATAGAAAAGGTTAAACAGGTTACAAGATCCTAGGACATGCCTATCAGAATGGCTAAATTAAAAATGCTGACGATACCAAGTGCTGACAAGGATGTGGAGCAACTGGAACTCTCATACACTGCTGTCTGACGGGAGTGTAAAAACTCTGATGCCAAACTCTTATATAAGTATGTAAGCTAAATTATATAATGCCAAGCTGTTTAAAGACACGTAAATACTCCAGTAAGCACAATAGGACCTAGCATTTCCATTTCTAGGTATTTACCCTTAAGAAATGAAAACTTATGTTTAAACAAAAACCTGTTCATGAATGTGTACAGAAGCTCTATTTCAAATTGCCAAAAACGGAAAACAAACTCAAATATCCCTCAGAGGGTGAATGGATAAACAAACTGCAGTATATCCATACAATGGAATACTAGTCTAAAGGGACTAACTATTGGTACACACAACCACTTGTGTGATGCTCAAGACATTACACTAAAGGAAAGCAGCTAGTCTGAAAAGGTTGCATACTACATGGTTTCATTTATAGGACATTCTTGAAAAAACAAAACTATAGGGACAAAGAACAGATGAGTGGATCATCAGTGGGGCAGGATATGACTTCAGAGGGCTATCACAGGGTAGTGTTTGGGGGTGGATGGAGCTGTTCTTTACCCTGACTATAGTGATAGATATGCAAATCTATATATGTGTTAAAATTCATAGAACCGTACATCCAAAAAACGGCAATTTTACTGTACGTTAATTTAAAAATAAAATTAAAAACAAATGTGGTAGAAAATTTACTGGATTGAACTAAATTTAGTTTTCACACAACTGTGCAGGAATAGGATCTTGTCAAAGAAAAGTAAATGCAGATACAAAGGACAAGTGAGTCTCGTGTTTCCATGTGTCAGAGCCATGCCTGTAAACCTGCAGCTATTACAAGTAGTTGGGGAAAGGAAAAAAGAGGTGACAAACAGGGAGGAGACAAGAAGAGGGAAGGGGAAGAGAGAAAAGAGGAAGAGAAGAAGGGCCAAGCACACAGGAGGGAGAGAAAGGGAAGGTGTTGTAGAGCAGCGCTTCTTAAGCGTCAGTGAGTGTGTAAACCACCTGTTCCAATGCAGGTACTTTTTTTAACTTTTAAGTTTAGCGGCTCATGTGCAGGTTTGTCACATAGGTAGACTTCTGTTTGTTGTACAGATTTCACCCAAATACTGTATCTTGCTGATAGATCTGGGAACACCTGCCCATCACCAGGGTTCTGTGGCCAGCTGGCTGAGTGTCCCTGTGACAAAGACTGGGGATAAATGGGTTTGGCAGTGTAGTACCACTAAGTCTAGTAAATGATAGTTATTTTCTCCAATCTTCTCCCTCTTCCTTCCCTCCCATTATCCACCCTCCACCCTTCCAGAGGCCCCAATGTCAGTTGTTCCCCTCTATGTGTCCGTGAGTTCATCATTTAGCTCCCACTTATAAGTGAGAACAAGTGGTATTTGGTTTTCTATTCTTGTGTTAGTTTGCTAAGGATAATGGCCTCTAGCTCCATCTATGTTCCTGCAAAGGACATGATTTCGTTCTTTGTATGGCTGCGTAACATTTCATGGTATATATGGACCACATTTTCTTTATCCAATCTACCACTGATGGGCACTGAGGTTGATTCCATGTCTTTGCTATTGTGAATACTGATAATGTAGGTTCTAATAAGGTTTGGGGCAGGGCTAGGATTGTGTATTTTATTTTATTTTGAGACAGAGTTTCACTCTGTCACCCAGGCTGGAGTGCAGTGTCGTGATCTTGGCTCACTGCAACCTCTGCCTCCTGGGTTCAAGTGATTCTCCTGCCTCAGCCTCCTGAGTAGCTGGGATTACAGGCGTGCACCACCATGCCCAGCTAATTTTTGCATTTTTAGTAGAGATGGGGTTTCACCATGTTGGCCGGGCTGGTTTCGAACTCCTGACTTCAAGTGATCCACCTGCCTTGGCCTCCCCAAGTGCTGGGATTACAGGCATGAGCCACAGCACCCAGCAGAATTCTCTATTTCCAAGGAGCTTCCAGGTGATGCCCGTGCTGCTGATCCAGCCCCCACCCCCTCCCCCAACACTAGGAGGAGGCAGGTGCTGGGCAGAAGCACTGGCAAACACTTTGCAAAGAGACACAACACTAAAAGAGACTCATGTGATGCCCATCTGAGACAGTGTAGGGGAAAGCACTTTCAAAATCATTAAGCACTATACACGTGTAATATGACAGCTCACCAAAAATAACATCGTCTCTGTCAGAATTACAAAACTCAGTTCCTAATTAAGGGATTTCCCATTGTCCCTGCCATCACAACGCTGCTGAACCCATTTATCCCCAGTCTATGTTACAGGGACACTCAGCCAGTTGGCACAGAACCCTGGTGATGGGCAGATGTTCACAGAACTATCAGTAAGGCCAACCGTCACAGCTGTGTAGGAATCGGTTTTGTTGAAGATGAATTCAAGAAATGCCAGAGCTCATCAGCTGGCTTTTGAAGCCCGGGTTAGCTTATTAACATATAAATAACTAAGTTTTACTTTTCAGAGCTTCCAGCACATCCATGCTAATGAAGCTATTGCTTTAAAAGTCGATCTCTTCTGAAATGTCTAATTAATCTGACGCTAGCAAAGGTGCACAGAGCAATGCATCTGCAGAGCCCAGTGGGGCAGAGACAATGAGGCAAGGCCGCTGATGCAGGGCCAGATGTTTCAGATGCCAGAGAACCCACGTAATTAACATGAGCAAGGCTGGAGGCCAGGGTCACCGCAGCAGAGTTTTTCGAACTGCGGGTCACGACCCATTCATGGGTCATGAAATCAATTCGTTGGGTCATCATGACCAGCCATGCTTTTTGGTAAAATGGTAAAAGAGGAAGGGGAGGAGAAAGGAAAGAAAGAATGTGCATCGCCCATAGTAAAGGTAAGCACTGTGAGAAAGCCACACATTCCACCCATCTGTACATTTTACTCATAGGTACTGAGTCGGCAAGAAATGCATTTCTCTTAATATGTACGCATACAGCACTTTGTCATATGTCCAGACTGTGCTAAGCATTTTCAAAGCATTAAATCACTTGATCCTTATCAGGGAGATGTTCCCATTGCATTTTGCAGGTGAGGAAACTGAGGCACAGAGAGGCAGAATGACTTATCCAAGGAGATCCAGCTAGGGAGTGGGGAGTCAGGTCTGACTTTGAAGCCCACACTCATCTACACAACTCCATGCCCCCAGGACCTCAGACTCTGAGGACAAAAGAAGTTCTGGAGACAAAACCACCCATTCATGCCGGAAGAGAAACCACTGAAAACAATCAGTATGACAGGTGAGTGATTACTGCTCTGCTAAGTGCCCTAAGTGCATTATAACATTTAACTCTCAAAATAAGTAGAATAAGGTAGGTACACTGAAACCTTCTATTTTTCACATTGTAAACTGTGGGTCAGAGAAAGAAAATGATACATTAGAAGTCGCATGACTCATAAGGAGATTACTGGGGGAGGTGTCATAGGAACCACGGGATTTGAGCTGACCCTTGAAGGATGGGGAAGACTGGGGGCTCCAGTGTCCCCTTGCTCTAAGAGAACAAAAGGGCTTGAGCAAGAGGATTCTCACACCTACATCAGTTCAATCTGATTTGGAGACCTAGTCTTGCCGGAGGATTAAAGAAGATGATCCCCAAGAAAGGACGGATGCCATCATGAGAAACTGGCAGCCACAGAGGCTAACAGTGCACCTCTGGCCATGCCCAGGGCACCCGGCTCAGCACCCAGACCAAAAGGCTCATCCTACCCCAAACCCCTAGGCGTGCACACACACAAGCCAGTTCCTAGAACATCTCTGCTGTCCCCCAGCCCCAGGAGCAGGCAGGTTGAGTGAGGAATGTATCTGAGAGGCAGTCTGAGAAATCCTCAGCCATCTACCCTTGGGCTTACTTAAAAGCTTTCTATTGCTTCTAGTTTTGTGTTTATTACGTTTTTCTCTCAGAAGCTCCCAGAACTGGAAGGAACCCAAGTAGCTTTCTGTTAAGAGCCAAGCAAGACCTGGAAAATATGACTCAGAGCTTGAGCTTTGGAATCAGATGCGTCAGGGTTCAGGTCCCGGTTATATTTTTGAGGCCTTGTGAAACATGCTAAAGCCCCCTAAGCCTCAGCTTCTTCATCTGTAGGATGGAGACACTCTAGTATCTACCACAGATGGTTAGATCTGAAGGTGAGACGAGAGGGAGTCTGTAAAGGACACATCAGGGTAGCAAGAGAGCAATGAGCAATCAGTGCCCCGTAAGGCCGTGCAGCAAGGTGTGGGTCCCTGCTCTGTGCTACAGAGGTCACCTTGGATGAAGACAGGCTCAGAATCTTCTCCCCAGACTCTGGTCGTCATGAGAGTCACAGACGCCACACGCCGTGCACATTCTCTTCTGTTGCCAGCAATCCAGGTTTCCATTTACTCAAACCACCACCAGTAGCCCCAGGTGTGGAAGGAGGAAGATGGACCATGACGGCCACCACCACTTCCCCTATCTACTGCAGAATCACCCACCCAGAACCTAGTGGCTTTAAAAATGTGATCTCTTGGCCAGGCGCTGTGGCTCACGCCTGTAATCCCAGCACTTTGCGCCAACATGGGCGGATCACGAGGTCAGGAGATCGAGACCATCCTGGCTAACACAGTGAAAACCCGTCTCTACTAAAAATACAAAAAAATTAGCCAGGCATGGTGGTGGGCGCCTGTAGTCCCAGCTACTCGGGAGGCTGAGGCAGGATAATGGCATGAACCCAGGAGGCGGAGCTGGCAGTAAGCTGAGACTTCGCCACTGCACTCCAGCCTGGGTGACAAAGCGAGACTCCATCTCAAAAAAAAAAACAAAAGTTATCTCTTATATCTCATGTTTTAGTACAGTAATGATCATCCAGTGTCAATTTTGCTTCTCACTCCCACCCCTCAGGAGACATTCAACGTCTGGAGACATTTTTAGTTGGTGGTATTACTGGCATCTAGTGGGGAGAGGCCAGAGATGCTGTTCAGCATCCCACAATGCCCAGGACCTGAATGTCTATAGTACTGAGCTTGGGAAACTGGGTCCAGCTAAAATGTATTCAGTCTCCAGTGCTTGGATGCAAACAGTACAGTTTCCCTGAGACCTAAGTCCAAGAGAAACTCAGGACCAGCAGCAGCAACACGTGGAAATAAAAGCATCTGACTATAGACAGAAGAGCCCCAGGACAGCTGTTCTGTGGGCAGAGGGCAGCCCACAGCCAGGGTCAGCCAGAGGCAGGGCCGCCCCTGGGGCAACAGCAGGAGACAGAATGTAATGGTGGGTTCAGCTGCGCACACACAGCCCAGAACCCCCTCGTGCCTAGGGCTTCCTGGAAACTCCCTGGAGCCCCCAGCTCTCTCTACTCAGACCATGGAGCTTCAAGTTGTGGTCCCGATATCAAGGGTGGCCAGGAAACCCTACTGCAGACTCCAAGCCACCTCCTGAAAATCAGTCACACAAGAAGATTCCCGTGGCTACACCTGCCTGAGCACATCATCTCTACAAGCTCTCCTCTCCTGAGATTCAGAACAAAAGCATGTTAGGAGAACTTCTCTCTGAAGATGCATTGCACAGATCAGGCAGCAGAAAACATGGCAGCTCTGTGTCTGTGAGACTTGATGAATTTTATGGAGACTCCGGAGCCTTCTAAAAGACTTCTAAGTAAAATAAAACCAAGTCCTTCGAGGGTCTTGTTCTTGGACTTACTGTTTTCTATTCTGAGCTTTTGTAAACTCCAGCAAAACGCTAAACTCACTCATCACAATCTCTCCTGCTCCCTGCTCAAATGCTGGAGTACCCTGATCCATACCCATGTACTTCCCAACTCTGCACCTTTGTCTAGAGTTATGACCTCACCCATTCTTAGCTCATTAAATTTTACTTTTCCTTCAAGATACAGTTCAAGCACCATTTCTCCCATAAGCCCTTCTCAACTACCAGAATGAGCTAAGTGATTTTTCTCTGTGCCTCCATAAACCTGGTTACACGCACACCTATGCACATAAACACATGTTCATACCTATGGCACACCTATTGGACCTGTGCACACCTATGGCAAAAAGAGAACACAGCCATGTGTTTGCCAAACCCCACTTGCTTTACCTCCTGGGCACATAGCTAAACTACATTTCCCAGCCTCCCTTGTAGTAAGGTCAGGCCATGTGACTGCACCCGGGCCACCAAAATGTTGGAAGATGTGATATATGCCCCTCACAGAGATGACCCATGAAAACCTTCTGCACTCTCTCCTTCCCTCTCTGCTGGGTGGATACAGAGAGTCTAGGAGGGAACACCAGGACCCAGAGCATGATGTAGTCACAGAGTTGAAGGAGCCTGGATCCCTGAATGACTGTGTGGAAAGCCATCCAACCAGCATCTACCATAAACTGTCTTGTGGACAACAAACTTCTATTGTGGAAGTTACTGAGATTTTAGAGTTGTGATTGCAGCCTCTAGTGTGACTTTCCCTATCTAATAAAATAAGTCTGTCTTTGAACTTAATATATGACACTGAAACGGTCAGTCTTTCCCCACCAGGCTGGGAACCCATCCAAGACAAGGTCCACGTGGCCTGGATTGTCCCTGGGCCCTAGCACCCAGCTCAAAGACTGACATTGGCGCTCAGTAAAGGATTCTTGGAGATGGCTCCTGAGACTCCCAGATGGAAGATCATCTTCTAGGGATGAAAACAGCCCTGGAGTGGCTATGGCTGGAAAAGAAGGGAATGAAAAGACCAGTGGGAGGGCAGACAGTCAGAGACCACTAGAACAGGGCTGTGAACCAAAGACAAATTCAGAGCAAACTCCAAGGGCAGTGACTAGCTTAGGAGTGAATGCTTGGCTCCTAGTCATCCATCAGCCAGGGACCACTCTCAGCTTCTACAGGTCACTCATAGTCCTTACCACATGGCCCTCTCCATCACAAGTGGGTCAAGTACTTATGCTTCGAATCTCTGACCTATTCTGCAATAAGAGAAAACTCTCTGGTTTTTTATGTTTTTTTGTTTGTTTGTTTGTTTGTTTGTTTGAGACAGAGTCTTACTCTGTTGCCCAGGCTGGAGTGCAGTGGCGTGATCTCGGCTCACCGCAACCTCCACCTGCCAGGTTCAAGCAATTCTCCTGCCTCAGCCTCCCAAGTAGCTGGGACTACAGGCGCACGCCACCATGCCCAGCTAATTTTTTGTATTTTTAGTAGAGATGGGGTTTCACCATGCTGACCAGGCTGAAAGTCCTAACCTCATCATCTGCCCGCCTCAGCCTCCCAAAGTGCTTGGATTACAGGCATGAGCCACCATGCCCAACCCCAACTCTCTGCTTTTAAAGGGCTCACGCAATTAGGTCAGGCCCACCTGGAATATCTCCCTATGTTAAGGTCAGCCAAACTGAGACCTTAATATCTGCAAATCCCTTTAGAGCAGTACCTAAGTTACCGTTTGGATAACTGGGACAAAGTGTACACATCAGGGCTGAGAATCTTGAGGGACCATCTTAGAAGTCTGTCTACCACAAGGAGGAACCCTGGGCTCCATATGATAAAGTGTTTTGTTTTGTTTTTTTGTTTGTTTTTTTGGTATAAGTCAATGCAAATAGGTTGCTCTTATTTCTAACTCAATAATTCCAAGCAATCCACAGAGTGCAGGGAGGGGACAGGCATCATTTACTCTTAGTGGGCAAACATGAGAAGGCAAATTCATGGGTAACGGCTGGATTAGATATCAGTAGATGTGCTGGGCATGGTGGCTTATGCCTGTAATCCCAGCCCTTTGGGAGGCCAAGGTGGGTGCATCACTTGAGGTCAGGAGTTTGAGACCAGCCTGGCCGATATGGCAAAACCCCATTTCTACTAAAAATACAAAAATCAGCCGGGTGTGGTGGTGAATGCCTGTAATCCCACCTACTTGGGATACTGAGGAACAAGAATCGCTTGAACCTGGGAGGTGGAGGTTGCAGTGAGCCGAGATCGTGTCACTGCACTCCAGCCTGGGTGACACAGTGAGACACTGTCTTAAAAATAATAATAAAAAAAAACAGTAGGTGTAAACAACCTGTTAAAGTGTCTTAGCAGGAGACACTTTAACTCAAACCTACAGACATCCACTCTTTCACTTCCATGCTGAAGGCCCACAGCTCCCTTCCTGCACCTGCATTCCCCTGCCTCTTCAGCAGCAGCATTTAGAGGCAGAAAGTAGAACAGAGGTTACCAGACACTAGGAACAGGGGAAATGAGAAGTTATTGCTTAGGATATAGAGTTTCTGTTTAGGAAGATGATAAAAATTTTGTAAATAAATAGTGGTAGCTGTCACACAACAGTATGAAGGTGCTTCACGCCACTGAATTGTAAACTTAAAATGGTTTAAATGGCAAATATTATGTTATATATACTTAACTACAATTTTACAAGAAGAAACGCAAAGCAATGCCTGATCACGAGAAGAAACAAAAGAAAACAAACATTTCTTGAGTAATTGTCAGGCACTGAATGAGGCACTTTCAGGGATGCTTTTTTCTTTTTCTTTTTGTTCGCTTTTTTTTGTTTTTCACTTCAAGACAGAGTCTCAGTCTTTCGCCCAGGCTGGAGTGCAACGGCGTGATCTCAGCTCACTGCAAACTCCACCTCCCAGATTCAAGCGATTCTCGTTCCTCAGTCTCCTAAGTAGCTGAGATTGCAGGCGTGCGCCACCACGCCCAACTAATTTTTTGTATTTTTAGTAGAGACAGGGTTTCACCATGTTGGCCAGGCTGGCTTGAACCCCTGGCCTCAAGTGATCAGCCCACCTCAGCCTCCTAAACTGCTGGGATTACAGATATTAGCCACTGCGCCTGGCCAGGAATGTGTTTTTATTTAATCTTCACAGTAGATATGCAGACTAGGTGATTTTGTCAGGGTTGTCTAGAGAGACAGAACCAATAGAAAATACACATACATATATCGAGAGATTGAGAGAGAGAGAGAGAGAAGAAAGGATTTATTAAGGGAATTGGTTCACTCATTTATAAAGGCTGAGAAGACTCACAACAGGCTGTCTACATGCTGGAAAACCAGGGAAGATGGTAGTGTGGCTCAGTCCAAGTCCAAAGGCCTGAGAGCCCAGGAGGCTATCGGTGCAAGTCCCAGAGCCCAAAGGCTCCAGAACCTGGAGTTCTGAAATCCAAGGGCAGGAAAATATGGGCATCCCAGCTCCTCCAGAAGAGACATAGTAAGAGTTCACCCTTCCTTTACCTTTTTGTTCCTCTGAGACCCCAGCCAATTGGACTCTGCCCACCCATATAAAGGAGGAATCTTCCCCACTCAGTGCACCGGCTCACCTGCCAATCTCCTCCAGCAACACCCTCAGAGATGCACCTGCGGCGGCCCAATTATCCTAAGTGAATGCCAAACCACCTGGGTTTCCCTTTCAGCAGAAGAGAGATGGACTCAGTGTGTTGAGAATAATTAATGCAATGGTTTAGAATACAAAGTGCTTCACCAGCTATCTGGGTATCCCCTAATTAGTCAAGTTGACACCCAAAATCAACAATCACAGTAGGTATTCTTATTCTAGTTTTTACAGATGAGAAAAATGAGGCTCAGCAACGTGGCTAAGTAATGTGCCCAATGTCCCCCAGTTATTGGTACATGGCAGAGTCAGAAATCAAGCACGTTTATCGTTGTGGAGGGGGTGTTCTCATAGCAATGGAGGAGAGTATTCAGAAGCCTCTGGCCTCAAGCTGCTCCACGCCAACCATCTCCACCTATTCACTGGAGACTGCCCATGTTCTGGGCAGTGTGCTGGGCACTAGACACACAGGCACACAGTTGAGCAAAGACAAACTTGGCCATCACATTATAGAAGGTGCAATGCCACACTGAGGCAAGTGTCTTGAGGAAATGCAATAAGGATATCTGAGAAGGCACAGATCTTTCCCTAGCCTGTTGAGTCACAAAAAGCATCTGAGGGAAGTTGTGCTCGATTAGAGATGTGAAGAATGAACACGAGTTAACTAGGTAAAGGAGGAAAAGTGGGAGAATACCAGGCAAAAGGCCACACATGCAAAGGCCCTGTGGCAGGGGAGTGTGGTTTGCTGGGAGCGGAAAAGCAGCCAATGTATGGCTGAGAGCAGAGACAGCAAGGAGAGGAGTAGGGCGGGGGAGGTCTCTGGTAGTGGGAGGAGACCTACTGTAGGTGGAACTTGAGACCACAGGGGTCAGGTGGCACCTGTCAAAAGTTCTGTCTTATGCGCTACCAGGTGACTCTCCAAAGACAGGCCTATGAGAATGTATGATGAGTCTGATACTCTGGCATCAGGGTGCGTCTACAGGCTCTAGACAATGTGAGCACAGAGGTGGACATCCCAGCATGCCCACCCTATGTGTTCTTCACCAAAGGGAGAAGAGCTCACCTTCTTCCCAGCCTTCAGAAGGGAGCAATGCAGGACTGAGACTCCCATAATGACCTTCCTGGTGCTCTTACGCACAGCACTCACCAGCAAAGCAAATTTAAAATGGCTTAAATTAATTCCTTGCAAACGCACTTTCTGTACGTGACAAACAGGGTCCCTGCTACACAAACATCAGGCATAATTGTGATTCTTGTCCCCTGCCTCTTTGCCTGGCCCCTGAAATGAAGGGGAGCCCTCCCAGCTCAAAACACCTGCAGAGACAGCTTGGGGTGCAGCTACGCAGACCCCGTTCCCCGGGAGCTGCTCCAAGAAACTCCAGACTCAGGAACTGAGTAAAATCACAGCAGTACCCTTTTTCACTGTTGATTTAGATCCTGCAAGATATGAATTCTAAGCACATCCCTGTCTCCATTTAATCACCGGTGATTACGTGGCCTGTGGGGCAATAATAGTGGAATTAAACATGGAAATGCTAATTTTGACTTAAGACATTTCACCTGGACAGACGGACGGCCTCCTCCCCCGTCCCACAGCAGATGGGCCTCATCGAACCTTCCTCTCTGGCATCTTCCCTCCGGTACAGAGCCATTTGCCCTATCAGCCCACAGACTCCACCAACAACGTGATCTGTACATTTCACTTTATGCGTCTTCCAAATGGTTCCATCATGATTCATAAGGCTCCAGAACTAAAATAAATTTCCAAGGCAGATAAACTGGTTCCTCTGAACAGCTGGCACAAGGGCATCTCACAGAGGCCCCCAATGCCCTTTCCAGGGTCACGTTATGACTTCTGTGGTCCTCGGGCACTTTCACTTTTGTGGGCTCCTTTCCTCCATTAAAAAAAATTCAAAACGGTATTTTTTGTCTGTGTTGTTATAAAGACATATATATCACTACTTGAAGTTTTTTCTTTGACCTGAAAGTTCTTTTTTTTTTTTTTTCCAATATCTTCTGGTTTTAAAAGAAATGAGGCCAGGTGTGGTGACTCATGCCTCAAATCTCAGCACTTTGAGAGGCCAAAGCAGGAGGATTGCTTGAGTCTAGAAGTTCAAGGCCAGCCTAGGCAACATAACAAGACCGTGTCTCTACAAAAAATGAAAAAATTAGCTGGGCATGGTGGTGCATGCCTGTAGTCCCAGCTACTAGGGAGGCTGAGAAAGGAGGATCACTTCAGCCCAGGAGATCAAGGCCGCAGTGAGCTGTGATTGCACCACTGCACGCCAGCCTGGGCAACAGAGTGAGATCCAGTCTCAAAAAAGAAAAAATGAGTAAATAAAAGAAATGAAAGCATTTTCATGAGTCACTGTGCCTGCTGCACCTAGTGAAGCGGTCAGCCCTGGTGCTGCTTCTCCCAGATCCCTCAAGAGAAGGACAGAGGCTGTTCACAGCAGCTCCAGAGGCAGAGCTCACCTGTGCCATGGGGCACGGGTCTACCACTCCCCCTCTCCACACTCCACATTTCCCTAACAAACAACAGCTACACATCCACACAAAGGCTGGTTATCTGTTGGGTCTGCAATACATGCATTCGCAAGTTGGGTTGCCTAAGCTTAGACTCCAACTCCATCCAATACCCACTGCATGACCTGGGCCAAGTGACTTATTTTTTTCCTTGTATGCAAGTGGGGATAGATAATACAGCACCCAGCTCATCAGATTGTCAAGAGGGTCTCATGAGATAAAACTTGGAAAGTGCTGCATAAATGTTAGCTCACATTATGCGATCATTATTATTATTTATTACTATTATTACGTGTTGTTCTTTGGACCCCTCTTGAGAATGTGATGGAAGCTACAACCTTACCCAGAGAAAGGACACACAAAACATCCCATACATTTCATGGGAGCTCAGGCTATCACCACCCACCCACCCACAGCCTCCAAAGCCCACCCATAAGTCTTTGAAATGGTTTGGCTGTGTCCCCAATCCAAATCTCATCTTTGATTGTAATTCCCACCATTCCCACGTGTTGTGGGAGGGACCTAGTGGGAGGTAACTGAATCATGGGGGCCAGTCTTTCTCATGCTGTTCTCGCAATAGTGAATAAGTCTCAGGAGATCTGATGGTTTTAAAAAGAGGAGTTCCCCTACACAAACTCTCTCTCTTTGTCTGCCGCCATCCATGTAAGACATAGCCTTGCTCCTCCTTGCCTTCCACCGTGACTGTGAGGCCTCCCCAGCCATGTGGAACTGTAAGTCCATTAAACCTCTTTCTCTTCCCAGTCTCGGGTAAGTCTTTATCAGCAGCATGAATATGGACTAATACAGTCTTCTTGTAAGTCATGGGTCCCAGATTAAGGAGGTCATATGTAGATGATCCTGTTTGTTCTACAGGAAAGGACCTGGTGAATAACATAAGCCACTTCCAGACTAACCTCCCAAAGACACAGCAATGGCACTAATGCTAGGAGTCACATCACTGTGGGGAAAGCCATATCTAGAGCTGTCTTGTCACCTGGTCCTTGCTCTCCTCATCAACTGCCATGATTTGAGACCTCCCAGAGGACTTTGGAGAGGGGGAATTAGAGGTCCTAAGGGTTGCAGCAAATGGAGCAATTTGCCCTGCTTCAACAGGCTGTGCATGACTTTGAGTAATGAGCATCCCTGCCCGGGCTTTCCTTCTCCCATCTTTAAAGTGGGGGCAACGGTATCCACCTTGCAGGGTGGCTGTGAAGACAAAATCAAACAGTTCACAGAAAGCGCCCAGGACAGCACATGGCACAAAATGGAATTACATCTCATCACTGAGCCTGCCATTCTCAGTGGTGTGCCTGGAAAAAAAAGGCACTAAGCATCATTAAACAAATAAGCGCCTACTGCTGCTCATGCTGAAGCAAGCCAAACAGAGGCACCATGTGAGAGGCAGCAAGACTGCAAATCAGATCCTGCAATCTGCAGTGTCCGCCTCTCTATTCTGGGCTCATATCTGAAGACATTCTTTGGTTGTCTCTGTCCAAGGATCTTACGAAGCTTCACACAGGTCCCTCATGCATCTGCAGCATCAGCCACTATAGGTGATGAGTGATGTTGAGAATTTTTTCCTATGTTTGTTGGTCATTTGTATGTCTTCTTTTGAGAATTGTCTGTCTCTTGGGTGTCCTCAGAACTCCTAGATGAGCCTAATGGATCCCATATCATCTATAATTTAAGACATGTCACCAAGCATGGTGGCTCACACCTGTAATCCCAGCACTTTGGGAGGCTGAGGCAGGTGGATCATGAGGTCAGGAGTTCAAGACCAGCCTGGCCAAGATGGTGAAACCCCGTCTCTACTAAAAACCACAAAATTTAGTGGTCACGGGCAGGCACCTGTAATCCCAGCTACTCAGGAGGCTGAGGCAGGAGAATCACTTGAACCCGGGCAGCAGAGGTGGCAGTGAGCCACGAACGTGCCACTGCACTCCAGCCTGAGTGACAGAGCAAGACTCCATCTCAAAAAAGAAAAGAAAAAGGAAAAAGACATGTCTTCCCAGTTGGGAGAAATTCCGCCCTAAGTTTCAACAGCCCTGGAGGATACCTCCCTACATGTTCTCAGTTGTGCTTCAGAGACCCTCTTTCACCCGAAGTAAGCTTCACTCACAACAATGGCCTATATATGACCAGAGTGTCCCAAACACGCATTCCATGTTAGTAAAGTCTACCTGGCTATTCTCATGCAATGAAATAGCAAACCGACCCTTTGCATAATACATATGGGGTTTCATTCATGCAGCCCCTCCTGAGCCCCTTCTAGGTATTAGGTGCTATCTGAAGCACTGGGAAATTCAGGCATTAATAGAACATGGCCTTTGCTCTTGCAAGGCTCATGATTTACTGGGGAGGATGGATTTGCCCACAGATTATTACAGCACCGTAACAAGGAGCAAGTGACCATGGGAGTCAAGAGAAGGAACAATGTCAGAGCTACTTCCCAGGCACAACTGGGGCTTGCTGAAGCTGCATCTAGATTGACAGCAACAAGAGGCCAACGCATCTGTAATTATTCCCTACTAAGAGTGTAATTTGAAATCAGCAAGAAAAAGACATCATCCCATCGAAAAGTGGACAAATGACATGAATAGACATTTCTCAAAAGAAGATATACAAATGACCAACAAACATAGGAAAAAATTCTCAACATAACTCATCATCAGGGAAAGCAAAATAAAACCACAATGAGATACACCTTACTCCAGCAAGAATGATTATTATTAAAAAGTCAGAAGAAAGAGATGTTGGCATGGATGTGGTGAAAACAGAACGCTTATACACTGCTGGTGGGAAAGTAAATTACTACAACCTTTATGGAAAACAGTATGGAGATATCTTAAAGAACTAAATGTAGATCTATCACTCAATTCAGCAATCCCACTACTGGGTACCCACCCAAAAGAGAAGTCATGATAGCAAGAAGACACCTGCATACATATGTTTATTGCAGCACAGTTCACAATTGCAAAGATATGGAACCAACCTATGTGCCCATTGACCACTGAGTGAAAAAAGAAAATGTGATATTAATATATATGTGTGTGTATATGTGTGTGATATATGTGATATGTATGTATGTACATACATACAAACATACCGTGGAATACTACTCAGCCATAAAAAAGAATGAAATAATGTCTTTTGCAGCAACTTGGATGGAGCTAGAGGCCATTATTCTAAGTGAAGTAACTCAGGAATGGGAAACCAAATACTGCATGTTCTCACTTACAAGTGGAATCTAAGCTATGGGTACATAAAGGCATACAGAGTGGTATCACAGACAATGAAGACTCAGAAGCAGGGGTAGTGGGGGTGAGGAATAAGAAACTACATACTGGGTACACTGTACACTACTCAGGTGATAGGTGCACTAAAATCTCAGACTTCACTTCTACACAATTCACCTAGGTGACCAAAAACCACTTAGACTCCAAAAGCTATTGAAATTTTTAAAAATTTTAAAGAAAAGAGTGTACTTCATTTGTACAAACTATACTTTTCCTTCTGAAAAATAATGCAAACCCCAGTATTTTTTCCAAAATAAAGGAAAGAAAAGATGGATGACAGCACAACAAGAAATTAATTTCTCAGGTCTAGCAAGACCCTACTGTTTACAGTGTCACCCCAGCTGAGCACTAACCCTCCTGTTCAAGTTGTTCATAAATTGGGAATCGATTCTAACCTTACAATTGTATGTGGGTGTAGCCTCTGCCCATGAATCTCTAGCCCAGCCAAAATGACCTGGACAGGTACAATTATCACCCCCTCCTCCATATACAGATGAGGAAACAGAGACTCAGAAATGCTGAATACTGTGCCTGAGTTCACTATACCTGGAAAATGTTGAAGCTGGGATTCTAACATACCTGCCTAATTCCAAAGTCCATACTTTTTTTTTTTGAGACAGAGTCTGGCTCTGTCACCCAGGGTGGAGTACAGTGGCATGATCTCGGCTCACTGCAACCTCCTCCTCCTGAGTTCAAGCAATTCTCTGCCTCAGCCTCCTGAGTATCTGGGACTACAGGTGTGCACTACTATGCCCAGCTAATTTTTGTATTTTTTGTAGAGACAGGGTTTCCCCATGTTGGCCAGGCAGCTGGTCTCAAACTCCTGCCCTCGAGTGATCCGCCCACCTCAGCCTCCCAAAGTGCTGGGATCAAAGTCCACACTTTTTACCTCTACACTCAGCCGCCCAAGCCAGGGCAGATCAGGAAAGATTCTGGGAAGGAGGTAACATTAGAGCTGAATCCTAAGAGAAAAATAGGAAAAGTGCATCCATGGCTAAGCCAAAAAAGGTTTTCAGGCTCCCTGTCAGTTCACAGTGTACAGAGAGGAACAAGCAGCTCTCTCTAAATCAAAGGACCAGAAAAAGAAGCTTTGGCTCCAGTTTAAATTTGAAAATGACCCAAGGAACAATGCCTGTGATACATCTAAAAATGCCAGGCAGGGAAACAAAGTCTTTGAGGGTCAGATGAACTGTGGTTTTCTGTGTCTGTGAATCTCTATACACTTACGGTATAGTTTAATAAAATTGCTTCCCTTGGATTTCATTCCTTATAAAATTATACTCTCTATAATCATAATTGAAAAGCACTAAATGACATTACCAAACCAGAGACTCAGAAGGGTGAGAGAGTGGGAGGGGAGTGAGGAATGAGAAATGACTCCACAGGTACAATGTACACTATTCACGTGATGGTTACACTTAAAGCCCACACTTCACCGCTATGCAATATATCTATGTAACAAAATGGCACTTGTACCCCCTAAGTTTATAAAAATTAAAAAACAATTTTAAAAAAATTAGGAGGTTTAGACACTTAAAAAGCATGGCATGGCATTATGAACCTCTAGGTAAACTTCAGGATCAATCAACTTTGGTGTTACTTACTGTGGCATATAACCACTAAGTTCTACCTAGTTTTGTCTGAGAGGAGAGCTACTTCATCTATGAGAACTGTTATCAATGACTAGATATCTCTAAGTGAAAAATAATACAGAGAGAAAGAGAGATAGCAACAAGAAATAAAAAGAGACTGAGAAAAACCTTTTAAACACTAAGACTTCTGGTTTAAAGGAGAAGACGTTCCAAAAGCAAAACCATTTATCTCCTCCTAAAACCCAATAAAATGACAGTAAAGGAATTTTAAGTCAGGGATCTGCAAGAATTATTAGAAAGAGAGGGAGCTGTCTTATTAAAGACAGATTTTAACAAATTCGTGGAGTGTGTTTAAAGAAGTTGACAGGAAGTGGAGTAGAGGAAGCTCTAGCCAAGACAACATGAGAAAGGAAAGGGATCAGCCAAGGAGAAAGCTGATCCCCTTCAAGAACCCCACAAGGTCTTAAGACCTAGAACTCCCAAGCCCAGGGGAGGTGGGAGAGAAACACAGAGCTGAAAACACAATGCATTTAGCAGGGAGGTCTCAGGACAACAGCGGTGCCGTGCAAATTGGAGCACTGGGAATCTGCGAGAGAGATCTCCAGAAAAAGACACAAGAGAGGAAAACTTGACTGTATACTTAATATAAGACAAATATTGAAAAAAAATGTAACACATAGCAAAGGCAAATAGTTGAAAGTAAAAATAAAGGCAACTATAAACTCCAGAAGAAAAAAAAAGGTCATCTTACTACTATCGGCCCTGAAAAGAATAATATTTACATAGCCAAAATAATATAACTCTATTTATTATTTTACTAAATATAGTCAAAATAACAATTTGTTGAGGTTAAAGGAAGGGGAGACATGGGTTTGAGATGAGGCTAAATCTCATCTATCACAGCCAGAAATCTGAATTAATAATGACTGAAATTGATCAGTCAGATCAGTCAAGAACTGGCAATATATAAATATTATCTGAGCCTTGGTGATCACCACCACTGGGGTGTTGAAGCTAAGAGAATTCAAAGTTGTTGCCTCTTGGGAGCGGACAAAGGCAGAAAGTGATTTTTTTTCTTTGTTCTTTTTTTTTTTTTAGACAGAGCCTCACTCTGTCACCCAGGCTAGAGTGTAGTGGCGCAATCTCAGTTCACTGCAACCTCTGCCTCCCAGGTTCAAGCGATCTCCTGAGTAGCTGGGATTACAGGCGCCTGCCACCATGCCTGGCTAATTTTTTGTATTTTTAGTAAAGATGGGGCTTCACTATGCTGGCTAGGCTGGTCTCGAACTCCTGACTTCAAGTAATCCGCCCACCTCAGCCTCCCAAAATGCTGGGATTACAAGCGTGAGCCACTACACCTGGCCAGTTATTTTTCATTGTAAGCCTCTCAGTACTGCTTTATTTTTTAACCACAAGCATGACTATTTTAAATTACAGCTATTATAGTCAGGCACGGTGGTTCAAGCTTGTAATTTCAGCACTCTGGGAGGCCAAGACAGGAGGATTGCCTGAGGCCTGGATCTCAAGACCAGCCAGGGCCACATGGTGAGATCTCATGTTTACAAATAAAAAATTACAAAATTACCTGGGCATGGTGGTGCATGCCTGTAGTCATAGCTACTCAGGGGGCTGAGGTGGGAGGATTGCTTAAGCCCTGGATTTTGAGGTTGCCGTAAGATATGATGGTGCCTGCACTCCAGCCTGGGGGACAGAGTGAGACCGTGTCTCTAAAAAGTAGTAATAATTCATCATAAATAAATAAAATCTAAGACCCTCAGACATGTGTGTATGTGCACATGTGTGCACAATTCCCGGTGTGTGTGAGATCAGGTATGTGTTGGTGACTGCATCAAAATGTCTGGAATAAAGCACCTCACACTATGAACAGGGGTGAGGGTGGCACCCTCAGAAAATAGTGGCATAAGGAGGGGAAGTGGTAAGAGAGAATCCATTTTTCTTCTACATCCTTCTCTGCTGTTTTATTTTAACTTCACCACGAGCATGTGTTTCCTTTGTGATTATTTTTAAATGGAGGGAGGGAGGGGAAGATGGCAGGGAGAGAATCAGTAGTCCAGAAAATACTGGGCAGGTGGGTGTGAAGCAGATTCAAGAGAAGTAAAACCAGGTTTGCACACCTGAGTGCCAGAAAAGTCTCCTGGTGTGAGCACAGAAATAGGACTTGTCAGATGCCTCCCTAAAGCATGCAAACATGAAATGCAAGCAAAGCAATGACAGTGGCTAGCCTGGGGACCCACCAACTGAAATGTAATAAGCGAGTAGCCAACTCCATTGCTAAGCCCCAGGAACAGCCAGGTTGGTGGTGGTTTACTTGGTTTTCCTGCTCCCCCACTCCACCCCCCACCACGGAGAAGCTTAAGTTGAAGTGAAAATAGTAATTTCATATTTCTGCACTAACCAGCCAGCAAAGATTGCCAAAGTTTTGCTGAGATGCCTGCCATGGGGAAGGTGAAATAAGCCTCACCCCCACTGGCTGCTGCTTCTAGACATGATTCTCCTTGACTTAGACCAAATTATCCTTGAAAATCCTGATGATAGCAGAGAACATGGAGGAGGCTGAAACTTGTTCTGATCCAGCTGTGATGTGATGCTTTGTCTTACGGTCCTGCAAGACGCAGAACAGAGCAGACTGGGACTCTAACAGATAAAAGGCATAAAGTGATCCGGGTGATGGAGGGCAGGGCAGCATGGGCGTGCTCTCTCGGAAGCAACCTTACCTTGCTCCGCAGAGCATTGCTGTGCATTTAACTCGATCTTTCATGATAAAGCTCTAATCATCAGAATTCTACAAGACCCCGGCCAGGCATGGTGACTCACACCGTAATCCCAGCAATCTGGGAGGCCAAGGCAGGTGGGTCACTTGAGGTCATGAGCTCAAGGTCATGGTAAAACCCCGTCTCTACTAAAAATACAAAAATTAGCCAGGCATGTTGGCATGCACCTATAATCCCAGCTATTTAGAAGGCTGAGGCAGGAGAATCACTAGAACCCAGGAGGAGGAGGTTGCAGTGGGTCAAGATCATGCCACTACACTACAGCCTGGGTGACAAGGGTGAAACTCCGTCTCAAAAAAAAAAAAAGAATTCTAGAAGACCTCTTCCTTGGAAAGGGAGTATCTGGAATATTAGTAGGGACTGTTATCCAAATCACTGAAGGTTCTAAGTCTTCTTTACTCACCATTATCTTTATTTATTTAGTTTTTTGGAGACAGGGTCTTGCTATGCGCCCAGGCTGGAGTGCAATGGCATGACCTTGGCTCATCGCAGCCTCAACCTCCTGGGCTCAAGCAATCCTCCCATCACAGCCTCCCAAGTAGCTGGGACTCCCAGTGCACTCCACCATGCCTAGTTGCTTTTGTGTATGTGTCTAATTTTGTAGAGGTGGGAGTCTTGCTACATTGCCCATGTTGGTCTCAAACTACTGGACTCAAGCAATCCTGCTGCCTCCGGCCTCCTGAGTAATTGGGACTACAGACGTGTGCCACACATCAAGCTAATTTTTTAATTTTTTGTACAGATGGGGTCTCACTATGTTCCCAGACTGGTCCCAAACTCCTAGGCTCAAGCAATCCCCCCACCTAGGCCTCCCGACTTGCTGGGATGATAGGGATAAGCCACCGCATCTGGCTTACTCACCATTCTAAAACTGAAGTATAATTCGCTGTTTAAAACCTTAAATGGCTGCCCACCACCCAGAAGTGTCCATCTGCATGTGTGCCACCTTGCTTCTGCATGTGTAGGATTTCCCATTTCTTCTTCAGCAGACTTTATTTTTCACAAGAAAAGAATTTCACAAGACATCTCTTGCAAGGGCAAGAAATATGGAGAAGATTAGATAAAATCTCACAGATCCTAACAGCAGGTTTCTGAAAGCCACTTTGTTTTTCTAATCAATAGGGTAAAACATGGTCTTTAAAGAAGTCAAGGGAAACATCTGGAATTATAGAGATGAGATGAAAACAGCCCCCCATCATTTCCTGCCAGACCTCCTCCTCAGTCATCCTCTGTAGATGTAAGTGACCCCCAGCAGAAGACAGAAAGCAGGTATTTCAGAAACTCCATGGGAAGAATCTCTACCAAAATGTTGCTGATCACAATAAAAGCCTGTGTGGTGCCAGGCTCAGAATAGGAACACTTGACCTCTCTTTAACATGAGCCCCAGCTTATGTAATGAAGTGTAGCAGGTGAAACCGGTCCCTCACTGATTCTGAAACATGTGGTACTCAGCTTGGTCCCAGGCTGATCTGACCAAACCAGCATTCTGTAAGGCTACCCGTTCAGACTTCTCAACACGCACCACCTTCGTTCAGTATCTACCCCCTTGCAAAGCCCACCTGAGTCACTACATCACACAAGCTGCAGGTGGATGAAAACCTACCTGTGAAAGGCAAGACTCCCCCAAGGCAATAAGCAAAAGACAAGGAACTGAAAAACAGGTAAAGGACACGAAGAGGCAAATTTCATGAAACAAGATTCAAATTGCCAGTAATGTCATGAAGAGGTTCAAATTCGCAGGGAATAGGAGAAATGCAAATGAAAACATTTCTCTATATTGTTTTGGGGGAAAAAAATCACTTTATATGGCTAACTTCTACCAGTCCTCGAGGTCTCAGCTCAAATTCCTCTTCCACAGAGAAATTATTTCCTTCATCGCTCTCATGACCAGTTATGATAGATGGAGTTGTATGTTTATGAGTCTTATTTCTTCTGTCTTCCCTGCTAGCCCATGAGCTCTATGAACAGAGCCACAATATCTGATTTATTCACTACTAATGTCCCCAGGATAGAAGAGTATCTGGCAATAAAAGGAGCTTAATAGATATTTATTCAATGAATGAATGAATGGGTGAACACATGAATGAAGCAAAGTTGGCTTTCTGCCGCACTGAGATAGGATTTTGTGTCCATGTTCAGGTCACCATGACAGACTCAACTCCCCTAAAGTGCACAGGTCAGAAGAACGCAGTTGCCCCAATCAGGTTCAAAAAGTAGGAGGAAAAAGAGCTCTTCCAAGGCCCATATACCTGTGATATAAATATGGGAGGATTATAGAACACCCTTCTACAGGACTACCACTTAGGAGCCTCCTGATTTAATGTCCCTAAAAGGCATAGCAGAGGATGCTACCAATGTGTAAATCCTCCCAAAACTTAAGCCTTTAAATTCTACTGCACAGGAGCTGTCAGAAAGCAATGTTTTGTGAGCTACAGATTCCAATAAAACTCACTCTGAGATGATGAAGCCTTCCTTGGTAGCCTAAGGGCTGATATATGAATAATCTGCCAGCATTATGCTGTGTCACTTAAATATTCCTTTGGAGATTTGTCAGAAGGAAATTTAAGTAAAATTAGAGTTCAAATGGAAATGAAAAATTAAGTTATGATCAAAGCTATAATCTCATATTAGATCTTTAAAAAAACATAGAGAAAAGTTCCATTTAAGATTTCCTGTTTTGTATTTATGGATCCAAACTCAGGTACTCCCACGGTGCCTTGTTTGAAAGGCTGATATGCAGGGTGTGGGCCTCCTCCCTTATTTAGATGCTGAGCCTAGCTCCAGGGGAAAAAAGGCATCTCAGCTTCTATGGGCAATTCAATTTTAATCATTTTTGCTTTATTGGAATTTTCAAAGGAGTCCAGGTACAAGAGATTCAGAATTAATCTAAGTCATAAACAAAGCAAAAAAAAAAAAATGAAGAGGAATGGAGTGAACAATAATTCAACACCTATAAGGCCTGGTTCCTTTTTCCTATAACATGCACTGTGGTGGGGGAGAGAGGAAGGGACCCAAGCGCTGTTTGGAATCAAGCCCCTCAACATCAGAAGCATGTCTGAAGTTTATCTAAAACACTGGCATCTGTGACTCCCACAGCCAGCTTTTCTCCAGGGTTTCAGAATGTTCCCTGCCTCCTAACAAACTGAGGGAAGCAGCTGTGATGGAAAGAGAGGTGACAGCAAACAGAAGTCTGGTAGCCCCTAGAGAGAGACACAGCTTGACCGTGGAACTGAAATACAGACTCCAAAAGACTAGCATTTACTGCAGATGGAGGCTTGTATGGCTTATCTGCAAATAATCCTCTGCCTGTGCAGCTCATGTGCCACAGCCTGACAGAAAATCCCAGGGAGAATAGGGATAATATCCAATGTGCCCTGTGCTATAGGGACCCATCAACACTATGATGATAATATTAATAAAACCAGTGAGGCATCCACTGCAGTAAAGACCAGCAGCCTCTGTGAGTCTAAGCTTAAGGCAGCTGTATTCCTGAATCATAAATAATACTGGTCATTTTCTAGCTTGAAGTTTTCTTTATCAACCAAAGCAACACCCCAAAAAAGCACACACAAAATACTAGGAAAAAAGTATTAACCCAAAAGAAGGTGGTAAAAGAGAAACGGAAGAACAAAGAATGGAGGATACAAATAGAAAATAAAAGCCAAGATAGACTTAAACCTGACCATATCCATAATTACATTAAATATAAATGGCCTAAACTCTCCATGTGCAAAGCACAGATTGACAAATTAAACCAAAAAAAGCAAGATTAACTATATGCTGTTTATAAGAAACACAGTTTAAATACACAACACATAAAGATTAAACTAAAAAAGGCGGGAAACACTTTTTAGATACCATGCAAACACTAAGTGTTAGAGAGCTGGTTTGGCATGAATAATATCAGACAAAATAAACCTCAAGACAAAGAGCATTACTAGGGGTAAAAATGATCATTTAATAACAATTAAGGTGTCAATTTATAAACAACACAAAATGACCCTAAAAATGTATGCTGTACCTATTAACAGAGCTTCAAAATAGATGATGCAATAATTGAAAGACAAATTCATTGACCGTACTTTAAGATTTTTAACACTCCATTCTGAGTAACTGATAAAGCAACCAGAAAAAATTAGTAGGCATATATTAAATTTGAATGACACAATCAACCAGCTTGACCTACTTGATATTTATAGTATGACAGACCCAAAAACTACAGAATACACATTCTTTTCAAGTGCCTGTGGACCATTCATTAAGAGAGACCATATGCTGCTGCTGCTCCATAAAGCTAGTCTCATTAAACTTAGAAAATACTGAAATCAAAAAAATGATTTCTCTGACAACAGTATTTAATTAAAAGTCACTAAAAATAAGTTATCTAGAAAATTACCAAATATTTAGAAATTAAATAACTCACTTCTAAATGCCCAAAGACTAAAATATGAGGGAAATTAGAAAATACTTTGAACTGTATGATAACCAAAAGACAATATATTGAAATTTGTGATATGCAGATAAACCAGCACTAGCCTAGATGTTTACTACATTAAATGCCTATATTAAAAAATAAGAAAGCTGTAAAATGAATGATCTAAACTGGAACCTAAAGAAGCTAAAGAGGAGCAAATGAAGCTTAAAGTAATTATAAGAAAGAAAATAAAAATGAGAGAGAAATCAGTGAAATAAAAAACATATGAACAATAGGGAAAATCAACAAAAGCTGGTTTCTTAAAATAATGAATAAAATCAATAAACACTATATTAGCTATCTATACCTGTACAACAAATTACCCTAAAACTTAGTGACTTAAAACAGCAAACATTTGTTATCTCATAGTTTCTACAGGGTTTCATCTGGGTGGCTGTAATACGTGGTTCTTTTATAAGACTGCAATCAAGCTGTCAGCCAGGGTGGCAGTTATCTCAAGGATTTGCTAAGGAGATGGAGCTCTGTGTATCCAAGCTCAGTTTTTTGTTTTTGTGTGTTTTTTTTTTTTTTTTTTTTGAGATGGAGACTTGCTGTGTCACCCAGGCTGGAGTGCAGTGGCGCAATCTTGGCTCACTGCAAGCTCTGCCTCCTGGGTTCACGCCATTCTCCTGCCTCAGCTTCCCGAGTAGCTGGGACTACAGGCGCCTGCCACCACACTTGGCTAATTTTTTGTGTTTTTAGTAGAGATGGGGTTTCACCGTGTTAGCCAGGATGGTCTCAATCTCCTGACCTCATGAATCTCCCGTCTTGGCCTCCCAAAGGGCTGGTATTACAGGCATGAGCCACCGCACCTAGCCCTAAGCTCACTTATATAGCTGTTGGAAGTCTGTAAACACGTGCAGGCTATTGGACTGAGGGCCTCAGTGGCTGCTGGCTGCAGGCTTCCCTCAATTCCCTGCCATGTGAACCTCTCCATGGTGGTAGCTGGCTTCCATTAGAACAAGCAAATAGGAGAGCAAGAAAGAACAAACAAGATGGAAGCAACGGTCTTTCTGTAAACTGGTCTCGAAGGTAACATCCCATCATTTTCTCCATGTTCTATTCATTACAAGTGAGTCACTAGATTTAGTTCACACATGAAGGGAGGAGATTACACAAGGATGTGGATATCAAGAGGCAGAGGCTACTGGAAGCCACTTTGAGCGCTACCTACCAAAAATAAACCTAGAAAGAATGATCAGGACAAGAGCGAGAGAGAGACAGACAGACAGGCAGACAGAAAGAAACACACAAATTACTAATTCCAGCAATTAAAGAGAGGACATCACTACAGATACTAAAAGAATAATAAAACAGACAAAATGAACGACATTTTACTTTTCAAAAATTTTGTTTTTCAAAACTGTCATTGATTTTGTGAATAAATTCAACAACCTAGATGAAAGGAACAAAGTACCACAAAGTACCAAAACCAAAAAAAGCAACTAGAAAATATGAAAAGTTTTACAGTTATCATATGAATTGAATTCATAAGTTGACATTTTACCACAAACAAAAGCCGAGTCCCAGATGTCTTCACTGGCAAATTTCATCAAATCTTTAAAAAATAAATAATATAATTATTACTTAAATTCTTTCAGAAAATAATAGAGATGAGGACACTTTCTTTTTATCATTATTATTATCTCAGCTGGTTTTTGGGGAATGGGTGGTGGTGCGTTAGAAGAATAAATTCATTAGTGGTGGTTTCTGAGATTTTGATGCACTCATCACCCAAGCAGTGTACACTGTACCCATGTGTAGTCTTTATCCCTCACCCGCTCCCACCCTTTCTCCCGAGTCCCCAAGATCCCTCGTATCATTCTTATGCCCTTGTGTCCTGAGATGAGGATATTTTCAACCCATTTTTAAGGCCAGCATATGTGCATACAAGAAAAAATACATCAATACCCTTCATGAAAGTTAATGCAAAAATCTTTAATAAAATATTTGCAAATCAAATCTAGCAATCTATTAAAAGGATAATACAATATGACCAAATGAGATTTATCTCAGGAATGTAAGATTGGTTCATGACTCAAAAAGTGGTTAGAGTAATTCAACACACTAAGAGAAAAAAGGGAAAAAAAAACTTACAATTTTCTCAATATATGCCCAAAAAAAAAAGCATTTGACAAAATTTAACACCCATTCATGATTTTTATAAAAAACCCTCAGGAAACTAGGAATAAAAGGAAACATCCTCAATGTGATAAAGTGCATCTATTAAAAAAAACTACAGCTAACATCATATTTAGCAGTAAAACAATGTTTTTCCCTTAAGATCAGGAATAAGACAAGGATACCCATTATCCCCACTTGTATCCACAATTTTACTAGAATTCCTAGTTAGTTCAATAGGGAAAAAAATTGAAACATGCATAAAAATTACAAGGAAAAGAAGAAAAACTATCAATATTTGCAAATGGCATGATTGTATACATCAAAAAACCCCATGAAATCCACAAAAAGCTCACCAAATTGAGTTACAAATATTTCTAGATATGAAGTCAACATATAAAAATCAATGACTGAAATGGCTGTAATCAAAAATAATGGCAAGGGCAGATGTTGGTGAGAACATGAAACAATTGGAACTTTCATACGTGGCTTGTCAGAATGGTGAAACCACTTTGGAAAACTGTTTAACAGTTTCTCATGAAGTTAAACACACATCTACCCTATGTCTCAGCAATTCTACTCCTGAGCATTTACCTAAAAGAATGAGAATATGTTCACACAAAGTTTGGTAAATATTTATTCATAGAAGTTTTATTCATAATAAGCAAAACTGGAAACAAATGTCTATCCACTGGTAGATAAATAACAAATTATAAAGTATGCATTCAATGGACTGCTACTTATCAACTAGATGTGACAAAAAAAAGAACGAACCACTGATATACACAGTATGGATTGATTTTTAAAACTTTTTTTGAGCAAAAAAAAAAGCCAGGCATAAAGGAGTGCATAGCATATGATTCCATTTAAATAAAGCCCAAGAAGTGGCAAATTTAATTTATTGTGATGGAAATTGTTAGAACAGTGGTTGCCCCTGGAAGGCGACAGGGTTGTGTGAAAGGGCTATGAAAGAATTTTCCAGGGCCATAGAAACATTCTAAATTTTGTTTGGCATGATGGTTGTGTGGGTGTATGCAAGTCAAAACCCATTAAATTGAATGCTTAAGATCTGTGCATTTTAATGTATATATTCTTTAAATCACATAGAACACACAAGTCCACCTATCTCAAACTCAGTCCCGTCTGCCCTATGCAAAATATTCAATTTGTCAACATTCTCATTACCATTTTTATTGCTTTTTTTCTGCCTCTTTTCCTTTGTTTCTCCCAACAAGCCAACCTCTAACATACCAGGCAGTCTTCATGAATGTTTTCAGCCAAGTTGTGAAGAATCAAACTCTACATAGAAGAGAAGTGAAATGAAAGAAATGAAAGAAAGGAAGGGAAGAAAGGAGGGAGGGATGGGGGAGGGGGGAGGGAGGGGCAGTGGGAGGGAGGGGAAAGGAGGGGAAAGGAGGGGAGGGGAGGGGAGAGGAGGGGAGGGGAGGGGAAGGGAGGGGAAAGGAGGGGAGGGGAGGGGAGGGGAGGGGAAGGGAGGGGAGAGGAAGGGAGGGGAGGGGAGGGGAAGGGAGGTTAGGGGAGGCGAGGGGAGGGGAGGGGAAGGGGAAGGGAGGGGAAAGGAGGGGAGGGGAGGGGAGGGAAGGGGAGAGAGATGTTTATTTTGGAGCGCTCTAGAAATCAAAACGCCATCATTCTTAGACTTATTTACCCCAACACTCTCCCAAGATTTAATCTTACTATTACTTCAAAATTAAATACAGTCTCTTGTTACACCTCTCACTATAGAATTTACAAACCAACTGCCTACAATGTATTTTATTTGAACCACAAGGTATTTTTTACTTGATCTAACATGTAATAATTAGAAAATTTCACATAAAAATCCAAACTTCCAAATTTTCTTAAACCATCAGAATATCTAGCAACCATCAATGGGCACTTAGGTGTGGCTGCCTTTTGTTCAAAGAGCAGGTTATCACATCTTTTACTTAAATACGTTTCTTCCCAAAGGACTCACTGTTTACTACTATGACTGCAAAAAGTTAATTCAATGGGAAAATAACATTGTGTTCAATTCTAGCTGGACACTGTTGCCTACAAAAGTGTCTGGGCTACACCTTGCTTTCTATGTTTAAAAGGGAGAATACAAAATGTTAAAGACATTAATACCTAACAGACTTTGTTCCTGACCTACTCATACAAATCAGAGAGAATTTAAAAGGGAATAAGTGTTTCATAATGTGACTGAAATATTTAATACCAAGTCGGTGTAGCGCCCAAAATCAGCTATTGGTCTACCTAAAATCTTACATGCAACCAGTAACATTTGTCCTAAATTGAGAAACACTGGCCTCAAGTCTAAACTCCTTCAATGAAGAAACAGCCTATGGGATGGGAGAAAATATTTGCAAACCATACATCTGATAAGGCTAGAATATATATAAGGAACTCCAAAACATATAAAGAACTCAACTCAATAGTAAGAAAACAACTCAAAAAATGAGCAAAAGATCTAAGTAGACATTTCTCAAAAGAAGACATACAAATGACCCACCGGTATATAAAAAATTCTTAAAATCACTAATTATAAAGGAAATGTAAGTTAAAGCCACAATGATATATTACCTGACACCTATTAGAACGACTATGATAAAAAAGATGAAAGATAACAAGTGTTGGTGAGGATGCAAGAGAATGCTTGCATACTGTCTTGGGAATGTAAATTAGTACAGCCATTATGGAAAATAGTACAGAGATTCCTCAAAAAATTAAGAGTAGAACTACCATATGATCCAGCAGTCACACATCTGGGTGAAGAAGCTGAAGTCAGTCTGTTGAAGAGATATTTGCACTCCCATGTTCACTGCAGCACTATTCACAATAGCCAATACATGGCATCAACCTAAGTATCCATCAAAAGATAAATGGATAAGGAATATATACACAATGGAATACCACTCAGCCTTTAAAAAGAAGAAAATCCTGTCATTTGCAACAACATGGATGAACCTGGAGAACATCATGAAAAGCAAACTAAGCCAAGCTCAGAAAGACAAATAACCACAAGATCTCAAATACATGTGGAATCTAAAAAAGTTGGCCAGGCATGGTAGCTCATGCCTGTAATCCCAGCACTTTGGGAGGTCGAGGCAGGAGGATCATGAGGTAGGAGTTCGAGACCAGCCTGACCAACATGATGAAACCCTATCTCTACTAAAAATACAAAAATTAGCTGGGCGTGGTGGTGCGTGCCTGTAATCCCAGCTACTAAGGAGGCTGAGACAGGAGAATTGCTTGAACCCAGGAGGCAGAGGTTACAGTGAGGCAGGATCGCGCCACTGCACTCCAGCCTGGATGACGGAGCGACACTCCATCTCAAAAAAAAAAAAAGTTTAGCTCAGAGAAAAAAAAATGGTGGTTGGCAGGAGCAGCAGGAGGGGAAAAGAATACAAAATGTCAGAAAGGAGGAAAATGTTCAAGAGCTCTATTGTTAAAAAAAAATTTTTTTTTTTTTAATTAAAAAATAAATTCCTCTATTGAACTGCTGAGAACCAAGGATTTGTCTCGTTGACTTTTTCAGATCCCTGGAACAAAGCACAGTATCTGGCCCAGAACATCCACATACTTTTCAATTAAATAGACTCAATGGGTTCTGGGGATGTAAACATCTCCCAAGTGGGAAATTTGAATGCAGTGAGGATGCAGACTTACATGACAGTGTGGGAAGCTGTCTCCTGCTGTTCTAGCAAAGAATCCTAAATGAGGAAGAGACCAAGTCATGAGAGGCCACCCGAAACATAGTCCCTCAAAGATGCATCTACACAGATGCAGATGCTGCTTTTCATAAAATGCTACACCGAGTCTGAATGCCCAGCTAGCTTAGTGCATGCTTCAGACAAGTCAGATTGGAAAAAAGATTCAGGGCTCAAGATTAGATCTCCAAGGCTGAATGAAGAAGGCGTCTGTGAGAACAACACAGGAGAAGCTCAGGGGGAACCCGGGCGCAATGGAGGGAGATGCCTTTCACAGGCAGGAGACCGATGACCAGTATCAACCTGATGATATTAACAATGGTAGTAATAATAAATAACAGTGAAGTTAATATTTATGAAGTCCTTACTCTCTGATAAGGGGCATTCATGCATACTCTCATTTAATATGCACTACAGTCCTAGAGGTAAGAAGCATAATTATCCCCATTCTATGTAGAGAAAACTATGGCAACCAGATGCCTCCCATCCTGGTACTGACACCCTTGTACAACCTCTTCCCTGTTAATGTGGGTGGGGCCTATGACTTTCTTATAACCAAGAGAATATGGCATATGGCAGAGGTGATGGGATGTAGTGATTACGTTAGATAGGATGTTAAGTTGTCTTGCTAGGAGACTGTCTGTCTTGCTGGCTTTGAAGATGTGAGCTGCCATGTCATGAGCGGCCAGATGGAGAGGCCCACGTGGCAAGAAGCTGAGGGCAGCAAGAAACCGGGGCCCTGAGTCCAGCAGCCTGCAAGGAACTGAATGCTGCCAACAACCAGATGAGCCTGGAAGCAGATCAATCACCCGTCAAGCCTCCAGATGAGAACCGAGCCCTGGCTGACACTACGGCTGCAGCCTTGCACTGAACCCAGCTGAGTCACGCCTAGATTCCTGACCCACAGAAACCGTGCAGTGATAACTGTGTGCTGTCTCAAGCCACAAAGTTTGCAGTAATATTGTTGCCCAGCAATAGATAACTAATATAAAAACTGTCTTACATCATGTACATTACTGAGGGAAATGCAGAACCTGGATTTGAGCTCTGATTTCAGAGTTCTGGTCTCAGTCTCCCCAGGGAGACCTGTCCTGGGAGACAGTTATGCCAGGCTGTGATGCTGTGATGTTTGTTCTCTTCCTACCCAGAAGCTTTCCACAGGCATGTCAAGCATGTGACCCCAGCTACATATACCAAATGTATTTCTGACAAATGCCAGGACATCGTGAGCTTTCTTGTTTTACTGAGAGCTCCATAAAGGAAGGACCAACTCTGTCTTTTTTTTTTTTTTTTTTTAAGAGTCTCACTCTGTCACCCAGGCTGGAGTGCAATGGTGCGATCTCGGCTCACTGCAGTCTCTGCCTCCTGGGCTCAAGGGATTCTCCAGCCTCAGCCTCCTGAGTAGCTGGGATCAAAGGCGTGCACCACCACACCCAGCTAATTTCGTATTTTTGGTAGAGATGGGGTTTTCTCATGTTGGCCAGGCAGATCTTGAAATCCTGGCCTCAAGTGATCTGCCTACCTCGGCCTCCCAAAGTGCTGGGATTACAGGCGTGAGCCACTGCACCTGGCCTGTCTTTTTTATGCCATGTCCAAGTGCAACACCCCAGTGGTCAGCACACAAAGGGGTCCAAATGTGAAAGGAAAGGGCAAATACAGGGGAAACATAGGGGTGTTCAGAAATAGTTCCTAGGTCACTGCCTGTTTCAATATGTACAGTCCTCGGCCCCACCCACAAGATTCTGACTTGGCAGGTCAGAGTTGGAGATGGGGAGCTACCTGGTTACGAGGGATCCCAGTGCATTTTGAGGCAGCCGGTTGTTAGACTGCATTGTAAAAATTACCCCTCAAAGATGTGAAGGTAAGCAGAAAGGCATAGGCAGGCTAGAAAAGGACACAAGTAAAACATGAACAAGTTCATTCCAGAAGGAGATTCTCAACCACAGCTGCACACCACAATCAGCTGGGGAGATTTTAAAACCGCAGTGCCCAGGCTCTGCAACCCAGATCAATTACTACAGAATCTCTTGGGGATGAAACATGGGCATCAGTATTTTTTGACTTTGTGTGTGTGTTTCTTGTTTTTTGTTTTTGAGACAGAATCTTGTTCTGTCACCCAGGCTGGAGTGCAGTGGTGTGATCTCAGCTCACTGCAACCTCTGCCTCCCAGGTTCAACCCATTTTCCTACCTCAGCCTCCCGAGTAGCTGGGATTACAGGCATGCACCACCACGCCTAGCTAATTTTTGTATTTTTGATAGAGATAGGGTTTCACCACGTTGGCCAAGCAGGTCTCGAACTCCTGGCCTCAGGTGTTCTACCCGCCTTGGCCTCCCAAAGTGCTGGGATTACAGGCATGAGCCATTGCTCCTGGCAGTACTTTTTACTGAGGCAAAATTCACACAACATACAAGTCCCTGTGTGAAAGCATACACTTCAGTATCATTAAATACATTCACAATGTTAAGCAATCATCATCCCTGTCTAGTTGCAAAACATTTTCATTAACACCCCCCGCCCCCCCAAAAAATAACCCTGTATCCATCAAGCACTCTCCATCCCCTCCCCTTTCCCCCAGCACCTGGCAACCATTCACCTGCTTTCTGCCTCTATAGATTTGCCTATTCTGGACCTTTCATATAAATGGAATCATGTAACATACATAATAACCAAAAGGTAGCAATCACCAAAATGGCCATTTGGTTGATGAATGAATAAACAAAATGTGCTATATCCATACAATGGAAGTATTGGTGCCTACTACATGTGGATGGACCTTGGAAACATCATGCTAAGTGAGAGAGAGCCTTGGTATTGTCTCATCTCCCCAGGAGATTCCAAGGTGGAGCCAAGGTTGAGACCCACTGACAAGCAATGGATATGGTTGGGTGCAGATGAAATAAGACAGCCAGGGCAGGAGGGACATCTCATTGAAGATGACTATTTGTGGATGCCTAGCAGAGGTGGGGATGAGGTGTGATAACAGCAACCCCAATCTCAACACAGCGTGACCGATTTTATCTTCAGCCAGCTAATATGCTTCATGGGGTGTGGACACAGGACACCTCCACCTCCCAGGTTCAAGCGATAACTCCTGCCTCAGCCTCCCAAGTAGCTGGGATTACAGGCGTGCACCACCACACCTGGCTAATTTTTGTATTTTTAGTAGAAATAGGGTCTCGTCATGTTGCCCAGTTTGGTCTTGAACTCCTGGCCTCAAATGATCCACCCACCTCAGCCTCCCAAAGTACTGGCATTACAGGCATGAGCCACAGTGCCCAGCCTCCAAATTCTATTTGAAGTTTGACTTTCCACCTCCAGAAAATCAAACCTTTGCCCAAGTCACAGTGGGACACCCCGGAGTTAATTTGAGAGAAATGTGCTTTTAAAAAAAACTCCAGGCTGGGCACAGTGGCTCACACGTGTAATCCCAGCACTTTGGGAGGCCGAGGTGGATGGACCACGAGGTCAGGAGATCAAGACCATCCTGGCTAACATGGTGAAACCCCATCTCTACTAAAAATACAAAAAATTAGCCGGGCGTGGTGACACATGCCTGTAAGCCCAGCTACTCAGGAGGCTGAGGCAGGAGAATCGCTTGAACCAGTGAGGCAGAGGTTGCAGTGAGCCGAGATCGTGCCACTGAACTCCAGCCTGGTGACAGAGAGAGATTAAATAAATAAATAAATAAATCCCTCTGATATGAACACCAAACTAGAATCACTCCATTGACTCCCCTCCACCAATCAGGGGGAGTGATGGTGACGGTGCATGAGTGCCTATTTGCATTGGGTCTTAATGGAAAATAAGGTTGTGTCACTCAAAGGAAAAACAAATCACAGCCCAGACTGGAGCTGTGGATTAACAACATGGCTGAGTGTTGGTACAGGCTTTCCACAGCAACATTAAAACTGAAAAAAATCAGCAATGAAGCTCCCAGCCACATTTCTGCCAATTGATTTGGGGGAAAACAACAGAGGCACTCCTCAACTTTTCCTTCACTGCACAAAATGGGTTTGGCTGGAAATGCCAAATGTGCTTGTTGCTGGGATCTTTCAAATGAAAGCAAGCTGGGAGTCAACCTCCTGCAGCCGCAGGCCAGAAATGGGTTGAGACCAAACTATTATAGTAACACTGGCGCACATCTAAACAGATTTAGCTCCCTCCCAGCAATGCAGATTAATTTAATATGCTTTCTTAATAGCATTCCGCATTTCTCATTAAAGCAAATGAACGTCCATCCCTCTGTGATAAATTAGGTCAAAAAACATTCATATGTTTAGGGCATAGGGAAGGAGGAGTTGTTGGCTGTTGAAAAAAAAAAAAAGTAACTGCAAATGGCCTTTGAAAGTCTAGACATCTTCATCATCAACACAAACATTCCTCTTCACAAAGGGACCCCAAGTAACCTTCGGCTGGAGGGCCCACTTGAGTATGCTTTTCTTCTCATTCTTTCTTACCTTCCCTCCAGCCAACCCAACCCACATTCAGTGACCAAGTCACGTGGGTTTTACCTCCTAAATCCTTCTCAGATCCGTTCACTGCTCAGCCACTCTCCTGACACCACCATAAACCAAGCCACGATCACCTCCAGCTGTTTGACTGCAAATGCCTCCTGACTGGCCTGTGTTTTCCCCTGGCCCTGTGACAATCTGCACTCCTCACAGGGACCAAAGCAATCACTTCAGAAGGTGCATCCAAACAGATCACTCACTTTCAATGACTCCCACTGCTCTGTGGGTTAACAATGATAAAAGCTCGGCCAGGCGCGTGACACATGCCTGTAATCCCAGCACTTTGGGAGGCCGAGGCGGGTGGATCATGACATTAGGGAGATCCAGACCATTCTCGCTAACAGGGTGAAACCCCGTCTCCACTAAAAATACAAAAAAATTAGCAGGGCGTGGTGGCGGGTGCCTGTAGTCCCAGCTACTCGGGAGGCTGAGGCAGGAGAATGGCGTGAACCCGGAAGGCGGAGCTTGCAGTGAGCAGAGATCGCGTCACTGCACTCCAGCCTGGGTGACAGAGTGAGACTCCGTCTCAAAAAAAAAAAAAAAAAAACCAATGATAAAAGGTCACCTTTACTGAGCACACACTATCTCAGTCCATCCCTACATCAGCCCTTTATTTCACCAGTGGGGAAGCTGGGACACAGAGTAGTTACATGGGATGCCCAAGGTGGGACCACTCGTGTGAAGTTTCCACACCCTAATGTGAGACCCTACATGACCTAGCCCCTCTCTTTCTCCAGCCTCATTTCCTGATTCTCTCGCTTGCCCTGCAGGCTTCAGCCACACAAACTTCTTGAAAGTCCCTTAAATCTGGCTGAGCGCAGTGGCTCACGCCTGTAATCCCAGTACTTTGCGAAGCTGAGGCGGGTGCATCACCTGAGATCCAGGAGTTTGAGACCAGCCTGGTCAACATGGTGAAACCCCATCTCTACTAAATATCCAAAAATTAGCCAGGTGTGGTGGTGGGTGCCTGTAATCCCAGCTACTCGGGAGACTGAGGCAGGAAAATCACTTGAACTCGGGAGGCAGAGGTTGCAGTGAGCCAAGATCACACCACTCTACTCCAGCCTAGGCGTCAAGAGCTAAACTCCGTCTCAAAAAAAAAAAAAAGTCCCTTAAATCTGCTCTATGCCTATCAACCTCAGGGACTTCACTATGCCGTTCCTCATTTATCCACCTAGTGAACTCATCCCACCCCCTAGGCCTCTCCTTAAGTGTCATCTCTTCAAGGAAGATTTTACTTGTTTAATATAACTATTACAATATAATTCAGGTACCGTATGATTTGCCCATTTAAAATGAACAAATCAATGGTTTCAGTGCATTCACAGAGCTCGGCAACCACCATCAGGATCAATTTTAAAACATTTTCATCACCCCAAAAAGAAACCCTGTATCCATTAGCAGGTACCTCCCATTTCCTCCTCCCACTAAGCCCTGACAATCTACTTTTTTTGAGATAGAGTCTCTGTCACAGGCTGGAGTGCAGTGGCACAACCTCGGCTCACTGCAACCTCTGCCTCCCGGGTTCAAGCAATTCTCCTGCCTCAGCCTCCCAAGTAGCTGGGATTAGAGGCGTCTGCCACCACACCAAGCTAATCTTTGTATTTTTAGTAGAGAAATGGTTTCTGTCTTCATAGATTTGCGTGTTCTGGACATTTCATATAAATGAAATCTTATGTGACCTTTTGTGACTGGTTTCTTCCACTTAGCATAATATTCTCATGGTTCATCCGTGTTGTAGCACGTGTTAGTACTTCATTCCTTTTGATGACTGAATAATATTCCATTGCATGGTCAAACCATGTTCCATCTCTCCACTCATCAGTAGACAAGCATTTGTGTTGTTTTCACTTTGGCACTATTATGAATAACGCTGCTATGAGCATTTGTGTGCAGCTTTCTGCATGGACATATATTTTCATTTCTTTCATAAACTGGAGTAGAAGTGCTGGGTCATAGAACTCTGTGTTTAAGCTTTTGAAGAAGTGCCACACTGTGTAAGAAAGAAAGCCTTTCCTCACCCTGAGAGACTGAGCTCCCTCTCTCCATTTATACATTCTCTTTATGCCCTTTGCTTCTCTTTCAGAGCAATTCACGTTGACCTGGGTCACCCTCAACTTAAGGCTCATAACTCCCCTAGACCCTCAGGGTCCACACTAAATGTGATGAAATATGATGCAAGGCACATATTTACTTTTGCATTTTGTAGTAACCACGTTTTAAAAAGTAAAACAAAAGAAGTGAAGGTAATTGGAATAATACCACAGATTTAGACAAATCTATCCAAAATACCAGGTCTACATGTATAAAATATTTTAACATTAACAAAATACTTTGCTTTCTTTTTATATTAAGGCTTCACAATCTAATGTGTATTTGATACTTCTCGCACATCTCGGTATGATGGCAGCACCCCATATGGGGGCCCTCCCATGATGCCAATGATGGGCCCTCCTCCTCCTCCTGGGGTGATGCCAGTGGAACCTGCTCCTGGAATGAGGCTGACCATGGGAGGCCACATGCCCATGATGCCTGGGTGCCCAATGATGAAACCTCCTGCCCGTCTCATGATGGTGCCCAGTCAGCCCAGAATGACTCGACCAGACAGATAAGGATAGAGGGGAGGCCTCATTACATCAGTGTTGGTTTTTTAATGTTATTGTTGTGTGTTTTTTTTGTTTTTTGAGACAGAGTCTTCCTCTGTCACCCAGGCTGGAGGGCAGTGGCACGATCTCAGCTCACTGAAATCTCCGCCTCCCAGGTTCAAGCGATTCCCCTGCCTCAGCCTCCCGAGTAGGTGGGACTACAGGCGTGCGCCACCATGCCCAGCTAATTTTTTTTATTTTAGTATAGACAGGGTTTCACCATGTTGGCCGCAATGGTCTCAATCTCCTGACCTCATGACCCACTTGCCCTGGCCTCCCAAAGTACTGGGATTACAGGTGTGAGCCACTGCGCCCAGCCTATATGAGTTTTATGGTTACCTGCTCCCTTCACCAGGAGATCATGCCGCTGTGATGCTGGGTTTTCTTAACAGCATAAGGAAGACTTGCCCCCATGCCCTATCAAAGAGAATCATTTTGGAGGGGAGAAGTGGGACCAAAAAACATGCAGTTTTCATTTGTATTGGGAAATGTGAAAATAAAATTGTCAACTCTTTTAGTTAAAAAAAAAAAGAAAAGGAAAGGAAACAAGATGTGGGGCTGCCATATCCAATACCAGGGATTACAAGGATCTTCTACTCTGGAGGCAAATATTATCTTTGTTGAAGCCAGACCAACCTGACACAAAGACCTTTTGTTTTTTTAATGTGACTGTGTTTTATTTTACAATGTGTAATTCACTTTAGAAGGGCAAAGTACCTGTCTGGGGAAGACTATTTAATTTCCTGCATTTATTTAGAATGTTGGCTAATGTTATTATGAAGGGAAAGAGCTCTAACAAGTGAGTGCCCCCAACATAGACACAGCTCATAAGCTCACAGGGCAAAGGAATTGAACAGCAGCCTCCTAACAGCCGGCCTTCTTTGTGGTATGCAAATAATTATCAGCATGTAAAAGACTATATATATATTCAACAATTCTGACCCCTTGTAAAATTCAAATCTACAACTGATTTGCTTCCTGGGCTCCTGAAAACAACTTTGTCAAAATTGATCGGAAATAAAATCAGCCAATCATTGTCCCTTGGGGACGCAGGACAAAGCAAGTCAGCCATGACCAATGTGGAGTCGGCCGTACACAATTACATGCAGACCTGCAGGACATCGAGTCCCTGCTATGGTACCTCCCTAGTCAGGCCCCCATTGCCTGGGCTGCAGCCAGAAGCATTCAGGCAAAAGTGCATTCAACAAATACTTATTGAATTGCATTGATGGTTAGAGGGTTGCGGATGATTAAGGTACATTAATGGATCCAAGTCCTCCCTGCATCCAAGACTCTGCCATTTGTCTCTGCAGTTCCTCCCACTGAAGAATCGGAGCATATTTCTCCAGCCCCTAATATTGGGTTTAGTCCTGTGTCTAGCTTTGGCCACTGGAATATTAATCTGCATGACCAAAAACTTGGAAACTGTGCATTCATTTGTGCTCGCTCACTCCTGCTATCACCATGAGAGCAAGCCCAGGCCAGCCTGCAGCTTCCAGCGGAAGATAAGAGACACCAAGAGCAAAGTAGAGCTTCCCAGACATGCTCATGCCAGATTAACCAATCCTCAGCTGATCCATAGATCCATGAAAATAAACGATTGTTGTATTAAGCCACTGAGATTTGGAGTGACTTGTTATGCAGCATTTTCTGACAACAACTAACGGATACAAGGGCGACCGTCCTTTATCTCTGTAGATTTTAACCAATTTTTAATAGCTAGATGGAGATCTTTGACTTGCCTTTATTTATAATGAATAAGACTGTAGAGCTAGTTTGGCCTGACACTACCAGTTACCTACCCAGAAATTCAGAAATACTTTCTTCTCCAACCCGCCCCAACCAACCTTTTTTTTTTTTGAAACGGGGTCTCACTCTTTGCCTAGGGTAGAGTACAAGTGGAACAGTCAGAGCTCACTATAACCGCAAAATCCTGGGCTCAAGTGATCTTCCCCTTCAGCCTCCTACATAGCTAGGACTACAGACATGAGCCACCATGCTTAGCTAATTTTTTTATTCTTTGCAGAGACAGGGTCTCACTATATTGCCCAAGTTAGTTTCAAACTCCTGGCCTCAAGCCGTCCTCCTGCCTCATCCTCCCAAAGTGCTAGGATTACAGGCATGAGCCACCACACCCAGCCTCTTCTTTTTAAATAGAAACCCTATTTTATTCTGACAGCGGGTTGCTTTCTTTTTCTTTAGAAAAAGTTGGCCCAGCCCCAGGGAATAAATTGTGACTGGTCTGAACAGGGTTGGCAAACTATAGACCAAGGGCCAAATCTGGCCCTCTGACTGTTTGTATAAATTAAATTTTACTGGAATAAAACCAGGTCCATTCATTTATGCCTTGTCTACATATGCTTTTAGGCTACGATGGTACCACTGCTTCACTGCAACAGAGGTTATCTAGACCAAAAGCCTAAAATATTACCGTTTGCCTCTTTATGGAAAAAGTTTGCCATTCCCTAGTCTAAGGTTTAGATTCTGAGCTTATCATTTTAGCCTAATCCCCCTTACGAGTGACTGGCTCAAAACAAGTCTGTGATTCCATTCTGACTGTTCTACTGAGGGAATTCCCCCTTCTTCTCATGCAGAGCTGTGAGGGTAAGTTGTATTAATAGGACATATGCTCAGGTTTTCTGAAAAATACTTTTATCTAGAAATGCATAGGAATATGCTGGTGCCTGAATGTACCATCTGGGGGCCTGGAGACTGACTCCCCTGCCTCCAGAGCTAGTGCTCACACTTACTACTGAGAGGCCTGAGGAAACGCCAGCTTACCCACCACGAGAACCTGCACACATCACCTGGAGAACTAGAGATCAGAATGCCACACACACCACCCAGGAGCCCAATGGTGCACCTGCCCACCTGGCCCAGTACTGCCACTGCCAGCAACCAAAGAAGCCACCTGGAGGCCCAGGGATTGGCCCACGCAGACAGGCTATCATCAGTGCCCACATACACTGCCCATGGTCCCTAGTATTGACACACCTGGTCCACCACCACTACCAATGATGCCGAAGGACAAGACTTCCTGGCATCCCCATCCTCAGCAAAACCTCACAACAGCCTCCAATAACAACTGCAGTCTGGCCAGGTGTGGTGGTTCATGCCAGTAATCCCAGCACTTTGGGAGGCCGATGTGGGCAGATCACGAGGTGAGGAGTTCGAGACCAGCCCGGCCAACATGGTGAAACCCTGTCTCTACTAAAAATATAAAAATTAGCCAGGTGTGGTGGCAGGCGCCTGTAGTCCCAGCTACTCAGGAGGCTGAGGCAGGAGAATCGCTTGAACCCGGGAGGCAGAGGTTACAGTGAGCTGAGATTATGTCACTGCACTCCAGCCTGGTGACAGAGCAAGACTCCATCTCAGCAACGACAACAACAAAAAAAAACTGCAGTCTAAGCCACTGAATAACTCACAGACACCATTCATGCCAATTACAGCTGAAGAAATCATATGCAGACTATATCACTGTACCTACCCAGAATCAAAGCCAAAGTGTGATATCCAATGAACATTGTAGATACAGCTATAAGAAAAGGTCTTTCCCCTATAAAAGCGAATCCATAAAATTGGAAGAAGTGACGGTTATGTCAGAGGCACAGATAGTCACATAAGGATGCAAGAAATATGAAAAAGGAAACATAACACCTCCAAAGAAGCACAATAATTCTCCAGCAACAGATTCCAATAAAAAGAAAATCTATGAAATGCCTGAAAAAATTTTCAGAATAATGACATTAAAGAAACTCAGGGAGATATAAGAGAACACAGATAATGAATACAAAAAAATCAGGAAAACAATTCATGATCTGAATGAGAAATTCAACAGAGACAGACAGCATAACAAAGAACCAAACACAAATCCTGGAAGAGAAGAAATCGTTGAAAGAAATACAAAAGATAACTGACAGCTTTAACAATAGACTAGATCAAGCAAAACAAAGAATTTCTGAAGTTGAAGACTAGTCTTTTAAAATAATCCAGTCAGACAAAAAGAAAGAAAAAAGAGTGAAGCAAGGCTACATGACATATGGGACACATATGTGGCCAAATACTGAAATTCTTGGAGTTCCAGATGGAGATGAGATGGGTAAAGGCATAGAAAACCTATTTAATAAAATAATAACTGAAAACTTCCTAAGTCTTGCAAATGATATAGATCCAAATACAGGAAGCTCAAAGATTCCCAAATAAATACAACCCAAAAAGGTCTTCTCCAAGGCACATTATGATAAAACTGTCAAAAGACAAAGAGAAAATTCTAAAAACAGCAAGAGAAAAGCATGAAGTCCCTTATAAGAGAATCTCCATCAGGCTAACAGGGGATTTCTCAGCAGACAGGCTATGAGAAAAGGGTCTGTATACTACAAGTAAAAAAAAAAAAAAAAAAAAAAAAAATCTAAGCCAAAACTACTATACCCAGCAAAGCTGTCCTTCAAAAATGAAGGAGCCTGGCACAGTGGCTCACATATACAATTCCAGAGAATCAGAAGACTGAGGCAGGAAGATCATTTGAGCCCAGGAGTTCAAGGCTGCAGTGAGCTATGATCATGCCACTGTACTCCAGCCTGGGTCACAGAGTGAGACTCCATTGCCTAAAAAAAAAAAAAAAAAAGAAAAAATATTTCCCAGATAAGCAAAAGACTGTTTGTTTGTGTCTTGTTTGTTGTGGTCCTACAAGAAATGCTTAAGGGAGTCCTACATTGGGAAGCAAAAGAACAATATCTACCATCATGAAAATACATGAAAGTATAAAACTCTCTGATAGAGCAGACACACAAAGGAGAAAGGATTCAAATGTCACCGCTAAAGAAAACCACCAAACTGCAACCATAAATAATGAGGGAAAAAAGGAACACGGGTGTATTAGTCTGTTTTCACACTGCTGATAAAGACATACCTGACTGAGACTGGGCAATTTACAAAAGAAAGAGGTTTAATGGACTTACATTTCCACGTAGCTGGGGAAGCCTCAAAATCATGGTGGAAGGCAAGAAGAAGCAAGTCATGGCTCACATGGATGGCAGCAGGCAAAGAGAGAGCTTCTGCAGGGAAACTACCCTTTTTAAAACCATCAGATCTTGCGAGACTTATTCACTATCATGAGAACAGCATGGGAAAGACATGCCCCCATGACTCAATTACTTCCCACTAGGTCCCTCCAATAACATGTGGGAATTCAAGATGAGATTTGGGTGGGGACACAGCCAAACCATATCATTCTGCCCCTGGCCCCTCCCAAATCTCATGTCCTCACATTTTAAAACCAATCATGCCTTCCCAACAGTCCCCCAAAGTCTTAACTAAGTTCAGCATTAACTGAGAGGTCCACAGTCCAAAGTCTCATGTGACACAAGGCAAATCCCTTCCGCCTATGAGCATGTAAAATCAAAAACAAGTTAGTTACTTCCTAGATACAATGGGGGTATAGGCACTGGGTAAACACAGTCATTCCAAATGGGAGAAAATTGCCAAAACAAAGGGGCTACAGGCCCCACGCAAGCCCAAAATCCAGTGCGGCAGTAAAATCCCAAAGCTCCAAAATGATCTCCTTTGAGTCCATGTCTCACATGCAGGTCATGCTGATGTAAGAGGTGGGCTCCCATGGCCTTGGGAGAATAAAGGCCACAGCTCCACTCCTGTGGCTTTGTAGGGTATAACACCCCTCCTGGAATAAAACCAGGAGGTGAAAGGAGGGGCTCCTTTCACTGGTTGGCATTGAGTGTTTGCAGCTTTTCCAGGCACACAGTACAAGCTGTCAGTGAATCCACCATTCTGGGGTCTGGAGGATGGTGGCCCTCTTCTCACAGCTCCACTAGGTGGTGCCACAGTAGGGACTCTATGTGGGGGCTCCGACCCCACATTTCCCTTCCGCACTGCCCTAGTAGAGGTTCTCCATGAGTGCCCTGCCCCTGCAGCAAACTGCTGCCTGGACATCTAGGCATTTCCATACATCTTCTGAAATCTAGGCAGTGGTTCCCAAACCTCAATTTTTGACTTCTTTGTACCCACAGGCTCAACACTATGTGAAAGCTGCTAAGGCTTGGGGCTTGCACCCTCTGAAGTCACAGCCTACGTTGTATCTTGGCTCCTTTTAGCTGCAGCTGGAGTGGCTAGGACTCAGGCACCCTAGGCTGCTCACAGTAGGGGTCCCTGGTTCCAGCCCACAAAACCATCTTTTCTTCCTAGGCCTCTGGGCCTTTGATGGGTGGGGCTGCCATGAAGACCTGTGACATGCCCTGGAGACATTTTCCCCATTGACGGGGATTCACACTTGGCTCCTCATTACTTAAACAAATTTCTGCAGCCAGATCGAATTTTTCTTGAGAAAATGGGATTTTCTTTTCTATTGCATCGTCAGGCTGCAAATTTTCCAAACTTTTATGCTCTGCTTCCCTTATAAAACTGAGTGCCTTTAACAGCACCCAAGTCATGTGTTGAATGCTTTGCTGCTTAGAAATCTCTTCTACCAGATACCCTAAATCATCTCTCTCAAGTTCAAAATTCCACAAATCTCTACAGCAGGGGCAAAATGCCACCAGTCTCTTTGCTAAAACATAATAGGAGTCACCTTTGTGCCAGTTCCTGATAAGTTCCTTATTTCCATCTGACACAACCTCAGCCTAGACTTTATTGTCCATATAACTATCAGCATTTTGGGCTCTAGGAAATTTCTTCCAAATTTTCCCACATTTTCCTGTCTCCTTCTGAGCCCTCCAAACTGTTCCAACCTCTGCCTGTTTCCCAGTTCCAAAGTCACTTCCACGTATTCAGGTATCTTTTAGCAACACCCCACTTCTGGTACCAATTTACTGTATTAGTCCATTTTCACACAGCTGATAAAGACACATTCAAGACTGGGAAATTTACAAAAGATAAAGGTTTAATGGACTTACAGTTCTACATTGCTGGGGAGGCTACAAAATCATTGCGGAAGTCAAGGAGAGGCAAGTCACATCTTACAGGGATGGCAGCAGGCAAAGAGAGAGCTTGAGCAGGGAAACTCCTCCTTTTAAAACCTCTCAGATCTCATGAGACTGATTCACTATCAAAAGAATAGCATGGTAAAGACCTGCCGCCACAATTCAACTACGTCCCACTGGGTCCCTCCCACAACACATGGGAATTCAAGATGACATCTGAGTGGGGACACAGCCAAACCATATCAAAAGGATATACAAAATAACCAGAAAACAATGAACAAAATGACAGGAATAAGTCCTCACCTATCAATAATAACTTCGAATATGGGTTAAATTACCTACCTAAAAGACAGAGACAGGCTTAACGGATAAAAAATGATCCAACAACATCTACAAGAAACTCACTTCACTTGTAAAGACACACACAGACTGAAAGTGAAGGGATTGAAAAAGATATACCACACAAACAGAAATCAAAAGTAATCATGAGTAGTTAAACTTACATCAGATAAAACAGACTAAGTCAAAAACTGTAAAAAGGACAAAGAAGGTCATTATGTGGTAATAAAGGGATCAATTCAGCAACAAAATATAACAATTCTAAATATGCATGCAACCAACATAAGAGCATACAGACACACATAGCAAATATTATGAAATCTAGACGGAGAGATAGAGACCAATATAATGATAGTTGAGCACTTCAATATCCTACTCTCAGCATTGGACAGTTCATCTAGATATAAAATCAACAAAGAAACATTAGATTTAAGCTGCACTTTAGACCAAATGGACCTAACAGTTATTTTCAGAATATTTCATCCAGCAGCAGCAGAATACACTATCATCTCATCAACACATGGAACATTCTCCAGGATAGACCATATGCTAGGACACAAAACAAGGCTCAACAAAATTTTAAAAATTAAAATCATAAATTATCTTCTCAGACCACAATGGAATAAAACTTGAAATCAATAACAAGAAGAAATTTGGAAACTGTACAAATACATGGACATTAAACGTGCTATTGAATCATCATTGCATCAATGAAGAAATTAAGATGGAAATTAAAAAAATTTTTTAAACAGAAAATGGAAACACATCATGCAAAACCTATGGCACACAGCAAAAGCAGTACTAGGAGGGAAGTTTATAGCAATAAATGCCTACACCAAAAAAGTAGAAAGATTTCAAATAAACAACCTAATGATGCACCTCAAGGAACTCAAAAAGCAAGAACAAACCAAACACACAATTACTAGAAAGAAAAAATAAATAACATAGCAGAACCAAATGCAACAGAGACAAAAAAGAAATGCAAATAATCAACAAGATAAAAGTTGGTTTTTTGAAAAGTTAAACAAAATTGATAAACCACTAGTGAGGCTAACCAAAAAAAAAAAGAAAGAAAGGAGACCCAAATAAATACAATCAGAAATGAAAAAGGAGACGTTACAACTGTTACCAAAGAAATAAAAAGGATCATTAGAGGCTATTATGAACAACCATATGCTAACAAATTGGAAAACCTAGAGGAAAGGGATACATTCCCAGACATACACAGCCTACCAAGATTGAACTAGGAAGAAACAGAAAACCTGAACTGACCCAAAATGAATAGCAGGTTTGGATCAGTAACAAAAAGTCTCCCAAAAGAGAAAAGCCCTAAACTAAGCTTTTATGCTGATGTCTACCCAATTTATAAAGAAAAACAAACACCAATTCTTCTCAAACTATTCCCAAAAATTGAAGAGGAGGGAATTCTTCCTAACTCATTGTATAAGGCCAGCACTACCCTGATATCCAATCAAGACAAGGACACAACAAAAAGAGAAAACTACAGGCCAATATTCCGAATACACACAGATGGAAAAATTCTCGGCATAATACTACTAAACCGAATCTAATGATGAATGAACAAGATAATATACCATGATCAAGTGGGATTTATCCCAGGAATGCAAACATGGCTCAACATACACAAATCAATACATGTGATACATCACATCAACAAGATGAAAGGCAAAAACTATCTGATCATCTCAGCAGATGCAGAAAAATCACTCAGTAAAACTTACCATTCCTTCATAATGAAAACTCTCAACAAATTAGGCATACAAGGAACACTTCAACATAAGAAAAGGCATATATGACAAATCTACAGCTAACATCCTACTCACTGAGAAAAATTGAAAAGCCTTTCCTCTAAGAACTGGAACAAGACAAGGATACCCACTTTCACCACTCCTATTCAACACAGTATGGCACATCCAAGCCAGAGTGATCAGACAAGATAAAGAAATAAAAGGCATCCAAACTGGACAAGAGGAAGTCAAATTGGCTCACTTTGCAGATGACATAATCTTATACTCGTAAACAGAAAAACCCAAAGACTCCACCAAAAAAACTCTTAAAATGGATAAATTAGGCTGCGCAAGGTGGCTCATGCCTGTAATCCCAGCACTTTGGGAGGCCAAGGTGGGTGGATCACCTGAGGTTGGGAGTTTGAGACCAGCCTGGCCGCCATGGTGAAACCCTGTCTCTACTAAAAATACAACAATTAGCCAGGCATGGTGGTAGGTGCCTGTAATCCCAGCTACTTGGGAGGCTGAAGCAGGAGAATCGCTTGAACCCGAGAGGCGGAGGTTGCAGTGAGCCAAGATTGCACCACTGCACTCCAGCCTGGGCAACAGAGTGAGACTCTATCTCAAAAAATAAAAAATAAAAAAAAATTTTTTTAAAAACGGACGTATAATTCAGTAAAGCTTCAGGACACAAAATCAACACACAAAAATCAGTAATGTTTCTATATACCACTAACAAACTAGCTAAAAAAGAAATCAAGGAAGAAATTCTATTTACAATAGCTACAAAAATAAAATACCTAGGAATAAACTTACCCAAGGATGGGAAAACAAAAACAAAAACAAAAACAAAAAACCTCGACAATGAAAACCACAAAACACTGATAAAATAAATTGAGAAGGACACAAACAAATGGAAAAGCATCTCATGCTCGTGGGTTAGAATAACTAATATTGTGAAAATGACCATACTACCCGAAGCAATCTAGAGATTCAGTATAATCCCTATCAATTATATTCTTCACAGAAACAGGAAAAAAAAACCCTGAAATTCACATGGAACCACAGAACACCCCAAATAGCCAAAGCAATACTGAGCAAAAAGAACAAAGCTAGAAGCCTCACACTACCTGATTTAAAAATGTACTGCAAAGCTATAGTAACCAAAACAGTGTGTATTGGTATTAAAACAGACACAAAAACAAAGGAAACAGACCAAAGAACCCAGAAATGAATCCACGTATTTACAGCTAACTGATTTTCAAGAAAGGTGTCAAGAACATACATTGAATAAAGGACACCCTCTTCATTAAATGGTGCCAGGAAAACTAGATATCCAAATACAGAAGAATAAAACTAGACCCTTATCTCTCATCACTTACAAAAATAAACTCAAAATTGATTAAAGACTTAAACGTAACAGCCACAACTATAAAACTACTAGAAGTAAACACAGGAGAAACTCTTGAGAACAAAGATTGCATGGCTAACACTTAAAAAGTACAAGCAACAAAATCAGACAAATGGGATTATATTAAACTAAATACCTTCTGCATATCAAAGAAAACAATCAACACAGTGAAAAGACAACACCCCTCCCTTACAGCATATATAAAAATTAACTCAAGATGGCTGAAAGACTTAAATGTAAAACCCATAACTATAAAAACGCTGGAAGACGACCTAGGCAATACCAGCCGGTACATAGTGATGGGCAAAGAGTTCATGCTGAAGATGCCAAACGCAATCGCCACAAAAGCAAAAATTGACAAATGGGATCTAATTAAATGAAAGAGCTTCTGCACAGCAAAAGAAACTATCAAAAAATAGACATTACTCAGAAGAAGATACACAAATCACCAAGTTTATGAAAAAATATTCAACGTCACTAATCATCACGGAAATGCAAATCAAAACCACAAAGAGATATCATCTCACACTTGTTAGAATGGCTATTATTAAAAAGACAAAGCACAACAAATGCTGGCAAGTATCTGAACAAAAGAATATTATTGTATATTGTTGGTGGCAATGTAAATTAGTACAGCCATTATTTTAAAAAGCACAGAGATTTCTCAAAAAACTAAGAACAGATCTACCATATGATCCAGCAATCCCACTCCCGGGTATATATCCAAAAAAAAGGATATCAGTGTATCAACGGGATACCTGTACCCGTACCCCCATATTTACTGCAGCACTATTTACAATAGCCAAGATATGGAATCAATCTAAGTGTCAATCAACGGATGAATGGATAAAGAAAATGGGAATATACGCACAATAGAATACTATTCAGCCATAAAAAAGAATGAAATCCTGTCATTTTCAGCTAAATGGATGGAACTAAAGGTCATAATGTCAGGTGAACTAGGCCATGCACAGAAAGAAAACTATTGCATGTTCTCACTTATATGAGCAGCTTAGGCTCCTGGAAATCAAAGTGGGGGCCATGTATCAGGTCAGTAGGGTCAGGGATAGAGACCGCAGTTATGGACTTGTGTGCCCTGGAGCTATATAAAATTGATGTCATGGAGATAAAGAGTAGAATGATAGTTACCAGAGGCTGGGAAGAGGAGGGGTTTGAAAAGAGGTTGATTAATGGGTGTAAAAATATACAATAGAAGGAATAAGATCTAGTGTTTAATATCATAGAAAGTGACTATTAACAATTTATTGTATATTTCTTTTTTTTATTTCAATAGTTTTTAGGGAACAGGTGGTATTTTGTTACATGGATAAGTTCTTCAGTGGTGATCTCTGAAATTTTGGCACACCCATCGCCAGAGCAGTTTACCCAATGTATATAGTCTTTTATCTCTCACCCCCTCCCACTTCCACCTGAGCCCCCAAAGTCCACTGTTTCATTCTCGTCCCTTTGCATCATCATAGCTTAGCTCCCACTTATGAGTGAGAACATGCAATGTTTGTTTTTCCATTCCTGAGTTACTTCATTTAGAATAATGCTCTCCAACTCCATCCAGGTTGCTATGAATGCCATTATTTCATTCCTTTTTAAGGCTAAGTAGTATTCTATGGTATATATATATATACATATAAAAAACACATTTTCTTTATCCACTAATTGACTGATGGGCATTTGGGCTGGTTCTATAGTTTTGCAAATGTGAATTTTGCTGATGTAAACATGTGTGCAAAAGTGTCTTTTTCATACGATGACTTCCTTTTCTCTGGGTAGATACTTAGTAGTGGGATTGCTGGATCAAATGGTAGATGTACTTTTAGTTCTTTAAGGAATCTCCATACTGCTTTCCATAGTGATGGTACTAGCTTACATTCCCACCATCAGTGTAAAAGCGTTCTCTTTCACGTCCATGCCAACATCAATTTTTGCTTTTTGTTGTTGTTGTTTTGAGATGAAGTCTCACTCTGTCACACAGGCTGGAGTATATCAGCTCACTGCAACCTTGCATCCTGGGTTCAAGCAATTCTCCTGTCTCAGCCGCCTGAGTAGCTGGGATTACAGGCAACCGCCACCATGCCCGGCTAATTTTTGTATTTTCAGTAGAGACGGGGTTTCACCATGTTAGTCAGGCTGGTCTCAAACTCCTGACCTCGTGATACACCCGCCTCGGCCTCCCAAAGTACTGGGATTACACGCGTCAGCCACGGCGCCTGGCCCTATTTTTCTTTATTTTACACATGGTATTGCATTGTGGTTTTGATTTGCATTTCCCTGATAATTAGTGATGTTGAGCATTTTTTCATATGTTTGTTGGCCATTTGTGTATCTTCTTTTGGGAACTGCCTATTCATGTCCTTGGCACACTTTTTGATGGGATTATTTTTTTCTTGCTGATTAGAGTTCCCTGTAGATTCTGGACATTAGTCCTTTGTCAGATGCAGTTTGTGAAAATTTTCTCCCACTCTCTGGGTGATCTGTTTACTCTGCTGTTTATTTCCTTTGCTGTGCAGGAGGCTTTTAGTTTAATTAAGTCCCATCTATTTATCTTTGTTTTCATTGCACTTGCTTTTGGGTTCTTGGTTATGAACTGTTTGCCTAAGCCAATGTGTAGAAACGTTTTCCAATGTTATCTTCAAGAATTTTTATGGTTTCAGACCTTAGATTTAAGTCTTTGATCCATCTTGTGTTGATTTTTGTATAAGGTGAGAGATGAGGATCCAGTTTTATTCTTTTACATGTGGCTTGCCAATTATCCCAGCACTATTTGTTGAATAGGGTGTACTTTCCTTACTTTGCTTTTGTTTACTTTGTCTAAGATCAGTTGGCTATTAATTATTGGGCTTTATTTCTGGGTTCTCTACTCTGTTCCATTGGTCATGTGCCTATTTTTATACCAGCACCATGCTGTTTTGGTCACTATAGCCTTGTAATATAGTTTGAAGTTGGGTAATGTGATGCCTCTAGATTGGTTCTTTTTGCTTAGTTTTGCTTTGGCTATGCAGACTCTTTTATACTTCCAGATGAATTTTGGCATTGTTTTTTCTAGTTCTATAAAGAATGATGATGGTATTTTGATAGGAATTGCATTAAATTTGTAAACTGCTTTTGGCAGTATGGTCATTTTCACAATAGTGAGTCTACCCATCCATGAGCATGGAATGTGTTTCCATTTGTTTGTGTCATCTATGATTTCTTTCAGCAGTGTTTTGTAGTTTTCCTTGTAGGGGTATTTCACCTCCTTGGTTAGGTATATTCCTAAGTATTTTATTTTTACAGCTATTATAAAAGGGTTTGATTTGATTCTCAGCCTGGTTGCTGTTGGTGTATAGCACTGCTACTGATTTGTGTACATAGATTTTGTATCCTGATAAATGAATTTATTGTATATTTTTAAATAGCAATAAGCTTTGAAATATTCCCAACACAAAGAAATGATCAATGTTTGAGGTGATCAATATCCCAAAGACCCTGATTTGATCATTACTCATTGCACAAATGTACCAAAATCTCACATGGACCCCATAAATATGTACAATTATTCTCTATCAAAAAAATTTTTAAGAAACATGCAGGAATACACTGTACCTCTTCCTTGCTGTCTCTGGATATTGTCACATGAGGACTTGACAGGCGGATTGTGGCAGCCTCTGTGACCAAAAGCAGAAGGCAAGAGCAGCATAGAAACCTCAAATGAAGAACCTAACATCTCAAGCTACTAATTTACCCAAGCTTCGCATCAGCTATCTCCGGTCTTAGTACATGAGGTGATAAGCCCCCACTGTTCAAGTTGGGTGGCCATCAATTGCTGCAGAATAGAAGTTAATGAGGCTTCCTCCTCCTGGATCCCCTACTAGACCCTGACATGCCCATTCAGTCACAGGCAGAAAGGGAAACAGAGGGTAAGGAGACCTGGCTGGCTCTGCCAGAGACAGATCTTACCTGTCCTGCTTGCCCTAAAAAAGCCTGGTGCCTATGCAAGGGACTGAGAGGTGGCTCCTGCGGCCATAGTCTAGGCAAAATAACCCATCCACTAATAAGTGAACATGGCAGAAATACAGTCAGCATTTCCTCAGTCTTGCCAATAAAGCCAACTCTTCTGCTCACCAGGGAGGAGACGTATGAAAGGGGCAGAGAGACTTGGAAGCTTTCATCCTAACTCACTCTTCTTTGTTTTTGTTTTGTTTAGTTTTAAGACCCAGTCTCGCCCTATCACGCAGGCTAGGGTGCAGTGGTGCAATCTTGGCTCACTCCAACCTCCGCCCCCTGGGTTCAAGCGAATCTCATGCTTCAGCCTCCAGAGTAGCTGGGACTACAGGCACCCACGACCACGCCTGGCTAATTTTTGTATTTTTAGTAGACAAACGGTTTCACCATGTTGGCCAGGCTGGTCTCGAACTCCTGGCCTCAAGTGATCTGCCCACCTCGGCCTCCCAAAGGGCTGAGATTACAGGCATAAGCAACCCCACCTGAACACCTAACTCACTCTTGAGAGGCCGGAAGTGATGCTGGAACCTTCTTCTTCTGTGGGTTAAAAAGGGAAAATTAGGAAGAACACAAGGCATGAGAGATGCAGCGATGGATATGTCTATATGGAGCTTCTGTCTGCATCCAGTAGAAAATGCACTTCTACGTACCAGGTTTAAGAGCGAAAACCTGCAGTCTTGTCTGTTAGCATTCTCCTTCCCCACAAACCTGAGAGGGAATACATTTTCCTCCAGCACACCCGGATGTAGGAAATGTCACATTCCTATTTCTGTAAATTCAGTTAAATCTGCTCGAGTCCCTGGATACCTGGCAGGTGGGGAATTCAATCTTGTCATTACCAGCATTCCTTTCCCTTCTCCATGGGCTTATGTAAGAATTCTGGGCTCACACACTGTTGGAAAGCCAGGTAGGAACTACATCCCCCGAACTCTCCATTCTTCCAGCTGCTCATGATCCATCAGCCTTTTTTGGGCCATCTGCTATATCAAGACCCTCCTCACAGCATCATTCCACTGACCCACAGACTCAGCCCCAGGGACCCTCACTATAACAGGTCTTCACTATGCATGCGAACTCACAAAAACCTTCTCTTCATCTTGGCTTCCTCTGATATCCACCACTCCCCCGCTTCTCACCTTAAACACAGATGGCAGCTCCTTCCCGTCGTTCCAAACCTTGGGGATTGTCCAGCCAAATTCTCTTCAGACACCAAAGCTTCACCCGCCCTCTTCAGGGAGGTGATGCAAGGGCATCTGAGATCTTTGGAAGCCCAATTCCAGCCTCTCTTTGGGGTGGGCTGAGAGTGGGAACTAGACTCTCTTTTCCAAGTGCCATGTTTATCTTGTTCATCATTATATTATCTCCAATGCCTGGCACATAGCAGGCACTAAAGACTGACACATAGTAGGTGCTATTAGTGTCTGTATAATGGGACTCTTGAGGTTGAAGCTATTAGCAGAAACCTGCCAAGCAAAAGGATGGAAAACCGACCACCAAAAAAAAAAAAAAATTGAAAGCAATCGTGGCTTTGAGCTCTAAACACACAAGGCACCAGCCCAAGTTTGGGCAATTTTAATACAACAGCCATTTCACCTCCAAACAAGCTGGCACTGGAAACCTCCCTCTGCCTCTTAAAGAGAACGAGTTTCTCTTTCTCTAAGTGGGCAGCATTTCTCCCCGGTGGCAGTACCCAGCCCACTGCCACCAGCAAAGGACTGCATCCAGGAGCCAAGAGTTTGAAAGTTTAAAGAATAGATTTTATAGGGAAAAACAAAGTAACATCCACATAAATCTGGAACTACCATGACTTTCCAAAGGCTGAATCCCATTTGTGGAGTCTCTTGCATCTCAAGCACCTTGCAGTCAGCTCAACTACATACTTTTGGGATTCGTTGCAGAGAAGAGTGAAGGTTATCTGCAAAATAAAGGAACCAGGGCTCAGAATTCCCAGAGCAATCCATGACAGAGGAGGTGAGTAGAAAAGGGAAGGGGGACCTCAAAGGAGGGAAGTCAATGAGTTGGCCAACACCAAGCAAGGATCATGGGAACCTTTCCATGGCCCCACATCTCAAATGAAGTCAACAAAAGCCATTAATTCTTGCTGTAAGTGTTGTATGCTCCCGGAAATGAAAGCAGGGGCCACATTTCACGTCAGTGGGGTATCGGTAGAGGCAGCAGTCATGAACTTGTCGGCCCTGGAGGATGGGACGATTCTGAGATATTGAATCCCTACACTGATCTCAGTAGAAATCTCAGGTAGGGCTTCAACATTCGTGGACCAAGGACTCTGTGGGCCTGAGAGCAACAGCCTTGGTGCATGTTCCAGTTCCATCAATGCCAAATGGGGCTTTGAACAAGTTACTTATTTTTTTAACTAACGTTATTTTAATTGACAAATCATAATTGTACACATTTATGTGATGTTTTGATATCTGTATACAATGTGGAATGATTAGATCAAACTAATTAACATGTCCATCCCCTAATTTACTGAAAATTTTTAGGATGAGACATTTGAAATGTACCCTCTTAGTTATTTTGAAAGGTACTTTATTATTGACTATAGTCACGCTGCTGTGCTACAGATTTCAAAGCATATAATCCAGCAACCCAACTTCTGGGTACAGACCAAGAAAAAATTGATGTCAATATGTTGAAGGGATCTCTACATTCCTATGTTCACTGCAGCACTATTCACAATACCCAAGATATAGAATCAACCTAAGTGTCCATCAGTGGATGAAAGGATAAAGAAAATGTACTATATACACACAACGGAATACTATTAACCCTTAAAAAAGAAAGAAATCCTGTCATTTTCAACAACATAGACGAACTTGAAAGACACTGTGTTAAGTGAAATAAGCCAGGCACAGAAAGACAAATACTGCATGATTTTACTTACATGTGGAATCTAAAGAAGTTGAACTCACAGAAATAGAGAGTAGGACAGTGGTTATCAGGGGCTGGGGCGCAGGAAAGGTAGGGGATAGGAGACACTGGTCAAAGGGTACAAAGTTTCCAATAGGAAGAATAAGTTTTGAACAAGTTAAACTCCTCTGAAAGCTCAGTTCCTCACTGTAGAGCAGGGACACATCATCGACCTTCTAAGGACGTTGCTGTGAGAGTAAGAGATGATGTTCAGCACAATACCTAACGCGCAGTCAGGTCTCCTTAAGCTTGAACCTGCGTCGCCATGACCTCTACATCTCAGGACAGAAAGGCTCACAGCCAGTGTCTCAGTTCCCAGTGAAAAGTGGATCCCAGACCAGGCTGAACAGCAGGATCCCTAGGGGATACCCAGCCCTACTGAGTCGGAATCACCGGAGGTAGAGCCTGGGTATGTATGTATGTGTATGTGTATGTATGTATGCATAAGAGACAGGGTCTTCTTCTGCAATCCAGGCTGGAGTGCAGTGTCACAATCATAGTTCACTGCAGGCTCAAATTACTCCTGGCCTCAAGCCATCCTCCCACCTCAGCCTTCAGAGTAGCTGAGACTACAGGCACATGCCACCAAGCCTGGATACTTTTTTTTTTCTTTTTTCTTTTTGGAGAGAGTCTCACTCTGTTGCCCAGGCTGGAGTGCAATGATGCAATCTTGGCTCACTGCAACCTCTGTCTCCCAGGTTCAAGTGATTCTCATGCCTCAACCTCCTGAGTAGCTAGGATTACAGGCATGCACCACCACACCAGACTAATTTTGCTTTTTTCATTGTTGTTTATTGTTTGTTTTTCACAAATAGGGCTTTTTATTTGCCACTGTTATAAGTCTGAACTTTAAACAGATTCTTGGACTAGTGGTTCATACCCATCAGCTCATTCAACTTTAGCATGTGTCTCGTCCCTAGTGGGTTTTCCAGAACTACTACCTTCACCATGAAGCTCCATGCCTTTCAAACCAAGGGTTCTCCAGCATTTTTACTTTTCTAATGAAGACATCATGGAGAGGATAAATTGGCAAGCCTTTTCTACATCTTTTCCGATGTTATCTGGTATCAATTTATTGACCACTTCTTTCAAGTCATTTGTCTGCACATCTCAGGTCATGATTTCCAACACCTTCTTCTGGATTTGGCAGACTGTTGGTGCTGAGCATAAGAGGTCTTCAGTATCTGATTGTTGCGTTTTTTGGTAAAACCAACACAAAACAGATGAAAGAAGTAACCATCGGTAGTCTTCACATCAACATGAGTTTCAATCATTGTTGAACATTTTTCAACCATGGAACATATTTTGTCACAGGTAAGACCCATGCCATAGAAGTTAGTCAGGCAGTTTCTGCCCTGAACATCTTCAGTAATCAGCTTGAATTTTCTAAATGCAACTTCATCATTCTGCACATCAGCAAGACTCACTTCAAACACAAGACCCTTGAGACCATCAGATGCAATTTGGGTTCCTCGGGTCCTGGTGACCAAGTCTTTCCAATATTTCTTACATTGAACATAGCAGGTGCTTTTACATCATACTGATCTTTCTTAGAAAATGGATCAAGTATTTTCTTCTTAACTCCCTTTTTGCCACCTTTCATAAGGCACTTGTTCTTAACAACCGCCATGGTGCTGCTCAGAGTACCAAAAGGCTAAATTTTATATTTTTGGTAGAGACAGGGTTTCACCATTTTGGCCAGGCTGGTCTTGAACTCCTGATATCAAGTGATCTGCCCACCTCAGTCTCCCAAAGTGCTGGGATCACAGGTGTGAGCCACTGCACCCAGCTGCTATTTATTTTTTCTTTTTTGTAGAGACAGGGTCTTGCCATGTTGCCAACGCTGGCCTGGAACTCCTGGCCTCAAGCAATCCTCCCACCGCAGCCTCCCAAAGCACTGGGATTTCAGGTGTGAGCCACCATGCCCAGCCTGGAATCTATTTTTAAAGCCAATCAAGTGTTGAATAAAATTGCAACTTGGGCTGTTTTTCTTTGCATCTTTTACATTTCAATGGTTTTTAATATATTCAGAGATATACACAAACATTACTAGTCAATTTTAGAACATTTCATCACCTCAAAAAGAAACCTCATACCCTTTAGCTAACACCCCCTATCCTCCCATGCCCCTACCAACCCTGAGCAACCACTAATCAACTTCCTATTTCTATAGATTTCCATCTGAATGAAATCATGTAGAATGTGATCTTTCATCTGTTTTGAAGGTTCACCCATGCTGTAGCATATGTGCTTTGCTCCTTTTTGTGATCAAATAATATTCCACCATGTGGGTAGACAACATTCAGTGTATCTCTTCATCTGGTGATGGGCATTTGGATTAACTCCCTCTTTGGGTTATTAGGAGTGATGCTAATGTAATTATTCATGTACAAGTTTTTGTGTGGACCTGTGCTTTCATTTTTGAATATGAAAATATGGCACATCTCCAAGGAAGACATATAAGTGGCCAATAAGCACATGAAAAGATGCTCAATGAAATTCATCATCAGGGAAACAGAAATCAAAACCACAATGAGATACCACATCATACCCATAAGGATGGCTGGAATTGAAGATACAGAAAATTGGCCTGGTGCGGTGGCTCATGCCTGTAATCCCAGCACTTTGGGAGACCAAGGTGGGTGTATCACCTGAGGCCAGGAGTTTGAGACCAGCCTGGCCAACATGGTGAAACCCTGTCTCTACTAAAAAAATACAAAAATTAGCCAGGCATGGTGGCAGGTGCCTATAATCCCAGCTACGCGGGAAGCTGAGGCAGGAGAGTAACTTGAATCTGGAAGGCAGAGGTTGCAGTGAGCTGAGATTGTGCCACTGCACTCTAGCCTGGGCGACAGAGCAAGACTTCGTCTCAAAAAAAAAAAAAAATAGAGAAAATAACAAGTGTTGGTTAGGATGCAGAGAAACTAGAACCTTCATACACTGCTGGTGGGTGTTAAAATGGTGTAGCCACTGTGAGAAACAGTTTAACAACTTCCCAAACAATTCTACATAGAGTTACCAAATGACCCAGCAATTGTACTCCCAGGTATAGGCCCAACTTGGGCTCTTTTAATCTATGGAAAATGAACTATGGGTACTTGGCAAGAACAAAGACGGAGAGAGGCAGAAATGGTGCCATGAGGGCACATTGACTGGTCTCTAGTGCACATGGCTCCCAGTGCAAATGGCCTCTAAATGACTTCATCAGTTGCTCATAAAAAAAATCACCCTCTGCTCCAATCGTGGAGGAAGAAGTGTGGATTGGACCTGGTGAGCCACAGTAAGACTGACTGCTAAACTTTATGAATGATGAGGGGATTTGCACGTATAATCTTGACTGTACTAGATTTTTTATTTTATCCACTGTCTTTGAAATCCTAACTCTTGACTAAGAACTGACTTTCCTGTACTTGTTGTTGACTCTAAGTAAATTTCCAATTCCACATACTCCAAAGATGATGTGCTGAGGAATCTCTCAAACGAAAGATGCTAAGAATCCAGGCACAGTTATACGGCAAATTTTGCAGAATTAACACAAATTGCACTTGTAGGTACGAAGCACAAAACATTTTCATGGGTAAAGAAAAAAGTGTTCTTCATTCTAGTAGAGGCTGCAGGATGAAGCCGATCAAGGTGCTTGCCCAGCCAGACCTTGGGCTCTTACCAAATTTGTGTTAGAGTCAACTCTGATGGAGTCTATATTCCAGTCATCTTTTTTTTTTTTTGACATGGAATCTCGCTCTGTCTCCCAGGCTGGAATGCAGCGGTGTGATCTCAGCTCACTGCAACCTCCGCCTCCTGGGTTCAAGCGATTCTCCTGCCTCAGCTTCCCAAGTAGCTGGGACTACATGTGTGTGCCACCATGCCAAGCTAATTTTTGTATTTTTAGTAGAGATGTTTCATCATGTTGGCCAGGCTGTGCTCAAACTCCTGACCTCAAGTGATCCACCTGCCTTGGCCTCCCAAAGTGCTGGGATTACAGGCATAAGCCACCATGCCTGACCTCAGTCATCTTTTTATCCTCCACACCTGGCAAGTTCTGACACACTGTGGTTCCACACAAGTTTGTTGAATAAACAGGAGACAGAAAGTGGGAACTCTGGAAGTAGAGAAGATTCCAGAAATTGTGCATATTTCCCAGAGACTGTGGCCAAATTCCTCAATCTTGCCAGAGTTTCCCTATCTCAACTCAAACCTTATGTGTGGGCCCAGGCACAGTGGCTCACACCTGTAACCCGAACACTTTAGGAGGCTGAGGTGGGCAGATCACTTCAGGCCAGGAGTTTGAGACCAGCCTGGCCAACATGGTGAAACCCCGCCTCTACTAAAAATACAAAAATTAGCCAGGCATGGTGGAGTGTACCTGTAGTCCCAGCTGCTCAGGGGGCTGAGGCACAAGCATTGCTTGAACCCAGGAGGCGGAGGTTGCAGTGAGTCAAGATTAAGACACTGTACTCTAGCCTGGGCAATAAAGCAAGACTGTCTCAAAAGAAAAAGAAAAAAAAACCCTTATGTGTGGGCCTTGTAACAGAATTAATGTTTATATGGACAATATGTACATGGGTGTATGTTAAGAGCATGAGTCATCCACAAGATTTTAGCAAAGTCCATTTGGAAAGCTCAATGCTTTGGGCTTCCACTTGCTTTGCTGCCTCTGTCCTCAGAAGGAGGCTTCATCCTTCCATGTAACCAGCAAATCCTTTATGCAGAGATGTACACAACACACTCCTCTCCTTGGCTATGACACCTTGCAAGGCTCCTCTCAGTGGCCCCTGGTGCTCATTTCAGAGTAGTTCAAATTAAGGTGATCAGCTTTCATGCCAATCACTCTACAAATCATTCCTATTATGACCAATTTTTCTAAATGCTTTATTGAATTATTACTTAAAGAAATGTGCACATAGAAGAGGTCAACACAGTACTTTCCTTACAAACTGAACATACTGGCCAGGCGCAGTGGCTCATGCCTGTCATCCCAGCACTTTGGGAGGCCGAGGTGAGCAGATTGCTTGAGCCCAACAGCTCGAGACCAGCCTGGGCAATATAGTGAGACCCCCCCTCTCTGCAAAAAATAAATAAATACAAAAATTAGGCAAGAGTGGTGGCACATGCCTGTAGTCCCAGCTACTCCAGAGGGCTGAGGTGGGAGGACTCCTTGAGCCCAGGAGACAGAGGCTGCAGTGAGCCATGATCGTGCCACTGTGCTCCAGCCTGGGTGACAGAGAAAGATCCTGCCTCAAAAAAAAAAAAAAAAACTGAACATTTCCATATTACCAACACCCAGTTCAAGAAACAGAACATTACAGCCCCTTCCAGGATATTCCTGGGGTCTCTTCCATCTCTACTAACCCCTGACTACCAACAACCTCCACCTATTTCACCTGACATTGTCCTTTATGAGAGCAGCAGTTCTCAGATGGGGGCTATTATGCCCCCGGGGGACATTAGGCAATATCTGGGGACACTGGTGGTTGCCTGTACTTGGGGGGAGTTGTGTTACTGCATCCAGTGAGTCCAGGGATCCAGGGATGCCACTCAACATTCTAAAATGCACAGGGAACCCCCACACATACAACAGAGAAACTGCTGAGCCAAAATGTCAGCAGTGTCACAGCTGAAACCCTGACATACACACAATCACACAGTATCTGCTCTTTCGTGCTCAGGATCTCTTTCATTCTAGTCATCTCATAGGAAACAGAAATGTCATTTGGAGGCAGGTAGAGTCCAAAACAAAGAAAATCCAGAGTTTTTTTTTTAATCAGCCTGGTGCCTTTAGAGCTAGGATTTGGTTTCCATTCTTTCTGTCTCATTTTCAAGTGATTTTTCTTGAAATGGCATCTGCTGGGCTCAAGACCCGGAGATCCCCACAAAGCTGAGATTCACATGGGAATTTTGTACACACCCACACAGGTATACACCGCCATTTACATGCAGACATCCACCCACAGATACACACATCTGGAGACCAAGACAAAAGCAAACTCCACCATAAAAGCACAGTCCCCCGAACAGGAGAAACGCACCATTCACTCCAGAGAGGTACCTATTTGTTTAATTCAGCCTCTGATAGTCAGGCTGTTGCCAAGCCCAGCTCTGAAAGTCTTCCCCTCTAGGAAAGAGAGATGGATTTTTGCTTTACTCAAGAATATAGATCTAAAAAAAACAAACACTTCTGCATCTCAAAGCAAGCTCTACCTCCTGAGCTACACATATTGATCAGCATTTTATTGTCAATTTTCTTTTATTTGAACTGGAGAAAAATATAATCTAATTATGTTCTTACTGATAGTTGGGAATCAGTCACACTAAATCCAATTCTCTGGGTTCTCATGATTAAGGTGTTTAATTTGGGGGACAACAAAGCAAAAGCATTGGTCGTGTTTTAATATAATTGGTACAGAATATATCTAAGGGGTTCAAGTATCACTGTAGCAAGAAGCTCATTCTGCAGTAAAAGGTGGTTCTACCACTAGCATTGAGTTAGGGTGGTTCATGGCTGTACCGTTTTATCAATGTCTCTTCAAGAGTCCATGGAATGTGGAAGGGGAAAGACTGAAATAGTCCAAGTCTTGGCTAAGCTCCTATAAAGGGGTGTTAGGAGCTGATAAAATAACCTGGTCTTTACAGACATCCCACACTGTAGTTCTCTAAGCTACAGATTCTCAGATTTTTTCTATTTTATAAACCAGTAAAAATATTTTTTTAATTTGAGAACCAACATAAGGTTGCTATTTTTTTTTCTTTTTGGTAAGAAGGAACTTTTTTAAACTACCAGTTTTACACACACACACACACACAGAGAAATTCCACCATGATCAGTCAGAATAGGTTAGGTTTTGCTGCAATAACAACTCCTAAATCTTGGTAACTTCAAACATTAGAAGTTGTTTTTCTCACTTATGCTACATCTGCAGGGAGGTGTGGGGTGCTCTGTTTCCCATCAAACTTGCCCTAAGACTAAGGCTAATGGGGGTTGCATTACCTGGAGTATCACCAAGCAGGGAACAGAGGGAGAAGAATGCTAGAGAGCCCTGTACTAAGAATTAAAAGCTCCTAGCTAGAAGTCTCACACTGCACCTCTGCCCCCAGCCTACTGGCCAGTACTAGCCACATCCCCTCCCCCATCACAGGGCAATGCATGAAGACAGGAGAATTGGATACATGACAAATTTCTACCCCATGGCATTTCATAAAAGAGAAAAAATGCAAATACAAAAATGTTTTAATACAATAGAATATATACACTTTTACAATAAAGAACAATCCGCCAAAAAGGACAGCTGGTGGTCTTTCACCAATGGGCAGATTTCTGTGACATTTTCTCTGTTTTTCTATTTTATCCTTGACCCATGAACATTTTATACAGACGGTCCAAAGAACACCATTTGGGGACCACTGCTCTCATCAGGTGATGAAAACGGCCCCAAGAACAGAGCACAGTCTCCTTAGCAGGGCCAGGGTGACCACGTTCTCACCATCAATGCACAGACATCCAACTGCAGCATCCTCACATCCCAACATCAAACGGTGGCTCTTTATAGCTTGATTCTAATGCCCCTTGATCTTCATCATCACTGTAAAGCTCTCTGGCCCCGAGACCTAACATCGCCACTCTAGCTACATCCTGCAACTGTTCACCTCTCCTGCCTCCTCATCCCTCTAAACTTCTCTTCACAACCTCATGTTTCCTTCTTGCTTTACCTTCCTGCTCAGCCTGGATCTTACAGTCACCTTCTTCTTGTAATGTGCTCCTAAACTCGTTCTTCCCTGCCTTCAACCACACCCACCTGGAAAATCTCCATACCCCATTGATGACTTGCCTTGCAACTGCCCAAGGGCTGCTGAATGATACTGGAAAGAATCACAACATGGATATGGTAGTTCCACTAAATAATCTCACCATCCAACTCTATGGTAGACTTCACTTCTCTTCAGCAATATTTTTAACCATCACAAATAAATTCCAAACCATATTTGCTGTAACAATTGACTTTAAACCTCTTCTGTATCTCAAAGACCCCCAAACCCATCCCTAGGGGTTTCAGAGCCCACTCAGAGTTGAGTTCTCCCAAATCACTTCCATCTCACCCCTAGATCACTGTACCTTGACCCTCTTCCTCTGCCTTTCCCATCTCATAAGGAGAAGCATCCTTCTCCTTTCCCAAACTACCTTCTCCACTTGCACCTCATTTGAGACCTGCCTTTATCACCCATTCCCTTGGAACTCCCATGACTCACCACCTTCACTCCTCATTTCACTCATATTTTGCACCATGTATGTGCCAGGCGTTTAACACATAATCATACTTAAGTCTCCACATGCTAACAAGAAAAACCTTGATTATCCCTGCTATGCCCTCAAGTCATTACCCTCCCAGCTCCTTTCCTGTGTTCCCAAACTTTGTTGATCTTCATCAATCCCTCTGTTGCAGACAGCTCTGAAGTTTGCATCGCATTAGGTTGGTGCAAAAGTAATTGCAGATTTTGCCATTACAAGTAATGGCAAAAACAGCAATTATTTTTGTACCAGTTAAGTATCTTTTCTCCTTCTACCAAACTTTGTCCCTGAGTCATCTCATCACCTATAACTACCTCCTCCATGCAGTTGATTCCCATATCTGTATTATTCTACTGGAAGTCCATTCCCCACCTTTCTCGGCTAGAATAGCAGAAGCCCAATTAGAATTCATGCTACAAGTTTCCCACCACCACCACCACCACCACCACCGTCACCCTGCCATTGTTAGCAAAACCGTCTCTTCAGTGGAGCCCAAAGATTTGTAATGATCTCCCACTCCCCAGAAAGATAACTTCAGACTCAGCCTAGAAGTAAAGATCCTCCAGATATGGCCTCAACTACCCTCCAACCCATGTCCCCAGTGCATCCCTTTGATGCCCCCTTCAGTGGAGTTACAATGGAGTGAGTGTTTTTCTTTTCACATTCTCCTGGTGTTCTTCCAGAAATACAATTTTCACCTCTTGAATATTTTCAAGGATTCTCCATGCTACACACAGTGAAATCCAAACTCCCCATCAGCACCCCAGTCTTCCCAAACCCTCTTTGCACTTTTCTGCCTCCATGCTTTTCCTTGGGTCATCCTCTTATCTAATATAACCTTGTATATTACTCTGGGTTCTCCAGAGAAAGAGCAGAGAGATAGAGGTAGAGCTATACACCTAGAGAGAGACAGATTGATTTGTTGTAAGGCATGGCTCACATGGTTATGGAGGCTAAGGAGTCCTGGAGTCTGCAGCCAGCAAGCTGGAGACCCAGGACAGCCAATGATATAGTTCCAACTCGAGTCCACATCTAAACTCAGGAGAAGATTGATGTCCCAGCTCAAATATAATCAGGTAAAGAGAGCAAATTCTCTGTGACTCTACCTTTTTGTTTTGTTCAGGTCTTCAGTGGATTGGATGAGGCTCACCCACATTGGGGAGGACAATCTGCCTTATTCAGTCTACCAATTAAATGTTATCCTCATCCAGAATACCTCAGAGATACATCCAGAATAACGTGTAGCCAAATATCTGGGCACCCCACAACCCAGTCAAATTGATACATAACACTAACCATCATGTCTTGCTTCTACTCTCTCCCCGTTACTGCATGTCCAAATCCTTCCCTTATTTCAAGGCTTAGTTCAAATGTTACCTCTTAACTAAGCCTTCCCTGCTAACCCCAAATATTAATAGAATTAGTTGCTCCCTTCTCTGATATCTCAAAATACGTTGTGTGTTTCTTTTACTGTATTTATTACAAACTCCCTTATAAATCAAGACAGTGATTCCCAGACAAATTATCAAAAGAGTATAAAAGAAGTCTTCTTTGAGTGTGAAATATCTCATGGAATATAGCACATGGCCTCTTCATGAAGAAACTACTGGGAGAGAAGAAGACAAGATGCAAGAGGCCAGGGAAAGGGGGTTACTACAAAGCACAATGAGGCTGGGCTTATACGGTGGCTCACACCTGTAATCCCAGCATTTTGGGAGGCCCAGGCCAGCGGATCACGAGGTCAGGAGATCGAGACCATCCTGGCTAACACGGTGAAACCCCGTGTCTACCAAAAATACAAAAAAATTAGCCAGGCATGGTGGCAGGCGCCTGTAGTCCCAGCTACTCAGGAGGCTGAGGCAGAAGAATGGCATGAACCCGGGAGGCGGAGCTTGCAGTGAGCTGGGATCACACCACTGCACTCAAGGCTGGGTGACAGGGAGAGACTCCAACTCAAAAAAAAAAAAAAAAAACCATACACACAGTGAAATGTCAGTGGATGGGTGCCTATAATTTCTAAGGAAAACAGAATATAATCCAAGAATTTTATAGCCAACTAAATTACTGCCCAATCAAAATAGGCAAAAGACACTATCACATGTTCAAGAACTTAGAGAATACAGTATTTCTGAGCTCTTTAAAAAAAACAGTCTTCATAATAAAATTTAGTCAGCCAAGAAATTAAAAAATAAGCAACTTGTGAATTGAATGACCATGACAAAAGGCCAGTGATGAGAGGTGAATCCATTTAAAAATAGGACTATGATTGCAGAACAGAAAGAAAAGGTGGTCAACCTTAACAACATAAAACAACCTAGAAATAACTAGTTTCCAGAGGTAAAGGGAGGGACTGTAGGAAGTAGACGTGCTAATGCCCTTTATTAAGTCAATTAATCAGGTCTAAAATTGAAACGTGGTTTTAAATATATAACTTCTTGTTTATTTTCCTCCCTAACTACCTGAGGATCAGCCACCATGATGAATGACAAAGTAACTATCTGGACCCGGAAGTTCATGACCAATCGACCGCTCCAGAGGAAACAAATGGTCACCAATGTCCTTCACCCCGGGAAGGCAACTAAATGTACAAGACCACAATGGGTGTCATCTTCATATTAATATTTGGACTCAGAACCCATTTTGATGGTGGTTAAACAACGGGCTTTGGCATGTTATCTGGTTCTTTGAATTATGCAAAGAAAAATGAACTCAAACGTAGACTTGCAAGACACAGCTGGCATGAGAAGAAGATGACCTCAAGAAAACAGCAAAAGGAATGCAAGGGCAGAATGACGTCAAGAGACTGCAAAGGCCAATGTCGGTGCTGTCAAAAAGCAAAAGGAGTAAAGATTTTGCAATGACTTTATTTGCAGTGACTGTACAAATTTTTCATGAGATGGTCAGTCAACTGTAAAGACTTCTACATATATATAAAACATCTTAATATTTTTCACCACCTTTGGTTTCTTAGATGTTCTAGAAACTGATTTTTGCTAAGAAAAAACTACATTTATCTGAGTTGACCAGTTCCTTCAGTTTCACTTCCATTTCTTTTTCTTCTGATAAATTTACACAGCATTCAATTTGCTACTTCTTGTTTTTAAAATCTCATTTTGTGTGATCAGAAGTGTCTCTTCATGTCTCTAGCCATCTTTGTGCATAGCAAGGAATGCTGCTCACTTAATATTAGGAGGTTTATTTCTTGGGGTCGTGAGATTTGGGGTGATTTCTCTCTCTTTTTGTACTTTTCTGTATTCATTAATTTTTTTGAGACTATGTCACCAATGTCCTTCATATTAATATTTGGACTCAGAACCCATTTTGGTGGTGGTTAAACAATCGTCACCCACATTGGAGTGCAGTGGTATGATCTCAGCTCACCAAACCTCCACCTCCCAGGCTTAAGCGATTCTCCTGCCTCAGCCTCCCACGTAGCTGGGATTATAGGCATGCACCATCATGCCTGACTAATTTTTGTATTTTTAGTAGAGACAAGGTTTCATCATGTCGTCCAGGCTGGTCTCAAACTCTCGGCCTCAAGTGATCTGACCACCTCAGCCTCCCAAGTGCTAAGATTACAGGTGTGAGCCACCGTGCCCAGCCTCCTCACTTACACTTTTACAGAAGATCTGATCATACCCACTCCGCAGAAGTCAGAATGGCCCCCACGTGGTGTTAAACAGGAGTGAAAACTTGAGTTCAATCAACTGAGGGTGACACAGAAACATTTCCCACAAAACGCTTTTGGCAGCTCTGCTGATCCATAACCCGGCTCCATTTCAGGGCAAGACCTCCACTTAAGCTGCACTGGCTTCCACTAGAATAAATCACATTAACTCATGACAAACACAACTGAAGGGCAAAAAGATTCTTCTTAAAATGATTTTTGTCTCTCACTTACCAACACACGCTGGCCTCCCTAGAGCCTCACTCCATTCAGCACCTGTTCCACTGAGCACCCACTGAAAGCTCACTTCACAAGCTGAAATGACCCAGACATCAAGGAGTTTACAATCCAGGGGAAGAACAGACCTGAATGCAAGTGATGACAATACAAGATGGAGTCAAAGAGCCCAGCTTGAAGTTTCAGCAGAATAGCACCAAAGACTAGTTCCCAACCCAGCTCCCAGAGCCAGAGCCAGAGCCAGGCTGGCTGCATGAGATCAGCTGGGAGCTTTTGCAAACATAGGTCCTAGCTGAGCCCCTAATCATCAAACTGTCTGGGAGTGAGCTCCAGGAATTGGTGTATTTAATAAGCACCCACACACACATAATTCTGATGTTCCTAAGGGTTGTAGAAACATGGAACTATGGAAAACACTAAAAAAAAAAAGGCACTAAAAGAAACCTATAAATATTCATTACTGTCCCAGGCATCATGAGGACACTCCATGTGCACTATTTCCAATACTTACAATAACCTGCAAGGATTCATTCATGACAATGGGCTTTATCAGCATCAGAGCCAGCCCTGGGAATGCTTGAACCTGCGCTGAAGGTCACCCCCTCCTCCCCACAGGAGGGGGCTAACATTAAGGAGCAGGGGCCAGATGGGAAATGGAGTGTGCTTTTATTATAAGACCACAGTGAGAGACTTCTTTTTTTTTTTTCAGAGATTCGTTCTTGCCACCCAGGCTGGTGTGCAGTGGTGCAATCTTAGCTCACTGCAACTTCCACCTCCCGGCTTCAAGAGATTCTCCTGCCTCAGCCTCCCGAGTAGGTGGGACTATAGGCGCCTGCCACCATGCCCGGCTAATTTTTGTATGTTTAATAGAGATAGGGTTTCACCATGTTGGTCAGGATGGTCTTGAACTCTTGACCTCGTGATCCGCCTACCTTGGCCTCCCAAAGTGCTGGGATTACAGGTGTGAGCCACCACGCCTAGCCTGAGACTTTCAAGTAAAGCCACAATGGACCACAGAGCTTAGACATCAGGGCTAATATGGAATCTCTGTCATTAAATCTTGAGATCTTATTATCTTTGCTCAAAGAAAAAAATAATCACAATTTACATTTTGAGGACAAGACATCTGAATGTAAACTCGATCTTAGAGGATATTAAGGAATTACTGGTAATTTGATTAGGTATGACAATGATCATATAAAAAATGCCCTCATGTTTTTAGAGGGAAAGTAAATTACATAGGGGTGAATATCATGAAGCAATTACATAACTACTGTAAACTATTTTTTAAATACTTCAGAAAAACAAATGGAGTAAATATTGCAAACGTTAATAGTTTTTATACTTATGTGATGGGTATATGATAGCTCATTAAACTAGTCGCTCTACTTTTATGTATATTGAAAATTTTTCATAATAATAATAATAAAAAACCTTGGCCAGGCACAGCAGCTCATGCCTATAATCCCAGCACTTTAGGAGGCCGAGGTGGATGGAGGACTGCTTGAGCCCAGGAGTTTGAGACCAGCCTAGGCAACATGGTGAAACCTCATCTCTACAAAAAATAGACAAATTAGTCAGGCAAGGTGGTGTGCACCCGCAGTCCCAGCTACTCAGGAGGCTGAGGTGGGAGGATCACCTGAGCCCAGAAGGTCAAGGCTGCAGTGAGCCAAGGTCACACCACTGCACTCCAGCCTGGGTGACAGAGTTAGACCCTGTCTCAAAGAAACAAGCAAACAAAAACCCTCTTGATCCCATTTCCCCCCCACCCCAAAAAAATGATTTTTTTGAGATCTGACCGTCTCCCGGCTTGGTGCAGAGTAGAGGAAGTCGAGACAAAGTACAACACACAAGGAATGGGCAGGGAGGGAAGCGTGGGGGAGGCTGACACTGGGGACTCTCCCAGCTCAGTCGACCCATGCGCCTTGCTTCATGGAAGAAAGGAATGGAAGATGAGTCATGCCTTTAACACACAGTGATCTTCCTCACTAGTAAATGCGCCTCCAGAAGTGTCCAAGAACTCAGCGCCAGAGACAGGCTGGCTGCATGAGAATCACCTGCGAGCCTTTGCAAACGCAGGCCCCTACTGGGTCCAAACGTATTCATCTCTTGGAGAGGAGGAGAGAGGCAGAACAAGGAAAAGGATGGGAAGAAACCAGCCTTGTGCACAGGAGGATGCTGGGATTCCTCCTGCACGTTTACAGCAATGCAGCCTACTTTACAAGGTCACAGAAGCTCAGAGAGGTAAACCTGCCCAGGTTCTCATAGCATGTAACTGGCAAAACCTGCCCAAATCTCTGTCTCTAGAGATATTTCCACTTGCTTCAACTCTGGAGCTGTCTTAGTTGTAAAGATGACAGATTCCACTCATCACTCACGTTTGTTTGCAGATATTGCCTAAGGTCCCTTGTGAATATTTAGGTCAGGGCTGTTTTTTTTTGAGTTTTCTGTTTGTTTGTTTGTTTCTTGGTTTTTTTACAAAGCAATCTTGTGGAAAGAACCCAAAGTGGCTCCCCCATTTAAGACCCTGTAAACAGGGAGACCAGAGTCTGGAGTCCTGGTCTGGTTTCCACACCTTCCTTAGATTTCCCTGTGTGTAAAATCCAACAACAATCTTTGACAAATTGCCTCCCCCAGGAGAGAGATGGAGGAAGTGTTAACTTTGCTTTTTTTTTTTTCTTTTTTCAGACAGAGCCTCACTCTGTCACTCAGGCTGGAGTGCAGTGGCGCCATCTCAGCTCACTGCAAACTCTGCCTCCTGAGCTCAAATGATTCTTGTGCCTCAGCCTCCCGAGTAGTTGGGACTACAGGCAGATGCCACCACACCGGGCTAATTTTTGTACTTTTAGAAGAGGCAGGGTTTCGCATATTGGCCAGGCTGGTATCGAACTCCTGGCCTCAAGTGATCCAACCCCCTCAGCCTCTCAAAGTGCTAGGATTACAGGCATGAGCCACCATGCCCAGCCACTTAGCTATTTTTTTTAATAGAAAGCTTCGAGGTCCAGTATGATTTCACAGATTAGGAAACATCACAGGCAAAGAAGAACACTTTGCATTCAAATAGCAGAATGTTTTCATTTTCAAAGAGCTCTCATCTGCCATCTAATCTTGCCTTCCTAGCAGTCCTGGGAGAGAAGCAGATGTGGTTTCCAATCCCACTTTCCAGAAGAGGAGACTGAGGCAGAGGCTTTGCAGACACACAGAGGACATGTGAGGACAGGTGAAGGTCATGGTCATTGTCAGCCCCCTCCCCGAACTTGACATTCCCAGATCTGGTGGACTTCCAGCCAGAGGAGACAGAAGGACTGGATCACTCAACTCTGCCATGGGTGCCAGGACCCAATTTTTCCCTGGCTAACTCGGTCACATCCTGTCTGGGATCTCCAACTACTACCCATCCCACAAGTCTCAGCTAAAACAGCAATTCAATGGGGAACTTTTTTCTGAGTCTCCAGGATTGGGCCAGGCCCTCTCCATGGCTCTCTGCCCTTCCCCTCCTGCAAAACTTAGCACCTGTATGTCACTACTGGTTCAAATATGTGTCTTTCGTATGTTCTCCACGTTATCTGCAGCATCTGCCAAGAATAATAATGAATAGTAAAACCTAATCTCTATTGAGTGTCGATGATGCACTTTTAATGTGACATCTTATTTAATCCTCACTATATCTGCAAGACTAGAAGCTATTAATAGCCAATTTTCAGATAAGAAAATCAAAGCACAGTTTCTGTAACTTACCCAAGCAGCTAGCTAGGAGGCAGCTCAGTTTGAGCCCAGGGAATCATATTCCAGAGACCGTGTTCTCAATTACTAGAGCAGATACCTCCCCAGAATCTAGCAGGTGGTTAACGAGTCTTTGTGGAATAAATGAACAGAAGTACAAGCAGATGGATGGATACGTACATGGATGGATAGATAGGTGGGTGGATGGATAGATGGGTGGGTGGGCAGGTGGACGAATGAATGGATGGTTGAGTCGGTGAAGGGATGGTTGAGTGGGTGGAGAAATGGATGAGTGGGTGAATGGGTGGAGGGATAGATAAATGGATGGACGGGTGGGTGGATAGATGGTTAGATGAGTGAATGGGTGGATAGATGCATGGGTAAGTAGATGGATAGATGGTTTGGTAGGTGGTTAGGTGGATGATAGCTGGGTGCACAAGAGAGTGGATTGGATGGATAGATGGGTGGGTGGGTGGATAGATGGGTAGGTGGGTGGATGGATGTATGCATGTCTGGATGGATGGATGGATGGATGGATGGAGGGATGGATGGATGGATGGATGGATGGATGGAAGGAAGTGTGGACGGATAGGCGGACAGATGAGCAGGTGGACTTGAGCATTTATCCGGGGTCCTCCAAAGAATTGAGTGATTTTCCTAGGGTGTGTCATCACCTGCAGGTGGGTGGGCAAGGGGGCTTGCCTCTGTAATACTCATGATTATGGGTAATGGTCAGCCTTAGTCACCACCCTCAGAACACTTTATTGACTAGGAAAGTCAAAACTGGCATTGACAACTAATGCAAATTACAGCTATAACTAACAGAAGATGTTGATCTGATGACAGCTGGGCAACCAATAATCAACTGGCTGTGTCACGTTACTGCCATGCTGGGCAGGTAGAGCCAGGGGTTCCTTAATCCCTCCATCACATTGAGGATGCTTATCAAGACTTCCCCAACAGTGGGGACAGAGATCTTATCAAATACTTGCAGTTCACCCCAAAAGGCTCACCCTCTTCGCTCCACCTACACATGACCTTCAGCTCAAAGACATTTCCAGGCCTCCAGGTCAGCCCTTCTTCCAGCCTTTGAATTAATCCTAATGACTGCCTGCCCACTGGGTATCTTCACCTGTCATCACACAGCCTTTTCCAACACTGTCCTTCAATCCAGCCCTCACTAAACGCTGGAACTGTTGTTGACAAAATCCAGAACAAGCTGGGTGGGGGATGCAGGTGGGAAGCAGGCTGTAGTAATGGGGAAAATTTCTAAGCAATCTCGAACAGAGAAAAGAAACTGAACAGGTAAGAGAGAGGCAGTCAAGAGAAGTGTTAATTTTGCATAACTGAAGCTGAAGATCGGGGGGCATGGCAGACCACAAGATAAATATGATACAGACTCCTTTTTAAAAAAGTGTAAACATCCACCCTTTCCTACTGACAACTAAGGTCTTTACTAAAGGCGAGTCAGAAAAACTGGTATTTTATGGAATACAGTAAGAAGGCCCACAGACAAGTATGTTCCTGACACCATCTTCTAGCATAACCCCTGGGATTCTGGGTACACCTGTCCTAAAGTTGTCTCTCACTCCTGCTGTTGGAGAACTACTGTGAGAGAAGAACCATGGTGAAGTGGTTAAGAGTGTGCACCCAGCGACCAGCCAGGTGGCTTCAAACCATCACTATCTAATACTGAGCAAGTTACATAATGTTCCTGAGCCTCAACTTTCTCATCTGTAAAATGGGCATGCCATCTTTTATTAATCAAATTCTAGGTGAGCATATACTAAACACTAGAGACACAAATGAGAATCAGAAACAGGCATGGACCTGGCCCTCACAGTGACCACAGTCTTGAAGGGGAAGGATGACACACACAGAAGTAGGAAGCTGTACCTGAGCTAGTGTCTACCACAGAGAGGTACCTGGTGTCATGAAAGCAGATAATAGGGGGTTGCTGTGACTGAGTCAGTGTGGCCAGGCTTCCCTGAGGATGTAGTGACTCCACTGTCAGATGAGACCATGACCAGGTGAAGAGGCAGGGAGAGGGAAAATCTTTCCAGGCAGCAAGAGCAGGATGTGCAAAGGCCCTGTGGCAGGAAAAGAGCAAAGGAAGTGCAAGAGCCTGAAAGAGGCCAGAGAGAGCAAATGAACATGTGGATAATCACAGCACCCACCTCATACAGGACTTGCAAGAAATTGAGACCCTGTCTGTAACAGATTCAGCAATGACTAAATAGAAACTATCTCCTAAAAGCACAGGATGAGGCTCATTGGTGGTATTTCCCACGTGAGGCTGCCACGGACTCAGAGGCCAAGTTCAACCTGCCTGTAGACAACCTCCAAGCCAGCTGGACACATATACACCCTCAGGCTCAGTATACCCAGGACAGAGTCCTAGATGCTTGAAGTCATGATAAGTATCCAGAATGACACAGAATTCCAGCCAGGCATGGTGGCTCACGCCTGTAATCCCAGCACTTTGGGAGGCCGAGGTGGGTGGATCACCTGAGGTCAGGAGTTCAAGACCAGCCTGGCCAACATGGTGAAACTCCCTCTCTACTCAAAATACAAAAAAATTAGCTGGGTGTGGTTGTGGGTGCCTCTAGTCCCGGCTACTCAGGAGGCTGAGACAGGAGAATCGCTTGAACCCGGGAGGCAGAGACTGCAGTGAACCGAGATTGCACCATTGCACTCCAGCCTGGGCAACAAAAGTGAAATTCAGTCTCAAAAAAGAAAGAAAGAAAAAAAAAAAGAATGACACAGCATTTGCTAAAGGGGAGAAAGGGCTTTCTTCCAAAGCTGAGCCTGGTTTCTACAGAGAGTCTTTCAGATGAAAATTAAGCGGCTCTTTGCGAGCACCTCAGAGGAGAACCCCTCACGCTGATGAATCAGGCACACCGGCGGTGGATCCAAGACAATTGGCTGCGTGCATGTGAACAAGCTTATGGTGGAAATGCAGTGCTTTATTTGTTTGGGGTGGTTTAATCACCAGGAGGGAGAAGCTTCTAAAGCAGCACTCAGAGGTGGCTGTTGCCTGGGTTTTCTGGAAGGGGGAGGTGGTGGGGATGAGGGCTTCCGTTTCATCTGCAGGCCCCTTGCAGAAGGAGCTGGGGAAAGCTTTGCAGCCATCTGCACACTGTTTGCCATCTTGTCTGGCTGGGCAGCCGAGCTCCAGATGGGGGCGGATGGGATAGCTCTTGCCACCGTATTTGGAGAGAGATGGCAGGGAAGTCATCCCCCGTGAAGAAGACAGGAGCAGGCAGGTGCTGGACAGTGCTGCCCAGGCCCCTGGGGCTGAAGTGTCCAACCCCACAGCCTCTAGGTGCCACTAAAGCAGCCCAAGAGGATCTTCTCTGTCCATCTCCATCCTGGCACCTACAGACACCTGGAGAGAGTCCTTCACATGGGAACTCACAAATGCACACTGATAACCCCCACACGGAACTCTCATACGTAGCAAGTGAAAAGACAGGATGCCAGTTAAACTTGAATTGCAGATAAACAACAAATCATTTTTTAGGGTAAGTAGGTCCCAAATATTGCATGGGATATACTTGCCCCCCAAAGAAATGGTTAATGAGAAATTCAGGTTTAACTGGACCTCCTGGAAAGCCTAACCCTGCATAAATACAACCTAGAGCTTGAAACTCACAGAGAAACCACAGCCGTGCTCACACATGTGCACAAACCCATATGCCTTAGAGAGTCAAGGGCTGTGATGAGGGTCCCCACCCTTCCACACTTCCCTGTCCTCTGTCTGGGCTCAGAGTAAACAGAGGGTCACCTGGCATCCAGGTCTAAGCTGGGCTTGGAGGTGTCCTAATGAAGCAGGATGCTGACCTGCACTTCCCCAGCTCAGCGGGGGCTACAGCCAGGCCTAGCTTCCAGTCTCAGGCCTAGAATACACAGCACAGCCCCAGACCTTGGCAAGAAGACTTCATCTCAAAGGTCACTGGTTCAGGACCTATTAGGAGCCCCACTTCTTCTTTTTTTTTTTAAACTTGAAGTTAATTCCATTTAATTTATAGCTTATTTTATAATAGTATTTTATTAAGCTATTAATTTACATATAGTAAAATCACAAATCTAAACATACAGCATGAGGAATGTTGACACATGTTGCAGCTACACAACCATCATCCAGATCAAAATACAAAACATTTCAATCACCCCAGAAAATTTCCTCAGGCCCCTTTTCCATTCAATTTGAATTCCCCGCCCTCACTCCAAGCAGCCACTGTTCTGGTATCTATCATCAAATGCTAGTTTTGCCTGGAAGTGGCTTTAATATAAAAGTAATTAGATAGTATGTTATGTCTGAGAAGCCCCACTTCTTTCCTCTGTTTCTGCTGCCATTGCCCCAGTCTCTGACCCTGCCACTCAATCACTCTATAAACACAGCAGGTACTAGGGGTGGCTCTGGGCTCGGCACTAAGACAATGCCCCCGGTAAAGCCACAGTCTAGCAATGACAGTCAACCACGTATCAGCAACAGCCCTGCCCCACACGTGCTGACTGCGCACAAGGCCGGCGCCGTGAACGTGCTGTCAACAGTGATCTCACTGAACCCTCATGGCAGCTCTAGGATGCAGACAGTAGTATCACATTATCCCCATTTTACTTTTGAGGAAACTGAAGAAGGCAAAGGCAGGCCTCGAGATCTGCAGTAACATTGCCAGGAATGTTTGAGAAAGCAAACTTCTCCAGAGTGAGGCAGTCTGCCAGAGCTCGGAAGCCAGAGTCCCTGTTAGCAGGGGCTGGGGGGACCGTTAGCAGGGTCTGCGGGGACAAGTGGGTAGGGGCTGGGACCCCCCCACCCCAGGACACCGAGGTGCAGATTAGTGTGAATAAAAGAAAGAGGGGCGGTCGTGCCATCATCTGCAGAAGATGATGTCTACAGAGGACAGTACCATGTGAGCCCTGGGGGAGCCGGATGACTGGATGGAATTTTGCACAGGATGCAAATTGAGCACAGATCCCCCTCTGATCCAGACAGCCCACCTCCAGGAACATCTCACAGAAATGCAGGCACAGAGCACCAAGTGATGTGTGTGAGGAAATTCATCAGAACACCGTCTGTGACTGGGAAAAGGCGGAAACCATCCACAGACGTATCGGTGCAGGGCTGGTTAAACGAAGCGTGGTGCATCCACACGTCAGAATACCTGCTGGGAGAAGAAGGTGGTATACCCAGGTTCCAACGTGAGACAATGTCAAAGACACGCTGCCTGAAAAGCAGGCTTTCCGAAGAATGAATATAGCATTATTCCATTTTTATTTTTTTAAAAAGGTTACAATAAGCACTTATGTGCAAATACATGTGCTTGCGTGCACAGAGGAAAAAGGTGTGGACAGGAACAGAAAACCAAACACTGTGTGTTCTCACTCATAAGTGGGAGTTGAACAATGAGAACACATGGACACAGAGAGGGGAACAACATACACCAGGGCCTGTCGGGGGTGAGGGACAAGGGGAGGGAGAGTGTTATGACAAATACCTAATGCATGCGGGGCTTAAAACCTAGATGATGGGTTGATAGGTGCAGTAAACCACCATGGCACATGTATACCTATGTAACAAACCTGCACATTCTGCACATGTATCCCAGAACTTAAAAAATAAAAAGAAAAGAAAAAGATGTGGAAAGGTATACCCCAACCCTCCCCAGTGTTACCTCTGAGAAGCAAGATCAAGAAAAGCAAATCAAAAGGAAGTTTTGCTTTTTGTTTTCTATATAAATTCTTTTTTCTTTTTTTTTTTGTTGAGACACAGTCTCGCTCTATTGCCCAGGCTGGAGTCCAGGGACACAATCTCGGCTCACTGCAACCTCCTCCTCACTACAACCTCCTCCTCACTGCAACCTCCTCCTTACTGCAACCTCCTCCTCACTGCAACCTCCTCCTCACTGCAATCTGCTCCTCACTGCAACCTGCTCCTCACTGTAACCTCCTCCTCACTGCAACCTCCTCCTCACTGCAACCTCCTCCTCACTGCAACCTGCTGCTTCTGGGTTCAAGCGATTCTCTTGCCTCAGCCTCCCAAATAACTAGGATTACAGGTGGGCACCACCAAGCCCAGCTAACTTTTGTATTTTTTGTAGAGACAGGGTTTCACTATTTTGGCCAAGCTGGTCTCGAATTCCTGGCCCGCCCACCTTGACCTCCAAAAGTGCTGGGAATACAGGTGTGAGCCACCACACCTGGTCTGCATTGCTTGAATTCTTTACAAATGAACAAATAATAATTTGTATTTTTAATAAGCAGAACAAAAACTAACAAATTATACTCAGACCACATAGACCCTCTCAGCTGGCCCAATTCCAAGAGTCCAAGGCAGGAAAGGCAGAAGGCAGGGGCTTACCCCCACATCAGGACAACATAGAACAGAGTCAGAAAAGAAAAACATGAATGGATCAGTCAAGAGGGCCGTGCACGTCCCCTCCCAGGCACCTACACCTTGCAACTTAAGCCGACAGGCTTTCAAGCCACAGAGTCTTCCTCCCCAGAGACTAGCAAGGACACAAGCCCCGGCCAGGCCCCTCCAGGAGGACGGTCTGAGGGACAAGGTGGGGGGCACAGTCAGGGGTGGCAGGAGGAAAGGGGGACACGAAGCCAAGGAAACCAGGGCACCCCATCCTTCCTGAAGGCCCCCAGAACAGGGTGCCACACAGAGCCCCTGCGTACCTGTTTCTACAACAGCCTGAACACAAGGAAAAGGAAAACACACAAAGCGCAGCCTCACCTGGAGCAGGTTAAATAAAGGTGTGTGACTTTGTCTTCATGTCCTTTGGAACTGGAAATCCAAGCTTCCTCTTCCGTGCCTTTAAGGTCCTGGCTGCTGCCCCACAGCCCCCTTCTCTTCCCTCCTCCTCTTGTCCTCTTTTTTTTTTTTTTTTTTTTTTTTTGAGATGGAGTCTTGCTCTGTTGTCCAGGCTGGAGTGCACTGGCACAATCTCAGCTCACTGCAACCTCCACCTCCCGGGTTCAAGCAATTCACGTGGCTCAGCTTCCCGAGTAGCTGGGATTATAGGTGTCCACACATCGCCCAGCTAATTATTGTATTTTTATTAGAGACAGGCTTTCAACATGTTGGCCAGGCTGGTCTCAAAGTCCTGACCTCAGGTGATCCCCCACCTTGGCCTCCCAAAGTGCTGGGATTACAGGTGTGAGCCACCGTGCCCGGCCCTCTTGTCCTAACTCTGCCATCTCTTTGCAGTCTCCCCCGAACAGCTTTTCCTGGGCACACCCTGCACCCCCTTTCAGAGCTGCACTCTCAGACCACCCCCCAAGCGCTCCACGGCCCTGGCTCCTGCCCCGGGGCTCTGATCCTCAGCTGGTGAGGTCTAGAGGGTCAGAGGGAGCCTTAGAGAAGCTAAGGCAGGAACCCTGTGCTAGGCTGTGGGTGACCTGCCCCCTTCCAGCTGCGGCCGAATAGAAGGGGAAAGGCTGCCCCCAGAATACAGGGCTCTCAGAGGCCCTGGGGATCTGGGCTGGCAGTCAGGAGGACTGTCACCTCAGTGCAGTTGCCTGCAAGGAAGGCTGTGCAGGAAGCTGCATGTGGCTCAGAGAACAAAAAAAGGAAATTAAATGCACCATCTGGTTATTAGCAAGAGCTTTTGAGGCAAACACTTAAATATGCATGCTTAGACATTATAAAACTTGGGGGAAATGTTAATTTCCATAACGCCAGTTGTTGTGCTCGCAGAAACCATTCTTTTATCTCCCTTCCTAGTAATTTGGGGGCTCCATCCCTCAGAGTGGCAGCGCCAAGACAGCCGGCCTCACTGGGTTTTGTAAGCTGTGCGAGGTGAGATCCCAAGCCCTTGCCTGGAGACCCATCTTAGGAAAATGTTAGAACAGGGCAACAAGTTGCCATTTCCTCCCTCCTTTCTCTTCCCCATACAAAAATCGAAAAGCACCCTAGCCCAGTGCCCAGCCACATGGTGAGGAAACCCCACTCAAAATCCTGGGTTGTGCCCCTGATACCAAAGACCTGCAGAATTGGGACTCACCTGCTCCAACCCTAGCCCAGACCTGTGTACATTTCAAGGGTGGCTGGACTCATGGCCGCCTGGGATGTCAGGGTGGTACAAAGTCCTCTTAACCTAAGACTGTCGGGGTACAAGGCTCAGCATTTTTTTTGTTTCTCTCGAGGGCCAGATGGTAAATAGTTCAGCATTGCAGGCCATAGGTCTCTGTCGCAACTATTCAACTCTCCAATGTAGCAGGAAAGCAGCCACAGACAATATGCACTGAAATAGGTGTGGCTGTGTTCCAATAAAACTTTATTTGTATGAACAGGCAGGGGGCTGTCTCTGGCCTGTGGGCTGTAGCCTGCCTCCTCTGCTACAGCGTGATCTCCAAGGACCCATCCATCTTGTAGACCAGCAGCTGGCACACAGGAGCTGCTCAGATACTTGAAGGAGGAATGGAGAAGGCAAGCAGCCCCCAGTGCACAGATGTGAGGGTCTCCCAGCAGCACCATCCTTTGCCATCTCATGCGGAGGGACAAAGCCAGGGCAGGGCTCTCCACCAAGGCTGGATTCTCCTCCAAGGAAATGTGATAACAGGACAGAAAGCATCGTGGAAGGATAGGGGCTTTGGAGTCCCACAAACCACAGTTTGCAAGACCAGGAGCATCCTGCACTTCCTTGCACACATCCTGGGTGGGTGCTAGAGCATCTAGACTTAGAGTGAATCTTTTCCCCCTCCTCCCCCAACTGGCCTCCATTATACTTCCAGCAACAATGTGGTGTATGTACACAATGGAATACTATTCAGCCTTCAAAAAGAAGGAAATCCTGCCATTTGAGACAACATGGATGAGCCTGGAGGATATTACGTTAAGTGAAATAAGCCAGGCACAGAACGACAAATACCACCTGATCTCACTTATATGTGGAATCTAAAAACGTTGAACTCAGCGAGGCATGGTGGCTCATGTCTGTAATCCCAGCACTTTGGGAGGCTGAGGCCGGCAGATTGCTTGAGCCCAGGAGTTCAGGACCAGCCTGCATAACATAGCAAGACCCCATCTCTACAAAAAATACAAAACTTAGTGGAGCGTGGTGGTGCATGCCTGTACTCCCAGATACTCAGGAGGCTGAGGTGGAAGGATTGATTGAGCTTGGGAGGCCAAGGCTGCAGTCAGCCAAGATCACACCCCTGCACTACAGCCTGGGCAATAGAATGAGATTGTCTCAAAAAAAAAAAAAGAAAGAAAAAGAAAATTAAAAAGTTTAATTCATAGAAGCAGAGTAGAATGATGGTTGTCAGGGTGGGGAAGTGGGCAGATGCCAAAGGACACAGAATGTCATTTTTAGAGAGGAAGAATAAGTTCAAGAGATCCATGGGACAACATGGTACCTACAGTTAATAACAACATATCATACACTTGGAAATCACTAAGAGAGTAGATTTTTTAAGTGTTCTCACCACAAAAAAATAAGTCGAGGAGGTGATATGTTATTTAGCTTGATTTAGCCATTTTGTAATGTATACATACTTCAATCACATCATGTTGTATACCCTCTTGTACATACTTTTTGTCAATTCAATAAATTCAACAACTCCAAAAAACAAGATACTCTCTTTACAAAAATAATTATTAAAAATAAAATTCAGAATTTTATTTATTTACTTATTTTGAAACAGAGTCTCGCTCTGTCACCCAGGCTGGCTGAAGTGCAGTGGCGCGATCTCGGCTGACTGCAACCTCTGTCTCCCAGGTTCAAATGATTCTCCTGCCTCAGCCTCCCAAGTAGCTGGGATTACAGGTGTGTGCCATCACACCTGGCTAATTTTTGTATTTTTAGTAGAGACAGTTTCGCCATGTTGGCCAGGCTGGTCTTGAACTCCTGCCCTTGGGTGATCCGACGGCCTCGGCCTCCCAAAGTGCTGGTATTACAGGTGTGAGCCACTGGGCCCGGCCAGAATATAAAAGATTGCTTAATTCAACTAAAACATTAAAACACAGATTATTTCTATAAGTGGTAATTTCTCTAATATGTTTTGGTCAAAATAGTCTCCTTACCCATCCACGATTAAATGGTTAATTGACATTTGATTGGATTTTGATGAAGTTTTCAAATCATGATTGACTTTTCCAATGTATAGTAAAATGTGTTTGAAAATATTTCATAAAAATTAATATTTAAAAATGGTCAGGCATGGTGGCTCATGCCTATAATCCCAGCACTTTGGGAGGCCAAGGTGGGCCGATCACTTGAGGTCAGGAGTTTGAGACTAGCCTGGCCAAACCTCATCTCTACTAAAAATACAAAAGTCAGGCATGGTGGTGCGCATCTGCATTTCCAGCTACTTGGGAGGCTGAGGCAGGAGAATCCCTTGAACCTGGGAGGTGGGTTCCCCAGGCTTAGAGCAAAACCCCCATCTTGTCTGTCTCCACTCTCATCCCAGGCAATCGCAGTCATTTCCACAGCCTCAACCACTGGCTACCTGGGATGCCTCCCAAGCCCGAGTCTCCAGCCCAAACCTGCCTTCCTAGCCCCAGACCCATCTGTCCTGGCACACATTGCCCCCTGGGTCCCAAGCAACCTCAGCCAATGAGTCCAAAGTCAACTTCCTGTCCTTGCCTGACACTGTCAGCCCTGAGATCAGACTTGACCATTCACCTCCAGTACCTGATAGGTCCGTAAGTCCTTTGGAACATATCCCATGAACATTCCCCAAACCAGGCACCGGACTCCACACATCAACACCATCATGTGACTCGCCTGCATCCCTGGCAGGGACCCCTGTCCCAGCCTCCAACTCATCCTGTACCTTGAGTTCTGTGTCACATTCCAGAGGCCACAAGAAGAAAAATGACCACCTTAATGAAATTAAAAGAATTGAGAAGACATTTCCCTATGGTCCAAAGCCTTTCCAACTGAGAAACACATATCAAGATCCAGCCTGCCAGCCCTGCGGTTAAATGTTCCTGAAAGAATTAAAGCCCAGGGCAACACAGCCCCCACTCCACAAGTACTCCCAGCACAGTAAGACTTGCTTCCCTGCAGGGGCTTGAAATGTCCAGTGTGTACCCTGCCCCTCTCTGTCATAGCTAACAGGAATGTGCTCCGTGTCTTCTTCCTTCTCAAAGGACCGTCCACCAACCTGCGCAGGCAGCACTTTCGGCCAAAGGGGGATGCGAGAACTTCCCAAAATTTCCCACTTACGCACTGCATTCCTCAGGAGCCTGCCTCACAAATTACAAGAGCGCCACAGCAGACACACCGCGTTCCAGCGGGTTGCCATGTCTTCATGTCAGCTTCAAAGATTGTTGCCAGGGAAATATCTATATCTCAGCAGAGAGAGCTTCAGCCTCTGTAGTCCAGCTGTGCTCAAATGGAAATCCAAAAACCCAGAGGTTGGTCCAAACACCCTATCTCAGGGAGTCGGCTCTGCAAGTCCCCAGTATGGGAGTGAACTGGGTAGGCCACCTACCCTGCCTGCCCACATCCCTGCCTCCTGGAATCCTGGACCCTGAGAACCAGGCGGATGTGGTGGGGAACAGGCAAGTCTTGTGCAGAAAGCCAAGATGCCACCCAAATCCACTCTGCAGTCTAGGTGGGTGATATTCTGCTCTGCACCGCACCAGTGCATGAGGGGATGGAGGATGGAGTCTAGACAAGCCAAATGTAAAGATATTGCCCAAGTATTTTGTGCTTTGTCTGTGTTACAATGCTATGCCCAGCCCAGCATGGTGGCTCACACCTGTGATCTCAGCACCTTGGGAGGCCGAGGCAGGCAGATCACCTCAGGTCAGGAGTTTGAGACCAGCCTGGCCAACGTGGTGAAACCTCATATCTACCAAAAATACAAAAATTAGCCGGCTGTGGTGGTGGGGACCTGTAATCCCAGCTACTCCGGAGGCTGAGGCAGGAGAATCACTTGAGCCCAGGAGGTGGAGGTTGCAGTGAGCGGAGATCATGCCACTGCACTCCAGCCTGGGCAACAGAGTAAGACTCCATCTTAAAAAAAAATAAAAATAAATAAATGCTATGCCCAGCATTTTCCATGTACTGTCTTATTATCTCAGTAAATCCCATATAACCTTCCTATGAAAGTGTATCTCATTTATCTCCATTTTATAGATGAGAAAACTGAGTCCCCTGCAGTAGTATTAATTTTCCAAGACCGCATGGCTCATAAAGGGTACAGCAGGGACCCAAGCTCAACACTGTCACCCTCAAACATTTCCACAAGTGTAGACCAATGGCTCTCAACTGGGGTGGTTTTGCTCATGTACCACTCCCTTGCTCCATGGCATTTGAAACCGTCTGGAGACATCTGGGGTAGCCATAGCTGGGAGGGGGGAATGGCACCTAGAGGATGGAGACCACAGATGCCGCTAACCATCCTACAATACACGGGACGGCCCCCACCAGCACCACGAATGGTCTCACCCCAAGTGTTGTGACGGTGCCAAAGCTGAGAAACCCAGGTTTCTCCTCAGCAAGAAGGAAAATACCTGCAACGCGGATGCTCCTCTACAGGAGCCCCAGGCTGACAACAACCTTCCTGATCTGGTTTCAACCCTGGATGCTTTTATCTGGTGCGTCCATCAGGGATTTCAGTGACTCCAGTGAGTTATTACCCTTGAATGCTCGGTTCCACCTGACAACACAGAAATCTCTGCCGAGGTGCCTGGTCTTGGGGAAGGCTCAACAAATGGTTAAGGTTGATAACCAAATACCTAGGAGAGACTTCTCTCTCCCTCCAGGAACAGCTGTGGGTCAGACACACCCTGGGATCATTCACAAGCGGTCAATAAAGGCTTGGGGAGGGCTAGGTTTTCTAGGCCTTCTCAATGGGGTGGGTGTTTGTGGATACACAAGAAGCCAGTGAAACTTCTGATATTGGCAGGAAATCAATGCCCCCCACCCTCCACCCTCCACCCCCCACCACGTCCCCACCATAATCACATGCCCTGCAGCAGGACTTGGCACTCAGGGGCTCCTGGGGGCCCGATTTATCTGCTAAAACATCCTCTAGCCACCACCAAATAAAGCAACCCCTTGCCACCCAACCACAAGAGCACAGCCTGGGAGCCACTCCAAGGGACACCCAGTCACATTAAAACCTCAGCCATCCAGAGCACCAGGCCTGGTGATGAGAAAGAACATTTTATCCTTAAAAGCATCTGAATGCCCATGCTGCTTCTTGCAGAGAAAAGTCCAAAATAATCTGCTATTAAAGAACGAGGATGGTTTTGACATTTTTACCAAGCTAATGGTCTACGCAGACAAAATCTCATAAAAGGGCACTCTGTTCTTCTTGATCCACTCAGACATGGCCTGTGAGTGAAGAAACGGGTTCTCCTCCTCAAAGAAATCGCTGCTGATTCTCACACCAGCCTGACACTGCTTCATGGGTTCTTCAAAGAGAGTATTCCCATAGAAACTAAAAAGGAAGAGGAATGTGTCTGGCGGGCACTGTGGGCAGCAGTGGGCTTTGGGCCAAATTTTAAGTTTGAAAATCAAGATTCCCTCTTTTCGAGGGGCCGCCGGACTGAGCAGATACAGACACCATGAAAAGAGGGTGGCATATTCAGATTCAGGAAACAAGGATGGTTTGTGTTCAGTTCCTGCATCATCCTTCAGGTCATGAAATTCACATTTCCCTCTGTGGACCAAGAAATTCAGTGGGGTTTCTGCCTTTTAAATATTTCATTATCAATATATCATCCTTTTAGCCTCCAGAAAGCATTTTAATGGAGATTCTGGCTTAAGACACTTGTGGGTCTGTCTGTCTCTCTCTCTCTCTCTTTTCCTTGAAACAGGGTCTCACTTTGTCACCTAGACTGGAGTGCAGTGGCATGATGACAGCTCACTGCAGCTGGACCTTCCAGGCTCTAGCAATCCTCCCACCTCAGCCTCCCAAGTACTTGGGACTGCAGGCACACACCACCATACCTGGCTTTTATTTTATTATTATTATTTTTTTTTTTGGTAGATGCGAGGCTTCACCACGTTGCCCAGGCTGGTCTTAAACTCCTGGACTCAAGCGATCCTCCCCCTTCGGCCTCTCAAAGTGCTGGAATTATTGGCTTGAGCCACCACGCCCGGCCAAGAACCTTGTCTCTTGTGATGCACCCCAGAACAAAACATCACTGCAAAACACACCAAGGCGTAAGTTTCAGTCCTAAGTCCCATTTATCCACCATACACTATGTGCCAGGCACAACGCTAAGTGCTTCTATGGACGAGCTTCCCTTAATCTCAGCAGTAACAACCCCAGGCAATGGGGCCTGTTGACAGATCCATTTGCCACTGAAGACAGTAAGGCTCAGACAGGGTAACTGGCGTGTGCCATGTCAGCCAGCTAAGGAGGGGCATTACCAGGATGCAAACCCCAGCTGCCTGGCTCCACACTCACGTTCCCTAGGTCCCACTACACTTGGTCACTCCACTGCATTCTAGTATCCTGGTCTTTGGCAGAGTCCACGTAAAAGAGGGAGGTAGAGGGAGTGAGAGGGACTTCACGCAATAAAGTTTCCTGGCGTTACACTGCCACCGTAATTGTGTCTCATCCTTTCCGTGATCGGCCCTGGAAAACCTACCAGAGAACTGTCCTCCTTCTCCCAGAATCTCAGAGAAAATTCACCTGAGTTCGGTGTCCAGGTGACCCAAGCTCTGAATGCAGTAACGTGCACGGGGAGATGAGGATGTCACCAGGAGCAAGCCTCCCACACAGCATCCGGGAGCAACCCCAAGACTGGGCAGGGGGGGCTCTGAGGCAGCCCACGGCGAGGACGGCTACCCGTGCTGCCCAAATGGGTTCAGAATGAAGGCCGCCCTCTCTCCCATGTGGGGCTCATTAACCACGAATCAAATTATTAAGACAAGCTCAGCTGAGCAAATGGTCAAACATAAAAACATTTGGAAGGAACAAAGAGGTCAACCCCATTATCCATCAAAAACCATCAAGGTGGCGGCCCTCACTGAGGGGTACAGCTCTCCAGGGGGCCCTCATCTGCCCTCCAAACCCGCGTGCCTCCCCAGTGGAAGGCCAGCAAAGCCACACAGGAAGAGTTGGGGTAGGAAAGCAGAAAGTGAACCCCAGGAGGCCAGGCTGGCCACGGAGCCCCATCCCACGCACACGGGCCCGGTCACTCAGGGGCCCACGTGTGCAGGACACCGGGAGCTCACAGGGACAGCGCCCCGAGGGATGCAAGGAACTTTGCCTCTCTGTCCCTCTCTGTAGGGATGGAAAGAGGAGAGCGATTTCTGGGATGGAAGCCATCTGCCTCCTCTCAACTCTCGCTGCCCAACCAGAAAGGGAAGAAAAACAGGAAGATGCGGGGCAGGTGAGGAGCTGGGTGAGCGCCGCCAGCCCGCAGCCCAGCAGAGCAGGGCTTGGCCAAGCCTGGCGCCAGGGACTTCCCCTCTACCCCCACCATAAGCCCCCCGCCAGGTGGGACCGACAAAAGTCCCAGACAGATGCCCCAGACAGGATGCCCAGCGCAACCCCCGCCCCTTCCCCTGCTGGGGGCCCCCAGGACGCGGGGCTCCCCCTCCCCTTTTGGCTAGCCGCAGAGTCCAACGGGGCTCCTGGCCAGGGACGTCGTGGGAGAATCAGGAAGTCGAAGCCACACAGCCGAGAAGGGGCAGCTGGCGTCTCGGAGGCCGTCACGAGCTGTCACTCCGCGCCCGCCGGAGTTGCCACTCAGTTACCAACTTCAACCCGGGGCCGGCCACGGAGCCTCCCGCAGCCCCTACCCCGCGTCTCCGGCACCCCCGCGCCCCCGGCACCCCCGGACCCCCGCGCCCGCGTCACTTACTCCTCTGCCGTCGCCACCTGTCTGGGTGCCGGTCTCCTCCCTGCCCGGCCGCGGCGCGTCCTTCCCGTCCTCGCAGTCCTCGGGCTGTGCGCTTCCCCCCTCCAGCCCCAGCCGCAGCCTCTTCTCTTCGGGAGGGACGTCGTCCTCCTCCCTCCTGGGCCGGCCATCCCTGCCTCGGGGCTTGCCAGTGGCTTCGGAGCTGCCGGAAGGGCTGGCCATGGCTCCGGGGGCTCTGCCTGCACTTGGGGAAGAGGAAGGACCCGGCGCGAGCGGCCTCTCGGCGGAGCTGGGGCGTCTGAGCGCGGGCTCGGTGGGTCCGCGCGGCGCGGAGCTGGGCATCGGGGCCGGCGCGGGCTCCTCCGCGGGCCGCTCCTGGCTCTCTGGCGCCCTCTGCCGGCCGCTCGCCCGCACCGCGGACACGCCGGGCCCGGGCCTGCGCTGCGCTCACCTGCCCCGGCCCAGGCGGTCGCTCTCCCCTACCCGTGGCCAGACCCGCTCCGGCCAGGCCGTGCACCTCCTCCCCGCCCCAGCCAGGTTGCACCCCGATGGTCTCCCTGCCCAAGGAGGAGAGAAGAGAAGGGACGCCCCGAGAGGGTGGACATGGGCCACAGCCACCTTGTCTTTGCTCTTACCCTGTGTCTTGCATGATTTGGAGGTAGTGGGAAAACCGAGTGGAGAATTCCGCCTGCAGGATGACATGAATGCACCTTCCCATTGCCTACCAACAGATCTTTTTTGAGCATCACTGTGGACCAGGCGTGGTGATGGGGGAGGGGATATTGTGGTGAACATGACAGGCATTGCCTTCACCCAGTGGGGCTCAGCGCTGGGTGAGAAGGCATTGAGAATGGACATTGTCAATTGGGCAAAAGGAGGCCAAGGAGAAGTGCTGGGTGCATGGGAACTGAAAAAGACAGGAGGCTCGGCAGGTCTTGGAGCTGCGAGAGGGACAACAGCAGCGGCTGTTCCAAAGGAAGCAACAGCTGAGAGAGGTCTCAGAGTTGTTCTCAGCCCAGTGGAGGGTGTTCAGGCAGAGGGAACAGCGTGTGCAAAAGCCCAGAGGCTGGGAAAGAAGCAGAAAGAGGACTGTGGGGCTGGAGCATGCTGGGCAAGGGGAGAGAGGTGTGGTGGGCAGACAGATTGCCTGGAACCCAGCTGTGCAGGGACAGAGGAGATAGGGGATCCTTGCAGGCCCCCAGCCAGGACTCAGGCACAGAGACAATGCAGGTGGGCAAAGGGAGGAGACGTAGAGAAATATTTTGGAGGCGTGCCCGATGAATGAGCCCAGGATGCACCGTTAGTGTCAGTGTGGAGCGAGCTCCTTCCTTGGCTGTGTGATGAGCTGAACCCGGGGGTATTTTCTGGACATCGAGGTGCTACACCCAGAGTCCAGGACAGGCTAAGTGAGCACCCGCAGCTCCTGGCCTACCTCAAAAGCAGGAGAGACAGGGGAGACTGGGGAGGCCGGGGAGGAAGGGGAAGCCAGGAAGGCAGGAGAGCCCAGGGAAGCAGAGGAGGCCAGGGAGACAGTGGAGGCAGGAGAGGCTGGGGAGGCTGTGTCCTTTCCATGATTCTGCCCAGGATCCTAGGCCCCTGTACTCCCTGAGCTTCCCCATCCCAAGCGCTGGAACCATGTTGCACAATGGTCTCCCCACTAAGCTCCTGATGGCAGCCCCTACCCTGCTGTGCTCCCTATTTCAACCCTAACAGCTCTCACAGTGGGCAGCACATAGTAGGTGCTCAGGAAACACTGGTGGGAGAGCACATGGGTCTGCTCAGCACCTTCCCCTCTCCTCCAGCTCTCCCCTGTCATGAAATAATTCTGATAATGACACATGGGCTTTGAGACCCTCTTCTATTACTTTCCATATGCTAATCCATCTATACCTCACAGCAGCCCTGGCGGTGGGTGTTATTAGGATGCCCATTTTACAGAGGAGGAGACTGAGGTATAAAGAGGGTAAGTGACATAGGCACACTACAGGGGCCGGGGCCAAGTGACCGCAGCACTCAATCCCCAAAGGCAAGGTGGATGCAGTTACCATAAAGGACAGCAGAGTCAAAGCTGCAAGCAGAATAGCATGACTCGCAGAGACCTATGGTGCCAGCTGATCGTGGCTTTCCTAGAAGTGAAATAGATAAGAAGCCTGCCACATTTTTACTTGATCTGTGTTTGCAGAAGAGTTCTAGGTCAGGTGAGCAGAAGTCTAACCTGAATCATAAAAACAGAGTCACAGTCCCCAGTCAATTCCCAGACATAAGCCAGTTCACAGACCAGGAGTCCCTTGTCTGAATGTGAAGCCAGGTCCCCTCCAGAAAGGACTCTGCTCCACTGCCAAAAATTTATACTGTCAATCTTTCTCCCAGCCTGCCCCCACAGGAATACACAGCCTTTTACCAGGATGACTGAACAGGGGAATAGGAACTAATGGGACCTGTGCAGGATCACTGGACACAGGCTCTGAACTGGCACTAGGGCGAGACTAGGGTCTACCAGTCAGAATAGGCATTTTGGAGGTCAGGTGAATGTTGGTGCAGGTTCATGTCATGGTAGATCCATTGGGTCCCCAATTCATCCTCTGGTTATATACAAAGTGGCCATGCTGAGATTCAAATTCAGGGTATCCAACATAGAAGCTGTGCTCTTATTCATGAAACATTCTGACATCTCTGGAAAGAAAACTATAATTCAGGGTTCCAGTCCCCACCCACGCAGCCTGACCCAATTCCGGTGCCCAAGTTCAGAGTGTCAACCCCATGTTTTGCAGCATTTAAACTAGGCAGGAAAATTAGGGACAATTAAAAGGACATGGGCCACCAGCTAGTCATAGACTCTCTCTGGTGTGTATCATAAATATTTTCCTTCCTGAGGTTTAATTTGGACAGACTGTGTCCCAGTCTGCAGCATACCTTGACATGATCGGCTTATCTGCTCGTCTCCCCTTCCTCTTTTTTTTTCCAGACAGGGTCTCACTCTCTTGCCCAGGCTGGAGCACAGTGGCAAAATCATGGTTCATTGCAGCATCAACCTCTTGGGCTCCATCAATCCTCCCACCTCAACCTCTTGAGTAGCTGGGACTACAGGCATGTACCAACACGCCCAGCTAATTTTTGTATTTTTTGTAGAGGTATGGTTTCTCTATGTTGTCCAGGCTGGTCTTGAACTCCTGGGCCCAAGTGATCTGCTCATCTTGGCCTCTCAAAGTGCTGGGATTACAAGCGTGAGCCACTGTACCCAGCCTCCTCTTCCTCTTGACGGTGAATTCTGTAAGGGCAAAGGCTCATTCATTTTTGTTGTTTAATGAATAGACTTTATTCTTTAGAATAGCTTAAGCTTTACAGAAAAATGAGCAGAAAGTATAGTGTTCCCATATATGCCCTCAAATCCTCCCATCCTGTTTCCCCTGTTATTAACATGTGGCTTTAATGTAGTGCATTTGTTGCAATTGATGAGTCAATATTGATACATTACTCTTAAGTCCATAGTGTAGGTTTCTCTCCTGGTGTGCTGCACATTCTTTGGATGGATGTGACCATCCACCATTGGATCCACCATTACAGTGTCACATAGAATAGTCTCACTGCCCTAAAAATCACGTGTGCTAAGCTGGTTCGTTCTTGAATCTTCATTGCTTTTCCATGGTGCCAAGCCCTCAGCTGGGGCATGTGGCTGTTGAATGGAAGGATATTGCAAAAAGTGCTGCCAAATGTTTCCATCCTGGACAAGTAAAGGAAAGTGGCCCTGATGTTTTAAAAGGCCTGACATCAAAAGAAAGGGTGTAAGTTTACCAAGCCACTGGGATTAGCTTCCCAAGGGACCATTTCCTCAACTTGATCTGATGATCAAGGCAACAGAAGATCCAGAACAAAGGGGATCCCTTTTACTCTGACCTAGGAAAAATGTCTGTAAATTCTTTGGGAGCTCAGAAAATGTCAACATCTGGGCCAAAAGACAAAAGTGGAAATGTCAGCTGTGCGTGGTGGCTCAAGCCTATAATTCCAACACTTTGGGAGGCCGAGGCAGGTGGATCACAAGGTCAAGAGATCGAGACCATCCTGGCTAACACGGTGAAACCTGGTCTGTACTAAAAATACAAAAAATTAGCCGGTCGTGGTGGCGGGCGCCTGTAATCCCAGCTACTCAGGAGGCTGAGGCAGGAAAATAGCATGAACCTGGGAGGTGGAGCTTGCAGTGAGCTGAGATCAGGCCACTGCACTCCAGCCTGGGTGACAGAGCAAGACTCCATCTCAAAAAAAAAAAAAAAAAAAATGTTTGTTAACCTCTCAGTGACCCCTGTGGGCATCCTAGGACTTAATCCAACTGAAAGAGCGTGTAGAAGGTGCACCTCAGACATCCCGCCTAGGTCTGCAGGAGCTGGGCCATTCCTTCATGAAATCTCACCAGGCACAACTCAGAGATACTCCCTAGAGGGTCTTAATTTCCAAGTACTTTCAACAAAGTGGGCATTGGCAGCCACAGAGAGCTTCAGGCAAAAGTGGCCGGCGTGCACAGGAATAGTAAGGCCACCGAGAACATCTACTATGGAGCCAAACCCAGACACAACCACGCTGGCTCCAGCCAGATACGGAACAGGGTGGCATCAGAAGGATGGCAGGGCAGTAACAGGGAAACTCCTTGGGTAGGTCTCAAGGATGTCTGGATTCTCCCTTTCCACCGTGGGGCTAGAAGGCAGGTAGCTCAGCCGGGGCTCCGCAGGCCGAACTCAAATCAAGTCCGGGCTTCAGCCTTCGTAACTGCATCAGCTCAGGCAGGGACTGGACCTCTGGAAACCTCAGTTTCTTCATCTGTAAAATGGGCATCACGACAGTACCTGGTGGGATTGTTTTGAGAATTTAACAAAATTATGCATGTAAAGCTCTAATCCTGACACCTAATAAGGGTTCAAAAAGTGTTTGTTTTTAAATATCATTAGCCTACGTACTTTTTTTTTTTTTTTTTTTTGGAGACAGTCTCTCACTCTGTTGTCCAGGCTGGAGTGCAATGGTGCAATCTCAGCTCACTGTAACCTCTGCCTCCTGGGTTCAAGAGATTCTTCTGCCTCAGCCTCCCAAGTAGCTGGGATTATAGGTTTGCACCACCACACGCGGCTAATTTTTTGTATCTTTAGTAGAGATGGGGTTTCACCATGTTGGCCAGGCTGGTCTTGAACTCCTGACCTCATGATTTGCCCGCCTCGGCCTCCCACAGTGCTGGGATTACAGGCATGAGCCACCGCGCCCGGCCAGCCCACGTACTTCCCTCAAAAAGAAGGTGAGTCTAGCCCTGAAGTTGGATGAGGTCCTGGTGAAGAAGAGGTGGGAGCCTGAATGCTGATGACACTGTGGGCCAAGGTTGGGACATTGGAGGCAAGGGCTGGGGAACAGCCGCAGCTCACTGTGCAGCCAGATCGGCCGTCAGAAGCTTCGAGACCCACATCTTAAGCTGATCGTGAATTAGGGCGTGAGGAAAATAAACCCCAAGGCTTGGCTTCCCTGCTGAAATCCCTCTTGAAAACTTAGCCATTTAGGAGGCGAGGGGAGGAGCCCAGCAGTTAGAACCACCCTCTTCCCACAAACGCCTGCCTTAGATTCTCAGGTGAGTCCCCAAGACTCCATCTGGATGAGACAGTTGCTCTCCCAGAGCTCCCGCCTATTCACCCTACACAGGCGCCCCCATAAGGGCACCCCTGAGCTCAAGGTGTCGCTGCTTCCTCTCCAATGGGAAATCCCAGCAGGGGTAATAATTTACCCCCCACATACACACACCCCCTCCTCAGTGGTCGTTAGCGGCTGGCCATGACCCCAAAGCCAACCATACCCCCAAAATACTGAACTGACAAGTCAGGGTTTCTGCAGCCCTGCACTGCTGCTGAGAATTCCATGAGTCCTATCTTACTTTCCATCTTACTGGGGCCAGGATGCCTCACTCTTCCCAGCCCATACTCCCAGATGCCCGCCTATCTCTGCTTATAGCTTCTCAACTTCCACCTCATTTGGAACATGTATGTCTCTATGTGGCCAGCACCTGTAAATTACACAGGGATTATAGCTTCCCCAGGGTCATCAGCAAGCTTTCTCTCAGCCCAACCATGGTGCTGCTGGAAATTGATTGATTTTTTTTTTTAGAGACAGGGTCTCACTCTGTTTGTCGCCCTGTGCCCAGGCTGGACTGCAGTCGTGCAATCTCAGCTCACTGCAGCCCTGCAGTCTCTACTTCCTAAGGTTCAAGTGATCCTCCTTCCTCAGTCTCCCAAGTACCTGGGACCACAGAGGCATGCCAGGATGCCTGACTAGTTTTTTTTTATTTTTTGTAAACAGAGGGTCCCTCCCTGTGTTGCCCAGGCTAGTCTGAAACTTCTGGGCTTCAGCAATCCTCCTGCCTCAGCCTCCCAAAATGCTGGGATTACAGGCATGAGCCACCACACCTGGCCCTATTTTTATTGTTAAATTTTATTGTTAACTATCAAGATGCAAATAACGTTCCAGTGTGATTCCAGGTTTGAAAATGTCACTTTTTACCCATTTTACCTTTAATTCTGGGATGTGAATGGAATCTCATGTTTTATTCTTCTTCTCCTCCCAATGATTATTGCAATCTAGCTCTTCATCTACTTAAATGATTCATGTAGAGGGGTTTCTGAGGATCTCTCCAGCATCCTAGCACCTAATTTTTTTCCTCCTCAGCTTCGAACCAACTTAGTGAGCAGACATCTGCAGGGACAAGAAAACAAACATCAGACATCAGCATTTATCTAAACCATGGCTGCTAGCCCTTCTGAGAGGCATCTTGGGTATTTGGGCACATGTATATTTGTCTCGATTATCTGAATCTCCCCTCCTCTTGTTCTGCTGAAATGGGCATGGGCAGGCCAGGCGTGGTGGTTCACGCCTGTAATCCCAGCACTTTGGGAGGCCAAGGCGGGCACATCACATGAGGTCAGGAGTTCGAGACCAGCCTGGCCAACCTGGTGAAACCCTTTCTCTACTAAAAATACAAAAATTAGCTGGGCATGGTGGCACATGCCTGTAGTCTCAGCTACTCAGGAGGCTGAGGCAGGAGAATTGCTTGAATTCGGGAGGCAGATGTTGCAGTGAGCCAAGATCCCGCCATTACACTGCAGCCTGAGCAACTAGAGCGAAACTCTGTCTTAAAAAACAAAAAAAGAAAGAAAAAGAAGAAGAAGAAGAAGGAAATGGGCATGGGCTGTGTCTCATTGTTTCCTGCTGTGGGGTGCTGATTGTTGCAGGAGCCTTTTAATACATGCAACAGCTCTTCCAACAAAGACTAATCCCTGCCTTCTCCCTGGTGCGGCTGCACCGTAAATTGCAGAGTTTAGAGAAGAGAACGTTAAAGGCAATGCCCACACAGCCTGTGTGTGTGCAAGACAGCACTGGGGAAGGAGGAAGTCCCCTTCAACCCAACACCATCCTGTCTTCAGCCATCAGACGGCCTCAAACGGGGCCTAGGGCAGCCATAGGATGACAACAGTGAGTCCCAGAACGGCAGAGATTCTGGGCTCAGAAGCTTCTGCACAGATCCACAGCCAAGCACTCAGACTCTCCACATCTCACCATCACCAGAGTCCAATTTTGATTATTATTATTATTTATAAGAGTCAGGTTCTCACTCCGTCACCCAGGCTGGAGTGCAGTGGTGCAAATGTAGCTTACTGAAGGCTTGGACTCCTGGGCTCAAGCGATCCTCCTGCCTTGGCCTCCCAAAGTGCTAGAATTACAGACATGAGTCATTGTGCCTGGCTGAGAGTTTGACTTTTAATAACCCACTTTTGTCGGTCACATTTTCTTTCCTAGAAAATTGTATTTAATGTATTGTGTAAAGAAGCAATTAATATGGGTTTTTCTGGGCAATAAGATTAAAAACCCATTATAGTTCATTGAATTATTGAACCCTGAGAGGGAGATGTGATTCTGGACCCATGACCCCTCAAAAAGGCAAGAACCACCAAACTGTGCATTTATGCCAATATTTGATATACCTCGATCTTGAATATGACCAAAGAAAGGAGGAAGGGGAAAATGTCATATTTTGGGTGCCTACACTGTGTGGGGGCACTTTGTGTGATCTCTCTTATTTCTTTCTTGAGCTACCGAAGTGACTATTATCAGCAGCCCCGTTTTTCAGATAAGGAAACTGAGGACAGGAAGTACACATTAGTTCCTAATGCTTTCTAGTTGACAAGAGCCATGGTAATGTAGGGACAGAGGAAAAGTGTCCTCTCTGCCCACGGAAGGTTCACTGAAATGACTGATAAATAAACAATACACAGGAGAAAAAAAGGCATACAGATTTCTTGGTGTGTATATGGATGCCGGAGTCCTGCAAATATGAGGCTCAAAAAGAGACCAGGTCGTTGAGGCTTAAATACTATTTTCTTAGTGGGAAGGTAAATAAAGGGCCTGTAGGTAATTTTAGGGGTAGTATATAATTTCTAAGGGAAATAAATGAGCCCAAAGAACAATGGCCTGGGACAACATCCCTCAGAGCTCTGGTGGAGGTGGTGGGAAGGTAAGGGGCAGAACTTTACTGTGAGCAAAGGTTGTCTTATTATGCAGATAAGGTCTCCCAGGTAATCTCTTAGAGCTGCCCTCAGAAGAATAGATGAAAAGTCTGTCTCAGCATGGTGACGACTTTTAGTCTCTTCTCTGGTGGTTATTCGATGAGATTCCTAGGGAGGGGGTCTTAAGACGAACGTATTTCTTTTGGAAAGAAGTTTCTTTAGTCAAACAAGAAAATTTCAGAGAGAGTCCCTCCCTGTGCTTGAGAAAAGAAAGAGGATCAGAGAGATAGAGAGATGGGGAGCAGGGGAAGGTCAGAGAGACCTTGGTTCTGAGACTTATTTCTGAGGCCTTCCTATTTCAGTTCAAAGCATTCAGCACGTCAAAGTGCCAAATTTTGGGTTATCATTTTCTGAGCCACAACAGTAATAATATTAGTAAAATAATAATAAGTGATATTCACTATTTGCAATAGCAAAGAAGTGGAATCAACCTAAATGCCCATCAATGATAGAGTAGATAAAGAAAATGTGGCACATAGGCCGGGCGCGGTGGCTCACGCTTGTAATCCCAGGACTTTGGGAGGCCGAGGCGGGCGGATCATGAGGTCAGGAGTTCCAGACCACGGTGAAACCCCGTCTGTACTAAAAAATACAAAAAATTAGCCAGGCATGGTGGCAGGCGCCTGTAGTCCCAGCTACTTGGAGAGGCTGAGGCAGGAGAATGGCGTGACCCAGGAGGCGGAGCTTGCAGTGAGCCGAGATCAAGCCACTGCACTCCAGCCTGGGTGACAGAGCAAGACTCTGTCTCAAAAAAAAAAAAAAAAAAGAAAATGTGGTACATATACACCATGGAATACTATGCAGCCATAAAAAGGAATGAGACTACGTCCTTTGCAGGTACATGGTTGGAGCTGGAAGCTGTTATCCTCGGCAAACTAACGCAGGAAGAGAAAACGAAATACCACATGTTCTCACTTATGAGTAGGAGCTGAATGATGAGAACACATGAACACATGCGGGGAACAACACACACTGGGACCTGTTGGTGGAGGAGAGAGAGCATCAGGAAAACTAGCTAATGGGTGCTGGGCTTAATACATAGGTAATGGAATGTTCTGTGCAACAAACCACCATTGCACACATTTACCTATGTAACAAATCTGCACGTCTTGCACATGTACCTCTGAAACTTAAAAATTGAAGAAAAAAATAATAGCTGATATTTTTTAAAGCTTACTCTGTGTCAGGCACTGTTCTAAACATTCTGTGTATATTAGTTCATTTAATCTTCTTTATAGGGCCAGGCTCAGTGGCTCATGCCTGTAATCCCAGCACTTCGGGAGGCCAAGGCAAGTGGATGACATAAGCCCAGGAATTTGAGTTTGAGACCAGCCTGGGCAATATAGTGAGACCCCATCTCTACAAAAAAAAAAATACAAAAATTACACAGGTGTAGTGGCACACACCTGTGGTCCCGGCTACTAGGGAGGCTGAGGCAGGAGGATCACTTGAGCCCTGGAGGTAGCGGTTGCAGTGAGTGCTGATTGCATCACTACACTCCAACCTTGATGACAGTGAGACCCTGTCTCAATAAGAAATAAAAATAAATAATCTTTTTTACAACCATGGAGGTGGATATTATTATTATTCCCTTTTAACATATGAGGAAGATGAACCTCTGAGAAGTTCAACAACTTGTCCAAGGTCACCCAGCTAGTAAAGGATGGAGCTGGGACTCGCATCTCAATGATCTGCCTCAAGCCCATGCTGGTAACCTCTCAAAGACACTTACCTTCCAGAACTTTCTGGGGAATCACTATAAGATCAAGCTGACTGCTTAGGACCAGCAAGAACCATGGTGCATTGTGTAATAATTTCAGGGTTGACATTAACAAAAAGCCTTACCCCCTTCATTCTCTCTTCTTCAGATACCAGTCACCACCCAGGGGCCTCCATCTCTGCATCAGTAACAAAACAAGAAGAGACCACATCCAAGACCACAGTGAAGGTCAGAAATGACTTCAATGCAGGCATATCTGGCTCCTGAACCTGAGCTCTGAGGCACCATGCAGCCACATGCCTATTATCTTCTACTCCTGCATGGAAATCCCTGAGGTTCATGGAAGCCAGCAAGATCCCAGAAGTCCCTGTGAGGCACAGAAGGCAGAGAGCAAACCCCTGGTTACCCCTAGAAGATTAAACTAGAGCAAACCAAATAGGCAACCACGGGGATTGGGAGACACCCTTGATCATCAAAACAGAGTAAAAAATCCCCCATCCTCTTGGGCTGACCTAGAAGCCAAGGCCTCAGAAGACACAACAGAAGCATCTTTCATTGTCCCTCCCACAGAGCTGCTGGCCTCCTGCACTGTGAGCAAAGCTATGGTGTCCCCATGGGCAGGGCTGCCTATGTCCGTGCCCCAGCTATGCCGCCCCGCTGTTTTATAGGCACAAGTAAGATGATGTCCCAACCAATGCCTCCAACATGGAGTAAAATTCATATAGTAATAATCCCTGTTCTTATGCACACACATACACACACACATGCACACATAATTTAAGCCTCCTTGGGAAGTGAACAAAAATGCTGGCAAAAAAAAAAGTGTGTCTCCCCAACATGAACCTGTGGCATTGGCATTTGACCCCTAATCTAGGCAGGGGTTAGCATTCTATCAGCCCCTCTCTGTCTCTCTCCTTCTCTCCTTTCTCTCTCTCTCTCTCTCTCTCTCTCTCTCTCTCTCTCTCTCGCTCTCTTCCTCCCTCCCTTGTCTCTTTCTCTCTCTCCCTGCTTCTGCATCTTTGTTTCTCTCTCCCTCCCTTTCTCTCTCTCTCCCTCTGTTTCTCTCTCTTCCTTCCTCCGTTTCCCTCCCTCCCTCTCTCTTACTCCCTCCCTTTTTATTTCTACTTTCCTCCCTCCCTCGCTCTATCTCTCTCCCTCCATTCCTTTCTCCATCCCTTTTTCCCTCCCCTCCCCCTCCCCCTCTCCCTCTCCCTCTCATTTCTTGCTGGCCTGGTTGCTGCCTTGAAGTCCTTTGCAGGGCACTTGTACTTCAGCACCACGGCCAGAGTAGATTTCCCCTTTCCCTCCCAGGCAGTGGATGATTGCAGATTTCTGAGACTTCTCCTCTTCCCCCTCCATCCCTCTCACTCCCACTTGCTCCCTCCTCTCTACCCCTTCTTCCTTCCTCTCTTCTCCTCCTCTCTCTTTAGTGCTGTTGAACACACCTGTAGTGATGACAAGGTTGTGCCCAAGGAGGGAAGCTTCTATGACAGATACCGGGACACCATCCAGCTGGGCAAGAAAACACAGCTTATGTGGGTCCCAGGCACAAGCGCCACCTGGGAACACCTTGTCTGGGTTCTGATATCTGATTGATTTGGGCGCCAAGCCTCTGGAAAAGAGACAAAGAATCAAAAGGGTTCAATAGTGAAGTCCACACTACACACATTGGTCCCAAGCTGCACTAACTCAAAACATGACATTTCCTACCCCAGTCCAGGGCAGGGAAAACACTGGAGAATAAAAGGGCTAGGAAATAAGGACATGGCTGGGTGCAGTGGCTCATGCCTGTAATCCCAGAACTTTGTGGGGGGGCGGCCAAGGTGGGAAGATCATATGACCCCAGGATTTCAAGACAAGCTGGGCAACATGGCGAAAACCCATCTCTACAAAAAATAAAAAAATTAACCAGATGTGATGGCATGTGCCTATAGTCCCAACTACTCCAGAGGCTGAGTTGGGAGGATCACTTGAGCGACAGAGGTCAAGGCTGCAGTGAGCCATGACTGCACCACTACACTCCAGCTTGAGTGACAGAGGGAGACCCTGTCTCATCAAAAAACAGAAAAAAAAAAAGTAAGGACTCACATTCTTTCTTACTGCCCACATTTTACTACTCTCTCTTACTCCTACTTGCAACTTGAAAAGGAGAGTCTGTGTTTTGTACACCCAAATGTGCATACAGGTGCTGTGTGTGCATTTATGCTGAAGGTGAGGGGTGGGGATTAGACAGAGAGAGGTGTCCATGAACAATCCTAGTAGTAAAATGAGAGGCAGGCAAGGTCAGTCTGAAAGTGAAATACAGAACAGCAGACATTTATCCAATGGGGAAGAGCTCATTCATTTCTTCTGTGCAAATATCAAAAAAGAGCTAACATTTGTGAGCAACTGATATGGCCAGGCACTGTTGATTGCTTTATATGCCTCATGCCATCCAGTCATGACAGCTTGATGAGGCAGGCACTGTTCTCATTACACAGATGAGAATGCTGAGGCTCAGAGTGACTGAGTAATGCGATCAGGGATCAGGATCACACAGCTACTAAGTGGCAGACATATGCATGAGGGTACAGAAGGCAAGCACAACATAAAGAAAAGAAACTCATCCTGTTTGAGAAGTTACATGAATTCGAGTGCAGCAAATTTAGAGATTAATTTTCCCTCTCTTCTGATCTCAACAAATAATTTTTATGAAGACAGTGCTGATTATTTCTTCTCTATGTGGGCAAAGTACTAAAGTAAAGGAAAGTGACTTCGATTAAACCATACATGGGCCAGGCATGGTGGCTCACACCTGTAATCCTAGCACTTTGGGAGGCCGAGGTGGGCAGATCACCTGAGGTCAGGAGTTCGAGACAAGCCTGACCAACATGGCAAAACCCCATCTCTACTAAAAATATAAAAATTAGCCGGGTGTGGTGGCATGCATCTGTAACCCCAGCTACTGAGGAGGCTGAAGCAGGAGAACTGATTGAACCCTGGAGGCGGAGGTTGCAGTGAGCCGAGATCACGCCATTGCATCCCAGCCTGGGTGACAGAGTGAGACTCTGTCTCAAGGAAAAAAAAAAAAATCAAAGCATACTTGGTTTTAGTTGGATAAATGGCAGGCCTTACCATCAGGGTCATTTGGGGTTAGGTGGTTGGTACATTTTGTTTATAAACTGGGATGTGTCTCCTGTAATGCAAACAGCACAGGAGAAGGAAGTGGGGAGACTTAAATTTGAATTTGAATTTAAATTTAAATTTAAATTTAAATTTGAATCCGCTAATTTGAGGGTGACCTTGGGCAAGCTGCTCCAGTTTCTTGGGTTCTAGCCACCCACCCTTCTACTGCCAAAAAGGAGGGGCTCCGATTAGGTTATCTGATGATCCTTCCAGCTATGACATCAGCTTATGTTCCCAAAAGCTGCTGTACGATGAGGCCTCCTGCCCTTCAGGAGCCAAAACAAAAAGACACACTGGACCATTTCATCTCCACCAGGAGCTTAAGGAACGTTGGAGGCCGCGTCTAACCTCAGTCCCCCAGGAAAACACTGTCTGAGCCTGCCCAGAGTGCAAGCAGCCCCCCACTCCTTTCGGAAGCCAGCCACGCACCGCCCCACTTCAGGTGCCCATCCATCAGCTGGGTTTCCTGGGGAAACAGAGCTCATTCTTTAGCTCTCTTTTATGGCTTTTACCCAGAATTGATTTGAATAAATCAGTCTAATGCTGTCTCTACAATGGAACCAATTGTAAAAGAGCTTTATTTCCTCAGCTTTGAAAGCAGGTTGGAGCTGCCTTCTTCCCACAGCAAGACTGATGGAGAAAAAGGAAGCACACTCAGTGAATTTGACAAAGGAGAATTCCTCGAAGGGGTGGGAGGGAGCCAAAGCCCCCCACCCAAGGATTCCCCAGCAAAGGGAACCCACACTAGCAGGACCCACACCTGCAGAAGGAGGCCAGAGGTGACCAAATGGGATTCATCTGCACCTGATGTTAATACCGATACCTGCTATGCTCAGCTGCAGGCTTAGGGAAGCATGTTATCCCTGAAAACTTCTGTTTCCCTGCTTCTTCCTCTCTCAAGACACAGGAACAGCTAAACTCTACTGAGCTTTTCCGACACTCCAAGCACTGTGCCAAGTCTCAAGGGCACCTCCAATTCAACGATCCCGAACACAAGGGTTTTCTTTCCATTCTGCAAATGCCCTCAACGTTTTGTCTACCCCAGGGCCTTTGTGACTCCTGTTCCCTCTGTCTCCCTCCAACGCCTACACATACGCCCATGTCTGTAAGCCTGGCTCCTTCTCCTCCTTCATATCTCTTCCAATTCCACTTCCTCCTACGGGTGTTTCCCAAACACTCCAATATAAACGAGGTTCTCACTATTATTCTCTCAAACCATCCTGTTCTTTCGCTCCTACATCTCTTTATAGTACAGAGGCAAGATGGTGTCTTATTCAGAGACACAGTTTTGGGAGCCAGAGGCCTGTGGTGCCTCTGCTCCTCCTCTTATTAGCTGAGGACCTTGGACACGTACTTAATCATTCTGTGCCTTAGTTTACTCACCTGTAAAATGGGGATTATAAAATACCCACCTCAGCTTGCAGTGAGCCAAGATCATGCCACTGCACTCAAACCTGGGCGACAAAGCGAGACTCCATCTCAAAACATAAAAAAATAAAAAGAAATAAAAATAAAAAAAATAAAAGCACCCACCTCTTGGGGCTGCAGTGAGGATTAACTGAGCTGACACCCTGTCAAGGGTTCCGAAATGTACCTGGCATGTAGAGAGTCCTCAGTAAATGTTTGTTATTATTTCTGCTGTGACTGTTCGATTTACCTCTACTCCCCACCAGCCTGTGCACATCATGAGCTGACAGCCTGGTCCTCCTGTTCATCAAGACAGCCCCAGGGCCGAATTCAGTGCCTGGTACACATAGGTACTAAAAAAAAAAATGTATGTTGAATGAATGGACATTTCCTTTGTTTTGTTAAGTTTGCTTCATATGCGTTTCAAAGAGACAAAGTGGAAATGGCATTGATTTTTATCATTTTACAGACGAAAAAAACTGAGCCTGGAAACCTCAATGTATCCAAGCCTGGCTGATCGAGTGTCCAAGCAAGGCAAAAGCCCATACGCAGTGTTTTTCCCACCAGAGGACGAGAAGTAGAAACCTCAAACTGCCCCTTTGCCCTCAGGAACGACTGGGACTCAGCTGAGGTCCCTGCCAGCTTGGCTGAGGCCACCACACCTCAGCAATGAGGAGGTTGCAGCTCAGACCAGTGTCTGGGGAATGAGGCTTATAGGGCTGTCTGCAAACTTGCCCCACCTGCTCGTCCCAGGGGATCTTGATGGGTTGCAATGAGCAAACCAAAAGTTCTGGCTGACAATGCATGAGGCGAGGGCCACCAAGTCAGTGATGCTGAGGCTGAGGACCAAGGGCTCAAAGAATCCTCTCTCCCTACAGCAAGAATGAACATATTGATCAGAGGGACCCACCATTCACCAAGGAAGGACAGCCTTGCATCCAGATGAGTGTACTCAGGAAGCAACTTGACCCCCATAGGCAAGTCGAGGTGGGGACCACAGAGACTTTTGTTCACTATTATCCCAGTGTTCTTGGAAAAGGGCTGCCCTTGATAGCCATCTGTTGAATGACTGAATGAATACACTGGTGGTTGAATGAATCAAGGGTTGAATACTTGGATCACAGCAATAATAAAAACCTATCTGTTGGCCAGACATGGTGGCTCACGCCTGTAATCCCAGCACTTTGGGAGGCCAAGGCAGGCAGATCACTTGAGCCCAGGAATTTGAGACCAGCCTGGGCAACATGGCAAAACCCCATCTCTACTAAAAATAGAAAAATTAGCTGGGCATTGTGGCACGCGCCTGTAATCCCAGGTACTTGGGAGGCTGAGACACGAGAATCACTTAAGCCTGGGAGGCAGAGGTTGCAGTGAGCTGAGATCGCACCACTGCACTCCAGGCTGAATGACAGCATGAGACTGTCTCAAAAAAACAAACAAACAAACAAACAAACAAACAAAAAAACACCTATCTGTGTCCAGCTTCATCCTTCCTCCTCATCAGAATCCTGATTTTGGAGAAGTAGTATATCATAATGGCTAACAGGGAAGACTTTGAATCCAGCCTGCCCGAGTTCAATTCCCAGCTTCACCACTCACTGTGTGACATTGAACAAGTTATCTAACCCTTCTGTGCCTTGGTTTCCCCACCTGCAAAATGGAGAGGCTAATCCCTTCCTAATGGAATTGTGCGGTTTAGTTGAGTTTATATATACAAATCACTTGCAACAGTGTCTGGCATGTAGTAAGTGCTCAAAAACTGTTGCCATACTGGCTTTTGTCCGCATGTTTATTATTTTCAGCCTTATTTGATTTGCCTCTTGCTATAAGCTTCCTTGAGCCCTTTTGGGGAAGAAGCAGAACACAAATCAATTTAATAAATGGACTACTCAAATATAACATTTACAAGGTGGACTTAATCTAACAGATTTCTCCTAATAAGACACATTTGCAAGTTAAACTGTCTAATTTGGTAATATCTTTCAACATGTTAAGTGCACGGACCCTCTGCCCAGCAATCTCACTTCTGGGGACTGATCCTCGAGATACAACTGCATGAGTGACCCCAAATGGTACATGAGGAAATTTTATTGCAGCATCGTTTAGAAAAGCAAACAACCAAAACAACCGAAGTGTCCCTGATGGGAGTTCGGCTAAATGAATTTATGGTATAGCCATAAAGCAGAATATGCACAGCTACTAAAAAATGGAGCAAGCTTTTATGCGCCAGCATAGAGAGATCCTTAGGACATGTGGCTTCTGTAAAAAAGGAGCTGCACAATGTTGTATAGAGCATGACTCATTTGTGCTTCTAAGTATATGTGTACTCCTACATAAACTCATACACATATGTACACATGCACACACAGATACTCACCACAGTCATTATATCTACATTTTACAGATGACACTGAAACCCAGATTTTGGATTTTGTTTTTTTAATCCCAACTGACAGTCACTGTCTTTTAATTAAAAAAAAAAAAAGTACAATCTACTTAGTGTAAGTGATATGCTTGATTTTGATCCTTTGATACTGCTTCATGCTTGTTATTTATTTTCCTTTATTTCCTATTTTCATTTTTCCCTGGTTGGAACAAGCTTTTGTTTGCTCCCTCTTGTCTTTAGGAATTGACTTTCCCTTTCCAAGCATTCATAAATATGTTTCTCTATCATTCTATGGAAACAAGATGCCAACCCCTGCCTTCACCAAATGTTATCATTCCTTCTTCTTCTGCCTGCCTCTCCTCAATAAGATAAGGGCTTTTTAAGGCTTCCACCAAACTCCTTCCACCACCCTCTTAGTTTTGCTGAGAAATGTTCTAACTGGAGCTATTGGGTATTTCTGTTTTAATGAAAACAATTCAATGCCATGTTTCTGCCTTATGTGTTGAAACCACCCTCTTTCTCTGGATTGAGTAATGCACTGAAGCTTTCCAGATTTAACCAATAAGTTCACTTGCAAACAGCAGAAACACAATTCAAACCAGCTTACATTAAAATACTGGCAACTTATGTACCCCGCAAGTTTGAGGGGATGGTCCTAGTGCGCTGGATTTCTCGCCAGGCCTTAGCTGCCTCCCTGCGGGGAAGGGCTCGGGACCTGCAGCCCACCATGCCTGAGCCTCCCCGCCGTGGGCTCCTGCGCTGCCGGAGCCTCCCCGACGAGCGCCGCCCCCTGCTCCATGGCGCCCAGTCCCATCGACCACCCAAGGGCTGAGGAGTGCGGGCGCACGGCACAGGACTAGCAGGCAGCTCCACCTGCGGCCCCGGTGCAGAATCCACTGGGTGAAGCCAGCTGGGCTCCTGAGTGTGGTGGGGACTTGGAGAACCTTTATGTCTAGCTAAGGGATTGTAAATACACCAATCAGCACTCTGTATCTAGCTCAAGGTTTGTAAACACACCAGTCAGCACCCTGTGTCTAGCTCAGGGTTTGTGAATGCACCAGTCGACACTCTGTATCTAGCTAATCTAGTGGGGAGGTGGAGAACTTTTGTGTCCACCCTCTGTATCTAGCTAATCTAGTAGGGAGGGGGAGAACTTTTGTGTCTAGCTAAAGGATTGTAAACGCACCAATCAGCACCCTGTCAAAGCAGACCAATCAGCTGTCTGTAAAACCAACCAATCAGCTCTCTGTAAAATGGACCAATCAGCAGGATGTGGGTGGGGCCAGATAAGGGAATAAAAGCAGGCTGCCCCAGCCAGTAGTGGCAACCTGCTGGGGTCCCCTTCCACGCTGTGGCAGCTTTGTTCTTTGGCTCTTTGCAATAAATCTTGCTGCTGCTCACTCTTTAGGTCCACACTCCCTTTATGAGCTGTAACACTCACCACAAAGGTCTGCAGCTTCACTCCTGAAGCCAGCGAGACCACGAGCCCACCAGGAGGAAGAAACTCTGAACGCATCCGAACATCAGAAGGAACAAACTGCGGACACGCCCTCTTTAAGAACTGAGACACTCACCGTGAGGGTCCGCAGCTTCATTCTTGAAGTCAGTGAGACCAAGAACCCACCAATTCCGGACAACTAGCTTCAGACTTAGCTGCATCTAGGTTCAAATAATGTCATCAGGGTCCTCTGTATGTCTCTCTCTTTATCCCTCAGCTCCACTTTGCTTTATTATCAGACAAGCTTTATCCAGGTGGACACAAGACGGCAGTTCACGGTCTCAAGCCTGTGTACTACACACAGCCCTCAATACCAGCTTAGGAGAAAGTGTCTTTCCCACAACCTCTGAGAAAAGACTCATGGAAAGTAGTGATTGGTCCATTCTTAGGATATATCCATTCCTGGACCAATCAATGTGGCCAGCAGGATTGAGTCCTCTGATTGGACAAGGCTGAGTCATGTGACCTCCCTGAACCACATAAACTGAATAATACTGTTCTGAAAATAGGAGAAAGTGGTTTGCAGAAAAGATGAGGTGCTGGCCTGACCACGGTGCGTGCCCCTTGGTCAACAAACAGAATCTGAAGAATCCAGGAAATCACAAAGGATTCTAAGAGGTCACAAAGACTGATGTTATCAGGCCCCAAAGCTTCTACATGAGTGTCAAGAGAAAAAATACCTTGATCACTCAGGTGCCCTCTCCTCAGTTTTTCTCTGTCCAGGCTTGAAGAACTATAACCATTTCCAAGTTCTAAAAGGACAGGTGGGGGAGTTATTTGTTTGTTTATTTGTTTGTTTTGATTTCAGAAAGATGTGAACTCCAGGATCTCTTGAGAGACTGCCAGGTAAGCAACCCTGTGGTTAAAATTCAGTCTTTGGTCCCACACTCATGATAAATGCAATCATAGCTTCATACATCTGGCATCAAGAAACAGTAATCTTTCAGCAAAAACTCTCACTTGGTGTATTTTTCTCAGCCTTGTCACAAGACCTTCCAATTTAACCTGAAGACACTCCTGAATTAGTAGGAAGCTCAACAATATTTCTTCCCTGACAAATCCTTGTACTTCAGCTCCAGCTATCTCTGGGAATGCAAGGTGACTCCTTGTTGGGAAAATACTGCATTTGTCCCTTCCACGGTAATGGGCTGTTGCTCACCATATATAGTGAGATTTTTCCAAGAAAGAGAAATATGTCCCCTTTGCTCCATAACCTAAGAAGAAAATAAAAACCATATTCGCCCAAATAGAAGAAGGTTGAATTTTGCTTGTTATTGTCAGCTTTGAGACTACATTGATTACTTCTAGACAAAAAAAAAAATGTTGTTTCTAATATACAGTTACCCTGCATTAAATTTATGTACTTGAGCTTAAAAGAATCCAAGTAAAGTTGTCTGTTCTTGTTGTACCTGATTAACCTCAATACACAAATCCCACTAATCAATAGTTAATTTAAAATGTGGCACTACCTCACCCCTATGCAAACATGACCCATCTTGTATATCACTAAGCTAAAAGCCATGCGGGCCATTCTCTAAAGCAACATAGAATTGTCCAGACAAGAAAATAAACATATTTCCAAAATATTTCTATGCAAGGATCTCAAATGTAATGTTTTGACTATACTTGTAACTTGAGGCATCCCAAAGAAGACACCTTGTAACGGCTCATTTTAGGTGTCCATTTGACTGAATTAAGGAATACCTAGAGAAAGCGTTATTAGGGGGTGTGCCTATGAGCACTCTGGAGGTGTTTCCAGAGGAGATTTCTGTGAGAGTCTGCGTGGACTAAAGAGGGAACATCCACTCTCAGTGTGAGTGGGTACCATCCAATCAGTTGAGGACCCTGACAGAACAAAAATAGAAAAAAAGCAAATGTGTCTCTATCTGTTGGCGCTGGGACATACTCTCCTTCTCCTGCCTTTGGACATCAGAACATCAGGCTTCCTGATTTCTGGACTCTGGGGCTTAACACCAGCAGCCCCCTGGATTCTCAGGCTTTTGTCCTTGGACTGAGAGTTACACCATGGTCTTCCAAGGTTCTGAGGCCTTTAGACGCAAGCCAGGCTACCAACATCCCAAGGTCTCCAGCTTGTAGAAAGTTTGTCGTGGGACTTCTCAGCCTTCGTAATCACATGAGCCAATTTCCCCAGTAAGTCCCTTCTTGCGTGTCTATTTATACATGATGGTTTCTGCCTCTCTGAAGAACCCTGACTAATACACTCCTCATTTGGTACATAGATCTTCCCAGGTCTTGGAATCACTTCCTCATTGACCATGCTGCCTGTATCCTCTGAATATTTAAGGTTTGTGGAGAGGCTCCCATGGTGATTTGAAGTACTGCGCTTCCATTTTCAAATTTTATGTAGGCTGAGAGCCTGTGAACTCACCCTCACCCTGATCTCATCTTCACTCATGCCTTCAGAACTACAAACAATCAAGAACAATCAGGCAAAACTGATTTATTTGTCATCTCCTGGGTTGCTGGTAACTCTTGGTGGGTTTCTTTATTTCAACTTCACACTCATTTCTGCTATAACAAAAGCATATATTTTATTGATAAATGTTTTTGTACCGTGGCTTATTCCAAAGAGGACTTAAAATGGCTAAGAAAATAGCGCATTGGAAATAGCTTTGTCAGAATTAACCATTTTGTGGATTCAATTCACAGTGATTTCTTCTGGTGGCCGTGTCTGTGCCCCCAACTCCCTCACTTCTTCAGGTAACAGATGCACCCAACCCCACTCTTAGCTGTAGAAGGACTCAAGTTGAGTCCATCGTAGTGTCTCAAACCCCCAGTCTAAGGGTAGAGAAGTAACCCAAGAGAGCCAATTACAACTCTTTCCTGGGAGTTTTCAAACAAGAGCTAGGACAGGGAAGTCCATTTTCTTTCTGGCAACAAAGCCATAGGGATAAATGGCCAGGAGATTTCTGCCAAGATTCTCACCGTGTACAAAAATTCCATCTACAGTAGGAGGAAAGAAGCCAGGTTATAGAGATGAGAGGGAGAGAGAAAATGGACACAAGAAAGCCACCCCATAGTCTAGTTATGTCAACCCACACATTCCCCTTTTCTGATGCGATGAGTTAAACACAGAACCCTGGAAGAAGAGTTGAAGACAAGACACTCATCACTCTGGTCTTTACTGAAGTCAACGTTCAAATGTTTTAACTGATTTAACTGATTCTCTACACCCTACCTAGCTGACAGACCACCCTTCTCTCCTAGAGTTTTCCTCTATAAGAACCAGACTTTCCAAAGAACATGCTGCAATCTAAACAACCAAGAATCTCACCAGCCAAGAAGAAAAGCTGTTGGGCCCTGCGGCCACCCATCCTCCCCAGTTGCAGGCACTGCGGAAGCCTCTGTCCCCACTCCTCTTACCTCTAAGCCAACCCCAGCCCAGGAAACCAGGCCATCGGGAGCACTTGATCACCCCTCTTGTTCTGCCTGGGGTTAGGTGTCTGGAAACATGGGCTTGGCACTAATGGTGGGTGCCATTGCCAATGGGCTACCTAAAGAGAAGCAGCCTCCTGGGAGGCAGGAAAACAAGCTGGCTGTTGTCCAAAGACTCTAGGCAGAAGGAAATAATCTGAGGATCCCAGAGAAGGGAAATTTCGAAGAAGAATGGGGAGAGCCTGAGGGTGCTGCCTGTGAAGATGAGATGTCATTGCAGCCATTGTTGAAGGAACGTGCAGCCTCAGGATAGGCATTGAAGATATCAAACCTTTGGGGACAAGCAATCCCAGGTGTACCAGGTGTGGTTCCCAGACCCCACCTCACTGCTATAGAATGATTTGTAGTCGTCCTGGGATAAGCCCGGGGACCCACCTGCATGGCCACCAAGCCACAGCCTCCCCAGTCTCTATTAACATAGCTTTCATGCTTGGAGTTCTTTCTGGGTGCCAGGAACTGTGCTGAGAGCTCAGCAAGCATCACAGTATCTAATTCTTGCAATAACCCTGTGAAGCATGGATTCTATTTTTATCTCCATATTACAGATACAACTAAGATTCAGAGAAATTAAGTCACTTTTATCAAGTCAGCGGCCCAGCCAGAATCCAGATGAGTTCTTTCTGACTCCAAAGCCAGGATGTTCCTCTGCCCAGACTCTCTTGACTTCCCCCAAGAGAGTGGACTCTGTCATCCACACCCACATCTTCAGGTCCTGATGGAAACATTTCCCCAATTCTCAGACTACCAAAGATCAGAGATGAGCACTGTCTGAAATTGTGGCTGCTGGTCCCACCCACGAGATTGGACCACCTTGGAGATGATCCCCAGCCCCAAGCTTGCTCTCATCCTCCATGTGCTCTTGCACAGTAATTCAGAATGCCAGGATTAACTGCCAGCTCATTGAAGCTGATGACTCAGTTTCTCCAACCCCACTCTGCTTAGTCTCCCTGCTTTTCCCCTTCAACCCATCCCAAGGAGGCCAAAAATGCGTCATGGCCAAACCCACCCACATACTGACAAAGGGTCAGAGTTGCCCATGTTGAGTTCGGAGCCAAGGTCTGAGTAATGGGCACCAAGGGGAGCATACTTTGGCTTGATTCCAACAAAATGTAAATACAGAGCAGAGAAGAAATGAGGAGGGCCAGCCCTGAGGCTGCAGCAGGTCCCACAAATGCTGTACACTCATGTCAGGAAGCCAAGGCTATAAAAGCCACAAGTGAATTAGGATGGAGTCCAAAGTGTTGATGTCATGTGAGAACATCTTCGCATAGTGTCGCTGCCTGGGAATGGGGCTGGCACTTGTGTCCAGGACAGCCAGAGATCTCAGACCCTGATGGAGCCTCCCACTGGCAAAAGAAGACAGAGAACAAGCAAAAATGAACTCTGGAGTCACTGCTTCTCTCAAGGAAATCAGGGTGGCTGGGGAACATGAGGAAGCCAGGGTGGCATGTGTTGGTCTGTGGCTGACATCCCCATTAGCAACCTGATCTGTCTTGGAGAAGTCTTTGGCAGGGTGCAAATCCCGAGCCCATTCTCCACCACCAGCTCCACTCCCCAGATACTCATGAAACCAAAGGGACAAGATCTTCCCTGGTACCACGGGAGGGAACAAAAGACCTGGGCTCAGCCAGTCAGATGTTTGCTACCAGGGTTTTGAGTCTCAAAAGAGAGTTGCAAAGATGGAGTCAGCTCTATCCCTGCCTGGATAGCTCCCACCAGATGGCTCCAACCCTCCCACATTCCTCCTGCCCATTCCTCAAACCTGATCTTGCAGCTGATCATCTGTGAGCCCCCAAAAGCCTTCTAGGAAACTCCCTCCTCCCTTCATAAATAGGATTAGCTGCTGTGGCTTGCAGCCAAGAATCCTGACTGATATACACTTCCTTTTGTTCTTTGTGTTTTGTTTTCAGAGCCAGCAGCCCCAAGGATACTTCGAACAGTGGGCACTGGTGCAATTCTATAAAAAGAAACCAGAAACCATTTAGATGTGTGTCAGGAAGAAGCACTTCCAGATGCTTGAGGAAAGATGCAAGATAGCAAGGTATCGCCTGAAGCCCAGATTTGGGATCTAAGTCCTCTGTTTCATATCTCAGGGCCTTTGTATATATTTTTCCCTGGTCTTTTCATTGGGCTAAAGCCCACCCATCATCCAGGTCTCAGCCTAAATGTCACTTCCGCTGAACAGCTATCATAATTGGTCATGATATGTTGACTTGTCTATTTGTTTAAGGTCCTTATACCCCCATTAGACTGTAAGCACCAGAAGGGAGGGAACAGGGCTGTTTTGCTCACTTGTCACTCCCCAGTACCTGGCATAGCCTGGCATGTAATTGGCATTCCATAAATATTTGTAAAGGAATTCACAATTCATGGGATGCAATCACCCGTCCAGTGGATATCTTCATGGCACCCATGAGGTGGACGCTATTATTATCATCCCTGTTTTACAGGTGGGAATCTGAGAAACAAGGAGTTTAAGGATTTTGCCATAAGTCACCTAGAAGACGCAGGGTGAGGAAGGGATTTGAACCTGAGCATACTGACTCCAGAGCCCTCTTAGCTGCTCCGTGGAGCAGGGGCTTTCTGCAAAGTAGAGGTTCTGATCATCTACTGTTGCATAATAAACCAAAATTTAGTGGTTTAAAAAACGCATCATTTGTTCTGCTAATAAATCTGTATTTTGGGCAGGGTTCAAAGGAAAGGGTTCATTTCTGTTCTTCCCAGCAACAAATGGGGAGTCTTCCCCAGGGCCTGGAGGAACCACTCTCTAGGTGAATCTTTTTTTTTTTTTTTTTTTTTTTTTAGATGGAATCTTGCTCTGTCACCCAGGCTGCAGTGCAGTGGAGAGATCTTGGCTCATTGCAGCCTCCACCTGCCAGGTTCAAGCAATACTAGATACTCCTTTGCCTCAGCCTCCTGGTTAGCTGGGATTACAGGCGCCTGCCACCATGCCTGGCTAATTTTTGTATTTTTGTAGAGACAGGGTTTCACCATACTGGCCAGGCTGGTCTCGAACTCCTGACCTCAAGTGATCCACCAACCTCGGCCTCCCAAAGTACTGGGATTAAGGGTGTAAGCCACCATGCCCAACCAAGGTGAATCTTTCATACGGCTGAAGAGTTGATGCCGGTGTCAGCTGAAAGCTTAGCCAGGGCTGTGCACCAGAGGGCCTTGGTTCCTCTCCACAGGGGTCTTGCCTCGGGCTGCTTGGGCTTCCTCACAGCATGGTGGCTATGTGCCAAGAATGAGAGAACCATGAGAAAGTTGCACAGCGTCTTCTAACCTGGCCCTTGAAGTCTCATAGAGCCACTGCTGTAGCAGGACGAGCCACAGACAAACTTCTCAGACACCAAGTTGTAGAAGGAAGGGCTTTATTCAGCTGGGAGCATTGGCAAGCTACTGCCTTAAAATCCGAGCTCCCCAAGTGCAATTTCTGTCCCTTTTAAGGGCTCACAACACTAAAGATTTCACATGAAAGGGTCGTGATTAATGTGAGTAAGCAGGCAGTATGTGACAAGGGCTGCATGCAGCAGTGGTCAGAGAGAACAGGGCAGGGAGTTTCACAGTGTTCTTCTAAAAAATGTCTAGAATCTGTGAATAACATCGGTTTCTAAGTTATGAGTTGATTTTTAACTACTGGGTTTAGGCCAGGCAGGCCCAGGCCTGGTTTCAGGCCTGGCGCCGGGCTGCCTGTCTTTGGTTTTATTTCCTTGTTTTTTCTTAAAACAGGTACTGAGTATAAAACGATATAAAACAATATGAGAGGGTCTCTCTCTTCCCTCACTGCCACTACATCCTATTTGTGGAAACAGTCTCAATCCTGCTCAGATTCAAGAGGAGGAGATTTGTACTTCGCCTCTTGATGGGGGTGAAACAAGCTTCTAGAAGGGCCCACAGGATGGGAGATATTTTGGCCATCTTCAGAGAACACAGTTTGCCTCAGCAAACAGCATATTGTATGACTTCACCAGGCTGTCCTAACTTACAAACCCCACTTTAAAATTACCACCCCTGGGAACCCCATTGCAAGTTTAGAAAAATCACTGGATTCATGAGGTCAGGAGATCGAGACCAACCTGGCTAACATGGTGAAACCCTGCCTCTATTAAAAATGCAAAAAATTAGCCGGGTATGGTGGCACGCGTCTTTAGTCTCAGCTACTCGGAAGGCTGAAGCAGGAGAATCGCTTGAACCCGGGAGGGGGAAGTTGCAGTGAGCAGAGACTGCGCCACTGCACTCCAGCCTGGGTGACAGAGTGAGATTCCTTCTCAAAAAAAAAAAAGAAAAAAAGAAAAGAAAAATCACTGGACTCAAAGAAAAGAACGTAGGAAAAGTCAACGCCACTGGTGGAGCAGGCATGGTGGAGGAAGTCTTCCCCCACAATATTTACATATTTTCACTTCATTTCCTTATAATGCCTAAAGCTCTACTAATTAGAAACTCATTTGAGATAACTAGTAACCAATTTAAAAATGCAAACACCTCCTGGGGCTAGCCAGAGTCCTCCAAACAGTCATGTAAATTGGTTCTGTCAAGGATTTCCTCCTACCCCCTACTGAGAGCCAGTTGCAAGGAGAGACTAGGGAAGGGCATTGGGTAACTTTGTTGCTAAAAGCTGTTCTGGATAGAGACGTTTGGGAAAAGAAGCAAATAAAGTTCAGCAGAAGAGGTAAGAAAGTAAGTTTATGTTTGGCCAGGCATGGTGGCTCACACCTATAATACCAGCATTTTGGGAGGCGGAGGTGGGCAGATCACGAGATCAAGAGGTCGAACCATCCTGGCCAACATGGTGAAGCCCCGTCTCTACTAAAAATTCAAAAATTAGTTGGTCGTGATGGCGCACGCCTGTAATCCCAGCTACTCCGGAGCCTGAGGCAGGAGAATCACTTGAACCCGGGAGGCAGAGGTTGCAGTGGGCCGAGATCATGCCACTGCATTCCAACCCAGCGACAGAACAAGACTCTGTCTCATAAAACAAAACCAAGCAAACAAAAAAAGTAAGCTTATTTTTAAGCCTGAACAAGTGTAGTGGTTTAAGGGATCTGCAAATATGGCCCCAATCAGGCTACAAGACGTGGCAGCAACATTTACACCCAGTCACTCCTGGCCGGCTGAGCCACTTTTCAAAACACCCTTGCACAGCTGTGCAGAGTGGCTGGCTCCACTGGCAGCCAGCAGAGCCATAACTCACATTGTCACCACTCCTCTCAAACCCCTTCGGTAAGCACTTTTAATCAATGCAACAGGAATAAACAGTTGCTGCAGAGCGGCAATGTGCAGGGAGGAACATGGTTCCACTCAGGCTCAGAAAGCAAAACCTCCTGGCTGTTTGCATCTATGCGAGAGCTCACAGGAAAAGCCCTCTGTGTGGCTGCCAGCCTCACACACTCCCCCCAAGGGGTGAGTTTCTCTTTCCATGTTAATCTATGCTCTGACGTGCCATCTGTCAACCACCACACCATTCTCACTTGACATTTCAAAGCATCTTTGCCCTGTGAATGGTCACCAGCCCTGCCCTGCAAGCCCCCAGGTGACATTGAACTTAAATGAGAGAGAAAACAGGTTTCGGGGTGGATTTCAGTTCAGCATCTTGGAGTCTCTGTGTGGACATGAAATCTGTCTCCCCAGCTGTGGGCTGCATCCCTCTTTGTCATCTGGTTTGGTTCTTGGGGACTTAGAAACTCGTGGGCACCTTTGCAATTTGTCAAGAAGCTGCACCGCCCTTCCAACAAAAGCAAGCAATAGGAACAGAACCCCAAGGCTTTAGATCAAGGTGCAACTTAAAGCAGCCTCAGGATAAAAGCAAACAGGAGTCAGAGGGATGCCTAAGGCAGAGTCTAGTCCCCAGGGCAGCTATAAGGCAAAGAGAAAGACAAACAGAGAGAGAAAGAGACAGAGAGAGATGGGAGGAGACATGAGGCACCCAGGCCTCTGCATCAAAATCCCTACAAGAGGGGCTTCCTAAAAATGCAGGAGGCTGAGGTGGGCGCATACAGAAGTTCAAGACTAGCCTGGGCAACACAGCAAGACCCTGTCTTCACAAAAAATACAAAAATTAGCCAAGTGTGGCAGTGTATGCCTGTGGTCCCAGCCACCCAGGAGGCTGAGGTGGGAGGATGGCTTGAGCCCAGGAGGTAGAGACTGCACTAAGCTGAGACAGTACCACTGCACTCCAGCCTGGGTGACGGAGTGAGACTTCATCTCAAAAAAATTTAAAAATTTTTTTAAAAAGGATCACCCTGGCTACTTGAATGGATGATAAGAAGGTAAGAGCAGAAGCAAGGAGACCAGCAGGGAGATTCTGCAGGTGGGAGTCCACAGTGGCTCAGACCAGGCTGGCGCTGAAGACCGGCTGGATTCTGTATGTATTTTAATGATGAAGCAACTCACTGACTCTTGAAGAGTGGGCTCTAGGAGACTGTATTTTTAACAAGCTCTCAGAGGATTCCAATGCAGGCTGAAGTTGAAGAACTACTGATTTAGGTGAAACTTCTGTTTCATCCTTGGGGAAGTACCTACTGACTTTTCTCCAAGCCACCTCAAAAGAGGCACTAGACAAGATGTGCTCCAGTGTCTGAACATGTGTGCACAGCTCTAGAGCAGACCTCAGGACACTGAGTCAAAGGTTAGGAGTACAACAGTGAACAACCACCGTCCTCTTTTCAATGAGCTTTGCATTTAATGAGAGAAATAAAAAGCAAAAAAAAAAATCATTTTCAACTCAGAATGGTAAAAGTTGTGGTGACAGCATGCCTGGGGCAATGGGAGCACATAGAAGGGGCACCCAATAGGCCAGGTGCAGTTGTTCATGCCTGTAATCCCACCACTTTGGGAGCCCGAGGTGGGTGGATCACTTGAGGCCAGGAGTTTGAAAACAGCCTGGTAAACATGGTGAAATCCTGTCTTTAATAAAAATACAAAAAAATTAGCCGCGTGTGGTGGCGGGCACCTGTAATTCCAGATTTTCGGAAGGCTGAGGTGGGAGAATTGCTTGAACCCGGGAGGTGGAGATTGCAGTGAGCCAAGATCGCACCACTGCACTCCAGCCTGGATGGCCAGAGCGAGACTCTGTCAAAAAAAAAAAAAAAAAAAAAAAAAAAAAAAAAAAAAAAAGCCAGGAGGTGGGTGGCCATCCAATCTATATCAGGTGGTCAGAAATCCTTCTCCATCACAGGACTCCTAAGTTGAAGACTAGAAAATGGTAGGAATTAGCCAGGTCGATAGGAGAGGTGTGGAAGATCATTCCCAGCAGAGGGAAGAGCATGTGCAAAAATCGAGACATGAGAGGGTGAGGAGCTGAGAGATGTTCATATAATTGTACAAAGTGACTAATGTAGAGGTAAGTTGGAGCCAAATTTTAAAGGCTCTTTGTCATGTTTATCCTGTAGACTAAGGGAGACAGTAGATGTTTTTAGGCAGGGGAGTAATGATCCACTTTGTGCTATAAAAAGAGCAGTCTGGCTGGAGGACAGTGGGAGGTGAGTAGACTAGGTAGGAGGCTGCAATACACCAAGTGAGAGAAGATGGTTGGCTGGACCAAGGCTGTGGCAGTGAGGATGGAGAGGAGACAGTAGACTAACTTGACTGAGAAAGAGGGAGGAATGCAGGATGAGGCCCAGGTGTTTTGGAAGCTGGGTGGATGGTGGTGTGTATCTGATGTGGTGAGCCCAGGCAGAAGAGGAAATCAGGAGAGGAAAGGTAACATGAGGTCAATGCAAGACAGACAGCCAAGTGGAGATAACCAGTGGGCAGTTGGATTCATCAGCCTGGAGTTATACAGAGAGGTCTGGAATGAAAATAAAGAGGAAAGGACTTTGGGAATAGGTGAATCCTCCCAGAATAATGTGTAGAGAAAGGAGAATAGAACACAGGGGACAGAAAAAGGGAAGAGATTTGTTATTAAAACCAACCATCCATCAGACATCTTCTAATAAAACACTTGTTAGAGGTTTCCTCAGTGTGAGTTATTCAGGACCAGAGCTAAAGACCATATTCCCAATAAAATCACTGCTGGGAAGGTCTTCATGAAAACATTTAATGCTGCTTTTAAAACAACAACAACAACAACAAAAAGGCTTTAGCTACTGCACAGACCCTGGAGCAATTTTTCGGCAAGAGTCTGTCAAACACGAATCTGATCTGACTCAAGGAGGTGTCATATCAAGTGTAAAAATCCAATTTCAATGTCCATAAGAGCCTTTCTGCCAGGTACAAGACCCTAATCCAGTTGAAGTGATTTTCTATTGATTAATAGGCTGGGAATACACAGGTTGTTGGTTTTTGAGATTTCCTTTCCTGTGCCTTCATGCCAGCTGTGAAAGAGTCAAAAGGCTCCTAACTGTCAAAATAAAAATGACACTTGGTCACAGAGGAAACAGATTATAGGTCAATCACCTTGATGACTTTTTAACTATGAGAAGCCATTAATGTTACTGAATAAGCAAATCTGTTTGCATAGCCAGATTTTTATAGGCTACTGGGGATAAAGGTTTTCCTAAGTGGGTGATTTGTACAACGATAGCCTTTGGGTCTCTGATGGAACAGCTCTGATAAGGAAATGTTCCTTTAATTATGTGCAAGGCCAATTACCACGTTATAGCCACATTGTTTTGCAGATTGCATATAATTTCACCATTTCATAGCTTCAGCACTATAATTCTGGAGAAAATTCAGGCACCAAGAAGACACTTGAGGCACATTATGCTGGAGATAAAGATGTTTTAGCGAATTCAATTTAAGCTACAACATTAAAGTTATTTTGTTGAATAAAACATAATGCAATAATGAGCTTGTGTATGTCAACTCTATAGTGGAGGTAATAATAGCTAGAGAGAGCATGTCCCCTCTCTTCTTTTTCATGCTCATTAGAGTAATAGATAATGCTATAGAGAGAACCTTTCTCTAATATGTGCTTCATCTCAGGCTAAGCGTGTTTTGTGCAACTGCACTTCAAGAAAAAAAAAAAAGGTAAAGGAACTAATTTGGGAGCCATTCACAAAAGTGCTACCACTTGATGTTATTTTATACTCTGAGATTTCTTATTCCCAGTGCCTACCAGGAATGGACTTTCTGGAGAAGCTCAGATTAATCACTCCTTATATACTTGGTACTGGGAGGTATGTATGGAGCAAGTGAAGAAATCAGCAGAGTGAAAACTGAGGGACAACAACACGATGGAGGAAAGGCAAAGTTACTGCCATGTTGCTTTCAATTCTGCCACTCATGAGTGAGACCCATGACCTCCTCTCTCTAGGACTCTGTTGTTCTTATCTGTAAAGTGGAGGAATAGAAGGGCCTTTTAAAGTATTAACATTTCCTGACCTATCTGTAAAACACTTTCATTCAAACTGATGGGAATCTTGACTACTTTGCCAAGAGGACATAATCATCATCAAGCTGAATGCAACAAACAACATTGCCTGAAACTATCTAAGCAAAAACTGAGAAAGTTACACAGGACAGACAAACCTCCTATAAGAGTAAGAACTCTTTAGCACATGCTCAGTGTGTCAAAGACAATGCTGTGTTCACACCATTCCTCTTCTTGGACATGCAGAAAGACTACATTTCCCAGCATCCCTTGCAGTTAGTTTAGAACCATGTGACTGCATTTCCACCAATAGGAATGTAAGAAATCACTTCAGGGCCAAGGTTATCAAAGGCAAGTGTGAGCTATGTTTCCTCTCTTCCCATCCACATGGCTACAAGTGAAAAACTCTGAGATGGCAGAATTAAATGATGGAAACCTCCAGGATCTGTGAATCACTGTTGGACAAGGGCCCCCAAGGAGAACACCTGCCCTGCACCAGACTATGCTATGGGTGTCAACCCACTGAGAGTTCAGGGTTTATTCGTCTCAGCAGCATTGTCTAGTGTTACACTGACTAACATCCTAAGGTTTGAGAGATCTAGCATATTGCTAATTGAAGCTAGATTCCAGTTACACTGAGAATCTTATCTATTTAAAAATAAAAACTCTTCTTAAAAAAACAAATAATCCACATTCCTTTTAACCACATGTGGCACATTTGCAAAAAACAACAACAACAACAACAACAACTGGCCACAGCCACATATTAGGCCATAAAGAAGTCTCAACAAAATCCACTATACGATTGACAATGTCCAGACCACATTTTCCTGACCATAATGCAACAAAATTAGAAGTCAACAGAAAGAAGATAGCTAAACACAAGCTATCTTTAATTTGGAAAATTAAAAATATCCTTTCATGAGTTAAAGGAAAAATCACAATAGAAATTACTAAATATTTACAACTGAACGAAAACAAAACTTTATATATATATATGTGTATATATATATACATATATATATATGTATATATATATTGTGTGTGTGTGTGAGTCTTCCAACTTTGTTCTTCTTTTACAAGGTTATTTGGGAAATTCTGGGTCTCCTGCAATTCCTCATACAATTTTATGCTGTTTGTCCATTTCTGTGGCTGAGATGAACTTGTTGTAGTTCTCATAGACCAGGGTCTGCATATCGCTGTCTAGAGCCCGGATCTGCCGCACCATGTCTGTCTCACTGTCCTCAGCTGGGCCAGAGGGCACTCTCGACGCAGCTTGCCTAGGTAAACTTCCGGGTCGAAGTGCACCCCGTTCAGATCAGTCGTGTCCAGGGGTTCGGGCCCCGCGGGGCGTCCCGCCGCCTCCCCTTCCGAGAAGCCATAGTAAAGCATCCCGTGTGCCTTCCGCCGACGCTCCGGAGCCTCCCCCTCGGGCCCTTCTGGGGAGTCCCCAGGTCCAGACCCCGGGCTATGTCCAGCAGCAGCTGCCGCCGCCATAGCTCCAACTGCAGCCCACGGGTGTAACTTTTTATATTTTTAAGTTGGATACATCAAGCTACTTGGCTTTTGCTTTCATCACATCATTGAGGAAAGCGGTGGTTGCTTATGGTACCCCTGTTTTTACTGCAACCTGTAATGGATGAGAATCTCCCTGTTGCAAAGAGCAAAACACTGAACTAAATTGTGCTGCAACACAGCCCTGTGTTGGGGGACTGGGAGTGATCATGCAAACAGCTGCAAATTTGCACACTGACAGAGGCAATTGTTTGGGCAGCTGTTCACTATATGAAAAGTCAATTGACCAAAAGTCAGTTACTGAGCTATCTCAATACTTTCATTTTATTTTAACTTTTGGCAGCAGGTTGCAATTAGAGGTGAGAAAGGAAACAAAGTGGTAAGTATAAGATAATGTACACACATGTGTAAAAGAAAATGACAAGACCGAATGACTATTTGTCTTTTTGTTAGCTCCTTGGGCTCTATGTCTCCCTCCTCAGAGAACCTCGTTTTCCTTTGTCCAGATTTGTTAGGGCGGATAATCCAGGCATCTGCTACCCCATGATGGAAGCCAAAGATGTCCCTGGAGACGCCTCCCACTGCATCCTTTCCTGCATTGCCCAAATGGTCACAACTCAGCCAAGTAGACTCCCTCTCAGAACTTTGGTCTTGAGCAAAGGGATTCAAGGGTGAAGTGACTGAAGGTCTGTCCTTCTAAAGTGGTAGGTGAGCTAATGGCTGAAGTTTACCAAGCCCTTCGAAGCACTTTTTTCTTAATTTTTATTTATTTGTTTATTTGAGACAAAGTCTCGCTCTGTCGCCCAGGCTGGAGTGCAGTGGTGCGATCTCGGTTCACTGCAACCTCTGCCTCCTAGGTTCAAGGGAGTCTCCTGCCTCATCCTCCCCAGTAGCTGGGATTACAGGCACGTGCCACCACTCCTGGCTAATTTTTTTTTGTATTTTTAGTAGAGACAGGTTTTTACCATGTTGGCCAGGCTGGTCTCAAACTCCTGGCCTCAAGGAATCCACCTGCCTCGGCCTCCCAAAGTGCTGAAATTATACATGTGAGCCACCACGCCCAGCCCCAAGTACTTTTTATATACCAACTCATTTAAACTTCACAGTAATACTGAGATGAGTAATATCATCACCATTTTACAGATCAGAAAACTGAGGCAGAAAGCTGTTAAATAGCCTGCCCCATGTAGTAGAGTGAAAGACATGAACCCAGGCTGACTCCTGCACCTAACCTCTACACTGCACTTGTCAAGGTCCTCTGAAACTACCTGACTCCTGTCTGCTGCAAGCCTTGTTCTTCAGGAGGACCTTATTTCTGCCAGTTCCCCAACAGCCTTCCAATAAAGTCCCTTTTTCTTCAAATATGCAAGTAGTTTTCTACTGTCTACGTCCAAAGAACTTTCAATGATATATTAAGGGAACATCAAACTGGGTATACTTGTAAATTTAGGCTTGAAAGTGTAATTTGAAAGTGGAAGTAGAGACTTAGAGCTCGCCAACTGCTATGGGTTTGTATGCGTATTAGGGTGATATGGGTTGGCTGTGTCCCTGCCAGAATCTCAATTTGTAGCTCTCACAATTCCCAAGTGTCATGGGAAGGACTCAGCAAGAGGTAACTGGATCATGGGGCGGGTCTTTCCCATGCTGTTCTCATGATAGTGAATAAATCTCACAAGGTCTGGCAGATTTATAAAGAGGAGGTCCTTTGCACAATTTCTCTCTTACCCACCACCATGTAAGAAGTCCCTTTGCTCTTCCTTCATCTTCTGCCATGACGGTGAGGCCTCCCTAGGCATGTGGAACCAAGCGGCATCCTGAAAATGCCACTAAGCCTCTTTTTCTTTATAAAGTACCCAGTTTCCGGTATGTCTTTATTAGCAGTGTGGAAACAGACTAATAAATAGGGTGAATAACAAAAACAAGATGCTGTAAAAAATGACCCCAAAATTTCAGAGGCCTAACTTAATCGAGATCTGTTGATTGCTGATGTCATGGGTGGTATGCATGGGGGAGGGGCAGGGTACCTCTGCTCTGCTCCATGCAGTCATTTAGGGATCGATGCTTCTTCCCAGACAGAACTTCACTGTCTTCAGCACGTGGCTTCTGAGGCTGGTAGGGAAGAATAAAGTGCACAGGATCCTGCAGGAGAGATTTTTTTATGGTCAAGTATAAAGATAGGCATTTATTGCTTCTCACTCATATTCCTCTAGCCAAAATGTAATCCCATGGCCCCAGACTGAACACAAGGGGACTGGGATGTATAATCTAGCAGAGTGCCCAGGAGCAAAATGAAACAGATTTGGAACACACGACCTCTTCCCACTACGGCAAGAAAATGTATTCAGTGTTCACCATATGCCCAACACAATGTTAGGCACCATGCAGGAACTTTAAACAAATCTCTATGTAAATTTATGATTTACTTGAAAAGACAGAATACATATTTCTGAAACACATGAGAATTACCCTAAACCAACAGAACATCCAAAATCATCTAGAAGAATAACAGAAGAAATTTCAATGAAACAAGAGATAACCTTTTCATATATTAAATTTTAAAATATGTTTAAATGCTAATATAAAATTTCTCCCCAGGGTGAGGTGAAGCCGATATACTCATACATGGCTTATGATGACGTAAAACATTGCAGCTCTTACAGAAGGCCATCCTGGGCCACGTGCAGTGGTTCATGCCTGTAATCCCAGCACTCTGGGGGACCGAGGCAGGCAGATCACTTGAGGTCAGAAGTTTGAGACCAGCCTGGCCAACATGGTGAAACCCCATCTCTACTAAAAATACCAAAATTATCCGGGCATGGTGGTGGGTGCCTGTCATTCCAGCTACTCAGGAGGCTGAGGCACAAGAATCGCTTGAACCCAGGAAGCAGAGGTTGCAGTGAGTGGAGATCACACAACTGCACTCCAGCCTCAGTGACTGAGGGAGACTGTTTCAGTGGCTCACACCTGTAATCCCAGCACTTTGGGAGGCCGAGGCGGTGGATCACGTGGTCAGGAGATCAAGACCATCCTGGCTCACACGGTGAAACCCCATCTCTACTAAAACTACAAAAAAAATCTGGGCATGGTGGCAGGCACCTGTAGTCCCAGCTATTCGAGAGGCTGAGGCACGAGAATGGCATGAACCTGGGAGGCGGAGCTTGCACTGAGCCAAGATCACACCACTGGACTCCAGCCTGGGCAACAGAGCGAGACTCCGTCTCTAAAAAAAAAAAAAATAGCTCTCGCTCTCCTCTCCCTCTCCCTCTCCCTCTCCCTCTCCCTCTCCCTCTCCCTCTCCCCCTCCCCCTCCCCCTCCCCCTCCCTCTCCCTCTCCCTCCACGGTCTCCTTCTGATGCCGAGCCGAAGCTGGACGGTACTGCTGCCATCTCGGCTCGCTGCAACCTCCCTGCCTGATTCTCCTGCCTCAGCCTGCCGAGTGCTTGCGCACGCCGCCACGCCTGACTGGTTTTCGTTTTTTTTTTTGGTGGAGACGGGGTTTTGCTGTGTTGGCCGGGCTGGTTTCCAGCTCCTAACCGCGAGTGATCCGCCAGCCTCGCCCTCCCGAGGTGCCGGGATTGCAGACGGAGTCTCGTTCACTCACTGCTCAATGGTGCCCAGGCTGGAGTGCAGTGGCGTGATCTCGGCTCGCTACAACCTCCACCTCCCAGCCGCCTGCCTTGGCCCCCCAAAGTGCCGAGATTGCAGCCTCTGCCCAGCCGCCACCCTGTCTGGGAAGTGAGGAGCGTCTCTGCCTGGCCCCCCATCGTCTGGGATATGAGGAGCCTCTCTGCCTGGCTGCCCAGTCTGGAAAGTGAGGAGCGTCTCTGCCCGGCCGCCATCCCATCTAGGAAGGGAGGAGCGTCTCTGCCCGGCCGCCCATCGTCTGAGATGTGGGGAGCACCTCTGCCCCGCCACCCAGTCTGGGATGTGAGGAGCGCCTCTGCTGGGCCGCAACCCTGTCTGGGAGGTGAGGAGCGTCTCTGCCCGGCCGCCCCGTCTGAGAAGTGAGGAAACCCTCTGCCTGGCAACCGCCCCGTCTGAGAAGTGAGGAGCCCCTCCGTCCGGCAGCCACCCCGTCTGGGAAGTGAGGAGCGTCTCCGCCCGGCAGCCACCCCGTCCGGGAGGGAGGTGGGGGGGGCGGTCAGCACCCCGCCCGGCCAGCCGCCCCGTCCGGGAGGTGAGGGGCGCCTCTGCCCGGCCGCCCCTACTGGGAAGTGAGGACCCCTCTGCCCGGCCAGCCGCCCCGTCCGGGAGGGAGGTGGGGGGGGTCAGCCCCCCGCCCGGCCAGCCGCCCAGTCCGGGAGGGAGGTGGGGGGATCAGCCCCCCGCCCGGCCAGCCGCCCCGTCCGGGAGGGAGGTGGGGGGGTCAGCCCCCCGCCCGGCCAGCCGCCCCGTCCGGGAGGGAGGTGGGGGGGTCAGCCCCCCGCCCGGCCAGCCGCCCCGTCCGGGAGGGAGGTGGGGGGGTCAGCCCCCAGCCCGGCCAGCCGCCCCGTCCGGGAGGGAGGTGGGAGGGGTCAGCCCCCCGCCCGGCCAGCCGCCCCGTCCGGGAGGGAGGTGGGGGGATCAGCCCCCCGCCTGGCCAGCCGCCCCGTCCGGGAGGTGAGGGGCGCCTCTGCCCGGCCGCCCCTACTGGGAAGTGAGGACCCCTCTGCCCGGCCAGCCGCCCCGTCCGGGAGGGAGGTGGGGGGGTCAGCCCCCCGCCCGGCCAGCCGCCCTATCCAGGAGGTGAGGGGCGCCTCTGCCCGGCCGCCCCTACTGGGAAGTGAGGAGCCCCTCTGCCCGGCCACGACCCCGTCTGGGAGGTGTGCCCAGCGGCTCATTGGGGATGGGCCATGATGACAATGGCGGTTTTGTGGAATAGAAAGGCGGGAAGGGTGGGGAAAAAATTGAGAAATCGGATGGTTGCCGGGTCTGTGTGGATAGAAGTAGACATGGGAGACTTTTCATTTTGTTCTGTACTAAGAAAAATTCTTCTGCCTTGGGATCCTGTTGATCTGTGACCTTATCCCCAACCCTGTGCTCTCTGAAACATGTGCTGTGTCCACTCAGGGTTCAATGGATTAAGGGCGGTGCAAGATGTGCTTTGTTAAACAGATGCTTGAAGGCAGCATGCTCGTTAAGAGTCATCACCACTCCCTAATCTTAAGTACCCAGGGACACAAACACTGCGGAAGGCCGCAGGGTCCTCTGCCTAGGAAAACCAGAGACCTTTGTTCACTTGTTTATCTGCTGACCTTCCCTCCACTATTGTCCTATGACCCTGCCAAATCCCCCTCTGCGAGAAACACCCAAGAATGATCAATAAAAAAAAAAAAAAAAAAAAAGAAATAATAAATAAATAGATTAAGAAGTCAAAAAAAAAAATACTACTACTACTACTAATAATAATAATTTTGGTTAAAAAGTATTGAGAAATTTTTCATTACTAATTAATTGTTCTCACATTGATCCTTGAAAATTGTTGTGATGCCCTGAATTTTAGTTTCTTTTCTAGAATTTTTATCATTAAAATTTCTGCAAGATAATAGCAAAGAAAATCTGTAGAGTAGATTTTCTAAAAAAATTATATGTATCAGTTTTTGTAGATGACAAGTGTTTCCTCAATTTATATAATACGTCACAGCTCAGTTCTAAATTACATTTCACAGACCAAGTTTTAAACTTGGCCTCCATAAAAGTAGGCAGTTAAAAAAAATTACCTTCATGTTACTTGCTGGACCTGGTAAGTAAAGACATTTATTACTGCATTATTTAAAATAGCAAAACATGGAAGCAATTTATATGTCCAACTATAGGGGAATGGTTGAATAAATGATGGCACATTCATTAAGTTAAACCTAATGCAGTTATGAAAAGTCATAAGTATGAAAGCCAGGGAGAATATGAAAAAAAAGGATAATGCGAAGCAAAAAGAACTGAGAATTATGAGTAGACTTGGACAGTGATTACATCAGATAAACAACAACAAAATTATTTGCAGTGAGATGGAAAGTCTCAATATCTTTCAAATATCTTTAATGGTTTCACATTACTTTTATTTTGTTTTACTTTGAGGTGGAGTCTTGCTCTGTCACCCAGGCTGGAGCGCAGTGGTATGATCTCAGCTCACTGCAACCTCTGCCTCCTGGGTTCAAGCAATGCTCATGCCTCAGTCTCCCGAGTAGCTGGGACTACAGGCACGTGCCACCATGCCAGCTAATTTTTTGTATTTTTAGTACAGATGGGGTTTCACCATGTTAGCCAGGCTGGTCTCAAACTTCTGACTTCAGGTGATTCACCCACCTCAGCCTCCCAAAGTGCTGGGATTACAGGCATGAGCCACCACACTGGTGTCATATTACCTTTAAATAATTTTTTTAGGATACAAGATGACATTGTTTTAATATATAAGTAAAGGAATCACCAGGATGCACTGGGCCTGTCCCTATGAGCACCAAGTTGATATGCACACACCCAAGTGTGAGGCACCTGCTATACACACTGTGTATGTACGTGTGCGTAAAACCTTGAGGAAAATGCCATTTGCCCCATCCATTTTTCCAAAGACGGTTCAAAGACAGTATTTATCACTAAATTCCTCCAAAACCTTAAAACCACATGTGTGCATTTGCACTTGTGAGTCACTGAAATCCACTTTGAGATCATTAGCAACAATGGACAGGGTGGCCCAGCCTGTCATGGCATGGGGACAGGTAGGGATGCTACAGTTGGAAATGGACTGACTCATACTCAGGCTGTCACAGCCTGGTCTCAGCCTGTAGGGCTCATGCTGAGAATGGTACAGGCAGGGGAGCCAGGGACTAGTGTCCAGATGAGACATCAGGCTCCATCACCCATTGGCTGAGTCACCCAGGCAGCAGAGCTCACCTGTCTGCTGGGCCTGTTTCTCTGTCTGCACAGCAAGCATCACAGTCACTATAGTCAAAATGTGTCCTCTAGAATTCATGTGTCAGAAACAATCCCCAATGCAACCATGTTAGGAGGTGGGGCCGAATGGGAGGTGTTGAGGTTGTGAGGGCCTTACCCTCGTGAATGGATTAATGCCATTATAAAAAAGGGCTTGCAGAAGTCGGTTCACTCTCAGATGCTCTTGTCCTCATGTCTTCCGTCATGTGATGATGCAGCAAGAAGGCCCTTGCCAGACACTAGTGCCTCAATCTTGGGCTTCCCAGTTTCCAGAAAAATTTCTGTTTGTTGTATATCACCCAGTCTCAGGTCTTCTGTTACAGCAGCAAAAAAGGGACTAAGACAACAGTCTGCCTATGGACTCCTTGAGAATTAAAGGGAATGCAGGAGGCCCACCTATCCTTGGATCGGGTCCATATGTTCTCAACAAATGGCAATTTCTACTCTGATGGTCTGGAAGGGTGTGACGAGTGGGTTGTTTTTCTTTTTCAAGTGTTCTGTGGTGCTTGTATAGAGCTTGTCATGAAAATTTATAAGGCACAAGTCACCCATTTATCGCACTCTGTGACCTTGGTTAAATTCTGTATCCTCTCTCTGCCTCAATGTTTTCATCTGTAGAATGGGAATGCTGGTGCATGCCCGTGGTGCACAGGTTTGTTGTAAGGCTAAATGAGCTAACTCATGTAGGCATCTAGCACAGAGTCTGGCTCATTCTAAGTACAAAATAAATGCTGCTAACTGTTGGTTTTTGCTAGGGTGTGACTTACAGGATAAGAATAATCAACCTCTGTTCATTTCTATTCAGATGAATTGGCCCTCAGAAGCTGGCTTTCTACAAGGTCCAGCTGGGTCAGGAAAAACAATAACAAGAGCAGCTAAACGCATTGAGTTCCTCTGAAATGTCAGGCACTCCTATGAGTACACAGTGGTTCCCTGCTCAAAGGATGGGGGAACAGAGGATCGGCCTTTGCCCAGCTCTGGCTGAGAGCTCTTGGATGAAGAATAACTGATGCAGAGACATCTCAGCCCTTTGCCCTGACCAGTGCCAAGAGGCCCATTGCCGATGAGAGGGTGACACCTATGACCCGGTTCACAGATCCAGAGCCAGTGAGGAGCTCTTGGAGATCAGGTGAAAGCTAAGCAGAGGCAAGCAGGTCTTGGGGTGATTTTCACTGCAGGTCATAGAAACTGGCTGAAGGTAGCTCATGCCAGCTGAAAAGGATGTTTACTGGATAAACATCAGAGTGTCTCATGAAATCTAAGAATGACAGTAGGGTAACCAACCATCCCAGCTTGCCCAGGACCTTCTCTGTTTTATTCTTGCATTTTAGGAAGCCCCTCAGTCCCAGGCAGACTGAAGCTGTTGGCAGCCCTGGAATCAGGTGCCACAGAGGTGGGACCCCTGTGGGATTCTCGCCACGTCTCTCCTCCCTGCTTCCCTTTGCATGCCTCTTCCCTCTTGCCCCAAGCACCCACCCTTCCCAGCCTCCTCTCACATGCGGTGCAAGGTGGCAGCCCCAGGCTTTGAGCCTTTCCCTTTCCCGCAGGCACTGCCAAGACAGGCTGAGAATCTCTCACCCCTAACACCAGATTTCCAGAGGAGGGAAGCTGATCAGCCAAGCCAGGCCAGATATCCACCCAGATCTTCATCTGCTGTGGCCAAGAGGAGGACCCTATGGTTGGGAACTGGAGCCCCTATTACCTGCTGAACACTGCTCCAGAACATAAGAAATGCTACAAAAAAATGAAACAGAATAAATGGTGTCATAAATTGAATGTTTGTATCCCCATTCCATTTTTTTTTTTTTTGAGATGGAGTCTTGCTCTGTCCCCCAGGTTACAGTGCAGTGGCGTGATAGTGGCTCACTGCAAGCTCCACCTCCCGGGTTTGCACCATTCTCCTGCCTTCAGCCTCCCGATTAGCTAGGACTACAGGCGCCCGCCACCTTGCCTGGCTAATTTTTTGTATATTTAGTAAAGACAGGGTTTCACCGTGTTACCCAGGATGGTCTCGATCTCCTGACCACGTGATCCGCCCGCCTCGGCCTCCCAAAGTGCTAGGACTACAGGCATGAGCCACTGTGCCCGGCCCCCACTCCAATTTTATATGTTGAAATCCTAACCCCAAGGGGATGGTATCAGGAGGTGGAGCCTTTGCAAGGTGATTAGGTCATGAGGGTGGGACCCTCATGAATGGGATTAGTGCACTTGTCAAAGGGACTTGAGAAAGCTGCCTTACCCCTTTCACTACATGAGGGCATGCTGAGAAGGCACCATCTGTGAACCAGGAAGCCAGCCCTCACCAGATACCAAATCAGCTGGTGCCTCGATATTCGAATTTCCAGCCTCTAGAACCATCAGCAATAATCTGTTGTTTCAGCCAGTCAGTGTACGGCATTTTTGTCATAGCAGCCTAAACTGACTAAGACAGAGAGATACAGAAAGATGGGATGGGACAGTCAAGGACAGCCTTCCCGAGGAGGCATATGTTAGTTTCCTATGGCTGCTGTGACAGTTATCATAAACTGGGTGGCTTAAACAATGTACATTTACTTCCTTGTAGTTCTGTAGGCCAGGAATCCAAGATGGGCTAAAATCAAGGTGTTGGCAGGACTCTTTTTCTTCCAAAAGCTCTGGGGGAGAAGCCCTTTCCTTGCCTTTTCCATCTCTTAGAGACCCCCCACATTCCTTGGCTCATGGTCCCTTCCTCCACCTTCAAGCCAGCAGTCATGGGTTGAGTCTTTCTCACATTGCATTTCTCTGATTCTGACTCTTCTGTCTCCCCCTTCCATCTTTTGAAGGTCCTGTGATTACACTGGGCCCACCAGAATAACACTATTTCAAAGTCAGCGGATTAGCAACCTTAATCCATGCACAATATGAATTCTCCTTTGCCAAGCACCATAACATAGCCACGGGTTCCAGAGATTAGGATATGGACATCGTCAGGGGAGAAGGGCATTACGCCACCTACTACAAGGTAATACTTGAACAGAGGCCCTGGGACAAGCCTGCACTGTGAAGGCTGAGTTCAAATACACCTGCCACAGTCCATCTGTGCAAGGGGCAGGGAGGGGAGAGAGAGCACAGAGAACACGGATCATTCTGAGCAGGACGGGCTTCTCCAGAGGTGTCTCCATACAGCTCCATATAGCTTCTTGGCTATGACGGGAGGTGAAATTAACATCTGCCTCTACAGCAAACAGCACATGTCTTACCATATGCCAAGAGGCAAAGCATGAACTCCTTCTGGGGTCCAGTGTCCCAGATGTGGTTCCTAACTCCAGACCCTTCCTAGAAGCCACTGTCAGAGGGTTAACCCTGTGCGGCACTCATGCCCTGAGACAGAGGTGTGCAGGAAGGAGCTGTGGGCAGTGGTTCTCCAAGGGGGGAGGTAAGGAAATAGGGAGATGTGATGGAGAGCAGTGGTTTAGCTGTATCTGTGATGATGTTTCTTAAGAAACCCAAAAAGGTCTGAAGCAAATACTGCACAATTATGTTGCTAATTGGGAGGGTGGGGTCTTTTCTTATTTTCTGCTCATTTTAAAAAATTTTTTAAGAGATGGGGTCTTGCTTTGTTGCCTAGGCTGGTCCTGAACTCCAGGCCTCAGGGGATCCTCCTGCCTTCACCTCTCAAAGTGCTGGGATAATAGGCATGAGCCATCACACCCAGCCAATCCTTTTCTATATGTTTGAAATATTGCACAGTCAAAAAGAAACTAATAAATTACAAGGGAAACAAACTTACAGAAACATCTAAACCTCCTTCAAGGCAACATCCGGTCTGACTTTGACATTACTGAAAAGCTAAAAGCTCACCCCACTGGGAACGCAGCTGAAAACTAGATTCAGAACTCCTCAAAGAAGAGGCTCCCAGGGAGATACCTTATGCGGCTCCACTTATCCTGCTGCAGGTACACCCAGTCCCCAGGGCTCCCACATCTGGCCAAGAGTTAAATTCTAGAAGAGAGGTGAAGTCTGGAGTATCTGGTTTGACATGTGTTTTTAAATTCCGTGGCTGACGCTACAACCAAAGGTTCTGCTCATGTGAAGCACAAAGGGGAGATGAAATGTAGACCCAGAAGGATGACAGCAGCTTCATTGTGCCCCATTGCAGGATGCCAGGCAAACCCAGCTGCCCTGGAATAACGGCACCCTGAGGGAGGCTCTCTGCACCCCTCCACCCACCCTTGTTTCATCCTGGGTTGGAGGGAGCATGGCTGCAGCCCCTATCCCTGTATCAACCCTGGAAAATAACAGAGCCAACCTCTGATCCTTCTTGGACAGCAGAAAAGCTCAAGAACCTTCCCCTCTCACATCTGAAACTCCAAAGTTCATCACAGATTTCAATGTGAATTGGGAATCTTTCAAGGCAGGTATTATCATTCTAGCCTTAAAACTAGTCGTTAGCTTACTCAAGAAATGGTTATTAAGCACCTACCATGTGTTGGGTATGGCTTCATGCACTAAGAATACAGCAGTGAGCCAAAAAGACAAAAATCACAGGTCTCATGGAGCCTGTGGTATAGTTGGAGACAGATGACAAACAAGGAAAACAAGTCAATATATTAACACACGTCAGCCAGGCACAGTGGCCACCTAACACTTTGGGAGGCCAAGACAGGAGGATTGAGTCCCAGGAGTTTGAGACCAGCCTGGGCAACATAGTGAAAACCTATCTTTACAAAAAATTAGCCAGATGTGGTGGCACGCACCTATAATCCGAGCCACTTGGGAGACTGAGAAGGGAGGATCACCTGAGCCCAGGAGGTCAAGGTTACAGTGAGCTATGACCGCAACACTGCGCTTCAATGATAGAATAAGACCTGTCCCAAAAATATATATATACACACATATATTTTAATCTATATATTTAAATCTATTTTTAAATACATAAACATATTAACATATCATTATGTAATGTGTTACTATATAGTTACAGCTAATTAATATATAGTAATGTGTATATACACATATATAACTATACATTAACACATTACATATATATGTTAATTAGTTTGTTATTAGTTATAAGTGCTAAGCGGGGAAAGTAAAGCAAGGAAGGAGAACAGGGGGGCGAGGGGTGGTTTGCAGTCCCAGCTGGGTGGACACTGAAGAAGACCAGACTGGGTGCAGTGGCTCATGCCTGTAATCCCAGCACTTTGAGGGGCAGAAGTAGGAGGACCCCCTGAAGCCAGGCATTCCAGATCAGCCTAGGCAATATAGCAAGACTGTCTCAACAAAACAAAAGGAAAATAAAATAAATAAGTTGAGCATGGCGGCACTCGCTTATAGTCCCAGCAAGTCAGGAGACCAAGATGGGAGGATTGCTTGAGCTTAGGCGTTTGAGGCTGCAGTGAGCTATGATTGTGCCACTGCACTCCAGCCTGGGCAACAGAGTGAGACGTTATCTCAGAAAAAAAAAAAAAAAGAGTGAGACGGGAGCCACTGGTGGCGTCTGAGCACCTGAGTGACATACCCTGACTGCTGCATGAAGAGGAAGCACAGAAACAGGACGCCAGCCAGAGGTGGCTCAATAACCCCTTAGGGTGCAAACAACAGCTAGGATGGGGGCTGAAGGGGGTTAGAATTTTTAGAGTGATTTTTACGTTTTTGCTTTGTCCCTTCACATCCCTGTGCCTCCTTTTTCTCCATGTTGAAATGGAGCATAACATGAGCCACCCCTGGGTGATGGTCTGTGCACACAGCTGCCCACTTCCCTAGGATGTGTTGTTAGATTCCATGACTTACAAAGCAGGTGAGACTCTAACAGGAGGAGCTAAGTCTGGTGACCTTGAAGAGGAGGGCAGCTTATCTTTCCAGGTGATACTGTCATCAATGCTGCATCCTCAGATTCAATAACAGAGAATAAATCCTTTGTCAAGATATGAGTGGTGAAAAAACCACCACCTCCCCCAGAGAGCCCGTCTTCCAAGAAAGCCCATCCATACTCAGATCCTTTTTTATTACTCTTGGAAAGGTGGTGTGAAAATTTGATAAGGCAAGATATCAAAGTTCTGGCGTGTCACAGAGAGCGCTCTCGCTTGCTGATAACGTGCAGATACGGCAAGTCGAAAAGTACTTTTTTATTGCTTTGGGGCTCTCGATTCGTACCAGAGTTCCACAGCTGCTGGCTGAGTCAGCCGGTTCCTAACCATTCAACCTTTCAGAACATCATCTCCGCAAACCTGCAGTGCAGTGCTAATTTCTGAGATTATCCTCTGGGTAAAAAGGAACTGTCTCCTGGTGGCAGGGTGGGGTGGGTCACTACCTCCACAAAAAAGCAAAGAATGGTGGCAAATAGCAGGTGCTCAGGCTCTCCCAAGTGCAGGGTCGCTGTCCCAAGGGAACACAAGTGTTCCAAATGCAACACCCTGGAAAGGATTCTCCTCTTCATTCACTCCTGCCACAAGAATCTCATTCACAGATGCTGCTATGTTTAAAATGTTTAAGTCTCTCCCTTGGAATAAAGGATGTCTGAGTTTTCTTCCTCAAGAGCCAAGGTACTGCTACTGCAAAGAGCCCATGGAGACGTAGATGAAACCCAATACCCATGAGTTGGTTGTTGTCCTTACTGGAGCTGAATGATATGTACACAGCATGCATTGAACGAGTCTCTCTGCTTTTCATATATTCGAAATTTTCTATAATTAAAAAAATATTTAGGCTGGGCGCGGTGGCTCATGCCTGTAATCATAGCACTTTGGGAGGCCAAGGCGGGTGGATCACCTGAGGTCAGCAGTTCGAGACCAGCCTGGCCAATGTGGTGAAACCCCATCTCTACTAAAAATACAAAAATTAGCTAGGTGTGGTGGTGCATTCCTGTAGTCCCAGCTACGTGGAAGGCTGAGGCAGGAGAATCACTTGAACCCGGGAGGCGGAGGTTGCAGTGAGCCGAGATCATGCCACTGCACTCCAGCTTGGGTGACAGAGCGAGACTCCATCTCAAAAAATATATATATATATAAAAAACCACCCTCAGAGCAAGTTGGCAATAGCTAATAAAATGATAAGTGTCAGGCCTCTGAGCCCAAGCTAAACCATCATATCCTCTGTGACCTGCACATATATACATTCAGATGGCCTGAAGCAACTGAAGATCCACAAAAGAAGTGAAAATAGCCTTAACTGATGACATTCCACCACTGTGATTTGTTTCTTCCCCACCCTAACTGATCAATGTACTTTGTAATCTCCCCCACCCTTAAGAAGGTTCTTTGTAATCTCCCCTACCCTTAAGAAGGTTCTTCGTAATTCTCCCCACCCTTGAGAAAGTACTTTGTGAGATCCACCCACTGCCCGCAAAACATTGCTCCTAACTCCCCTGCCTATCCCAAAACCTATAAGAACTAATGATAATCCCCCTACCCTTCGCTGACTCTCTTTTCGGACTCAGCCCACCTGCATCCAGGTAAAATAAACAGCCTTGTTGCTCACACAAAGCCTGTTTGGTGGTCTCTTCACATGGATGTGCATGACAATAAGTGTGCATACCCTTGGACTCAGCAATTCCACTTCTTCAAATTCATCCTGCAGATACACCAGCAAAAGTACCACATGAAGCATTGTTCCTACCACACTCATAAGAGCAAAAGGCTGGAAACAAGCTAAATGTTCAACAAGAGGGGACTGGCTAAGTAAACAATAGCACAGAGGAATCGCGTGTGTGCCGCTGATAAAAGGAAAAGGACATGGCCTGACATGTGACAACCTCCAAGGCAGAGTGAAGTGGGCAGAATCGTGGTCCCCCAAGGAGCTCTGTGTTCCTGTGAATATGTCACCTTATGTGACAAAAGGGACTCTGCAGATGTGATCAAGTCAAGGGTGTTGAGATGAGGACATCACCCTGGATTATCCAGTTTAACCCAATGTAATCACAAGAGTCTCTAAACAGGGAGAAGGATCAGAATCAGAGGGAGACTTGAAGATGTCACCCTACTGGCTTCAAACAGAGAGAAGAGGCCATGAGTCAAGCAATGCAGGCAGCCTGCAGGACTGTAAAAGGCAAGGGAACATCTTGATGTCACAGTGAGACACGTTTTGGACCTCTGGCCTCCAGAACTGTGGGGAAAGAATTAATTTGCATTGTTTTAAGACATTACATTTGTAGTAATTTGTTATTGCAGGAATAAGAAACGAACACATAATTCACTTTGGGAGGCCGAGGTGGGTGGATCACGAGGTCAGGAGATCAAGACCATCCTGGCTAACACAATGAAACCCCATCTCTACTAAAAATACAAAAAATTAGTCAGGCGTGGTGGTAGGCACCTGTAGTCCCAGCTACTCAGGAGGCTGAGGCAGGAGAATGGTGTGAACCCGGGAGGCGGAGCTTGCAGTGAGCCCTGAGATCATGCCACTGCACTCCAGCCTGGGCGACAGAGTGAGAGTCCGTCTCAAAAAAAAAAAAAAGAAACTAATACATAATTTAAAGAGAAAAAGCAGTATGCAAACATCTTTATCAGCTGGGTGTGGTACCTCATGCCTGTAATCCCAGCACTTTGGGAGGCTGAGATGGGAGGACTGACTGACCTCGGGAGGTTGATGCCATGGTGAACTGTTGTATTAGTCTGTTCTCACAATGCAAATAAAGACATACCCGAGACTGGGTAATTCATAAAGGATAGAGGCTTATTGGACTCACAGTTCCACATGGCTGGGGAGGCCTCACAATTGCAGCAGAAGGCAAAAGAGAAGCAAAGACACGTCTTACATGGCAGCAGGCAAGAGAGTTTGTGCAGGGGAACTCATCAGATCTCCTGAGACATATTCACTATCATGAGAACAGTATGGAGGAAACTGCCCCCATGATTCAATCTCCACCTGGCCCCACCCTGGACATGTAGGAATTATTACAATTGAAGGTGAGACTTAGCCAAACCATATCAACTGTGATGGCCTCGCTGCACTTCAGCCTCGGTGACAGAGTGAGACTCTGTCTGAAAGTTTTTTTCTTTTTCTTTTTTTTTCTGAGACAGAGAGTCTCGCCCTGTCACCCAGGCTGGAGTACAATTGAGTGATCTCAGCTCATTGCAACCTCCGCCTCCTGGGTTCAAGCAATTCTCCTGCCTCAGTCTGCTGAATAGCTGGGATAACAGGTGCCCACCACCACGCCCGGCTATTTTTTTGTTTTTTTAGTAGAGATGGGGTTTCACCATGTTGGCCAGGCTGATGGCGAACTCCTGACCTCAGATGATCCACCCACCTTGGCCTCCCAAACTGCTGGGATTACAGGCATGAGTCGCCATGCCCGGCCAAAAGTTTTTTTAAAAAGTGTTTATCATAAGCTATCGTTTACAGAAGATGGATAGATGTAAATACAGATTCAGATGCTGCTACAGATACAGATGTAGACGTACAGATATACTTTATGGAAGGAGACAAGAAACTGGCAACATTGGTGACCTGCAGAGATGAGAGCTGGCGGAGGGAGTAAAGGAGGGTAAGAATGTCTTTTCCAATGTGTACCTCTTTGTATCTTTTGGTTTTTGCATCATGTGAATATACTGGCTAGTGAAAACAGTAAAATTTCAATGACAACATTCCTTCCTCCATTACCATGACATACATATTTTCAAGACTCTTTTATTTAAAATGTATAGGGCTTTGGCCAGACGTGGTGGCTCACGTCTGTAATCCTAGCACTTTGGGAGGTTGAGGCGGGTAGATCACTTGAGGTCAGGAGTTCAAGACCAGCCTGGCCAATATGGTTAAATCCCGTCTCTACTAAAAATACAAAAAGACAAATTAGCTGGGCATGGTGGCAAGCATCTGTAATCCCAGCTACTTGGGAGGCTGAGGCAGCAGAATCACTTGAACCAGGGAGGCGGACGTTGCAGTGAGCCGAGATCATGCCACTGCACTCTAGCCTGGGTCTCAGAGAGAGACTCTGTCTCAAAAAAACCAATGTATAGGGCTGGATGCAGTGGCTCATGCCTGTAATACCAGCACTCTGGCAGGCTGAGGCAGGAGGATCACTTGAGTCCAGGTGTTCAAGATCAGCCTGAACAACAAAGCAAGACCCTCATCTCTACAAAAATCAAAAAATTAGCCAGGTGTGGGCCAGGCACAGTGGCTCACACCTGTAATCCCAGCACTTTGGGAGGCCAAGGCGGGTGGATCACCTGAGGTCAGGAGTTCGAGACCAGCTTGGCCGATATGGTGAAACCCTGTCTCTACTAAAAATACAAAAAATTAGCCAGGCATGGTGGCACATACCTGTAATCCCAGCTAGTCAGGAGGCTGAGACAGGAGAATCACTTGAACCCAGTAGGCAGAGGTTGCAGTGAGCCAAGATCGCACCATTGCACTCCAGCCTGGGTAACAAAGAGCGAAACTCCATCTAAAAAAAAAAAAAAATAGCCAGGTGTGGTGGCATGTACCTGTGGTCCTAGCTACTCAGGACACTGAGGCAGGAGGATCGCTTGAGCCCAGGAGGCCAAGGCTAGAGAGAGCTGTGTTCACACTACTGCATTCCAGCCTGGAGGACACAGCATGACTCTGTCTCAAAAATAATTAATTAATTAATTAAAATAAAATGTCTAAACTGAAGTAGCATGGAAATAGAGTTGTCACTACGACCGCTCTCCAGTGGTTGGACTCCTGGGAAACTTGGGGCACCTGAGAAGAACACACAAAAATGTCTGGAAAACCTTCCTGGATTTCACTGGCTACATGGCATTCACCAGCCCAAAGGGAGTCAGCCAGTGCCCCCTTTCAAGGCAGACTCAGAGAGGAAGTTTCTTCCCATCAATATGGAAGCCTCTCTAGTCTTCTCTGGATTCCACACCCTCACCCAACACATCCCAAAACAGCCAGGAGGAACAGATTCCAACACAGTCTCATTCTGAAGCCTGGTCTGTCCTCTGATCCTCCAAATAGGCCATGGCTAGACTCTTCAACAGTCCTTCTTCTACCTAAAAAAACTCCCAATTATTTCATTTTATGTGTCGGCTAAGGAAGCAGAAGAGGACTAGGACAGCCCCAGGCAAAAATGCTCCCAGACCTAAAGTGATTAGCTTTATGCAAGCCATTATGCAAATTTATGGCCATTTCAAAGCTATTCAGCCTTGAGGAGACCAAGCAGAGAATGGAGAGTAGAATTCAAAAGTTTTTGATTATCCAAGTTCACTCAGATTCTAATTTGAATATTAAAACTCACAGTGATTACTATGTGGCCCATGTACCATCAGACCTTTTAAAGCTTTAGTTACACTTTGCCCAAAATCAGGGATGTAAAGAATTCAAAACACCGAGTATACGAGGAACAAAGGTTGAACTCAATGTCATCAGTCCAGGGGGGTGTTTTCTCACCTTTGGACCGAGAGCACAGCATCAGCCAGGTCTCACCACTTATCTCCAGGATAACCAGGTGAGGCAGCCCAGACCCACCTGAGCTCAAAGGGGGTGAGCCAGGGTCCACATCCAGGCAGCTGAGAACTAGTGAAACTGTTGTGGGATATGATGAGGTTTCTCTTTAAATAGCCTGATCAATCCTTTATTTTTTAATTCCTAGTACCCCCTCCACCCCTTTTTCCTTTTTCTCTTTTTTTCTTCCTTTCTGCCTTGGTTATATGCCTAGACACGCCACAGTACCAGGCGTTATCAGTACCAACTCACATTCCTTTCCTTATTTGGAAAGAAGACTAGCTTTCTAGCTCATTGCAGACACCCCTTCCCCTTTCCCTCTCTCCCTTACGTGCCCACCTTATCTAAAAAAAGTTTAAATGTTTAGCCAACGGGGATTAGTTTAGACTGTACAACCCGACTCCGGCCAATGGGGAAAGGGTACAGAGGCAGGACTTGCGTCAGGAATAAAGGCTCTAGTGCCTCTTTGTTCAGGTGTACTCTCATGGCGACTGGCCAAGGAGAAGCACCCCTTTGCGCAGAAGTAAAATCTCTTTGCTAAAAATCCTTTGAGTGTTCAATTTCCTTAGGATTTTGAACGTTATTACCAACACTATTACAAGAGTTAAGAAGAAATTATTTAGGCAGATAGCGAGGGTAACAAAGTCCTCGGTAAGGTTTCTCTTTTAATAAAAAGCCCCAAAATCATTTTCTTTTTTTTTTTTTTTTTTTTTTTTTGGTATGGAGTCTCGCCCTGTCACCCAGGCTGGAGTGCAGTGGCGCAATCTCCACTGAAAACTCCACCTCCTGGGCTCAAGTGATTCTCCTGCCTCAGCCTCCGGAGTAGCTGCGCTACAGGTGTGTCCCACCACGCCCAGCTAATTTTTGTATTGTTAGTAGAGTCAGGGTTTCACCATGTTGACCAGGCTAGTCTCGAACTCTTGAACTCAGGTGATCCGCCCACCTTGGCCTCCCAAAATGCTGGGATTACTGCCGTGAGCCACCGCCCTCGGCCCCAAAATCATTTTCTTTTCTAACAAACAGCAGCCTGTAAAATCAGGCTGCAGACATAGAAAGGCAACCCAGAAGCTTGTGCAGGTTAATACGGGCAGTTGTGCCAACAGGAAATGGGCTACCTGGGGAGTAAGCATATTCAAAATGGCGGCTCCATCTTCCCTTTTCTTTGTAAACCACGTGTACACAGTAAGGAGCAGGCAACATGGCTCTGGCCTGGCAAAGACCCTATCTACATAATGGTAGATTAGGGTGGGACAGCCAGCTTCCCAAAGTGCTATGTAAATATCACATCTGGTCCAACCAATCTTTGGGTCCTATGTAAATCAGACACCGCCTCCTCAAACCAGTCTATAAAAACCCGTGCTCGGCTGGGCACGGTGGCTCACGCCTGTAATCCCAGCACTTTGGGAGGCCGAGGCGGGTGGATCACGAGGTCAGGAGATGGAGACCATCCTGGCTAACACGGTGAAACCCTGTCTCTACTAAAAAATACAAAAAAAAATTAGCCAGGCTTAGTGGCGGGCACCTGTAGTCCCAGCTACTCAGGAGGCTGAGGCAGGAGAATGGCCTGAACCTGGGAGGCAGAATTTGCAGTGAGCCAAGATCGGGCCACTGCACTCCAGCCTGGGCCACAGAGGGAGACTCCATCTCAAAACAAAAAAACAAAAAAAAATCGTGCCCTTCACCGCAAAACCAGAAATCCCACTAGGGCGCCCCCCTCTCTCTTGCAGGAGATAAGGCTATTCTCCTTTCCTTTTTTTTTCTTTTTCTTTCTTTTTTTTTTTTTTTTTTTTTTTTTTGAGATGGAGTCTCGCTCTGTTGCCCACACCGGAGTGCAGTGGTGCAATCTCGGCCCACTGGAAGCTCCACCTCCTGGGTTCAAGCAATTCTGCCTAAGCCTCTCAAATAGCTGGTGAGAGGTGACAGCGTGCTGGCAGTCCTCACAGCCCTCGCTCGCTCTAGACGCCTCCTCTGCCTGGACTCCCACTTTGGTGGCACTTCAGGAGCCCTTCAGTCCGCCGCTGCACTGTGGGAGCCCCTTTCTGGGCTGGCCAAAGCCGCAGACGGCTCCCTCAGCTAGCCGGGAGGTGTGGAGGGAGAGGCGCAGGTGGGAACCTGGGCTGCCGGGGTGCTTGCCGGCCAGTGTGAGTTCCGGGTGGTTGTGGGCTCGGCGGACCCCGCACTCGGAGCGGCCGGCAGGCCCCACTGGCCCCGGGCAGTGAGGAGCTTAGCACCTGGGCCAGCAGGTGCTGTGCTCAATTTCTCGCCGGACCTTAGCTGCCTTCCCGCGGGGCAGGGCTCCGGACCTGCAGCCCGCCATGCCTGAGCCTCCCCGCCGCCTCCGTGCGCTCCTGTGCTGCCGGAGCCTCCCCAACGAGCGCCACTCCCTGCTCCAGGGCACCCAGTCCCATCGACCACCCAAGGGCTGAGGAGTGCGGATGCATGGCGCGGGACTGGTAGGCAGCTCCACCTGCAGCCCCGGTGCGGGATCCACTGGGTGAAGCCAGCTGGGCTCTTGAGTCTAGTGGGAACTTGGAGAACCTTTATGTCTAGCTAAGGGATTGTAAATACACCAATCAGCACTCTGTCTCTAGCTCAAGGTTTATGAAAACACCAATCAGCACCCTGTGTCTATCTCAGGGTTTGTGAACGCACCAATGGACATGCTGTATCTAGCTACTCTGGTGGGGACTTGGAGAACCTTTATGTCGACACTCTGTATCTAGCTAATCTGGTGGGGACCTGGAGAACCTTTGTGTCTAGCTCAGGGATTGTAAACGCACCAATCAGCACCCTGTCAAAACAGACCACTGGGCTCTACCAATCAGCAGGATGTGGGTGGGGCCAGTTAAGAGAATAAAAGCAGGCTGCCCCAGCTAGCAGTGGCAACTAGCTGGGGTCTCTTTTCACACTGTGGGAGCTTTGTTCTTTCGCTCTTTGCAATAAAACCTGCTGCTGCTCACTCCTTGGGTCCACACTGCCTTTATGAGCTGTAACACTCACCGGAAGGTCTGCAGCTTCGTTCCTGAAGCCAGCGAGACCACGAACCCACCGGGAGAAACGAACAACTCCAGACGCACTGCCTTAAGAGCTGTAACACTCACGGCGAAGGTCTGCAGCTTCACTCCTGAGCCAGCGAGACCACAAACCCACCAGAAGGAAGAATCTCCAAACACATCCGAACATCAGAAGGAACAAACTCCGGACACACCGCCTTTAAGAACTGTGACATTCACCGCGAGCGTTCGCGGCTTCATTCTTGAAGTCAGTGAGACCAAGAACCCACCAATTCTGGACACACTGGGACTACAGGCAAGCGCCACCTTGACCAGATAATTTTTGTATCTTTAGTAGAGACGGGATTTCACCATGTTGGCCAGGATGGTCTTGATCTCTTGACCTTGTGATCCGCCCTCCTTGGCCTCCCAAATTGCTGGGATTACAGTCATGAGGCACCACCCGGCCTCTCTTTTGCCTGTTAAACCTCTGCTCCTCTGCTGGTTGTGGTGGCTCATGCCCGTAATCCTAGCACTCTGGGAGGCTGAGGCAGATGGATCACCTGAGGTCAGAAGTTCAAGACCAGCCCAGCAAAAATGGCAAAATCCTGTCTCTACTAAAAATACAAAAATTAGCCGGGCGTGGTGACCTGCGCCTGTAATCTAGGCTACCTGGGAGGCTGAGGCAGAATCCCCTGAACCCCGGAAGCGGAAGTTTCAGTGAGCCGAAATTGTACCACTGCACTCCAGCATGGGCGACAGAGTGAGACTCAGCTCAAAAACAAAACAAAACAAAAAACCCTCCACCCTTAAACCCACTTCTCGTGTGTCAGTGTTCACAATTTCCTTGGCGTAAGACAACGAACCTTGAGTATTTACCCTGGACAACGACACCCTTCAAAACCGCCTTTGCAAAAATTGTAACAGGAAATTATGGCAGTTAAAGAGATCAGACCTAACAGACTCCATCTTGCTTCTAACCTTTAAGCTGTCTTTGTTCAGTCCTGAGTGTAGGAAGGAATTCAGTTCATAGTTTGACTCTGAAACAAAATTCATAATAGCCCTTTCCCGAAAAGACCCCCTTCTTGCCTGGGGACCAATCTGCCTTTGCAGGACTAACAAATTTGCTACAAGATTAAAAATTAGTTTAGGGGTCATGCAGCCTTTGGCTCCAAGTGTCTCAACTTCCCCAGATTGCTCCTGGCGATAATATCACTATTGTAAAACCTAAGATCAGTGCTTGAGATATTTTGCAGACCCTGCACACTGGATGGATCAGCTGACACCACTCAGACAGGTAATCTGCTTCAAACAGTTCTGCCATCGTGCCCAGGAACAGAAGACAGCACAAAAACCTCACTTCAGCCTCCTATGATTCCATCTCCAACCTGACCAATCAGCACTCCCCACTTCCCAAGCCTTTACCTGCCAAATGATCTTTAAAAACTTTGATCTTCAAATACCTGGGGAGACTGATTTGAAGAATAATAAAACCCCAGTCTCCTGCACAGCTGGCTCTGCATGAATTACTCTTTCACCATTGCAGCTCCCATCTTGATAAATCGGCTCTGTCTAAACAGCGGGCAAGGTAAACCCATTGGGAGGTTACGTTAGGACTCAGGAAAGCACTTGCTGAGCTCTTGCGATCAGCCAGACACACTTCAAAATATGTTGTGTGTGTTAACTAATTTACTCCTCAGAGCCACACTTCGAGAGACAAATTGGGAAACCAAGGCACAACTAATGAGCGGCAGATAAGGGATTCCATCCAGCAATTCGATCCCATTGTCACACCACACCCACTGTGAGATCAGTGTGTGATCCTCTGGAATCACTATGCTTTCCCCTCTAAAGCATAGAAAACTGGAAATTTCTGATTTCTCAGGAAGGACATAGACAAGGAGGTCCATGAATAAGCAAGGGCCTGGCAGGTTGGGATCCAGAGCTTGGGGTAGCAGACAGCCTGGGTTTGACCTTGGACTGGACTGTGTTCCTTGTGTCATTATGGATGATAGGCTCTAAAAATTATTTTTTGTTGTCGTTGTTGGGTTTTTTGTTTTTTTGCTTTGTTTCGTTTTTTTGTTTTTGTTTTTGAGATGGAGTCTTGCTCTGTCGCTCAGGCTGGAGTGCAGTGGTGTGATCTCAGCTCACTGCAACCTCCACCTCCTGGGTTCAAGAGATTCTCCTGCCTCAGCCTGCTGAGTAGCTGGGATTACAGACACGCAACACCACGCTGGCTAATTTTTGTATTTTTAGTAGAGACAGGGTTTCACCATGTTGCCCAGGCTGGTCTCGAACTCGTGAACTCAGGTGATCCACCCACCTTGGCCTCCCAGAGTGCTAGGATTACAGGCATGAGCCACTACACCCGGCCCCAAAATCCTTTCCTTTTCTAACAAAGAGCAGCCTGTCAAATCGAGCTGCAGACATAGAAAGGCAAGCTATGTCAAGTCACCACACCCGGCTAATTTTTGTATTTTTAGTAGAGACGGGATTTCTCTGTCTCTACTAAAATGTGCTATGTAATTAGTACAGATGGGATTTCGCCATGTTGGCCAGGCTTATCTTGAACTCCTAACCTCAAGTGATCCGACTGCCTCAGCCTCCCAAAGTGCTAGGATTACAGGCATGAGCCACCATGCCCAGCCTATATTATTGTTAAGATATTACTCAAATGCCGTACCATTTGACTTCTTAAAGTATACAGCTTGGTGGTTTTTAGTGTATTCACTAAGTTGCACAACTCTCACCGTTATCTAATTTCAGGATATTTCTTTAACCCCAAAAAAGAAATCCCCTCCCCATTAGCAGTCACTTTCTACTCCTTCCCCCAAGTCTCAGGCAACCACTGATCTACTTTCTGTCTCTACGGGTTTGCTTATCCTGAACATTTCACAATAATGGAATCATACAGTATGTCACCTTTCACACCTGCCTTCTCTCTTGAAGACCTTGTGTTTTAAAGATTCATCCATGTTGTAGCATGTGTCAGTATAGTTGTCCCTTGGTATCCCTGGGGGATTGGTTCAAGGACCCTCCTCGGATACCAAAAATCACTGCTCTCAAATCCCTGACATGAAAATGTCACAGTATTTGCATAGAACCTACAAACATCATCCTGTATACTTTAAATGTCTAGATTACTTTGAATACCCAATACAATGTAAGTATTACGTAAATAGTTGTTACACTGTATTGTTTAAGGATTAATGACAAGAAACACAAGTCTGCACATGTTCAGTACAGATGCAAACATTTTTTCCCTGAATATTTTCAGTCCCAAGTTTGGTTGAATCCACAGATGCAGAACCCATGAATATGTGGGGCTGGCTGTCCTTCATTCCTTTTTATGGCCAAATAATATTCCGTTGTATGAATAAGGCCACATTTTGTTTGTCCATTTATCAGTTGATGAACATTTTGAGGTGTCTCTACTTTGGGCTATTATGAATAATGCTGCTATAAACATGGGTACACCAGTTTTTCTGTGGATATAAATTTTCACTTCTCTTGGGTTTACACCTAGGAGTGAAATTATGGGTTATATGGTGACTCCATAGCTAACTTTTTTTTTTTTTTTTTTTTTTTTGAGATAGAGTCTTGCTCCATCACCCAGGCTGGAGTGCAATGGCGCGATCTTGGCTCACTGCAACCTCTGCCTCCCCGGTTCAAGGGATTCTCCAGCTTCATCCTCCTGAGTAGCTGGGATTACACATGCCCACCACCACACCAGCTAATTTTTGTATTTTTAGTTGAGACGGGATTTCACCATGTTGGCCAGGCTGGTCTTAAACTCCTGACCTCAAGTGATCCACCTGCCTCGACCTCCCAAAGTGCTGAGATTACAGATGTGAGCCACCACACCCGACCATGTGGCTAACTTTTTAAGGAACTGCAGGACTGTTTTCCATAGGGGCTGCACTATCTTACATTCCCACCAGTAGTGCATAAGGGTTCTAATTTCTCCATACCCTCGTCAACACTTGTTATTGTCTATATTTTGACTACAGTCATCCTCATGGGCATGAAATGGTATCTTTTTTTAGAATATTCACAAGTGAGAATCTTTTTTTAGAATATTCACAAGTTATGTAACCATTACCACTATCTAATTCCAGAATATTTACTCCCCCTACAAAGAAACCCCATGCCTATTTTAGTCACTCCCCATCCACCCTTTCTGTAGCCCCTGGAAACTGCTGATGTACTTTGGGATGGAAAAGATTCTTTTTTTTTTTTTTTTTTTTTTTTTTTTTTGAGACAAAGTTTCACTCTTGGTACCCACGCTGGAGTGTGCAATGGCGCAATCTCAGCTCATCACAATCTCTGCCTCCCAGGTTCAAGCGATTCTCCTGCCTCAGCCTCCAGAGTAGCAGGGATTACAGGCAGGTGCCACCACGTCCAGCTAATTTTTTTTGTATTTTAGTAGAGATGTGTTTTCTCCATGTTGGTCAGGCTGGTCTCGAACTTCTGACCTCAGGTGATCTGCCCGCCTCAGCCTCCCAAAGTGCTGAGATTACAGGTGTGAGCCACCGTGCCTGGCTGGGAAGGACAAGATTCTTATCTTACCTTCCTCACCTGTGGAGAGGAGCTAATAGTAGTGCCTGCCTCACTAGTCTGGGTGAGAACGAGATGAGATCATGTTTATAAACTTGCAGTGGCACACACTATGCATGTATGTATCTATATATGTTATGTGCTATGTTCGTATGACACACACTGGTACACACTATGTGCTCAGATCTAAATCTAGGCAGGGGGCTTATAGGCACCCCTCCTCTCTACTACTCATCCTCAGGGTTGTGTCAAGAGAGAGCCCAGCTCCCCAGCCATAGCTGAAATATGAGAGTGTGAACCCTGAAAGTCTGAGACAGGTCTCAGTTAATTTAGGAAGTTTATTTTGCCAAGGTCGAGGGTGTATCTGTGCCCGTGGCACAGCCTCAGGAGGTCGTGATGACATGTGCCCAAGGTGGTCAGAGGACAGCTCGGCTTTATACATTTTAGGGAGACATGAGACATCAATCAACATATGTAAAATGAACATTGGTTCATCCAGAAAGACAAGACAACTCGAAGCAAAAAAAATGGGACAACTTGAAGCAGGGTGGGGGGCTTCCAGGTCACAGGTAGGTGACAGATAAACTGTTGCATTCTTTTGAATTTCTGATTAGCCTTTCCAAAGGAGGCAATCAGGTATGCATTTATCTCAGTGAGCAGAGAGATGACTTTGAATAGAGTGGGAAGAAGGTTTGCCCTTAGCAGTTCCCAGCTTGACTTTTCCCTTTACCATAGTGATTTGAGGAGCCCAGTATATTTTCCTTTCACAGGAGATTGGTCCAAACTTTCTCTACTTTCCCAAATAAATGACGATTTTTTTTTTTTTTTGAGTTTCGCTCTGTCGCCCAGGCCGGAGTACAGTGGCACGATCTCAGCTCATGGCAACCTCCACCTCTGGGGTTCAAGCAATTCTCCTGCCTCAGCCCCCTGAGTAGCTGGGACTACAGGTGTGTGCCAATACGCCCGGCTAATTTTTGTATTTTTAGTAGAGATGGGGTTTCGCCATGTTGGCCACGCTGGCCTTGAACTCCTGACCTCAAGTGATCTGCCCGCCTCGGCCTCCCAAAGTGCTGGGATTACAGGCATGAGCTACTGCGCCCAGCCTAAATGACGATTTTTAAAAGAATTCTTTGGGTGAGTAAAAACCCCACTAGGATCCCACGTCCAGCAAAGAGGTTGGATGGGACAGCCTCCAACCAGTCTGATCATGCCACTGTCTTTCTTAAGAGCCTTTGGTGGCTCCCTGTTCTTCAAAGATCAAAATGTTTGCACGATTCTCCACTATCTGGCTTCAGCCTACTTGTACCATTGTTAGAGTAACTCCAGTTAGTCCGGAGAAGGTCCTTTCAACTCAGACATACCTGACTCCTCCTCTCACTGACTGTGTGACCTTGGCAAATCACTTCACCTCTCTGAGCCTGAAGATCCTCATCTGTAAAGTAAGGGCAATCATGGTTCCCTGCAGGGTTGCTGTGGTTATTACATGGGAATACAACTGAAGAGCACCCAGCATAGCTTCTTGAAATACACTAGACCAGCGGTCAAAACAAACTTTTGTATAAAGGCAGGTGCAATGGACTAAATATTTGTATTCCCCCAAAATTCATACATTAAAATCTTGACCTCCATTGTGATGGTATCCAAAGCTGGGGCTTTCAAAAGACAATTTGGGCATAAGGGTGGAGTTCTCATGAATGGCATCAATACCCTTATAAAAGCGACCCCAAAGAGCTTTCTCATCCTCTTCCCACCATGTGAGGGTATGATGAGAAGATGGCGGTCTTTGACCCAGAAGAGGACCATCTCCAGAAACAACCATACTGGCACTCTGATCTCAAACCTTCAGCCTCCAGAACTGTGAGAAACACATTTCTGTTGTTTGTAAGCTCCCCAGTCTACAGTACTTTATTATAGCAGCTCAAACGGACCAAGATAGCCAAATAGTAAATGTTTTGGGCTCTGTGAGCCATAGGGTCTCTGTCATAATTACTAAACATTGTCATTAAAAAGCAACCACAGGTTTGCCAGGGGCAGTGGCTCACACTTGTAATCCCAGCAGTTTGGGAGGCCAAGGTGGGCAGATCACCTGAGGACAGGAGTTTGAGACCAGCCTGGCCAACATGTCAAAACCCCGCCTCTACAATGTTGCAGGAAGTCAGGCACCCTGAAAGGAGGGACTGGCTGGAGCCGCAGCAGAAGAACATAAATTGTGACAATTTCATGGACATTTATCAGTTCCCAAATAATACTCTTATAATTTCTTATGCCTGTGTTACTTTAATCTCTTAATCCTGTTATCTTCGTAAGCTGAGAATGTGTATCACCTCAGGACCACTATTGTAAAAATTGATTGTAAAACGTGTTTGAACAATATGAAATCAGTGCACCTTGAAAAATAACAGAATAACAGTGATTTTCAAGGAAAAAGGGAAGACAAACATAAGGTCTGACTGCCTGTGGTTTCGGGCAGAATACAGCCATATTTTTCTTCTTGCAGAGAGACTATAAATGGACGTGCAAGTAGGAGAGATATCGCTGAATTCTTTCTTCAGCTAGGAATATTAACAATTAATACCCTGGGGAAGGAATGCATTCCTGGGGGAAGGTCTATAAATGGCCACCCGGGAGTGTCTGTCTTATGCAGTTGAGATAAGGACTGAAATACGTCCTCGTCTCCTGCAGTACCCTCAGGCTCACTAGGGTGGTGAAAAATCCCATCCTGGTGAATTTGAAGTCAGACCGGTTCTCTGCTCTCAAGCCCTGTTTTCTGTTGTTTAAGATGTTTGTCAAGACAATATGTGCACAGCTGAACCTAGACCCTCATCAGTAATTCTAATTTTGCCCTTTGCCTTGTGATCTTTATTGGCCTCAGAAGCATGTGATCTTTGTGACCTACTCTCTGTTCGTACATCCCCTCCCTTTTTAAAGTCCTTAATAAAAACCTGCTGGTTTTGCAGCTCAGGTGGGCATCACAGACTTACCAATATATGATGTCACCCCCAGCGGCCCAGCTGCAAAATTCCTCTCTTTGTACTCTTTATTTCTCAGACTGGCTGACACTTAGGGAAAATAGAAAGAACGTACGTTGAAATATTGGGGGCTGGTTCCCCCGATACTACTCAAAGTACCAAAACTAGCTGAGTATGGTGGCGCTTGCCTATAGTCCCAGCTACTGGGAAGGCTGAGGCAGGAGAATCACTTGAATCCAGGAGGCAGAGATTGCAGTGAGCTGAGATTGCTCCTTTGCACAACAGCCTGGGCAAAAAGAGCAAAACTTCCTCACAAAGAAAAAAAAAAAAAAGCAACCACAGGCCATATATAAAGGAATGTGCATGAAAAAAGCAACCATGGGCTGTATATAAAGGAGTGCGCATGGTTGTAGTCCAGTGAAATTTTATTTATAAAAGCAGGTGGTCAGCCAGATTTGGCCTATGGGCTTATTCCTAGGCTACGCAGACTCCTCGCGGTTCCCCTGCACACAACCTTGCACCCCCACACCTCCATGCTAGTCTATAGCTAGCATGACTTGAGTCTATAGCTAGACTCAAGCTAGTCTATCCTCCCAGAACTGCCAGCATGAATATCCTGCCTCATTTATGAAGACTGGCTTGACTTCCCCAGGCTCTGCAAGCTCCCACAGCCTGCAGCTCTATCAGATCATGTCTACACCATCTCATGGGGAGTGGTTCTGATACCAGTGAGCTGTGGAAGGTCCCAAACATGCCAGTATCCAGATTCTTAACACCATTGTGAGAAGGAATTCAAGGATGACTCAGAAAATAGTGAAAGTACAGAGATTTATTGCAAAGCAAAAAGTACACACTCCAGAAAGAGGAGAGCAGGTGCACTCAAGAGAGATGTGCCAAGAGGTTTGGGGTTTCCACCTTTAGGGGTTTCTTTGACCAAGGGGTGGGATATTCATGGAAATTCCTGGAAAAAGGTGGAGATTTCTTGAAAATGTGGTGCCACCCATTTTTATACCACATACAGGTGTTCTTGGGACTGTCATGGTGCTGGTGGGTGTGTGGTTTAAGATGTTAATGCGTGTATCATGAGGTCCTGGGTAAAATCTTGGTTGAATCCAGCACCATGTTGGATCCATTTGGTCTCAGCCAGCTTGGCCCACAACCTGGTTTTCAGGGTCTTAGCCCACAGCCTCTAGTCATGTGAAACTGCTGCCTGGAATTTTCTATTCTCCTGCAACCTCCCTATAGTATTCCTGTCTCAATTTACCATCTTCTCTTCCAAACTGGACAGGGAACCCCTAGATCCTCTGTGTTCCCAGGGCCTAACACCACACCTAGCACATCCCAGGTGATTAATCAATGTTTATGGAAAAAAATCAACAGTAATCTTGCACAGGCAACACAAGGAAGGAATCTCACATGGGATATTGATCAAAGACACCAGGCACAGAAGAGTTCCAACTGGATGATTTCAGTTATGTGGTGCTCAAGATTAGGCAAGATCCATCAGTGAAGACAGAAACCAGAACAGATGGTGACTCCAGGTGGGGAAGGAGCTGTCATCGGGGAAGGGGCCCCAGGGAGCTGTCCGGGTGCTGAAAGGTTCCACATATGGATCTCGGCACTTGTTACATGGGCCTTTTCACACAGGTAACAAAGTACTACAAGCGAGGTGGCTTAAGCCAACAGACATTTATGGTCTCACAGTTCTAGAAGCTAAAAGTCTAAAGTCAAGGAATTGGCAAATGCATGCTCACTCAGATGGCTCTAGGGGAGAAGTTCTTCCTGGCCTTTTCCAGCTTCTGGTGATGTCCAGCAACCCTTAGGTTTTCTGGACTTGCAAATGCATGACCTCTATCTCTGCCTTCATCTTCACAGGGCATTCTCCCTGTGCGTATGACTCTGTCCTACTCTCCTCTTCCTATAAGGACACCAGTTGTATTAAGCCTAGGACCCACCCTAATCCAGTATGATCTCATTTTTTTCTTTTCTTTTTTTTTTTTTTTTTTTTAAAGAGACATGGTCTTGCTCTGTCATCCAGGCTGGAGTGCAGTGGCAAGATCATAGCTCCCTGCAGCCTCAAACTCCTGGGCTCAAGTGATCCTCCTGCCTCAGCCTCTCATGTAGCTGGGACTACAGGTGTGCTTCACCACACCTGGCTAATTTTTTGTAGAGATGGGGTCTCACTTTGTTGCACAGGCTGGTCTCAGGAGATCATCCTAACTTAGCCTCCCAAAGTGCTGGGATTACAAGCATGAGCCACCAAGCTTGGATGACCTCATCTTAACTAATTGTGTCTGCAATGATCCTGTTTTAGAATAAGTCACATTCTGAAGCACTGGGTTAGGACTTCAACATGTTTTGGGGGAACAAATTCCACTCACAACCACAGGTGTATACATAGGTTAAAGAAAACGCCACAAATTGCACCTTTAAGATGAATACATTTTACTGAATAAAGGTTATACCTGAATTAGAAAATAAAACAAAATGGGAGGAAAAAAATAAATAAGCAACAACCAACAAGTTCCTCCTCTTTTCAGCTTCTGAAAGACAGAGCCAGAAATAATTCCCCCCACTTATTGAAGCAGGATAATGCATTTAAAAAAAATTATTTTTCTCTCCATTGCAGCATCAGACACACACTCCTTCCCTCACAAAATCAGCCAGGGCTCCTGGGATCTGCTCTTTCCAGGGGTTGGGGAGAGGCTGGTAGTGAAGCAGCCATGATTTTCGGAGAAAAGCCGCCTCTGAATTAGCAGGACTGGCCAGCTGCTCATTCCCCACCCCCACGTGCCGCTCTTGGCAGACAAGAAGGAATTTTTAAAGACTGATTACACATTCTTTTTTATTGGTGCCATGTTTGTAGTATTTGCTGGCCCCAGCTGGTGCCCCAGTAGGTGATATAAAAAGACATATGAATAATGTATACAACAGCCCAACAGTCATCAGAGAACCTAACTGCCAAAACAGGGACAGCACGGTGGGCTGAGATAGTGGATTACAGGGGGAAGGGATAGAAATGCATATTCCTGCCCAGTTTTGCCTGAAAACTGTGAGCTACCGTCAGCTTGAAGATGAGCAAGTGGGATCTTCACACCACCCTAGAGAAAGCTCCCAACAAGCATGTATGGGGTTTTCAAACATAGCCATCCCACATCCAGAAAGTCCAACCTACCAGAGTATAGGCGTGGATGTACAAATAGTTATGGACCAGGTTGTTCATTTCAGCATTGCTGTAATTGTGCAGTGGGGACAGCAGAGGGATAAAGGATTTAATAGTGTTTCTCTAGAAAGTCTCTCATGGGGAACAAGCCCTCCAAACACTGCCTTGAAATGAGACTGTCCCTGGCATTAGCTGATGCACCTAGGTCTTGAATGATAAACAAGATAATGAGACTTGGCAGTGCAAGGGTTTGAATGTAATGAAATGGAAGAGCATATGGATCATTTGGGATGGACAGGGAAGAGTTGCAGGGCTATTTGTCCATAGGTTATTGAAGCCCCTTCCTCCTGAGCTCTTTCATTCTCTCTCACCTGCCTGTACAGAGGCTGAACAAAAGAGATGCTTGTTTTCCCAGCCTCCCTTGCAGCTAGAGGTGGCCATGTAACCCAGTCTTGACCAATGAGACACAAAGGAAGGACTCCTGGGAAATTCTGGGAAAGATGTCTCCTTCCTCATAGGAATCTCTCTCTCTCTGTCTCTCTCTCTCTCTCTCTCTCACACACACACACACACACACACACACACACACACACACCACCACCAACAACAACAACAACAACAACAAAGACAACAAACACCTTGGCCACCCCCAGCTGCCTTTGGCTGGAGGTGGGTAATGATTCGCTGTTTAGATCTCAGCAGCCATTTTGCAACCATGAAGGAAAAACCAAGAGAATTGTAGAGTCCACAACCCAGAGCCCTGATCCCATGCAGTTAATGAACCAACCCCAGAAACACCACCCACCCTCCAGGCTTCCTGTGGATCATCCCACTCTTCACCCGCTGAGAGTTGGGTTCCCAGTCACTTACAGGTGAATGTACTATAACTTCTCCATGGCCTACAATGTGACTACGTGGCTGCCATAGCTAAACACATTCAGCATCAGAAAAAGGAGAGAAGGCCTAGCCTTTTGCCTGGGGCAACTGGAAGTACCAGGACACTCCCAGTATAGGATAAATAGTGTCCTCCAAAAATCTATGTCCACTTGGTACCTCAGAATGTGGCCTTATTAGAAAACACGGTGTTTGTAGTCCAGGCATGATGGCTCAGACCTGTAATCCCAGCACTTTGGGAGGCCGAGGTGGGCAGATCATGAGGTCAGGAGATCGAGATCATCCTGGCTAACAGGGTGAAACCCTGTCTCTATTAAAAATACAAAAAATTAGCTGGGCGTGGTGGCGGGCGCCTGTAATCCCAGCTACTCAGGAGGCTGAGGCAGGAGAATGGCATGAACCTGGGAGGCAGAGGTTGCAGTGAGCCAAGACCATGCCACTGCACTCCAGCCTGGGTGACAGAGTGAGACTCCGTCTCAAAAAAAAGGAAGAAAACAGGGTCTTTGTAAATGTAATTAGTTAAGGATGGAGATGGGATCATGCTGGATTAGGTGGGTCCTAAGTCCAATGACGAGTATCCTTGTAAGAGACAGAAAGATGACCACAGAGACACAGAGTACAAAGCCATGCCAAGATGGAGGCAGAGGTTGGCATGATGCTGCCCCAAGTCAAGGAATGCCAGTAGCTGGAAGGGGCAAGGAAGCCTCCTCCCCTAGAGCCATCAGTGGGTATATGACCCCACCAACATCTTGACTTCAGACTCCTGGTCTCCAAAACGATGAGAATATATTTCTATTGTTTTAAGCCATCAAGGTGTGGTCATTGTCACAACACCCCTAGGAAAGGAAGTCTTCATTCCAGCCTGTTCTGTGGCCCTTATGCTTGCTGAAACCCTCCTGTAAAACAACTGTACCTCCCTGACCAGACAGTCTGACTTGCCCTCCTTCTGGGGCCTTTCAGGCTGTGGAGATGACCACCCCACCCCAACCCATGGACAGCAAATCCCATCCCCTCCTGCCTGGTGCAGAGACCCATCTCTTTCTTCCCACTGGGTCTGGAAGTGGCAGACAGCAGCAATGAAGCAGGCTTTCATTTCACTCAAGTCTAGATAGTTGGTGTCCTCAGCACAAAGGTCTCCTTGAGGAATAAAAAAAAATCTTAAATTCAGTTCTGGATTTACAGCTAAGAAGTTCCATCTTTACCCATATTAAACACAGCTGGAAAATGGACCATCAGTAGGGAACAGGATAAACAAATTGTGGTCTATTTATCGTGGAACATTATACAATGATTAAAAAGGGATAAGGCACACTAAGATTTGTAAATGCAGTAAGCGATGTTTGGGATTGTCTTCAAAATAATGTAGGAAGGGGTAAACAGATGTGGGTAGGGGAATACAGATCTAGATGAATTAAGTTTGGCCAAGAGTCAACCATTGTTGAAGTTGGGGGGATTCATTATACCATTCTCTCTACTTTTGAATATATTTTTAAGTTTCCACCATAAGGAGTTTTTTTAAATGAGGCAGTTCATATATACTGTCACAGAAAGAGGCCCATAAAAGATGCTGAAGAGAAACAGCAAGTTGAGGAATAATATATTCAGTGTAATCCCATTTGTGTGTGCTGTATTTTTTTTTTTAAGACAGAGTCTTGCTCTTGTCACCTGGGCTGGAGTGCAATGGTGCGATCTCAGCTCACTGCAACCTCCTCCTCCTGGGTTCAGGCGATTCTCCTGCCTCAGCTTCCTGAGTAGCAGGGAATACAGGCACCTGCCACCATGCCCAGCTAATTTTTATATTTTTAGTAGAGACGGGGTTTCTCCATGTTGGCCAGGCTGGTCTCGAACTCCTGACCTCAACTGATCTGCCCATCTCAGCCTCCCAAAGTGCTGGGATTACAGGCATGAACCACCACGCCTGGCCTGACACATGTGTTTTAATTAATATATGAATGTAAGTACAGAGAATAATCTAGAAGACTGTACAACAAACCAAAAGCATGGTTATAAGATTTGGCCTGCTGTTCTTCTCTCCTATCACCATTTCTTATCCACAATACACTTCCCACACTTCCAATCACACATTCCCAGGCCTGTGCATATTAATCACTCAAAAAGTGTTCGCCAGGCACACGTTGGACTTCACTTCTTCCTGCCTACAGAACCCAAGAACTCTCTGCATTTACCAAATGAACAAGTGAGACACTGGACCTAACGAGGCTATGAAGTTATCACCATTCCAGAGTGGTTTATTACTTCTTCTTTTAAAATAGAAATTCTGCTCCTGGCAGAATGGCCTGTAGGCACTAGTGCAACTTTATAATATTAAGGCAATGCAAACAAGATCACAGACTTGAAATTAATCAATGTAAAAACCCTGGAAGGCTTTCCCATCAGGAAAAGTCCAAGAAAAAGGCATTTTGCTGGGACCCAGAGGTCAGCTTACATGGGGCTTTGCTTAGGTCTGGGCCAGCTGGGGATGGGCGGTGGGGCAAGGAGGCTCCATCCAAAAGCATCTCTCTTGGCTGGGGTTCACTTTGCCAAGTTTAGCTGAGATTGTTGTCAAAAGTCTTGTTCACAAGCCAGCCAGGCCTGGAGGTGTGCGCCCTGGCTTAGCATAGAAAGCAGAGGCTAAGAGCTTGGGCATTGGCACCAGCAGACCTAGGTTCTAGTCTTTTTTTTTTTTTTTGGAGACAGAGTCTTGCTCTGTCACCCAGGCTGGAGTGCAGTGTTGTGATCTCAGCTTACTGCAAGTTCCACCTCCCAGGTTCAAGCAATTCTCTGCCTCAGCCTCCTGACTAGCTAGGATTACAGGTACCCACGACCATCACTGGCTAATTTTTGTGTTTTTAGTAGAGATGGGGTTTCACCATCTTGGCCACGCTGGTCTTGAGCTCCTGACCTCATGATCCACCCGCCTCGGCCTCCCAAAGTGCTGGGATTACAGGTGTGAGCCACCACACCCAGCCCCTAGGTTCTAGTCTTTTCTTGGCTCTTAAGCTTGGCCAAGTGTCTTCTGTTCTCCAAGGCTCCCTTTGTAAATCTATACAATGGGGCTGTTGATACTTCCTACATGGCCAGGCTGATGTGAAGACTGAATGAGATGAGCTACAAGGAAGTTAAACATATTATGTCCCAGGAGACCCCTTGAGATCAGGATTTGGGTACAAGTGGACTTGGGAGGGGATCCTAAGAGGCTCCAATGGGGAGAGGAACAGTGAAATAGCAACAGAAGGAAACCAGTACCAAAGGCGGGATGGGGAGGTCTGTGCTCTGGGCGACTGGGGCTCAACCCCACAGGGAAACATTGAGAGATCACATAGAGCATATCTCAGTCCAGGGGCCCCAGATGAAAATGGGGGCTGTTGGCAGAACATGAGTACATGAGTGCACCGTTTTCACGCTGCTGATAAAAACATACCCAAGATTGGGCAATTTACAAAAGATGCGTATAATGGACTTTACAGTTCCACATGGCTGGGGAAGCCTCACAATCATGGCAAAGACAAGGAGGAGCAAGTCATGTCTTACGTGGATGGCAGCAGGCAAAGAGAGAGCTTGTGCAGGGAAACTCCCCTTTATAAAACCATCAGATCTCGTGAGACTTATTCACTATCACGAGAAGAGCACGGGAAAGATCTGGCCCCATGATTCAATTACTTCTCACCAGGTCCCTCCCACAACATGTGGGAATTCAAGATGACATTTGAAGGGGGACACAGCCAAACCATATCAATGAGGAAACATAGGTGATCAGCAAACATCACTGCACTAGGCCATGATCATCATTTAAAATGCCAGCCCGGGCCAGGTGTGTTGGCTCATACCTGTAATCCCAGCTACTTGGAAGGTGGGAGGATTGCTTGAGACCAGGGGTTCAAGAGCAGCCTAGGCAACACAGCAATACCTTTATCTCTGCAAAATGTATAAAAATTAGCCAGGTGTGGTGGGGCATACCTGTAGTCCCAGCTTCTCAGGAGGCTGAGGCAGGAGAGTTGCCTGATCCTAGGAGTTTGAGACTGCAGTGAGCTATGATTGCACCACTGCACTCCAGGCTGGGCAACAGAGCAAGACCCTGTCTCTAAAAGATAAATAAACTAAAATAAAATAAAATATCAACCAGTGGTGCCTGAGAAGCAGGAGTACTTTGTGATATAAATTCAACTAGATTCTATCAACAAGGCAACAACCCAAAGACAGGTGGGATGACCCAGCTAATGGGCAGAAAGGACCCTGTGAGCCACGTCCACAGCAATGACTCCCCACGTTCCTGTGTGTTAAGGTCACCAGGGAGAGTTAATAAAAACACAGGATCCTGGGCCCCAGCTCCAGGGAGTCTAATAAAGCAAGTGCATGGCGGGACCCAGAGAGCTGCATTTTAACATGTTCTCCAAGTGATTTGATGTAGGTGGCCAAAAGATGACATGTTGGAAAACATGGGTCTAACAAAACCCAAGACAATGGTTTTGCAGGTCTTTTGGCAATACTAGGTGGGTAAGAGACACCCTCAGGGAGAGGTTTTGGAACAAGTCAGCATTTAAAATGGGTGTACGTGAACACTCACACACTACACACACATACACACGTAACAATACCAACAAGGAGGGCTTGGAACGCCAGTATGTTTAAACATGAAATAAATGACTGTGCCCCTAAAATACTCCAGAAATCATCCAAGAATAATTCATAAGCTCTACCACCACCACAACCAGCTCCCTACCCGCCCCCCAGCCAAAAAAAGAAAAAAAAACTCTTGAGAATGAGCCAAGGTTAATGAGGCTGGTGGTTATCTGCTGAGTAAGTGCTGGCCATGCAAGTTAAACTGCCTGAAGGTAGATTAAATTTATGGGTTCAATTTTTCCAGGAGTGCAAAGAAAAATGTGCACGAGATGGGAGACCAGATGCCGCGGGCCTGGGTGAGGAGAGATGGCAGGGCTCTACCAGGTGGAGCTTATAATTTGGTGGGGAGAGAGCACCTGGTTCTTCAGAAGCCTTTGTTTCCTTTCAGTCCTTTTCCCACTCCATGCACTGAGCTGAGCCAAAGACTTCAAGAGGAACTTTTCCCAAATCCTTCTGTGCCCTGGAGTGGGGCTCTGTGTTCCCAGCTTCTAAAGGTGAAGGTCAGTGGGGCTCCCAGCTCTCCTTTTTAGCTTCCCCCATCCATCCCCATATACTGGGCAGACAGGCTAGATGCAATCAATGTCAGGACTGGGGAAATTTTCTTCTGATGTGCTTGGAGGTATCACAGATCCTTGGACACCTTGCTGCTTCAAGTGAGGTCCTCAGGCCAGCAGCATCGGCAACTCAGGAGCTTGTTGGAAATGAGGAGGCTGGCTGGGTGTGCTGGCTCACACCTGTAATCCCAGCACTTCGGGAGGTCGATCAGGGCAGATCACGTGAGGTCAGGAGTTCAAGACCAGCCTGGCCACATGGCGAAACCCTGTCTCTACTAAAAATACAAAAATTAGTTGGGCATGGTGGCTCACACCTATAATCCCAGCTAATTACAGGGGAGGCTGAGGCAGGAGAATTGCTTGAACCGGGAGGCAGAGGTTGCAGTCAGCTGAGATCACACCACTGCACTCCAGCCTGGGCGACAGAGTGAGACTCTGTTAAAAAAAAAAAAAAAAAAAAAAAAAAAAGAATGATATAATGGACTTTGGGGACTAGGTGGTGAGTAGAGGTTGGGATGGGGGTGAGGGATAAAAGACTACATACTGGGTACTGCATACACTGCTTGGGTGAAAGGTGCAATAAAATCTCAGAAATCCCCACTAAAGAACTTACCCACGTAGCCAAAAACCCCCTGTACCCCAAACTATTGCAATTTAAATTTTAAAAAATCTCCCTCTTCTTTGCCTTATAAAGGCACCAGTCATCACATTTAGGGCCATCTCAATCCATGAACTTGTTTCATATGAGTATGACCTCATCTTAACTTGAGCCCATCTGCAAAGACCCTATTCCTGAATAAGGTCACATGCATGAGTACAGGGATTAGGACCTGAACATGTGTCTCAGGCGGACATGATTTAATCCACAATATCCCCACCACTCTTACCTCCAGCCTCATTTCTTCCTCTTCTCTCTGCCCCTCGCCCACTGCCCATGCCACAGCCCTAGAAGCTCTACTCTTCCCCCCACTGCCCTCGCAGGGATACAGTTTAGCTCGTATGGGACAGTCTTCTTCCTAGCCCCGTCTGGTTGCTGCTCATCCTTCAGTCTCAGCCCAGCCATCACTTCCCCAGGGAAGCCTCCCCTCCCCCTCCCCCTCCCCCCACTAGGAGGTCCTTGTCTTTTGCCACATCTAGCTCCATACCTTGAAACTGCTTTATTTATTTATTTTTTAAGAGACTGGACCCAAACTCCTGAGCTCAAGTGATCATCCCACCTTAGCCTCCTGAGTAGCTGGGACCTCAGGCAGGCACCTCCATGCCCAGCTGAAATTACCTTTTAAAGCCTCTCTCCCAGCACTGCCGTACATAAACTCTGAGAGGAAAACAACTGTGTCTAATTATGCCCCAGTTTAACTCTGGTGCCTAGCTCTGTGTGGGTACGCAGTGGGCACTCAAACATTTGGTGAATGAATGAACAAATGAGTGAATGCAAGAACAAATGAGCAGAAGAATGAATGCGTGGAAGCGGGAGAGGAAAGAAAGGAGAAAACAGCGTATTTCACACCCGAGATTTATTAGGACGCACACTCCGGCAAGAGATACTCAAAACACAACACAGTCATGGCTTTGATTGTGAAGAACTGTTCAGCTCATTTTATTTCTGCTCATAATCAATACTGCCCAATCTCAATGCCTGCTCCTGTCTCATTAACATTTATCAAGAACACTCAGTGGCACACAGTCTTTTACAACTGTTTACTGACTCTCCATTTCAGTTCTTCTCCCCAGCAGCCCACCAAGCCTTGGGTGAGAACAAAGGGTTCCTTCTCGCCTGTATCCCATTATCTGTGGGTTGACTGACATCATTCCAAACCCAGGCTGGCCAGAGCACCCCCTCCCCTGTTGGAATAAGATTGATTCTAAGAATCCTCAGTAATCAAAACGAATACTCCAGCTTATGCTCTCACGTTAGCCTTTTTGTTGCCGGAGGAGGGCTCTTCTCTGTCCTGCCTGACAGTGATGTACAGACAGGCAGTTGCTTTCCCTTCTGCAGGGCAGATGTTGACAGGTATGGGGAGCAAAGTGTACCTGCAGAATGGAGCTTCATTGCTGAGGGTGTGACCTCCCCAGGTACTTCCTCCACCGCAGTCCCATTAAGAGAGCTGTGGGCATCTGTCACAACCCCTCTGAAAGGAACCTCACAGTGACCCTCTCAGCTCACTCCCTAGGAGGGACCCTGTTATGCTCAAGGCTTTGCTGAAAGGGACCAAGAGACCTCAGGATTAGTGGCTTTGTGTCTCTGGCCGACCTTAACTTCTATCTTGCTTGTTATCAAGTGTACCCAACAGCCCTGTAAATAAGAAGAGGCTATTTTCCCGCACAAGTGCTCGGTAATTTGACTCTTGGCACATCACGGCAACCTCCCTGGGCCTCCTTCTGCAGAGCCGAGACAGCACTCGTTTTGTTTCAAAGAGCCTCTAACAGCTGGCAGATTCTGACAAAAAACATCACCCCTTAAAATTCACTTTCTCCCTAGGGTTGATTTTACTGGAGGTTTGTTTTCCTTTGCCTGCCTGCCTGCATCTGCAGAGCCACTAGAAGAATCATCCTGGGTATTGTTCAGCTACTGTAACTCCCACCACCGACTGCTCACCTATATCTCTGACGGTGGCACCAGGTGATTCCGACTTACAGCTGGTGGGTCTCAAGCTGGCATAGCAGGGGGCCTGCAGGCACTGTATCAGGAGACAAAGAATCCAAACGTCCTGGTCTTACCCTGGTCTTGGCTGATTGCGAAGGCACAGCCCCAACAGAACCACAAAATGGACAAGGTTTGTTTTTTGTTTGTTTGTTTGTTTGTTTTTGAGACAGTCTCGCTCTGTCACCCGGGCTGGAGTGCAGTGGCACGATCTCGGCTAACTACAACCTGTGCCTCCCAGGTTCAAGCAATTCTCCTGCCTCAGCCTCCCAAAGAGCTGGGACTACAGGCGTGAGCCACCACGCCCAGCTAATTTTTGTATTTTTCGTAGAGATGGGGTTTCACCATGTTGGTTGGCCAGGATAGTCTAGATCTCTTGATTTTGTGATCCGCCCACCTCGGCCTCCCAAAGTGCTGGGATTACAGGCGTGAGCCACTGCACCCGGCCCAGAGAACGCTTTTCATACTTGCTTAGCAACCCCCTGCATCCTACCCCAGCACCAGGTGCTCACCACCTGTGGGCTGCGCTCATCCGTGATCATCGGTCCCCAGGCCTGCTGTTCCTCGAGAAAGGAAGTTGTAATGGGCAGAGTTCTAGGACAGCCCCCAAGAGACCCCCTCCCTTGTATCTGCTCCCTGTATCATCTCCTCTTCTTGAGTGTGTCCAGAGCTTGTGATATGGCCAAGGGGAAGGAATTTTGCAAATGTGATTAAGGTCACACTTGCTTTGTTAAGTACATTTGCTCAGCTGACTTTGAGTTCATCCAAAGCAGGATGATCTTAGGTGGGCCAGACCTAATCAGGTGAGCCTTTTAAAGGTGAAGTTTCAGAGATCCAACTCTTAGCCTCCAAGGAGACACAAATGGCCATGCTGTGAGCTGTCTTTGGAGGTGGCAGCTCTAGGAGCTGAGGGCCTTCGTTCAACAATTGCAAGAAATTGAATTCACTCCACAAGCTGAATAAGCTTGGAAGAGAACCCTGAGCATCCAATGAGACCCCAGCTCCAGCTGACACTCTGGTTGCAGTATTGTGACCCTGAATAGAAGACCCAGTTAAACCCCACCCAGACCCTTGGCTCATGAAAACAGATAATAACTGGGTGGTGTTTTAAGCTGCTCAGTTTGCACTGGTAAATCCACCAACAGGAAAGTAATATAGAAGTTAAACGGGCCAGGCGTGGTGGCTCATGCCTGTAATCCGAACACTTTGGGAGGCTAAGGCAGGTGGATCACAAGGTCAAGAGATCGAGACCATCCTACCCAACATAGTGAAACCCTGTCTCTATTAAAAGTACAAAAATTAGCCAGGCGTGGAGGCACACACCTGTAGTCCCAGCTACTCAGGAGGCTGAGGCAGGAGAATCACTTGAACCAAGGAGGTGGAGGTTGCAGTGAGCCAGGACCATGCCACTGCACTCCAACCTGGGCAACAGAGAGAGACTCCATCTCAAAAAAAAAGAAGTAGTTAAACAAACACTTTTGACCACTGATGGAAGTTGCTTTCATTCCCTCTTACTTAATCATCTTTATCTTACCCCTGAAAGAGGGTTGCTTTAACCCCATTTGTAACAAGTGAGCCCAAGGCCCAGGAAAGTGATAGAATTTAGCAAAGTCCATCTTGCTACCTGGTGGCCCCAGCTAGAATTCAGCCCCAGGTCCATATACCTAAACTCATTACAACATCCACTAAAATTGTGCCCCTCTCTCCAAGCCTTCCTCTTTACAAGCCTGTTCCTTCAGGGATAGTTCCCAACCCAGTGTTACAAGGTATTGAACTCTGATTTTGACAAAATATAGTAACTACCCCCAAAAATTAATAACGGTATTTTTGAGCCAGGCACAGTGGCTCATGCCTGTAATCCCAACACTTTGGGAGGCTGAGGTGGGTGGATCATGAGGTCAAGAGATTGAGAGCATCCTGGACAACATGGTGAAACCCCATCTATACTAAAAATACAAAAATTAGCTGGGAGTGGTGGTGGGCGTCTGTAATCCCAGCTACTTGGGAGGCTGAGGCAGGAGAATCACTTGAACCCAAGAGGCGGAGGTTGCAGTGAGCCAAGATCATACCACTGCAGTCCAGCCTGGCAACAGAGCAAGACTCCGTCTCAAAAAAACAAACAAACAAACAAACAAACAAAAAACTATTTTTGAGTCCTTATGTGTCAACCGCTGGGCTATCCCAACACCAATAGATGTTATGATTACGATTATTTTTTCCATTTTATTGATGAGGAAACCGACACATAGAAAGGTAAAGGAACTTGCCAAAGGTGACGGTCACACAGCGAAAGAGCTGTAGAAGCAGCACAGGAATCCCAGCAAACTCACAGCCAAGCTCTGCTTTTCACCTTCACACCATACTGTCCTCAGACTAAAACCCTAACTCTGACCTTCCGAATCAAAAATCATACTCAAGGCTGGGTGCGGCGGCTCACGACTGTCATCTCAGCACTTTGGGAGGCAGAGGCAGGTGGATCACCTGAGGTCAGGAGTTCCAGACAAGCAGGCCAACATGGTGAAACCCCATCTCTTCTAAAAATACAAAACATAGCCAGGCACGGTGGCAGGTGTCTGTAATCCCAGCACTATGGGAGGCTGAGGCATGAAAATCACTTGAACCCAGGAGGCGGAAGCTGCAGGGATCCATGATCATGCCACTGCACTCCAGCCTGGGCAAGAGAGTGAGACTCTGTCTCAAAAAAAAAAAACTGTGCTTAATAATAGCTTGGAAGTGCACATACCTTCTGTGAAGGTTGATAGACTACAATTAGCTTCAAAACACAAATAAGTAGCTGTGTTTAAATGAGGCCTTCTGTGTAATAGCTAGGGAAAATCAATGTAGCTATTCACATTTTGGTTCCCCTTCCAGAAACAGAGAAGTTGCCCGTGACTCTGTGATCCTTTTTGTCCAATGAACCATGAGCAGGAGCAACTTGAGTCACCTTCAGGTGGAAGTGTTAAGAGGCTCTGTGATCCACCACATTCCCTTTCCCCTGAAGTGGTGATCAATGACACATGCAGAGATGGGGCTTTTGTCAGCCTGGATCCCTGAGTGAACACAATGAACAGACCACCCCACAATGCCCTAACACAGCCCAGATATGCAACGTGACCAAGAATAAGCCTCACTGTGGCCAGGCACGGTGGCTCACACCTGTCATCCCAGCACTTTGGGAGGCCAAGGCAGGTGGATCATTTGAGGTCAGGAGTTCAAGACTAGCCTGGCTAACATGGTGAAATCCTTTCTCTACCAAAAGTATAAAAATTAGCCAGAAAATAGTGGCACGGGCCTGTAATCCCAGCTACTCAGGAGGCACGAGAATCACTGAGTCTGGGAGGCAGAGGTTGCAGTGAGCTGAGATTGCGCCACTGCACTGTAGTCTGGGTGACAGAGTGAGACCCTGTCTCAAAAACAAACAAACAAATACCTCACTGCATGAACCCACTGAGATTTGGGGATTGTTGTTACTGCAGCAGAACCCAAATCATCCCGACCGCTAGACTGTCCTAACTAGGGTTTCTTACCAAAAGCAAAGGCATTTTTAAAGTTCATGACATTTAAACCAAAGAGTAAATACCAATATCTGTCACTTTGTCAGGCTAACAAAGTGACAAAGTAACAAAGGCCAAACAAAGCAAATGCCAGAAGTTAAAAGAAACAGATCATTAGGTTAAAAACAGAACTGTGAAAACAGGCACAATTGACTTCATATAGTGATTGCAAAGAACATCAGGCAAGACACAGGTGTGGTCATATCATTTATCACATGCTTAATTGCACATGTTTGCCTAAGAAAAACACAAAGTATTTAAGCTCATCTGTAGTTCAAAGTGCCTATCCGTGTATTTATCCATTCATCCTTATTTATTTATTGAGCAACTCTTTTGTGCCAGGCACTGTGCTGGGTGCTGGTAATGCAATGATGAAGATGGCAGGCACGACTCTGCCCTCCAGGAGTTTCTAGGATATGGAGGGAGACAAACAAAAAATAAGTAAATCCATGAAAGAAGTATTGGTGGAACCTGCCCCCAGTATTTCAACGTATGTTCTTTCTATTTTCCATAAGTGTCAGCCACCTGAGAAATAGACAGTACAAAGAGAGGCATTATACAGCTGGGCCGCTGGGGGTGACATTACATATCGGTAGGACAGTGATGCCCCCTGAGTCTCAGACCAGCAAGTTTTTATTAAGGGTTTCAAAAGGGGAGGGGGTGTAAGAACAGGGAGTAGGTACAAAGATCACATGCTTCCAAGGGCAAAAAGCAGGACTACTAATAAGGGTCCAACAAAGATCACATGCTTCTGAGGGAACAGGACAAAGGGCAAAGGCAGAACTACTGGTAAGGGTCCAGCAAAGATCACAAGGCAAAGGGCAAAAGCAGAAGATAAGGGTCTATGATCAGCGGTGCACGTATTGTCTTGATAAACATCTTAAACAACATAAAACAGGGTTCGAGAGCAGAGAACCAGTCTGACCACAGATTTACCAGGGCGGAGTTTTTCCCCACCCTAGTAAGCCTTTGGGTACTGCAGGAGACCAGGGCGTATCTCAGTCCTTATCTCAACAGCATAAGACAGACATTCCCAGAGCAGCCATTTATAGACCTCTCCCCAGGAATGCATTCCTTTCCCAGGGTATTAACATTAATATTCCTTGCTAGGAAAAGAACTTAGCGATATCTCTCCTACTTGCACGTCTGTTTATAGACTCTCTGCAAGAAGAAACATATGGCTCTTTTTGCCCGACCCTGCAGTCAGTCAGACCTTATGGTTGTCTTCCCTTGTTCCCTAAAAATCGCTGTTATTCTCTTCTTTTTCAAGGTGCACTGATTTCATATTGTTGAAACACGTTTTACAATCAATTTTTAGAGTTAACACAATTATCACAGCCGTCCTGAGGTGATGTACATCCTCAGCTAATAAATATAACAGGATTAAGAGATTAAAGTAAAGACAGGCATAAGAAATTATAAAAGTATTATTTGGGAACTGATAAATGTTCATGAAATCTTCACAATTTATGTTGCTCTGCCGCGGCTCCAGCCAGTCCCTCCATTTGGGGTCCCTGACTTCCTGCAACAAGAAATAATAGAGGTTAAGGTGGAGAAGAGCAAGGAAGTCCACTTTACAAAGCAGTCAGGAAAGAGCTCTCTGTGGAAGCACCATTTTAGCTGAGACCTAAAGGATGGTCTAATTTGGGGAGGTGCAGAGGAAAATCATTCCAGGCTGAAGCAGCAAGTGCAAAGGCCCTGTTGTGGAGAAAGATTTGAAAGTCCAAGAAAACAAAAGAAGGCCAGAGTGGCTGAAATAGAGTAGGCCAAGGGGAGGAGATAGGAGAGGGCTGGAGATGTGGCAGGAACAGGCAGAAGACTCGGGGTCTTGATTTTATTCTATGTGCCATGGGCAGGAAAGGCAGGGATGAGAATCAATGGAAACCTTAAGATCAGTGAAGCTGCCAGGTGGGAAATGGATTGCTGAGCATGGAGGGCAGGTGCAGAGGACCAGTTAAGACCAGTTAGGAGGCTGCTGCTGTAGCCCAGCTGGGATAAGGGTGTCCTAGGCAAAGATAACGACAGTGAAGATAGAGAGAGTGGACAAGTTGGATAAAGTTTAGAATCACAGGACTTGCTGACTGGAGAAGAGGGCAAAAGCAGAGTTAGCACAACACATGAGTTATGACCACCTTGAGCAGCTGAGCAGGGGGTGGTGCCATTTACAGAACAGAGATGGCACAGACAGAGCCCATGGAGAAGGAGGAGGAAAAGGAGAGTTTGGCTTTGGGTTTTTTTAAGACAGGGTCTGGCTCTGTCACCCAGGCTGGAGTGCAGTGGTGTGATCAGAGCTCTTTGCAGCCTCAAACTCCTGGGCTCAAGTGATCCTCCTACCTTAGCCTCCCAAGTAGCAGGACTCCAGATCCTACAGATGCACATCACCATGCCTAGCTAATTTTTTTTTTTTTTTTTTTTTTTTTTTTTGTAGACAGGGAGTCTCACTGTGTTTCCCAGGCTGGCTTCAAACTCCTGGCCTCAAGTAATCCTCCCACCTCGGCCTCTCATACCACTGGGATTACAGCCATCACCTACTCCTCCAAGCCACGAGTTTGGCTTTGGATGTCACAAGGTTGAGGTGTTCATGAGATGACAAGTGGAAAAAACAAGAAAGAAGTTGAGTGTTTAAGACTGCTGCTTGAAGGAGAAGTCTAGCCTCAAGGGAAAAGTTCAGGACTCATCAGCTGAGAAATGGAACTGAAAATTATGCAAATGGATGAGCTCAGCTAGCAAACAAGTCCAGAGAGAGCAGAAAGTCCAGAGAGAGCAGCACTGGGCTATGCACCTGGCCTAATGCTACCCCGCTCCTCGCAATCCCTGTGTTATGCTGGAGAGGGTTCAGCCTCTGGTGAGTTTCACCAAACCCCCACATCTCTTTCTTCTGAGACCTTCTCTAAAATCCTCTCTTTTATACTTAGTGAAAAGGGATTCTCTTTTTCCCATCCAGCTTAAGCAAAAACTTTTGACTATGAGAGGAATGAGGATGCATTTAGTATCTGTTCTGCACGGCTAATTCCATCAAAGATTTCTCATTATTCCTGCCTGGCAGTCTCATTTTCTTCTTTCGCCTCTCAGAGCACAGTCGTAGGCTTAATTACTGACCTTTTCACCCTTCTAACACCAGCGATTTCCCCCATCTCAGTTCTCAGGAAGTTCTGTTCCCAGAATTATCTCCTGAATCCTCACCTGGGGATAGAAATTGTTCTCTGTGGCCGTGTCTTCTCCTCTAATTCTTATCAAAAAACTCAGTGATCTCTGTGCATCAAATATTAAACTCAAGCTTAACAGATCATGCTTCTGGCTTCTCTCTCTCTCTGGCCTGTGGGTTAACAGGTTTGCAACCTTTGCAGAGAAGACTCCAAATTCTCAGGAGGCCAGTTTCCAAGGGTGCTGGTCACTCTTGCTCTCTTTCTCCTGCTCAAAATTCAGCACTAGAGAGTGTTACACCATTGCATCTGCAGAGGAGTTCATCTGACTCTAGGGACTACAGAGGAGGGAGACGGACAAACTAACAGGCATTCAGAAAATGGCTACCACGATGGGGAAGAAAATGAAAGTCAAAACAAATAAGCAATCGTCAAAAAAAAAAAAATCTGGAGGCCAGCTGCAGTGGCTCACACCTGTAATCCCAGCACTTTGGGAGGCAGAGGCAGGTGGATGGCTTGAGATCAGGAGTTCGAGACCAGCCTGGGCAACATAGTGAAATCACATCTCTACTAAAAATACAAAAATTAGCCAGGTGTGGTGGCAGGCGCCTGTAATCCCAGCATTTTGAGAGGCTGAGGTGGGCGGATCACCTGATGTCAGGAGTTGGAGACCAGCCTGGCCAACATGGTGAAACCCTATTTCTATTAAAAAACACAAAAATTAGCCAGGTGTGGTGGCAGATGCCTGTAATCCCAGCTACTTGGGAGGCTGAGACAGGAGAATTGCTTGAACCCAGGGGGCAGAGGTTGCGGCGAGCAAAGATTGCACCACTGCACTCCAGTGTGGGCGACAGTGAGACTTTGTTTCAAAAAAAAAAAAAAAAAGAAAAAAAACACATAGAGATGTCCATCCAGGCTGAAGAGAATATTCCAGAGCAAGGGTTGGGACACTACGGCCCATGGGCCAAATCTGACCTGCTTGCACATGTTTTTGTCAATAAAGTTTTATTGCAACACAGCCATGCCCATTTGCTACATATTGTCTGTGGCTGCTGGATTAGGCTGTTCTCTCATGCTATAAATACCTGAGACTGGGTAATGTATAAAGAAAAGTGGTTTAATTGGCTCACAGTTTTGTAGGTTGTACAGGGAGCATGACACTGACATCGCTGAGCTTCTGTGGAGGCCTCAGGAAACTTACAATCATGGCAGAAGGTGAAGCGGGAGCAAGAGAATGAGGAGGGAGGTGCTACACACTCACAAGCAACCAGATATTGCAAGAACTCACTCACTATTGCAAGGACAGGACCAAAAGCATGATGCTAAGTCATTCATGAGAAATCCACCCCCATGATCAAGTCTCTTCCCACCAGGCCCCACCTCTAACACTGGGGGTTACATTGCAACATCAAATTTGGGCAGGGACACATATTCAAACTATATCAGCTGCTTTCATGCTATGGGTGGCAGAGTTGAGAAACTACTACAAGAGACTGTATGGCCCACGAAGTCTAAAACATTTACTATCTGATGCTTTCAAGAAAAAGTTTACAAACCCTGCTCTTGAAAAGGAAGGGAAGGAAGAGGAGAGGAGTAAGGCAGGAAGGAGCAGAGAGGGACATGGGGCCGTATTCAAACATCTGTTGTTAAGACAGAGAAATTCAATTTATTTGTCATGGCAAAAGTTATCAAACTAGGAGCACTCCATTAAAGTTTCAGGACAAACACTGTGCTGAATATAAGGATGACCCCATCCAACAGGCACATAATCCACTCTAAAAGACTGTCCCGGGGTAGTGAAGATGATGTTGCTGGAAATATCCTTAAATGACATGTGGATGAGCTCCCCCAGAGGCATACATGTTGAGCTAAATACTTTGCTGATGAAGGGTACAAGTTGAAGCGGTTTTGAAAGGCAGAGTGAGGTTCCTCAGAAGGCTGTTGCTACAGAAAGCCAGGAGGAGAAATTACATGGCCAGATAGAGTGGCATGACCATTAGATAAGGGTTTTTTGTTTTTTTGTTTGTTTTTGAGATGGAGTTTTGCTCTTGTTGCCCAGGCTGGAGTGCAATGGCACGATCTCAGCTCACCGCAACCTACACCTCCCAGGTTCAAGCGATTCTCCTGCCTCAGCCCCCCTAGTAGCTGGGATTACAGGCATGTGCCACCACACCTGGCTAATTTTGTATTTTTAGTAGAGACGGGGTTTCTCCATGTTGGTCTGGAACTCCCGACCTCAGGTGATCCGCCCACCTTAGCCTCCCAAAGTGCTGGGATTACAGGCGTGAGCCATCGTGCCCAGCCTGGATGAGGGTCTTTAGCAAAGATGGAAGTTTTGGTACCTTGCAATATAATCTCTTCATTTATGTCCTCCTGAAATCTTTACTAATAGCACATTTTGTCAATGTTTCTGGGGTCGTACTGAGAGGGACTTAAAGGAGATGTGATGTGGCAGCCTTTGACTCAAGGGAGTATCATACTAGCTGACAGAGATCTGGGTACATGCCAGTTGAACCCACCCTTCTGAGGATGTGATAGATCCTGGGAGGCCACTCTGATCCTGCCAACCTTGAGGCCAGATGAGTCTTTGAAAAACACGGTTTGGCTTAACACCAGCACTTAGTCTAATACCCACCATGAATCTTGCTGAACTGAAGCTACACAAATACCTTTTCAAAAGATGTTTTTCATTCCATATCCTTCTTACAAATTCCTAAGGCTCAATGCTGTGTGGAAGATTCTAAGAAAGAAAATAGTTTCCAATCTTTGGGATTCCCCTGAGATGGTCCAATCAGCAAAAAGTTCATTGCCATTTCCATCAAGGACACTGAGAACAAGAGTCTTATCCGGATTGGATCCTGGGAATTGAGAAGCTTCAGCAGGTGGGAAATGCACCCTCCACAGGCTCACACCCTTGTGGGCTATTTCAGTTACCTATTGCACCTAAAATTAGAAACTTTAAACCACCAAAAGTCATTATTGCTCATGACCCTGTGAGTTGCATGGGGAATTCCTGGCTGGTTTAACCTGGGCTCATTTGTGTGGCTACCTGCAGCTGGAGGGCCAGCTGGGCGGAACACCCAGGACAGCCTGACACATGTGCCTGGCAGTTGGTGCTGGCTGTCAGCCGGGGAGCCTTGTTTTCCTCCATGTGGCCCCTCGCCCTCCAGAGCCCCTTTCCAAATGGCACTTTAAGCAGGATAGTCAAGGCTTGCTTGGTGCCAGCATCCAAGAGGGCAAAAATATGGAAACTACGAGAGGGCTCTCAAGGCCTAAGACTATATGAACCTCAAAAATCTGAGGTCTCAGTTAATTCAGAAAGTTTATTTTGCCAAGGTTGAGGATGCACGCCTGTGACACAGCCTCAGGAGGTCCTGACAACATGTGCCTAAGGCGGTAGGGACACAGCTTGGTTTTACACATTTTAGAGAGACATGAGACATCAAACAATATGTGTAAGATGTACATTGGTTCAGTCTGGAAAGGCGGGACAACTCCAGGTGAAGGTGAGACAACTCGAAGCAGGGAGGGGCTTCCAGGTCATAGGTAGTTAAGAGACAAATGGTTGTGTTCTTTTTTTTTTTTTTTTAGCAAGTTTTTAATTTTTGTTATTGTACCTTTTAGTTCTATAATTTTTTTTATTATTATACTTTAAGTTTTAGGGTACACGTGCACATGGTGCAGGTTAGTCACATATATATACATGTGCCATGTTGGTGCGCTGCACCCACTAACTCATCATCTACCATTAGGTATATCTCCCAGTGCTATCCCTCCCCCCTCCCCCCACCCCAAAACAGTCCCCAGAGTGTGATATTCCCCTTCCTGTGTCCATGTGATCTCATTGTTCAATTCCCACCTATGAGTGAGAATATGCGGTGTTTGGTTTTTTGTTCTTGCGATAGTTTACTGAGAATGATGATTTCCAATTTCATCCATGTCCCTACAAAGGACATGAACTCATCATTTTTTATGGCTGCATAGTATTCCATGGTATATAGGTTGTATTCTTTTGAGTTCCTGATTAGCCTCTCCAAATGAGGCAATTAGATATACATTTATCTCAGTGAGCAAAGGGGTGACTTTGAATAGAATGGGAGGTAGGTTTGCCCTGAGCAGTTCCCAGCTTGACTTTTCTCTAGCTTAGTAACTTTTTTTGGGCGGGGAGGGGGTGGCGGGGCAGAGTCTCACTCTGTTGCCCAGGCTGGAGTGCAGTGGTGCGATCTCGGCCTCACTGCAACCTCCACCTCCAGGGTTCAAGCAATTTTCCCTGCCTCAGCCTCCCGAGTAGCTGGGATGACAGGCGCCTGCAACCACGCCTGGCTAATTTTCACATTTTTTAGTAGAGACAAGGTTTCGTCATGTTGGCCAGGCTGGTCTTGAACTCCTGACCTCAGGTGATCTGCCCTCCTCAGCTTCCCAAAGTGCTGGGATTACAGGTGTGAGCCACCAAGCCTGGCCTAGCTTAGTGATCTTGGGGCCCCAAGGTTTATTTTCCTTTCACGGCTAGAAGTTGGTCACTATCACTTTGGCAGCATTCCACTGGCCAAAGCAAGTCATAGGCAGCCCAGATTCATGTAGAGGAATATAAACTCTACCTCTTAAAGAAAAGATTGGTTCAATTACACTGCACGAGCGTTTGCAGAAAGTTGTACCCATCTTTGGAAACTACCACACACACACACACACACACACACACACACACCCCTTTACATGCAACCCTCCCTTGAGGCGCATCTACTTCCAGGCAGAACCTAAACTTGACAGTACTCGACAGAAGAAAAGTAGTGTCCTAAATGCCAGTTCTCTTCTTACTCAACTTCAGCCTCATTATAAGCAGACTCTAACACAGTTTATGTGTCTTGAGAAACATTGTAATTAATCTTTGGAATTTAAGAATTTGAATTCATAGCAGTAGCCTGTGCATAGGAAATATACATATAGTAAGTTTCTCCTTTCTGATAAATCGTGCTGAGGGAACCACAATGTAACTTTTTTTTTTGAGACGGAGTCTCACTCTGTTGCCCAGGCTGGAGTGCAGTGGTGTGATCTCAGCTCACTGCAATCTCCATCTCCTGGGTTCAAGCGATTCTCCCACCTCAGCCTCCTGAGTAACTGGGATTACAGACACGCACCACCATGCCCAGCTAATTTTTGTATTTTCTTTAGTAGAGACAGGGTTTCACCATGTTGGTCAGGTTGGTCTTGAACTCCTGACCTCTGATCTGCCCACCTCGGCCTCCTAAAGTGCTGGGATTATAGGCGTGAGCCACCGGCTCACGTATACTGTAACTGTATATTGAAAGTTTTTTTTTTAATAATTAACAGGTTTAACAGAATGTGTCTCCTAATCTATTCCTTTCACTGCGGACATCTATTGCTTTTTCAGCCTAGCAGCCCTCCCCTCTATGGAGACTCACACTTCCTACTCCAGTCACTTGGCTGTCATGGGGGCTGCCATGTTCTCACATGACTCCACCCCTCTGGCCTCAGTTGATTGGTCCAGGGATGAGCATCTGGCCTAAATTGGCCAATCAGAATTCTTCCCTTGAATATTTTTCCAAACTGGCACTAGACCAAGTTAATCATTCTCTGTGATGACAGGAACTGTGTGTAGTGAGAAATACAGGAGCTTTTGTGGCCACATTTCTTGCCTTATGGAGAAAAGGCTTGAGTAAGAAGAAATTAAGCCAGTATGCAGACAAAGCTAGAAACAGAGATGGAGAGAGAGATCTGATGGTGTCTCCATCCAGAGATGGAGAGAGAGATCTTGTGGTAAGCCCCCTGGTTTTTATCATTCTAGTACATGCTTGCTACTGCATACAACCAAGACTTTCACCTGAGGGCCTTCTCAAAGTTAGGCATGGAGTATGTCAGAAAAGCCACAGAAGCCGGGCGCAGTGGCTCACGCCTGTAATCCCAACACTGGGAGGCCGAGGCAAGTGGATCACGAGGTCAGGAGTTCGAGACCAGCCTGACCAACATGGCAAAACCCCGTCTCTACAAAAAATAAAAAAATTAGCGGGGCAGGGTGGCAGGCGCCTGTAATCCCAGCTACTCAGGAAACTGAGGCAAGAGAATCGTTTGAACCTGGGAGGCAGATGTTGCAGTGAGCCGAGATCATGCCATTGCAGTCCAGCCTGGGTGACAGAGCAAGACTATGTCTCAAAAAAAAAAAAAAAAAAGAAAAAAGAAAAGCCAGAAAGTTGATGCCCTGGGACCACTCCTCAGCCAGTGACAGATGGGAGCCAGGCTATAAATGCTTCAGTATCTTTGCCCCCTGGATGGAACAACTTTGAAATGTATTCCACATCACCTCCCCGAGGTCCCCAGTGGGGTCAAATCCTAGTTGCCTGGAATGGTAAGCTGCTCATTAAAGCCCCCTCTGTGGCCTCCTGCCTTTCCATGAATCAGTTCCTCACTCCCCTTTTGGTGTTCCCTAGAATCATCTCCTAAATAATCCACTTGCAATCCTGTCCCTCTTTCAGGATCTGCTTGGGGTTGGGGTTGGGGAGTGCAGACCAAAACATGATCCCTTTTCCACTCCACACTAGTAAGATGAGTTTCTGTCACTGGCAACCAAGAGTTCTGACTATTACCTCCCTCTGAGATAATTTCTAAAATGTATTTGGGAATTTCCCCACCTCTACCCCACTGCCTATGTCATCAATATGTAGATTTCTTAACAAAGTTTATTGGTATTCTTTGATCAACCTCAAGTTTCACAAAGCACACTGCACTTTCATAAGGGATCCCCATGACTGACAGATCAGCCATTCAAAAGAAGGGAAGTGTCAGAGATGGCTCTGCTAGACTCACGTATTCTTTGGTAGAATCTGGGTCAGGATGGTATGGTTGGGAGATGCTTCTGGAGCTCTGGGACCCACAAGCCTGTGTGTCCCATGGTGGAGTATTAGGACAACTTGAAAACATAGTGGCAGGACGAGGCTTCCTCCCTCCCCTGCAGTCCATCCTCCACCACACCGAACGTGCTCAATAGATATTGGTTAAATGAATAATGGGGCCAGGCATGGTGGCTCACGCCTGTAATCCCACCACTTTGGGAGGCTGAGGCAGGTGGATCACCTGAGGTCAGGAGTTCAAGATCAGCCCGGACAACATGGCAAAACCCCGTCTCTACTAAAAATATAAAAATTAGCCAGGTGTGGTGGTTGGCGCCTGTAATCCCAGCTACTTGGCAGGCTGAGGCAGGAGAATCACTTGAATCTGGGAGGCGGAGTTTACAGTATGCTGAGATGGCACCACTGCACTCCAGCCTGGGCAACAGAGCGAGACTCAAAAAAAAAAAAAAAAAAAAAAAAAAAAGAATAATGGATTTATTCCTTTCAAACTGCAACTCACCAAAAGAAGACCAAGACGCATCACAATGTTGTGGCCACAATCACCACAGTGACGATAATGAATATAATCAACTCTCGAGCCAGCCACGTCCACTAAACCTAGCGGATCACATCTGGTGTTTCACTTTGAGGATGTTTTAGTGGTCATGGTAGATGGTTGCCTGACTGCTGGCTGTTTCTACTGTTTCAGGAATATAGAGATGTGTACGCATGACCCCTAAAATTAATTAGTGTGCAATTCTCAAAGAGCCAAACTCTACCCCAAAAGCTACTGGAAGGAAAAAAAAAAAAAAAGAGAGTTTTAATTCTCAAAGAGACAAACTAGATAGTAAAAGCATTTATGTTCCCTTTGAGAATCTTCCCACCAAGGACTCAAAGTGGTCTCCAGACCAGGGAATGCCTGGGGCCTTGGACATTCCCAATTCTGGTATCACCTCCCATTCTCCTTTAGGTCCAGTTTTCTCAGAGGAGCATACATTGTTCATTGCCACCAAGGGTATCCAAGGACACAAACTGAAGATAATAGTGCTTTATTGTCTCTCAGTCATCTGTCTCTCCCACATGCTGGAAGGAGAGCCAAGTCCAATTTATCCAATTACAAAATAGCAACATTGGCATCATGAGATCAGCTAACAAAACTTTCAGAGGCAATCTATCTTCCTACCAAAAGTAACCAACATCTGTGGAGCACTTACCATGACTAAGGGACAACGTAAGTGGTTTGCATGCTGCATGTGTCAGGATGGACTACGTTATGCTGCAGTAACAAATTAACCCCAGAGTCTCAGCAGCTTAGCAACCAAGGTTGATTTCTTACATACCATGTCCACAATGGGTTGGCTGGGTATGGTGTCCTCCATATGGCCCCTCAAAGACCTAGAATGATGGAAATTCTACCATCTTAATGCAGGGATTCTCCCATAGTTACTGCACCAGGAGATGAGAGAATGAGATAGTTATTCCCAAGCCCTCAAAAGCTGTACACTAGAGGTGATGTCAGTGACTTCCACTTATAGAGCATTGGACCCTGGCATGGATCCATCTAACTATTGGAGATCTGGGGAATACGGGGAGCACATGGAAATCCCATGAGCAGTAACCATTCCTGCCAGCATGCATTATTTCATCTGAACCTCACAACCCCATGGAATATATAACAGAAGCTTGGAGAGTGATCGGACCTGCCCCAAGGCGTCACAGATAATGAGTTGCAGAGCTGACATATGACCCTCGGCCTGGCAGGATTCAAACCACTACGCTGCATACTCATCACAAAATTCTACGAAATTCCTCATACAGCAAAACACCACACCAAGTGAAAAGAAAGCCAAGTTGTGCAAATACACAATAGAACTCCCCTGACACTTCACCTCCTCACCCACCCCACCCCCACCGAAAGAATCTACCCACACAAATAGCTGGAAGAAATTCTCAGGCAATTTCAGCAGGGGAAATGGGGTTATCTCATCTGGGTCTCACATCCGACCTCGTCAAGACAAGACCTTCCCTAAACTTCACCTGAACACCTGGACACACCGTCATGTCTTGCCGCTTCTTGTTACTAGAAATCCAATGATGACATCTTTATACAACGTACAGGTCTTTCTATAAGTGCCAAGATAAATGTCATCCCTGTACCTGCATATCATTCAGAGGTAGGCAAGCTTCTATGTAAAGTGCTAGACAGTAAATATTATCAGCTTTGCAGGACTCATCTGATCTCCATCCTATATTCTTTTTTTGTTTTTGTTTTTGTTTTTTACAATTTTTTTCTTTTTAGTTAGGGTCTAAAAAGAAAATAAAACTTATCCATGGTGTGATATGAACGTTAAATACCTGCTCACTGAACGAAGCAGACATGAAAGGTCATATATTGTACAATTTCATTTATATGCAATGCTCAGACTAAGCCAATCAACAGAGACAGAAAGTAGATGAGAGGTTTCCAGGGGCTGCAGGAGGGGGTATGCAGAGTGACTGCTGAATCGGGTATGAGGCTTCCAATTGAGGTGTTGAAAAAGCTCTGAAACTAGGAAGTAGTGATAATTGCACAACATGATAATTGTACAGAATGTCACTGAATTGTACACTTACAGCTGTACAAAATGGTAAATGTTGCATATATTATACCACAATTTTATTCATTTATTTTAGAGACAGAGTCTCACTCCGTCACCCAGGCTGCAGTGCAATGGCACAATCATAGCTCACTGCTGCCTTTACCACCTGGGCTCAAGCAATCCTCCCACCTAGTCTTCCAAGTAGCTGGGACTACAGGTGAACGCTACCACACCCAGGGTTTTTAATTTTTTTATAGAGTTGCATTCTCAGTATATTGCCCAGACTGGCCCAAACTCCTGGCTTCAAGCGATTCTCTCATCTCAGCCTCCCAAAGTGCTGGGATAACAGATGTAAGCCATCGCGCCAGGCAATTTTTAATTCTTATGCGAAATTTTCAAGTAATAAATTCCTAGGATTAAAAAAATGTTGATCAACATGGGGATTAGAGGAAAAAATAATTTTAAACAAGAGGAAAAATTAAATGAGATGATGTACATGTGTACAGTGCCTGGCCTCATGATCACTGAGTCCACTGCAGTTTTTTTTTTTTTTTTTTTTTTTTTTTGAGACAGGGTCTCACTCTGTCACCCAGGCTGAGTACAGTGGCATAATCACGGCTTACTGCAGCCTCAATCCCCTGGGCTCAAGTGATCCCCCCACCTCAGCCTCTCAAGTAGCTGGGACTACAGGTGCACACAATCACACCTAGCTATTTTTGTTGTTGTTGTATTTTTGGTAGTGACAGGGTCTCACCATGTTGCCCAGGCTGGTCTCGAACTCCTGGGCTCAAACGATCTTCCCACCTCAGCTTCCCAAAGTGCTGGGATTACAGGTGTGAGCCACCGTGCCCATCCTGTTGTAGCCACTTTAATAGTGCTGGTGAACAATAATTTGCTCTCCCTATAAAAACAGGACATACTAAGCCAAGGAAAGCACCAATCTAGTTTGTTCTCCCCAGATCTTCAAAATGTTGGAATTAGTATAAGAGTCCAAAATATTTCACAAGGATTTTTTTTTTTTTTTTTTTTTTTTGAGACGGAGTCTCATTCCGTCGTCCAGGTTGGAGTGCAGTGGCACAATCTCGGCTCACTGCAACCTCCGCCTCCCGGGTTCAAGCAACTCTCCTGCCTCAGCCTCCAGAATAGCTGGGATTACAGATATGTACCACCACGCCCGGCTAATTTTTGCATTTTTAGTAGAGATGGGGTTTCTCCATGCTGGCCAGGCTGGTCTCGAACTCCTGACCTCAAATGATCTACCCGCCTCGGCCTCCCAAAGTGCTGGGATTACAGGTGTAAGCCACCACACCCGGCCAGTTTGATTTTTTATTGTGGTAAAATACATACAAAATCTATTATTTTAGCCATTTTCAAAGGAAAAATTCAGCGGTGTTAAGTGCATCCACCACGTTGTACAGCCATGTCCCCCATCCATCTCCAGAACGCTTTCAACCTGTCCTGCAAATATGCGGCACCTTGCTACACTCCGGGTTGTTTGTCCCACAACAGAGCTGGGCTGAATTATTAATGTGGACTTTTTTCAACAACGGACTAAAGAGGGAGAAGCCCATGAACTCTGAGGAGTGCATGACAGGTGCTCGTGGGATGACAGGGCTCGGGGCCCTCCAGCTGCTGCTGCTGCCACCGCTTGTCCTGCTGGGCGGCCACCCCGTCCCAGGGAGGAAGAGCACTCACGGCTGCTACTGATCTCCTTTGAGGGCTTCCACTGAGACTAGGATCAGGATGTGGACACCCCCAACCTGGATGGTCTGGCTGGGGAGGGCGTCAAGGCCAAGTACCTCATGCCGCCCTTTGTCACGATGACCTCCCCGTCCCACTTCACCGCCATCCCGGGTAAGCACCACTCTGCCCATTTCACCCGATGCCCATCAAAGCCCCAGCGCCCATCATTCCCCGGAATAAGAAGCAAAAGCTCAGTCAGCTCTAGAGAGGCTGAGGCGGCTCCTGCAGCCCAGCGCCATGCCCCAGGAGCAGCACCAGGTCAGAATACACTGTGAGGTGTGGGGGTGCAGGGGTGCAGGGCCGTCACTTGGGCCTCGAGACCCAGCCTGCAGACAGGACCAGGACCGGGGTTGCAGCCACCTGAGGGGTCTCCCTGCTCCCAGGCCCTTCCCCACCAGGACCAGTGGTCTTCTGTAAAAGTAAGTAATTAAAAGAATGTGGCATTTTTTTGAGATGGGGTCTCACTCTGTTGCCCAGGCTGCAGCTCAGTGGCATAATCACAGCTCAGTGGAGCCTCAAACTCCTGGTCTCAAGCAGTCCTCCCTACCTCAGCCTCCCCAGTAGCTGGGGATACACACAAGCCACCATGCCTAATTTTCTCATTTTTTTAGAGATTCGGGAAGGGGATGTCTCACTATGTTGCCTAGGCTGGTTTTGAACTCCTGGGCTCAAGTGATCATCCCACCTCAGTCTCTCAAAGTGCTGAGATTAGAGACATGAGCTACCGTGCCTGGCCTGATCTTTTTTAAAAAAGTAAATAAGGCCGGGCATGGTGGCTCACCCCTGCAATCCCAGCACTTTGGGAGGCCAAGGTGGGTGGATCACCTGAGGTCAGGAGTTCAAGACTAGCCTGGCCAACATGGTGAAACATCGTCTCTCCTAAAAATACAAAAACAAGCTGGGCGTGGTGGCAGACGCCTATAACCCCAGCTACTCAGGAGTCTGAGACAGAAGAATCACTTGAACCCAGGAGGTGGAAGTTGAAGTGAGCCGAGATCGTGCCATTACACTCCAGTTTGGGCAACAGAGCAAGATTCCATCTCAAAAAAAATAAAAATAATTAAAATAGAAAGGTAAATAATTAAAATCACTTCTAAAGAATTGTATAAAAATAATAAAACATTGACATTTACAGAGCTCAGTTAGATGAAGTGACTCATACCCTCCAATGGTGTCCTGGTTCTCTTACATGAGAATTCAAATGTCTTTCTGTGGCCCAGAAGATACCACGCAGCCTGGCCCCTGGCCCATCTTCTGCCAGCCTCTCTCATCTCTCTCCCTCTCCTTCACTTCCCTCCAGATCACAAAGGCCTTTTGCCTGTGCTTTCTGCCCTGCTCTCTCCAGCCCCAGGGCCTTGGCCTGTGCTAGTCCAGTCCCTCCAGCTCACCAGGAGCATGCAGTCCAGTCGGGGAGACAGACACCAGACACCCTAACAGGCACATACATCCCGTGACAACTCAGGAGGCACCAAGGAGGAAAACGAGTTTTCCAGGCACAGACTACAGGGGTAAGTTCGCTTCAAACTAGAGAGGGAGAAAGGGGCTCTCTGAGCATGGGGAAGTTGAGCTGAAAGAGATCTCAGGGGACCAGAGCAAGGAAAAGTGTTCCAGGCAGAGGGAACAGCATGTGTGAGGTCTCTGAAACAAAGACCTGGTCATTTCAGAATCCCAGTGGCCACTAAAATAGAGGGATTCCAACCTAAAAAGGAGGGAGAGGAGGCTGCTGGAAAGCAAAGGACTCTGTGTAAGAATCACACTAGCTTCCGTTCCTCATACACAGACTTGGTGCCAGCACTGTGTAAAGTCCTTCACTTTCATGATCTCTGATACACGGAGATAGCAAAGTCAGTGTCCCATTCTACAGATCGGAAAACTAAGGTTCAGAGATGCTGAACAGGCTGGGCACAGTGGCTCAAGCTTATAATCCCGGCACTTTGGGAGGCCGAGGTGGGCAGATCACCTGAGGTTGGGAGTTCGAGACCAGCCTGGCCAACATGGCAAAACCCTGTCTCTACAAAAAATACAAAAAGTAGCCAGTTGTGGTAGTGCATGCCTGTAATCCCAGTTACATGGGAGGCTGAGACAGGAGAATCGCTTGAACCCAGGAGGTGGAGGTTGCAGTGAGCTGAGATCATGCCAGTGCACTCCAGCCTGGGTGACACAGCGAGACTCTGTGTCAAAAACAACAAAAACAAAAACAGATTCTGAATAACTGACCAGTTGCTCTGCTAGAAGGTAGGGAAGACAGACTTGGAATTGGGGCGTCCCTGGCCACATGGAACTCTTTCTACATTGTTTTCTGAGCCTGGAAGTCCAACCACAGGCCCCCCTCATGCAGTGCACCTCAAACAGAGAAAGGCGAGGCAAGGCAGAGTGCCTGGTGGCATGAGCCTCACTCCATCCACACAGCCACTTCTTCAGGGGTCCAGGAAAGCTTCTGGAACCTTGGAGATTCCAGGCAAATTACAGCTGCGTTCTTCTGGGGAGATGGCTTATCACTTTCATCAGACCCTCAAAGGGGTCCTTGAATCAGAAACTTAAAAAATAGGCTGGGTGCAGTGGCTCACACATGTAATCTCAGCACTCTGGGAGGCCAAAGCGGGCCTATCACCTGAGGTCAGGAGTTCGAGACCAGCCTGGCCAACATGGTGAAACCCCATCTCTACTAAAAGAAATACAAAACTTAGCCAAGTATGGTGGCACACGCCTGTAGTTCCAGCTTCTCAGGAGGCTGAGGCATGACAATCGCTTGAACCCGGGAGGCGGAGACTGCAGTGAGCTGAGATTGTGCCACTGCACTGCAGCCTGGGTGACAGAGTGAGACTATCTTAAAATTAAAAAAAAAAAAAAAAAAAAAAAAAGAATAGAAATTGAAAAAACAAAGCTGAACAACCACTCAGAGGAAGATTTGCTGAGGTAGATTTTTCTACATGCAAACTCTGACAGGCAAGTCATTTGGGGGCTCTTAGTGTCAGGAAGCAGGAGCCAAATATGCCTTTTCTCGAGAAAGGGGAAGCCACTTCCCAGTAGCGTTAACTTCATTACACTTAAAAGATCTCCCGTGGGCAGATCCTGGATGGATCCCTGAAGGCTGAGAATACGATGGGCACAAACTATCATAAAGCGTGCCCACCTTTTATTTATTCCCAGATTTTGATGAGAAGATATAAACAGGGAGAGCACATTTTTAAAATTACAGAATCACCCCACGGCTCTTCTACATTCACTGCCAGGGGCATAGAAATGGGTATGGCTTCAGGCTGGGCGCGGTGGCTTATGCCCATAATCCCAGCACTTTGGGAGGCCGAGGAGGGTGGATCACCTGAGGGTCAGGAGTTCATGACAAGTCTGGCCAAGATGGTGAAACCCCATCTCTACCAAAAATAGAAAATTAGCTGGGCATGATGGCATGCACCTGTAATCCCAGCTACTTGGGAGGCTGAGGCAGGAGATTTGCTTGAACCCAGGAGGTGGAGGTTGCCATGAGCCAAGATTGTGCCATCGGAATCCGGCCTGGGCGACAAGAGCAAAACTCCGACTCAAAAAAAAAAAAGGAAAAGAAAGAAAAGACATGTGTATGGATTCAGTGACGGGTAATTTGGCAAAATCAGATAGTGCACTGGACACAGGGGCCCACACCTATAATCCCAGCACTTTGGGAGGCCAAGGGGAGAGGATCACTTCACCCCAGGAGTTTGAAACCAGCCTGGGCAATATGATGAGACCCCATCTCTACAAAAAATACAAAAATTAGCCAGGCATAGTGGTGCACATCTGTAGTCCCAGCTACCCTGGAGGCTGAGGTGGGAGAACTGTTTGAGCCTGGGAGGTTGAGGCTGCAGTGAGCTGTGATCACACCACTGCACTCTAGCCTGGGTGACAGTGCAAGATCCTGTCTCAAAAAAAAATTCTTTTTTAATGCATGAACTTTCTTATTTGGCGATTCCACTTGTAGGACTTTGTCCTGCTGACATATTTGCTTAGCGGTAAGGGAAGTACATACAAAGCCATTCATTGCCTACAAATAACAAACTGTTGCAACATAAAATCTTTTTGGTTCACTCATTGTGGAAACATGTTCGTGTGCGCCTCTTATTTATAACCAGATATACCATGTATTGAGCTGGGGAACATTTACTCTGCTTCAACATTACAACCGCTTTTTGGCCACAGGTTGTGGTTAATGCCTATAATCCCAGCACTTTGGGAGACCAAGGCAGCAGGATTGCTTGAGCCTAGGAGTTCAAGACCAGCCTGGGCAACATAGCAAGATCCCATCTCTACAAGAAATTAAAATAAAAAGTTAGCCAGGTGTGGTGGTGCACACCCATGGTTCCAGCTACTCAGGAGGCTGAGGTTGGAGAATTGCTTGAGCCCAGGAGGTCAAGGCTGCAGTGGGTTATGATTGTGCCACTGCACTCCAATCTGGGCAATGCAGTGAGACCCTGCCCCCACTTCCAAACCAAGAAATAGGTTTCTTAACCTCAGCACTACTGACATTTGGGGCAGGATCATTCTCTGTTGCATGCGGCTGTTCTGGGCACTGTGGGATGTTACCAGCTTTCCTGCCCTCTACTGACTAGATGGATGCCATTGGCACCCCCGCTCCCATTGTGACAACCAAAAATATCTCCAGACACTGCCAAGTGCCTGCTGGGGGGCAAATTCACCCTCATTTGAGAATCAGTACCTTGAGATAACTATACACCATGATGAACCCAGTACCAGGCTTCAGAAAATGTCTAGCAGGTTCCACAATCAGCTCCCCTTCAATTCTCTAAACACTGATAGCAAGTCAGGCAGGTTCCTTCCTTAAAGGTGAGAAATCACAGGCTGAGGTCACACAGGTGGGGAGAGGCAGGGCAGGATTCCAACTTAGCCCTGGATGGTTCCAGCAACTGGGTGGCCCATCCCTGCCCCTGCCACCCCCCCGCCGCCCTCCTCCAGCCTCAGCCCTCATGTGTCTTTGGTTCTAATTGAGTCATCATTACAAACCCCTATGAATTTCACCCAGCTCCAAGCTTCCAGGCAACAGATATATATCCCGAATATGTTGCTTTAATGAAACAGAGGGCACCCGGGACCCGGCAAAACCACTGGCATTTGTCTTCATGTGGCTGGGCTCAAGCCAACCTCTGGGTGACTCCAGTGTGGAAAGGAATTATCCGTAATAGAAAAAATAATGGATAAAAATTGGTACTGCCAGCACCCAAAGACCTTATCAGATTCCAGGGGGTAGGCTGCACGTAAACTATGATAAAGGGGGCTCCCTCAGCCCAGCCAGTTATTAACTGCAGTTTAAAACAAGGGGGATTGCTGGTGAGGTGGGATGATCCCTGTTTCACATCTGGGCTGCAAAACCATGCACAGGTCCAGTTAGGGTTCAGGTCCAAGAAGCCACGTAGACAGCCCTCCAAGCTGCCTAGACAGGATTCCAAGAGTCCTGGGGGTACCACGAGCTTGGTGGTCCTAAGCAGGAAACAAAGCCGGCAGAGTCCAATCCCCCTGGCACAACAGCCCTTCTGGGAGAGACTCCCTAAGACAGAGAGCTGACTTCACTGCCCAGATTCTCCCTGGGGCACATGGTATCTCTGCAAAGCCAAGCCGGTGGTACCCACCACGTGCCTGCGGAGGTGCACAGTGCAGACATCTCAGACCTCACCTGGGAGGCAGGATGATATGACCCTCATTAGCTTTCCCTGCTGCTGATGAAGGAAAGTCTTCCTGGAGAGTTCTTTGAGAGGGCCGATGCTGTATTCCTCCTTTCACTCGGGGAATACTCTTTGAGCATCTACTTTGGTCCAGGCAGTGGAAATGGTGGCAAACGATAGAACTCATGTGTCTTGGGAATGGTGCCATCTTCCCAGGGCTTGTCCCATGACATGGGGCTCAGGTCCCCTCCACTCTGTGATCCCATAGATCTTTCTGTGAGAATAGCTTCCTTTTCTCTGTAGTTCAGCCCAGGTAGAAGGATTTAAAAGTCCCTTTTGGGAGGATGCTTTCACTGCTTCATTTCCTTTCTCTGAGAGCTGAGGAAATCAGAAGACAAGGGAGATGACATTTGTTGTTGTTTTGTTGTTGTTGTTGTTTTGGAGACAAGGTCTTGCTGTATTGACCAGGCTGGAGTGCAGTGGTGCGATCACAGCTTACCACAGCCTTGACCTTCTGGGCTCAAGCAATCCACCTGCCTCAGCCTCCTGAATAGCTGAAACTACAGGTGTGCACCACCACGCGCAACTAGTTTTTTTTTTTTTTTAGAAATGGGATCTCACTATGTTGATCACGCTGGTCTCAAACCCCTGGACTCAAGTGATCCTTCCGCCTTGGCCTCCCAAAGTGTCAGGATTACAAGTATGAGCCCCCACACCTAGCCAAGACTGTGTTCTTCCTCACCTGGTATCCCCCAAGACTTTCCCAATGTCCCAACTCCTCTGTGGCTCCTGGAAGGAGCTAAGCTTGTGAAGCCCCAGGCCAGGAGGAGTCTCTGTTTTCCTCCAGCACATTCTTTCCTAGAAGCAAGGAGGCTGAGGGTGCCAGCCGTTTGAATGAGGGAAAGGCTCAGGGAGAGAGGATTTTTAAAAACATTGGCTGTTGACTCCAAATATCCTGCTTCATCATCTCTCCATTCCAGAAACTTTCTGCATGCTTCCAAAGGGTGTTCGTTTCTCCTCTAAGTATTTGCCCCCCAGCCCTACCTGCAACAAGGTGGAAGTAGGGCCTCTGCCTGGGATGGTAACTCTCCATTACAAGGCAAGACCTGTCTCTCCTCCAATATCCCCAGGACTGAAGGACTGTGCAAGTCTGCATATTGATCAAGCATCTCCCTTCCTTATCTGAAGGGACTTACTTCCTTCAAGACACTTTTCCTCTTCCCACCAGCTCCATGCCCCCATACAGTCATCTTCCAACCCATCTCTCCCCACCTCCATGCCACACAAGAGGGGCTTGACCACAGCACCTGGAAGTTCCTTAAAATTGAATGGTGTGTCACGCTGGGTGCAGTGGTTCATACCAGTAACCCCAGCACTTTGGGAGGCTGAGGCAGGCAGATCACTTGAGGTCAGGAGTTCAAGACCAGCCTGGCCAACATGGTGAAACTCCATCTCTACTAAAAATACAAAAATTAGCTGGGTGTGGTGGGTGCATGCCTGTAGTCCCAGCTACTTAGGGGGCTGAGGCAAGGGAATCATTTGAACCCGGGAGGCAAAGGTTACAGGGAGCTGAGATTGTGCCATTGCACTCCAGCCTGGGCAATAGAGTGAGACTGTCTCAAAAAAAAAAAAAAGAATGGTGTGATTAGCTTTTGATTTTAAAAAATGGAATGATGTATTCATTTTCTAAGCTGCATAACAAATCAACACAAATTTAGCAGCTTAAAACACCCATCTATTACCTCTCCTTTCCTGTGGGTCAGGAGTCTGGGGGTGCAGCTTTAGCTGCGTCCTCTGCTCAGGTTCTTACAAGGTTGTGATCAAGGAGTCGGCTGGAATTAGTGTCTCATATGAGGCTTGGGGTCTTCTCCCAACCTCACATGGTTGTTGGCAGAATTTATTTCCATGCAACTGTGGAACTCATATGGCTTCTTCAAAACCAGCTAGGCGTGGTGGCTCATGCCTCTAATCCCAGCCCTTTCGGAGGCCGAGACAGGTGGATCACCTGAGGTCAGGATTTTGAGACCAACCTGGCCAATATGGTGAAACCCCGTCTCTACTAAAAATACAAAACTTAGCTAGGCACGATGGCGCATGCCTGTAATCCCAGCTACTTGGGAGGCGGAGGCAGGAAAAACACTTAAACCCAGGAGGCAGAAGTTGAAGTAAGCTGAGATCGTGCCACTGCACTCCAGCCTGGGCAACAGAGTGAGACTCCATCTCAAAAACAAACAAACAAAAAGCAAAAACCAGGAGGAAGGAGTCTGTCTCCTCCAGACCCTCATTGAAGATCTCACCTGAAGATGTCAGGCCCACCCTGAATAATCTCCCTTTTGATTAACTCAAAGCGAACGGATTAGGGGCTTAGTTACATCTGCAAAATCCCTTCAACTTTTCCCTAGGTATAGATTAGAAGCAAGCCACGGGTCCTGCCCACACTCCAGGGGAGAGAATATTACACCTGGCATTTATCCAGGGCAAGAACCTAAGGGGTCATCTCAGAATTCTGCCTTCCAAATAGATCCTCGGTAGAGCTCACATGCCTGGGCGAGCACCAGCCTTTGTTTAAAGGCAACAGAGAATGGTGCCCTGGCTCAGATCTCCAGCAAGCCCCTAGAATGATGGTCCAGTCTCTGAGCCCAGGGCCAAGGCAGCAGGAGCTTTGGGCGCACATGGGGACTGGCTTCCCCTACTTTGAAGTGAGTCATCACATCCGTATTAGACCCTAGCTGTTGCTTAGGCAAAAATGATGATTTAGAAGAAGATGGAGAGAAGAGGAGAGTTAATTTAAAAGTACTTATATTCGGCCGGGCACAGTGGCTCACGCCTGTAATCCCAGCACTTTGGGAGGCTGAGGCAGGTGGATCACGAGGTCAGGAGATCGAGACCATCCTGGCTAACACAGTGAAACCCCATCTCTATCAAAAATACAAAAAATTAGCTGGGCGTGGTGGCAGGCGCCTGTAGTCCCACCTACCCGGGAGGCTGAGGCAGGAGAATGGCATGAACCCGGGAGGTGGAGCTTGCAGTGAGCTGAGATCATGCCACTGCACTCCAGCCTGGGCAACAGAGCGAGACTCCGTCTCAAAAAAAGAAAAAAAAAAGTACGTATATTCATTCCCTAAGGCTGCCACAACCAAGTACCACAAGCTCGGTGACTTGAAACAAGAGAAATTGATTGTCTTGTGGCTCTGGTGGCCAGCAATCTGAAATGGAGGTGCCAGCAGGGCCGCACTACCTCCTGCACTTCTCGGGGAGTCCTGCCTTGCCTCGTCCTAGCTTCCTGTGGTCTCCTGGCAGTCTTCAGTGTTCCTTGGTTTGCAGACACATCAGTCCAATCTTCCGTCCGATCCATGGCCTTCTTCCCTGTGTCTCTGTGACTCGGCATGTCCTCTCCTCTTTTATAAGGACACCAGTCATTGACTTAGGGCCCTGCCTACTCCAGGATGACTTCATCCTAATCAATAGCATCTGCAATAACCCTGTTTCTTTCTTTCTTTCTTTCTTTTTGAGACAGAGTTTCACTCTTGTTGCCCAGGATGGAGTGCAATGGTGCGATCTCGGCTCAATGCAATGTCCACCTCCTGGGTTCAAGGGATTCTCCTGCCTCAGCCTCCCGAGTAGCTGGAATTACAAGTATGCACCACCACACCCAGCTAATTTTGTATTTTTAGTAGAGATGGTGTTTCTCCATGTTGGTCAGGCTGGTTGCTCAAACTCCTGACCTCAGGTGATCCACCTGCCTTGGCCTCCCAAAGTGCTGGGATTATAGGTGTGAGCCACCATGCCCAGCCTGCAATAACTCTATTTCTAAATAAGGTCACATTCTGAGCTACTAGAATTTAGGATTTCAACATCTTTTGAGGAGGACTCAATTTAACCCATAAGAATACTATGTGGGCCATACATTGTACTTCACATCTGTTATCCCAGCACTTTGGGAGGTCGAGGCAGGAGGATCATTGCTCAGGGCCTGGGGGGACACCAGGTGCATAAGAACACAGCGTTGACTGGGTGTGGGGGCTCACACCTGTAAGTCTGGGAAGCTAAGGCAGGGCGATCACTTGAGCCCAAGAGTTTGAGGCCAGCCTGGGTGACATAGTGAGATCTCGTTTCTAAAAAAAAATTTAATTAGCTGGGCATGGTGGTACCCGCCTATAGTCCCAGCTACTCAGGAGGCTGAAGCAGGAGGGTCGCTTGAGTCCAGAAGATCAAGGCTGTGGCGAGCTGTGATTGCACCACTGCACTCCAGCCTGGGCAACAGAGCAAGCCCTGTCTCAAAAAAAAAAAAAAAAAAGTCATCTCCCTTGTCTTCTGATTCCCTGAGCTGTCATAGAAAGGTGAAGCAGTGAAAGCATCCCCCCAAAAGGGACTTTTCAAAACCAGCCTAAGCAACATAGCAAGACCTTGCCTCTAGAAAGTATTTAAATTTGAAGGAAAAAAAAAAAGCAGTACTATGGCACAGAGTTGACAGCTACAGGTGTGGCTACATCCAGGTCCTCAAACTATATCATCAGAATAACCCCTCACTCTCCCCCCACTTTCCATTTTACTTTCTTCAGCATGAACATGAAATTCCCAAGATTGTCTCTCCTTTGGCTAATCTGCTTCTCAGACCCAATCACTGTGGCCAGGGTGGTGGAAGGATATTGACATCCAGGCTGGGACCACATGCCCCAGCCCCAGGTCAGGTTGGGAAGTGGCCAGTCACACAGATGCCGTGGGGAACTAGTGACTCCTCGGTGGAAAATTGGGGACTGTCATTGGAGGAGAGCGATGGAAGAAAGGCTGACACACTGCAATGTATCTCCTGCACCAGCCTGGGCCTCGATGTCTTGAGAACGGCAGTTTGCGATCTGATGACCCAGTACTCAGTCCAGGGCAATCCCAACTCCATCTTGGGCCTGCCCACAGTACATGGACCCCCACTGGATCTGCTGACCACACATGCAAACAGCCACCTCCCAGCCCCACTCTCCGCAGTCCCCCTGAGCCCTGTCAAAATTCCCCTCAGTTCTCACCAAGATTAAAAGCAATTCTGAGGGTGAGCGGCTCATTCTGCTAGTTTAAATCTCTCGGTTCCTTCCCTTTCTAGAACTCGGTACTTAATGCTCTGTCACTGGTAATGACAATGAACATTTTCACAATCTCAGTTTTTATTGCAAAGTGATTGAGGACCAGTTAGAATAAGTTATGCTACAGAAACTAAAGAAATCCCGTCAAGCAAATGGTGTGTAATAGAAAGTCTTAGGGCAGCCGTGTATATTTTCTCCCCCAATGAATCAATTGAAAATGAGAAGCTCTCACCGCCATGTTCTGAGCAGAAGCTATCAAAAGTGTAAGCCATGATATTATAATTTGATGATTTTACATCTTTCAAATGGATATGGCCCAGGGGTGAAAAGTGGATGCTCCGTAACTAGATGATGGTCAAGAGTTATAAAAATGAGGTCCTATCTGTTCAACATTTCTCTTTTCTTGAAAGGATACTCAATGTCCTGCTCAGGGCCTCTAATGGCCAGAAATAAAGTTCCTCCCAGTTCCAGAGCACCCCAGGGCAACCCCAAAACCAGAGCAACTGCTTATAGCCATGTAGACTATATACTGTGCAATTCCTGGGGTGGCATTTTCATAAATATGTGGGTGGCACCTCCTGGAGGTGTGCAATGCACAACTTGCACAAATGGTAAGTCATCGTATCCCAAAGTCCACCAAGAAGGGGTAAACAAAATTCCCATCGATGTTGCCATCAGTCAAGGGTCTGCCTTTTCTTCATGGGACAGCAGCAAAAACAATTTGGCCAAATGTGTTTGGATGATCTCTAAGATGGAATCAGGGTCTCTCACTTTCAGCACGATTGACATTTGGGGCTGGATCATTATTCTGTCTTAGTGGGAGTTGTCGGGGCATTGTAGGATGTTCAGCAGCATCTCTGACCTCTACCCACTAGATGCCAGGAGCACCACCTCCTCCAGCCGCAACAACCAAAACTGTCTCCAGACATGGCCACATGTTCTCTGGGGGGCAAAAGCACCCCCTGGTTGAGAAGCCCTGAAGTAAAGACATAATATGCAGATCACATGTAAGTAAGAGAGCCTAAGGGCCACACAGGTGATGCTGTACCCATGACAAAGACAGAGTCATAAACAGGTTAGAGAGATGGAGAAAGAGAAAGGAAATGAAGTCGCAGCTGCCGAGAGCAACAGATGCCGACTAGATGTTGTTGACAGTCATCTTTAAACTAAGTTAAAAGATGCTGAGAAGCCATCAGCTCCCATCCTGCTCTCCAGGGACGACACTGCTGAAAAAGGCCTGGAGATCAACAAAGCCCCAAACACAAGCGCACTGAGCAAAGAAACCAGAGATTGAGACGAAAAAGACATTCCCTCAAAGACTACTCATTTCCAAGAGGGGAGAAAAAGTGGAGTCACGAAAAACCGTTCAGGCTGGGTAGAGTGACTCACACCTGTAATCCCAGCACTTTGGGATTACTCCCAGGCTGAGGCGGGAAGATTGCTTGAGCTCAGGAGTTCAAGACCAGCCTGGGCAACACAGCGAGACCTTGCCTCTCCAAAAAGTGAAAAAATTAGCCAGGTGTGGTGATACATGCCTGTGGTCTCAGCTACTCAGGAGGCTCAGGTGGGAGGATCACTTGAGCCCAGGAGGTAGAGGCTGCAGTGAGCTGGGATCGCACCACTGCACTCCAGCCTGGGCTGCAGAGTGAGATCCTGTCTCAAAAAAGAAACAAATTAAAGAAAATTAAGGCCGGGAACGGTGGCTCATGCCTGTAATCCCAGCACTTTGGGAGGGTAAGGTGGGCACATCACGAGATCAGGAGATTGAGACCATTCTGGCTAACACGGTGAAACCCCATCTGTACTAAAAATACAAACAATTAGCCGGACATGGTGGTGGGTGCCTATAGTCCCAGCTACTCTGGAGGCTGAGGCAGAAGAATGGAGTGAACTCGGGAGGTGGAGCTTGCACTGAGCCAAGATCACGCCACTGCACTCCAGCCTGGGCAAAAGAGCAAGACTCCATCTCAAAAAAAAAAAAAAAGAAAATTAAAAATTTTTTTGAGACCAAGTCTCACTCTGTCACCCAGGCTGGAGTGTAATGGTGCGATCTCGGCTCACTGCAACCTCCGCCTCCTGGGTTCAAGCGATTCTCATGCCTCAACCTCATGCCTCAACATGACTACAGGCATGTTGTCACCATGCCTGGCTAATTTTTGCATTTTTAGTAGAGATGGGGTTTCGCCATGTTGTCCAGGATGGTCTTGAACTCCTAGGTTCAAGCAATCTACCCACCTCAGCCTCCCAAAATGCTGAGATTACAGGCATGAGCCACCGTGCCCGACCTCTAACTTTTCATTATGAAAATTTCCCATATGCACAAAAAGCGGGGAGAGAATTGCACCATGAACCCCCACGCACCCATCATCCCACTGCGAAAACTTGTCAACATTTCGCCAATCTCATTCCAGTTCCCGCTTTTCTTTTCCTTCTGGCTATTTTACAATATTTTAAAGCAAATTCCAGACATTTCATTTCACCCACATCCATAACACGCCAGGGTGCATTCCTGATGTAAGGATTTTGTTTTGTTTCATAACCCCCATGCCATTGCCACAGTTAATAGAATGAAACTAAGATTCTTGCAGGTGGAGAAAAGATCTAATTACCACCTTAAAGCCTCTCCTACCAGCGCTTCTCAGATCTGAACGTGTATGCAAATCACCTGGGCATCTTGTTAAAATGCAGATTCTGGCCCAGCAGGTCCTCCCGGGTGAGCCCTGGAAGTCTTCAATTCCAAAAGCTCACAGGTGACGCAATGCTGCGAGTCCATGGATCACACAAGAGAAAGGATTGGGTCGGCCCAGCACCCACAGCAACTGGGTGCAAGGTCCTGACTGCTCCTGACTGCAGGGACTTCAGTGAAAGGGGAAGCTGGGGACCATTTGGGAAAGAAGGGACGTTTCTCATACCAGCTCCAGGCCCTGGAGAACTGCCAGGGAATAACAGACACAAGGTCAGCAAAGTCCAACCAACAGCATGAGTGCATTCATATTCCACAACCACTGCAGCCAAGAACCATGAAATGGGTGGCTTCAAACAATGTCTGGGCCGGGTGCCGTGGCTCACACCTAAATAATCTCAGCACTTTGGGAGGCTGAGGTGGGTGGATCACTTGAGGCCAGGAATTCGAGACCAGTCTGGCCAATATGGCAAAACCTTGTCTTTAGTAAAAATACAAAAATCAGTCATGCATGGTGACAGGCACCTGTAGCCCAGCTACTTGGGAGGCTGAGGCAGAGAATGGCTTGAGCCCGGGAGGTGGAGTTTGCAGTGAACCGAAATCGTGCCACTGCACTCCACACTGGGCAACAGAGAAAGGCTCTATCTTAAAAAAAAAAAAAAAAAGAAAAAAAAAAGCCTGGAGGCCAGAAGTACAAAATCAATCAAGTGTCAGCAGGACCATGCTCCTTAAGAGGTTCTAGGGAAGAATCCATTCCTTGCCTCTTCCAGCTTGTAGAAGCTACTAGAATTCCTTGACTTGTGGCTGCATGATACAATCTCTGCCTCTGTGATCACCTTGCCTCCTCCTCTTCTGTCTGGGTGGGTTTCCTCCTCTAGAGGAAGAGTGTCCTTTTTTTTTTTTTTTTTTTTTTTTTGAGATGGAGTTTCGCTCTTGTTGCCCAGGCTGGAGTGCAATAGCATGATCTCAGCTCACTGCAACCTCCTCCTCCTAGGTTCAAGCAACTCTCCTGCCTCAGCCTCCAGAGTAGCTGGGATTGAAGGCATGTGCCACCATGCCCAGCTAATTTTGTGTTTTTAGTAGAGTTGGGGTTTCTCCATGTTGGTCAGGCCGGTCTCGAACTCCTGACCTCAGGTGATCCACCCTCCTCGGCCTCCCAAAGTACTGGGATTACAGGCATGAGCCACTACACCCAGACAAAAGTGTCCTTTTATAAGGACACTTGTCTTTAGATGTACAGCCTACCTAACATACCCCAGGAGAATCTCATCTCAAGGTCCTTAACTTAATTACATCTGCAAAGACCCTTTTTCCAAATAATGCCACCTCCACAGAGTCTAGGCACAAGGATCTGGATATATCTTGTGCGAAGCCACCATTCAGCTGACTACACTAGAAAGAGGAAAAAAAAACGAACTAACAAAAGGCGCAGAAGAAAGAACAGATGCAGCTTGTGTGGCAGTGGCCATCAAGGCAGGCTGGGGTAAAACTGTGTCAACAGAACCCCCAGATGGAACTCAAGTGGGGCCGTCTCCTCCCAGCTACTCACAGAGAACTTTTCCGTTTCTGACAGCAGAGTAAGAGAAGGGGTGGGAAGAGAGATAGCCCATTTTCTGTTGGCCTAATTCCTAAGGAATCGTGCCTCTGCCTTCGGGCCATTCTCAAGTCTTGTTCAAGGATAAAATGATTTATTGATGGCCGTAATTAAAAAGCAATGCCAACAGAAGCAGCGTCAGCATTTTTCATTTGTACTTACACATGAGCGAGAGCAGTTTAGGGAAACGGCTGCCTTCAGGTTCTATTTTCTCCATCTAGAAAAGGGCTGCCTTCGTGGAATCCTGGTCCTGGGGAGAAGCCTCTTTCTATAGCAGGAATTGATACAGTTTTAAATTCTGATTGGTACACGGAGCTACCCGTCCTCATTTTAAGCACTTCTGGTTTGTTTTGGGTTCAGTGGGTGAGCAATGAGGAAAACTCTGGGGAGGAGGATTTGGGGCTAGCGTGGTTTTGATCCCCAGAGGGAGCTGTTTTTCCATCAATGTCTTGACTGTGATTCAGAATGGGCTTCTCCGCTCAAGATGGGGTACTGGGCTGATTTAAGGCAGGTGATTGAGTTGATTTGGTGGCTACTTTTATACTAGCTGGTTAACGAGCTATTTTCTTCATTAGTTTCAGGCATGTGAGCTTAATGAAGAATTGGACCTCCCAAATTACAAGGAAAGTAAAGATATAACTTATATGGCAGGTTCGAAGGAGTTAGTGAACAAACACAGTAGGGCCACAAATTATTGTTAAAGACATGAATGCATGAAAGTGTATCTGTGTCCAAATGGACTCTCTGCAACCATACTGTTCCACCTGAAAATTAGTAGATAGAAATTCAGCAAATGCTTGGACAGGGGATACTCTCAGAAGTATTCTGACTAAATAGCATGGTTTCTTTTCATATCACTAAAGTAATTTCTTCCCAAATTGACTCTGGACTAAATCTTATGATACCTACTTGTTCTGATTGTACTTAGCCACCTGCAGATAAGGTGGGGGCAGTGGTAAGAGGAGCTGTTGAGTGAAATTAAACATTTGTTGAATGCCTACTGAGGATAAACCCTGTGCTTCATGCCAGGGAGATTCCAGAATAAATGAGGCACAGACCTACTCTCAGGAAGCTTTTGCAAACTAATGGAGAAAACACATCTGCAGGCAATGACTTATGGTATAAGAGGAAATGGGGCCAGATGTGGTGACTCACACCTGTAATCCCAGCACTTTGGGAGGCCGAGGTAGGTGGATCAATTGAGGTCAGGAGTTCAAGACCAGCCTGGCCAACATGGTGAAACCCTGTCTCTACTAAAAATACAAAAAAAAAAAAAAATAGCCAGGCTTGATGGTGTGCACGTGCAATCCCAGCTACTTGGGAGGCTGAGGCACAAGAATCACTTAAACCCTGGAGGTGGAGACTGTAGTGAGCCGAGATCCCACCACTGCACTCCAGCCTAGGAGACAGAGCGAGACTCTGTCAAAAAAAACAAAGGAAATAAGATTGGTGTTGAATGGGAAATCTAAGCAGGATGGAATGGCAGGAGAGCGCCCACTTGCCCAGCTCCAATAACAATTTTGACAGCCATGACAATATTGCAGGGATGCCCATTCCTCATGGTATCTGAAGCCCCATGAAGGCATGCATCTGGAGGCTGCTTCAGTCTTGACTTTAAGATCAGGGGATACAAGGAATGATTTTCATCTATCCCAAGCCAATAGTCCAGCCAAAAATCTAGGTCTGAGATGATGAGAAAAAGCAAGTCATGAACCATGTCAGCCATTTCATCATCATCATCATCATCATCATCATCATCAAAAACAAAAGACAGACCTGTAACCATCTTGTGTGCCTGGCTCTCGTGTTAGTTCAAAATATAGAAGCAAATTCTATGGCCAGCGAACAATGACCAAAATAGCTCTCATTACCCTTGTCTGCCACCATGTAAGACGTGCCTTTTGCCTTCCACCATGATTTTGAGGCTTCTTCAGCCACATGGAACTATGAGCCCATTAAACCTCTTTTTCTTTATAATTTACCCAGTTTTGAGTAATAAAATAAACAGTGGTTTGTCCACATCATCAATGAACAATGCTGTCACTTGTTCCAAGTGCATATCATTTAAGAGGTTTGGATAAACAACAACCTAAAATAAATAAGCACTAAGCAAACTCAGGGCTACATAATCCCTGTGGTGAGGTAACTGACAATGGGTACAACGGGGATAGTTTACTGTTAAATCACCTCTATCTACATGTGCCCAAGCAGTGAGACACTTGGTTTTAACCCTAAAAAATCATGGTGCACATTTACTCCTGCCTTCCAACTGGGCTGTAATGTCACCTCCTTAGAGAAGCCCTCTTTTCTGTGCTTCCGCTCTGCTTTTTTTCAGCATTTAGTAGAGCATCAGTCACCATCTGTACCTGGGAACAATGATTGTAAGAAACAGAAACCCATTTGCATGAGCTGGAGGGAAAGGAGCACACCTTATCTCTAACAGGCAAACTCATGGGCATGGGAAACAAATGAGAGGCCATGAGAGAATGGAAACTGCAGTTACAGAAACCAAAATTCCTCTTTCTGACTCTCAGAAGCCCATGGTCTTATTTATTTATTTTTTTATTTTTTTATTTTATTTTTTTTTTTTTGAGACACAGTCTCGCTCTTTCACCCAGGCTGGAGTGCAGTGGTGCAATGATCTCGGCTCACTGCAAGCTCCACCTCCCAGGGTTCATGCCATCCTCCCACCTCAGCCTCCCAAGTAGCTGGGACTATAGGCACCCACCACCACGCCTGGCTAATTTTTTGTATTTTTAGTAGACATGGGGGTTTCACTGTGTGAGCCAGGATGGTCTCGATCTCCTGACTTCGTGATCTGCCCATCTTGGCCTCCCAAAGTGCTGGGATTACAGGCGTGAGCCACCGTGCCCAGCTGCCCCTGGTCTTTCTTAACAGCCCTGTGGACTTTCTTATCTCTGCTTCTCTCACTCACAACCAATTTTCCCTTTTTGCTGGTGGCCCATCATGGCAGCCAGCAGAGCCCACCACCAGCTGATCTGTTAGTAACTGGATGTCTTGGTAGAAGGAGAGGGAGAGAGAGAAAGAAAGAGAGAGACAGGGAGGGAGGGAGAGAGGGAAAGAGAGAGGGGGAGAGAGAGAGAGAGAATTGGGCTTCTGGCCAACCAATTGAGTACAGGGAGGGGGAGAACCATGGCACAAATATGGCGCCAAGACCTGCTTTCCAGCATGGCCAGTGAGTCGGGAAATTGAGGGAAGGTACCTGCAATCACAGCAGACATCTCAGAACACGCTCTCTGTTCTTAGTTCTCTCTCCTGCCTTCTAGATTGTAAATATCACAAGACAATTGAGGATAGTACCTGGCTCAAAATATTTGAGAAAGAGAAAAAGGAAGGGATTGCATCAAACTCTGGACTTCATGGTTTCCTAAATTCACTCTGCAAGTTTTTGGGTTTTTTGTTTGTTTTTGAGACAGAGTCTCACTCTGCTGCCCAGGCTGGAGGGCAATGGCATAATCTTGGCTCACTGCAACTTCCACCACCCAGGTTCAAGCGACTCCCCTGCCTCAGCCTCCTGAGTAGCTGGGATTACAGGCACACACCGCCAAACCAGTTAATTTTTGTATTTTTAGTAGAGATGGGGTTTCACCATATTGGCCAGGCTGGTCTCGAACTCCTGACCTCATGATTCACCCACCTCGGCCTCCCCAAGTGCTGGGATTACAGGCGTGAGCCACCATGCCTGGCCGACTCTGCAAGTATTTAAGAAATGAATGAACATCGGTTCCTGAGAATCAAAAGAAAGGCATTGAATCTCCATTAGGTTTAATCACGGTCAGCAGCTGTGGGGCGTCATGGGTTTGGGATCAGTGGGATGAGGAACAAGCAGGTTCTCCAAACCACCACGCAGGGAGGGGAGGTGTTAACTAGGCCAAAGACAACGGGCGGGATACGTGCCTGGGTTTCAAACAGCTTATGCCAGGCCTAAAAACCAACGCTGAGGCAGTAACTGTGTTAAGCAAATTGATGACACAATGGAGGGGGTCAAAAAGTTTGATATTGCTAAGAAGAATACAAATATTGATCATGCAATATGTTATGGTTATCACACCACCTCCTGCTACACGCCAGGTTTCCTTTACCATGAGATACAAGAGATTTGTGGATCTGACCTAACCCTCCAAATTGTAAGGTCCCTGAGAGTGGGCTCATGACATTCATGTTTTATAAATGTGGCATAAAGCCTCACGCTGGCTGCCATGTGGCCCGATCCCAGTTCGATGCTGCACTCAAAAAACCATCATTCCAGCATCCAAACATACTTAAAGGCAATTGAAATGTTTACCGCCGTCCCTCAAGACAAACACCAAAGAAAAATTATTTTCAAAATGCATAGCAACACTTCTTAAAATCTTATTTTCCCATCTCTTTCTCTCTCTCTACCACATACCCAGGAGTTTCCCAGGAGCAAAACTGTCATAAAGACCCAGGAGCAAAATGATTAATGACTTCACTATAACCGATTCTGATTTAGTTGGTTTAGAGTGGTGTCCGGGCATACGTATTTTTTAAAATCTTGCTGGGCACAGTGGCACACACCTGTAGTCTCAGCTACTCGGGAGGTTGAGGCAGAAGAATCACTTGAGCCCAGGAGTTTGAGTCCAGCCTGGGCAACATAGCAAGACCCTGTCTCTGAAAAAAAAAAAAAAAAAGCAAAAACAAATCTCTCTCAGCTGCAGTCAGGGTTGATAACTAGTTGATCAAATAATTGTGGTAGCCAACCTTCGCAATGGACCTTAATGTTCCCACCTCCTGGTATTATTCATTATGGAATCTGTCTTAGCTAGTCCTCAGTTGGGTCTGGTATCCAGGCCCTGCCTTGAGAGGCTAGTCCCACCTCCTCCCCCACATATGGTTTTACACTTACTTTCAAGACTGATCTAAAAACATAAAATGTCCTTGTTTTGACCTTGTTTCCAATGAAACAACTACTCTAAACACTCATTTAGAATGGTTGGGGAAATTTGAACCCTGGCTAAATATTAGAAGATATTTGCTTCAAAATAACCCAGCTTGGTAATGAGATAATGGTGGCTGAGGCTGGTGATAGGCACAGAGGGGTTCATTATCAAATAGAAACAAGTGGAAAAAACAGAATCTTTTCCATAATAAAGATGTAAGGTAAACACAAAAATGTATTGAGTGCATAAAAAGAATCTATGGTCTCACAGGCATTAGCTCCCACTGGCCATGTTAGGGATAATTTGAACATCAAAAATAAAAGTAACAGCCAGGTGCAGCTGCTGATGCCTGTAATCCCAGCACTTTGGGAGACTGAGGTGGGTGGATCACTTGAGCCCAGGAGTTTGAGACCAGCCTGAGCAACACAGTGAGACCCCATCTCTAAAATAAATAAATATAAATAAAAGTGACTGGAATTCACTGTAGAACATCAACTCTATTTGAGTCTATAAAGATTACTGGCGGAGGGGGGCGATGGGGAGGAGGAGAAAGAGAATATATTTGTGACCTGGATTATTTTCCTTAGTTTTGATAGAATCTTTGGGTCTCCTGGGTCTTCTAGCCCAGTATTTATTTTTATTTTTTATTTATTTATTTATTTATTTTTAGATGGAGTCTCACTCTGTCACCAGACTGGAGTGCAGCAGTGCGATCTCGGTCCACTGCAACTTCCGCCTCCCGGGTTAAAGTGATTGTCCTGTCTCAGCCCCCCGAGTAGCTGGGACTACAGGTACCTGCCACTGCACCTGGCTAATTTTTGTATCTTTTGTAGAGATGGTGTTTCACCATGTTGGGCCAGGCTGGTCTCGAGCTCCTGACCTCAAGTGATCCACCCACCGTGGCATCCCAAAATACAAGGATTACAGGTGTGAGCCACCACACCCTGCCTATTTTCCTTAGTTTTCAGAGAACCTTTGTGTCCCCTGGGTGTTCTAGCCCAGTATATCTCAAACTTTGCTGCACTGAGGACCTTGTTGAAATGCAGGTTCTCATCTGGCAGGCTCAGTCGGCCAGCAAATGTGCATTGCTTTAGGAAGCTCACCCTGAGTAGCAAGTTTCAGTGAGGACCAGGCAGCCCTGCCTGCCCTCTCAGCTGGGCTTAACCCTGGCTCTCGCCCGCCAGAGTTCCTCCCCTCAAAATAGGAGCTATTTTCAAAACGCCTCTTGGAAAAAAGGCCCTGTTTTAAAATTGGGGTGTTTAGGATTGGCCATCTGCTCACCATGGGGTTTTAAGACCTTTGCCCAAACCCCCGCAACCAACTTAGAACTGACATTTTCACTCTTGAAGGGCCCACTCCACACCATGTTAAATTCATTAAAATCAACCCCCATGACAGGCATCTCTCAGGCATCACGCCCTCAGAACGGAGTTGCAGCTGACCACTTGACAATGTTGCAAAGCATTAAACATGCATTCATTTCAGCCTTGCAGTTTTCACATTTAGGAGCCAATTGTCTTAGGTCTAAAGCATTCATGTCCAAGCATTGTTATGGGCCCCAGACACTATGCTTCCCAGCCCTCATGGCCTCTGCAGTGCTGGTTCCTACTGCCCCACCCCTGCGTTCTGGCCGGCCAGCCCACACCACCTCACTGCTCCCCCATTCAACTGTGCCTTAGGTGTGTGGTTTCCAAACTCATCTACATTTTAGGGTCACCTGGGATTTTTTTTAAATCTTCCAAAACCCAGACCACACCCCAGAACAATTAAACCTCAACCTCTGGAATGGGACATAGCATCTGGTTTTTGTTTTTTGTTTTTGAGACAGAGCCTTGCTCTGTTACCCAGGCTGGAGGGCACTGGCACAATCATAGCTCACTACAGCCTCCAACTCCTGGGCTCAAGCAACCCTCCCACTTCAACCTCCAGGGTAGCTGGGATCAGAGGCAGGCACCACTATGCCTGGCTAATTTTTTATTTTTTTATAGAGACAGTATCTCCCTATGTTCTCCAGGCTGGTCTCAAACTCCTGGGCTCAAGTGATCCTCCCGCCTCAGCCTCCCAAATTGCTGGGATCACAGGCGTGAGCCACCACACCTGGCCATCAGCATCTGTATTTTTTGAAGCACAGACGAGTTTGGGAACTACTGCCCTAGACTGAGCTCGGTTTCCTAGCCCTGTCTGACGGTAGGATTCTGCCGGGCTGCTTCTGAAAACAGAGCTCCCCAGGCTCCTTCCCAGGTAATTCTGATTCATTAGGTCTGGGGTGGGCCCTGGAATGTGTATTTTTTACCAGGTCCGTCTGGGTGAATCAGGCTAAAGCCAGTTTGGGATCTGAGACCTTGGAGCTCATTCCCCAGCTTCCCTCCTAACCCAGTTCCCAGCTTGGCCCACCTCACCCAGGCTGTGTCACGTCTGACTTCACAGATTACACCTGAGAGGGAAGCCCCAGCCATCATGATGTGAGAACATTTTACAGTGACGAGGAAATGCCAAATACATTTTAAAACTCATTCAGGATTAGCGTTCACCTTAAACTTGACAGACTCTGAGAACGGGCTGGCCACAGGTTGTGCTGTGCACAACCCTTAGTGCTCATCCGCGACTAATATTTGGATAATTGATTGTTGGAAGCTCAGGAAGCCTCTCTCTCTCTCTCCGAGGGATTGAAGTTAACTTCCTTATTTCTGAGGTAGGGAAGAAAATGAGGATGCCCTGCCTTTTGCTAGACTGAATACTGTCCTCCAAAAATTCACATTCACCAGAAATCCCAGAATGTGACCTTATTAGAAAATAGGGGTGGGGCATGGTGGCTTATGCCTGTAATCTTAGCACTTTGGGAGGCTGAGGCAGGAGGATCACTCGAGGTCGGGAGTTCGAGACCAGCCTGGCTAGCATGGCAAAACCCTGTCTCTACTAAAAACACAAAAATTAGGCATGGTGGTGTGCACCTGTAATCCCAGCTACTTCGGAGGCTGAGGCTGAAGAATCACTTGAACCCAGAAGGCAGAGTTGCAGTGAGCTGAGACTGTGCCACTGAACTCCAGCCTGGGCAACAGAGCAAGACTCCATCTCAAAAAAAAGAAAAGAAAATAGGGTCACTGCAGATCTAATTACAAAGAGGTCATATTGGAATAGCATGGACCTTAAATGGAGTAATAATGGCATCCTCATGGGAAGAGAAGAAGAGACAGAGACACGCAGGGGAGAAGGCCACATGAGAATGAAGGAAGAGAATGGAATGATGTGGCCACAAGCCAAGGATTGCCAGCAACCACCAGAAGCCAGAAGAGGCAAGGAAGGATTCATCCCTAGAGCCTTCAGAGGGAGCACGGCCCTGCCCGTTTCAGACATCAAGCTTCTGGAACTGGAGAGAATGACTTTCTGTTGTCCTGAGCCACCCATTTGGGGAACTTTGTTAGAACAGTCACAGCCAGCTCATGTGCTCCTGAATGCATCTCAGGCATTAATAAGCACTGTCTTGGCCAGGCAGGGTGGCTCACCCCTATAATCCCAGCACTTTGGGAGGCCGAGGTGGGTAGATCACCTGAGGTCAGGAGTTCAAGATCAGCCTGGCCAACATGGAGAAACCCCATCTCTACTAAAAAGACAAAAATTAGCTGGGCGTGGTGTTGCGTGCCTGTAATCCCACCTACTTGGGAGGCTGAGGCAAGAGAATCATTTGAACCCTGGATGCAGAGGTTGCAGTGAGCCGAGATTGCGCCATTGCACTCCAGCCTGGGCAACGAGAGCGAAACTTCATCTCAAAAAAAATAATAACTACTGTCTTGACTGTGGTCATCAAAAATATTTGATTAAGGGTTAGCTAGAAAGCCTGACCCTTTCACAGATGGACAGAAGGGCCAAAAGAAAATAGATTGTTTGAACTGGGGCAAGAAGGATAAGAATCCTATGGAAAAAAAAAAAAGAGGGATTGGTTTAGTGAGTGCTGGGGAGAGGCATTTGTTTTCTTGCTTAAAAAAGAAACACAGGTTGGGTGCGGTGGCTCAAGCCTTAATCCGAGCACTCTGGGAGGCCAAGGTGGGTGGATCACCTAAGGTCAGGAGTTCGAGACCAGCCTGGCCAACACTGTGAAACCCCCATCTCTACTAAGAAGACAAAAAAAAAAAAGAAAGAAAGAAATTATCCAGGCATGGTGGTGGGCGCCTGCAATCCCAGCTACTCGGGAGGCTGAGGCAGAGAATCACTTAAACCGGGGAGGTGGAGGTTGCAGTGAGCCAAGATGGCGTCATTGCACTCCAGCCTAGGCAACAAGAGTGAAACTCTGTCTCAAACAAAAAAAAAGAAAGAAAAAAACCATAGTTTTAAGTCCACTCAGTGGAGTGTCAAAATACATTCCCATTGTGCAGTGCTTTTGGAATCTTTTCTGAACTTCTGTTGCACATGATCTAATTTGATCTTCATAGCAACTCCCTGAGATGGATAGGGCAGGCCTTTCTGAACACCTGTTTTCTAGTTTGCATTAAAAGAACGGAATTGGCTGGGACCAGTGGCTCATGCCTATAATCCCAGCACTTTGTGATACAGAAGGGAAGTGCTTGGAAGGGAAGAATGTGGTCCCTTTAAATGATATGGAAGTGAGGAAGGGAAGTACTGGGTAGAGGAGGGTGTGGTCGCTGGCTAGTGCTCCACCCCAGGGCCTTTGCCCACGGACCTAGGTGAGGACAGGCATTTTTGTTTTCCTGCCCAAATGTTGCATTTCCCAAGACCACCCTGGCTGCCACACCCCCATTCTGCGCCTATAAAAACCCTGAGACCGTAGCAGGCAGACACACAGGCGGCTGGACTTCAAGAGGAGCACATCAGCGGAGGAACACATGTGCGCTGCACGTCAAGAGGAACGCACCAATGGGCACCGGCACACCGCAGGCCACTGACTGGCAGAACAACCCAGAGTTTGGCTGGGACAGTCAGAGAAGAGTCGGGCCACTCGCCCGACTCCAGGGGAAAACCATCTTCCTTCTGGCTCCCCCATCTGCTGAGAGCTACTTCCACTCAATAAAACCTTGCACTCTCATGCTTGTAATCCCAGCACTTTGGGAGGCCGAGGCGGGCGGATCACGAGGTCAGAAGATCGAGACCATCCTGGCTAACACGGTGAAACCCCATCTCTACTAAAAATACAAAAAAATTAGCTGGGCGTGGTGGCGGGTGCCTGTAGTCCCAGCCACTCGGGAGGCTGAGACAGGAGAATGGCGTGAACCTGAGAGGCGGAGCTTGCAGTGAGCTGAGATTGCACTACTTCCGGTACACCAAGGCAAGAACTCCGGGACAAAGAGAGCCTCTGTCCTTGCAATAAGGCGGGGGTCTAATTGAGCTTACTAACACAAGCTACCTACGGATGGTTAAACTAAAAGAGCACCCTGTAACACACGCCCACTGGGGCTTCAACTATAAACATTCACCCCTAGACACTGCCATGGGGCTCCCTGCCTGTCTGTGTGCTCCCCTAGAGGTTTGAGCAGTGGGGCACTGATGAAGTGAACCACACCCCCATCGCATTCCCTTCGAGGGGGACAAGGGAACTTTTCCCATTTTATCTGAGACGCCAAGGCAGGAGGATCACTTGAGCCCACGAGTTTGAGACCAGCCTGTGCAACATAGCAATACCCCATCTCTACAAAAACAAATAAGTAAACAAAAATAAATAAATAAACATTAAAAATTAGCCAGGTGTGGTGGCACACACCTGTAGTCCCAGCTACTCAGGAGGCTGATGTGGAAGGATTGCTTGAGCCCAGGAGGTTGAGGCTGCAGTGAGCCAAGATTGAACCACTGCACTCCAGCCTGGGCGACAGAGTGACACCCTGTTTCAACAACAACAAAAAGAATGGAACAAAATAACTTCTCAAATAGCTAGCAGAGGCAGATCTGGTACTCAAATGCAGGTTTTCCAGGTTTCAATTCTTGTTTCTAGCTGTATTATGGAGAAACATGATCACTAATATATGAAGGAGAGGAGGTTTCAAGTTCTGATGAAAAGATGGTAAAGAGAGGAGTTAGTTGATTACGAGTGACTAGGAATGGGAAGAAAACGCATGACACTACTTAGAGGAAAGAAGAAAAATAAGCATAGAGGTGACAGAGCGCACAGAAAGGACTTGGAAGAAGCGTGTTTGGCCCTGTCTCTGCATTTCTTCCCTTGCATTAGTAACTTCCCTGATGACTTGGATGAATCTTCTCTTCCAGGGCATCCAGTGTTCCCTTTCTGTCCACTTCTCCTTTCCCAGGGCCCATACAGTCTGGGAAAGCATGTTCTGCAGGCTTCTCATATCTTTCCTTCCTTAATCAGCCCCTAGCATCTCTATGTAACCCATATACACCTGGAGTTCCACATGTCCCAGTCTTTGCACTGCAGCGAATTCAAAGAAAGGTGCACTCTAGCTGGGCACAGGGACTCACACCTGTAATCCCAGCACTTTAGGAGGCCGAGGCAGACAGATCACTTGAGCCCAGGAGTTCAAGACCAGGCCTGGCCAACATGGTGAAACCCCATCTCTACTAAAAACACAAAAATTAGCTGGGCTTGATGGTACATGCTCAGTAGTCCCAGCTATTTGGGAGGCTGAGGCAGAAGAATTGCTGGAACCCAGGAGCAGAGGTTGCAGTAAGCTGAGATCACGCCACCACTCTCCAGCAGCCTACGCAACAGAGCAAGGCCCAGTCTCAAAAAAACACAAAGACAAAACTAAACCAAAAAAAAAAAAAAAAACCACACACACACACAAACAAAGGTAGACTCCAATAAGAAAAATTCAGTCAAAAGCAATTCAAATAATTACTCAGTCAACCCAGTTCTATCTCAGTTCTTTATTATATATATAAACTTACTCTGTCTAGATTCCCTAGTTTTGTTTTTCTTTTTTGTTTTCTTTTTTTTTTTTTTTTTTTTTGAGACGGAGTCTCGCTGTCGCCCAGGCTGGAGTGCAGTGGCGCAATCTCGGCTCACTGCAGGCTCTGCCCCCTGGGGTTCACGCCATTCTCCTGCCTCAGCCTCCCGAGTAGCTGGGACTACAGGCGCCCGCCACCTCGCCCGGCTAATTTTTTGTATTTTTTAGTAGAGACGGGGTTTCACCGTGTTAGCCAGGATGGTCTCGATCTCCTGACCTCGTGATCCACCCGCCTCGGCCTCCCAAAGTGCTGGGATTACAGGCGTGAGCCACCGCGCCCGGCCTTTTGTTTTCTTTTGAGACAGGGCCTCACTCTGTCACCCAGGCTGGAGTATAGTGGCATGATCATGGCTCACTGCAGCCTCAACCTCTGGGATGAAGTAGTTGTCCCACGTCAGCCTCCCAAGTAACTGGGACTACGGGTGCACGCCACCATGCTCAGCAACTTTTTGTATTTTTTGTAGAAACGGGGTCTCACTATGTCGGCCAGGCTGGTCTTGAACTCCCGGACTCAAGAAGTCCACCTGCCTCAGCTTCCCAAAGTGCCAAGATCACAAGCATGAGCCACTGCACCTGGCTGATTCCTTAGTTTTCTTTTTCTCTTTGCCCATTGCCTGGATTCCATAAGCAGAAGGAAAACCCGGGGGCTGACTTTGTAGGCAAGACTCTTTCCTCTTCAAAATGTAATTGGTTCAACTGGTACCAAAACTGAAACATGTTTATAACTTAACATCTTTTCTTCCTACCCCTTCAATCTCTTGAGCAATGAGAAAAGGCACTGGGCTCTTTCTTTGTGACACATAGTCTGTGCCCTCAAAGAACCCTGACACCCCGGCAACATCCATTCAAAGAGCTTATCCGTACCTCCCCTCCTTTATCCCCAAGGTTACTGGGTCAGAGCTCACGGAGTCATTCACAACATGATGTTTAACACTGAGACGCTCTGGAAGTGCTCCTTCAAGACTCAGAAGAAGACCCAGTGCTGAGACAGTCGTGTTCTCTCTCTCTCTGGATCACCGCCCAGAGACAAGGACTGCCGGAGACCCTGGCTTCCCCGGCTGCTGCCTCTCATTCCTGCGCCGGTGGGATGAGAGTTCGAAGCTGTGCGACCTTGACCAAGTTACTTACCCTCTCTAAGCATTTGTTTCCCTAAATGTGAAATAGGGATGATGGTGGTGTTTTTTATATATTTCACAGATTTGATAGAAGGATTAAGTGAGAGATGCATCAAAAGCAGTGGGCACAGGGTCAATGCTCAGTGAGCTTTCACTTTTCTTATCAATAGACAGGTCTCCATGAGGACAGAGACTGGCTTCATCTTGACTGCAGCCTCAGGGCTGGCCACAGTGTCCGCACCCAGCAGGACTTCAGTAAATATCTGTTTATACACTAACCACAGACTTAGGCATAAAAGCCCTTTGGAAGAAAGTTGACCATTTCATGCACCTTCAGACTATGAAGAGCAGTGACGACAACTTTAGCTTGAGAGGCTCTCAGTGCCCATTCATCACCACTGTGAAAAGGCAGAAACCAGAGCTGTGTGTTTAACTCCCAGCCCCAAAACCTGTTGGCTTTGCTTTATCACTATGAGCTTCCAATGGCTTCCCTTTAGAATGGGGCCTCTCTCTTCTTCCCCAAGGCACCAGCCTTTGCCCCAGACCTCTCCTTATTACCTGGTTCCTCCTCTCTGTACTCTGAGCCCATGCTGTGCTCGTCAGATAGCACATGGCAGAATACAGCAGCCCAGAATGCAGGCTGCAGAGTTAGATCCCCAGAACAGGATCTCAGCCGGCTCCATCCTTCCTCAGCTGGGTGACCGTGGCCAATGACTTGCTCTCTGTGCCTGAGTTGCTCCATCTGTGAAATGAAGATTGTCACAGTCCCTGCTTCAAAGAGTCACTGGGAGGATTAACTGAGAAAGTGCAGGGAAAGTGCTTGGAAGTAAATGCTCAAAAAAAGTCCATCTGGCCAGGTGCGGTGTCTCATGCCTGTAATCCCAGCACTTCAGGAGACCAAGGCAGGCGGATCACTTGAGGTCAGGAATTCAAGACCAGCCTGGTCAACATGGCAAAACCCCAACTGTACTAAAAATACAAAACTTAGCCAGGCATGGTGGCAGGCACCTGTAATTCCAGCTACTTGGGAGGCTGAGGCATGAGAATCGCTTGAACCTGGGAAGCGGAGGTTGCAGTGAGCCGAGATGGTGCCACTGCACTCCAGCCTGGGCAACAAGAGTGAAACTCTGTCTCAAAAAAAAAAAAAAAAAAAAAAAGTCCATCATTCTTACTAATGGAGGCCAAATCATCTCAGCGCTTCTTTGGCTGATCAGAATGCTCAAAGCCAGGGTTATCCAATAGACCAGAGGTCCCCAGCCCCCAGACCATGGACCAGTAGTGGTCTGTGGCCTGTTAGGAACTGGGCTGCACAGAAGGAGGTGAGCAGCAGGCTAGCGAGTGAAGCTTCATCTGTATTTACAGCTGATCCCCCTGGCTAGTGTTACCACCTAAGCTCTGTCTCCTGTCAGAGCAGCAGTGGCATTAGATTCTAATAGGAGCACCAACCCTATTGTGAACTGCATGTGGAAGGGATCTAGGTTGTGTGCTCCTTATGAGAATCTAATGCCTGATGATCTGTCACTGTCTCCCACCACCCTGAGATGGGATTATCTAGTTGCAGGAAAACAAGCTCAGGGCTCCCACTGATTCTACATTATGGTGAGTTGTATAATGATTTCATTATATATTATAATTTTCATAACAATAGAAATAAAGTACACAATAAATGTAATGTACCTGAATCATCCCGAAACTTCCCCCCAACAAATCCATGGAAACTGGTCCTTGGTGCTAAAAAAAAAAATGGGGACCACTGCAATAGACTATTCAGTCACGGTCCAATCAAACATTCTGCAATGGCGGACTTGCTCTACTCTGCACTGTCCAACAGGGGAGCTGCTAGCCACCCACATGGGCTGTTGAGCCCTTGAAATGTGGCTGGTGAGAATGAAGAGCTGAATTTTCAATTTTCTCTTATTTTAACTAATTTTTTTTTTTTTGAGACAGAGTCTCACTCTATCCCCCAGGCTGGAGTGCAGTGGCACAATCTCGTCTCACTGCAACCTCCATCTCCCAGATTCAAGCAATTCTCCTGCCTCAGCCTCCTGAGTACCTGGGATTACAAGAACCCGCCATCATGCCTGGCTAATTTTTGTATTTTTGTAGAGACGGGATTTCACCATGTTGGCCAGGCTGATCTTGAACTGCTGACCTCAGGTGTTCTGCCCACCTTAGCCTCCCAAAGTGCTGGGATTACAGGCATGAGCCACCACACCCAGCCTTAATTCATTTCTAAATCACAAAATCTAAACAACAAGTGGCTAGGAGCTACCATAGTGTACAAGGCAGCTGTAGAATCACAGGAAATTGTCAATGACCCTGTCCTGCTTCAAGTGGACTTTTCCCCCTCATGGTGACACTCTAGATTCTTTCCTCTTCTCTCACATTTTTTAGATTTTCAGGCTTAGACCATGAAAATAAGTTCTGTCCTTCCAAGAAAATAACGTTCATAACACTTACTGTATACCAGGCTGATTTCAGTGCTTTACATGTATTAATTTACAACAACTCTGAGGCGGGAGCTGTGATTATGCCCATTTAACAGATGAGAAAACTGAGGCAGAAAGCGGTGCTGGAACTTCTCAAAGTCACACAGGTTGCAGGAGGCAGAACCCGGATTTGAACTCACTTTGGGTTCAGCAACTCACAGCTCTCACCTATGACATAATATTACTTCTGTGGTCAAAACACTTAGACCTGGATTTCACAGGAATCTTGTGCTTGTCTGGCTGCTAGGGAGGTTTTCATCATCTTCCTTATCTCACAGTTCAAAACCCAGGGCCTCCATGCTCTTGCTCTGGTGGCCGTTCACTGGCAGGAGGCTTCTGGGAAGGTTCTCCTTTTCTGTCATTTTTCTTATTCGTGGTTTTTTGTCTCATTGGTGTTTATCTGCAAAACTTTGTTTCCTTCTGCTCAATTCATAATCAGAGTGCTTTTCCTCCTGGCTGAACTCATAAGTGTTTATGCAAAAAGAGGTTGGGCACAGAGCCAGGCGACTGACGACACCCGGCTCGTCTGGCAAGTGGATATCAAATTGTTGTATCTTGTTCTGCCATTCGTGGCTCCTGCGGTGGGGCTGGGCCATCTGCCAGCTCTCCAAAGAGCTGGTGGGAAACCGCTGCAATCAGAGCGAACCCACGGCCCGGGTGAGCCCGCCTCGGCACAGCACTCCAGCTGGCCCCCAGTACCTTTGGGGACACATCTGCATTGCCACCAGGGCTGTGGGAGGGCCGCCTGCCTCCTGTCCGTCACAGGGAAAACCTACCCTTGTCCCGCCTCCCTTCCAGGCAGCCTGTGTGGGGATTGCTGCATTCACCTTTAATATGGCTAAAATTTTTCCTTCAATGACAGTAATGCTGCCAGAACCCATCAAGATACCCAGGAACTGATGTGCCTTGGCAGATGATGCTGGAAAGATGGGATTCCCGGCAGCCTTTCCATCCCTTGCTCACAACCCACGAGCATCTCCACCGTCCAGCAGGGCTTCTCTCACGTTCAGGGCAGAAACAGAGAGAGTCCATCTGGAACAGGCTCGGATTTTAAATGACTGTCCCCGATAATTCAACACGATCGATGACTGAGGTATTTCACCAAGTTCAGGAGTCTCAGTTCTCAGAGAGAGGCAGCCAGCCATGACTGCCAGACCTGGGCAAACCATACAAACCAGACGGCAGGTCTCACCCCTCCCCAGAGAGCTCCAGAGAGTATCAAAGAGTGAAACAGCAGAGGGATGGTCTGGGTGGGGTCATCGTGGCTGGCAAGGGTCTGTGACAGCACCTTGTTAGGCTACTCCCAAGAGGAAATTTGGAGAGAGGGTGGGAGGGCAGCTCTCAGTGCAAGCTAAGTCTCCTGGAAAATAACTTTCAAACTTTGGAGGATTGTGAGCAAGATGGGACCAGCAACTTCTTCCTAAAAGAATGTTAATAGCAAGATAACTCATCCAATTATTGGTCCAAGCTAGGTCTTTATTATGCATCGTAAAGGCTCTGAGAATAAAAATGTAACCTCCAAAAGGGCTGCAGGCTTTGAAGAATCTCAGGCAACTCGCTTCCTTCTGCTCAGTGACTCCCCTGGAGCACAGCAAAGCAAGGAAACACTTAGAGCCAAGCTTGAGTTCTGAATTTCAAATACAGGGAGTACATCTCTTTCTACCCAATTGTTCCCTAGGTGAGTAACTAACTCCTTCCCCTTAACTGCACGTACTTCCTACCAAAGCACAAGCACGATGGGCTGTCCATGAGCCTCCCCCAAACACGTGCGCCTTGTGACATAAATTCTGTCACCCAAAGAGACCAGACAAAATGTAAAACCAAAGTGGAGCCTTTCCTTGAATTATAGGTTCTAAAGAGTTTTGGACTCTCTACAAAACCCAAGAGTTAGGAATTGCCTGTAAGAAGCACCAGCCCTTGTTTTAAAGAGGCAATTTAAGAATAATAACCATGCTGATGCCACACTACGCTAAGGGAGAATAATGAACCTAATAAAACTAGCGATTTTCCAATTGCTTTTGCTGCTGGAAACACTGATTATGCTAATTAAAGGGTAGAATAGTAAATACCCACTCTTTTGCATCCAATTAAGTGTTCAGATTATTTCTCAGAAGTGTTTGTTGAAAATAGCACTTCTGATAATCATGGGTCCCAAATAAACAGAGTCAAGTGTGGTGTGGTACATGTGTGAGTGTGTGTGTGCGCGCGCACACATGTGTCTTTCTGGAGCTCATTTTATGGAGATCCCGCATAGCTCCCCAAATTCCTATGAGACCAAATAAGAAAAATCACAGTTTCCTAAGACTACAGCTTGGGATATCTTTGGAAAAGGTGTGTATTGAGAACACAGCATACGGAAACTATTTCACGTTGGCAATATCTGTGATTTAACATTGCAAACATCAGAAATACAACTGTTTCTTCAGAGCCACCTAAGTCCCTCATAATGGCAATATTAGCTTTTTCTCAATAATAAATTAGCCAGTCAAACTATGTTCTACAGCATATTAGAAGTTTCATCCTTCTAGTCAATGTCACATTTCAAGGCAAAGACGATTTATATGTAAGTTAACAAAAGTGCTGTCACTAAAAATTGAGAATTATGTCTAATGCCAATCAGAAATGGAATAAATAAGTATTAGAGGATTTGCAAGTGAAAGCAACCATAGAAATGCTATCATCAGGAAGGAAAATGTATTACCTGCAGATGTTACAGATAAGATGCTAGAACCCAGAAGAGAAAGAATCTCTGTAAATATTTCCATCAAGTTAATCAAGAGTGGCTGGGTACGGTGGCTCATGCCTGTAATCCCAGGACTTTGGGAGGCCAAAGCAGGAAGATCACGAGGTCAGCAGTTCGAGACCAGCCTGGCCAACATGGTGAAACCCTGTCTCTATGAAAAATACAAAAAATTAGCCAGGCGTGGTGGCGTGCACCTGTAATCCCAGCTACCGGGGAGGCTGAGGCAGGAGAATTGCTTTAATCCAGAAGGCAGAGGTTGCAGCAAGCCGAGATCGCACCATTGCACTCCAGCCTGGGTGACAGATCACGGCTCCATTTTGAAAAAAGAAAGAAAGTTAATCAGGAATCACCCACAAAAGGAGATGAGATTCACGCATTCTTTCAACATGCATTCCATCAATAGTGAGCACCTGCTCTGAGCTAGGCCCGTTCTAGGTCCCAGGAAATGGGCAACCAACCAGACATGGCCCCTGATTTGGAGCTCACATTTTAGAGCAGCTAAATGGACAGTAAACAAGTAAGCAAATTAAGATCATCTTAAATTGGGGGAAGTTCTTTAGAGAAGCACTTCCACAAAGCTGAATCGCATCCTAGACTATGACTGCCAGGTGGTAGGGAAGGTAATATCTCACCTGCCTGTGGACAGCAGAGCTTCTGAGGCCTTGCAAAGTATTTACCACGAAGATATCTGTCTTAGGTCAAGTTCCCTAAAAACAGAGCCTGAGGCAGGGATTGAGTGCATGTAATTCATTCAGGAAGAACTCTCAGGAGATAGGAGTAAGGAAAACAGGATATGGCAGGGAAGGAGCTAAGTGAGATGTGGTCTGAGCTGGAGACTGGCTCCAGTCTGATCTCACAGGGAGCTCCAGAGGATGAACTGCACCACCATGTTATCCCAGCCTAAGGTCTTTTGTTCTCCTGTGTCAGCCGGTCCCTGGCCAAGGGCTGCAGACTCTCTCGGGGCCCCAGCAGACTGGAGGAGAAGGAGCATGGTCTGCGGTCTACTGTTTCGTGTACACCCACCCACCTCTTCCCCAGCTGACACTGCTGGAGGAGGAGAGGGAAGAGATGTCATCTCCTCCTATGGCAACCTGTGGGATAGCAATGGCCCTTTTCCTGTTGGGTGTAATCTGCTGCCATCTCTTGCTGTCTGCAGCCTGACACAGAAGGGTGAACGTCACCAGGTTCCACTGACGGCGGTCTTTGTCTCAAACAGCAACCCTAGGACCGCGGCTCCCTTGCAAGATTCAGCCACATCTCATGACTGTCTGCAACACACCCCATGCCTCTGATGGAAGGAACCCAATGCCCCATGCATGCTGCAGCCATTTCTGCCAGACTGGGGTCCCTGATCTCAATTTCCCTCTGTGGTCCCTAACTCTGGGTTCTGCAGACACATTTCAGATCCATCCTTAGTACCTCCCAGGAGGCAGAAGCCAGAGGAAATAATCCTTGCCCCAATGCACCTGACCATGCCACCTCACTGCATGCTCTTTCTCCCTCTCCAGGAAAAATCAAGCTTGTTGAATACTTCCCAATGTGCCCACATGCATTTAGTCTTCACAACCACTTCATGGGGCAGCATTATCATCCCCAAGTTACAGACAAGGAAACTGAGGAGAGCATTTATATAACATGCATCTAACTGGTGGACAAAGGATCTAACCAGGCAGTGCGGCACCAGAGCACACTTTTTTGTTCTTTAGGGAGGTGGGGTCTCTCTCTGTCCCTCAAACTGGAGTGCAGTGGCCTGATCATAGCTCACTGCAGCCTTGAACTCCCGGGCTCCAGCAATCTTCCTGCCTCAGCCTCCCGAGTAGCTGGGACTACAGGCATTCACCACCAACCCAGCTAATTTTTTAAAAACATTTTTCTAGAGATAGCGTCGGATCCCAAACTCCTGACTTCAAGTGATCCTCCTGCCTCAGCCTCCCAAAGTGCTGGGATTACAGTCGTGAGCCCCCGCACCCAGCCCAGAGCACACTTTTTTTTTTTTTTTTGAGACGGAGTCTCACTCTGTCACCCAGGCTGGAGTGCAGTGGCAAGATCTCAGCCCAGAGCACACTTTTAACCACCATATCATTCTGCCTCTGGGTAGGTTAGTCAAGCTCTGTAGCTCATCAGATGTCTGTAGAGAGAAGGAGACATCAGTCTCCCCTTCTTCCAAACACCCCCAAATTTTACAAGTGATTTTCTCAGATCCCTCAGCATCAGGAATGGGGATGAGCAGGGCAGCCTGTCCCCTTCCCAACAGCCCAGCTGATATTCCAAGATTACATCTCATTGGCTCTGACTAGGACATGAGCCCAAAACTGAACCACTTGCTGTAGCCATGGCATGCAGCATCCTCGGTCCTCTGGCCAGGCCAGAGCCACACCCCACCTCTGGATCCTCAGGTTGAGTCAATACATCTTGAACCAGGCGCGGACTGAAGCTCAAGGGGGAGTCAGAGTAATGTGACCCAGCCCAGCAGGTAGTGGGTGCTGAGCAGGCAAGCATTCATCACCCACTGCACACACCAGGGAAGGCTTGTGGTGGCTTAGTCCCACCTGGGGGCAAAGAAAAGAGTGCCTGCTCCATGCCAAAATGTGATGCCCAACACTGTATCTTAAAGCTAGCTGGCTTTGTAATCCCAGCTACTTGGGAGGCTGAGGCAGGAGAATCACTTGAATCCAGGAGGCAGAGGTTGCAGTGAGCCAAGATCACACCATTGCACTCCAGCCTGGGTGAAAAGAGAGAAATTCTGTATCAAAAACAAACAAACAACAACAACAAAAAAAAAAGAACAAAAACAAAAACAAAAAGAAGCTAGCCGGCTTAATCCTCACAAAGATGCCATCTACTTTTTGGCATTCTACAGGTAGAAACACTTAGACACTGGGAAATTTTAAAACTCACCACCAGCTGGGCGCGGTGTCTCACGCCTGTAATCCCAGCACTTTGAGAGGCTGAGGCAGGAGAATTACTTGAACCCAGGAGTTCAGGACCAGCCTGGGCAACAAAGCGAGACCTCATCTCTACAAATATTTAAAAAAAAAAAAATTAGGGCTAGGCACGGTGGCTCACACATGTAATCCCAGCACTTTGGGAGGCGAAGGCAAGTGGATCACTTCATCCCAAGGGTTCGAAACCAGCCTGACCAACAAGACAAAACTCTATCTCAACTAAAAATACAAAACTTAGCTGGGCATAGTGGCACGTGTCTATAATCCCAGCTACTTGGGAGGCTGAGGCATGAGAATTGCTTGAACCCAGGAGTCAGAGGTTGCAGTGAGCTGAGAACATGCCACTGCACTCCAGCCTAGGTGAGAGAGTGACACCGTGTCTCAAAAAAAAAAAATATATATAGGTATGGTGGTACATGCCTGTGGCCCCAGCTACTCAAGAGGCTGAGGTGGGAGGATCGCTTAAGCCCAGGAGTTCAAGGGTGCAATGAGCTATGATTGAACCACTGCACTACTAGATATACACATATATATATGTACATGTATATAGGTATGTCTATATATACACATATATATATATGTATATGTGTGTATATATATGCATATATATATAAAAAACACACATGCACAGATTCACCACAAAAAACTCAGAAATTACCATCTCCCTCTATTCTAAGGAATTATTTTTCATTTTGCCATCTCTGAAGTTGGAATACACCTTACAATCACTGGAATGTCACGGTCTCATTGGCAGCATTTTTCTGCTTAGTAGCCCATAAAATAATAGCACATCTTGTAACTAACAGTGTTGTAGATGCTATGAGATCCTGGGGAAGCCCAGAATCTAACTCCACCCTGTCTGACTCCAAAGACCCCATATTTTCTATGTCTTTGGACTGGGGCACAGATGTAGACAATTGAGCTTTGCTGATTGTGAGAAAGGTATGAGAAATGGCCCTGATGGAATTTTCTTCTTGTATTTGCAGGGGAACAAAGCAGCATCATCCCACTATTCCAGGGGAGGTGCTAAATACGACGGTGAGGCTGTCAAGCGGTCCCTGGTGGAGTCCTACACTCACCCAAACAGCAACGAGACAGAGTGGAGGGAGAACATCGATACCGTCATGAACTGGTTCACCAAGGAAGACTTTGACTTTGTGACTCTGTGCTACAGAGAGCCAGATAACGTGGGACATCGATTCGGGCCAGAGGCAGAGAACAGGAAGTTGATGATTCAGCAAATCGACAGGACCATCGGGTATCTGGTAGGAGCCACAGAGAAGCACAGCCTGCAGAGCACCTCAGTGTCATCATCACATGAGGCCATGGGATGACAACCATGAAGAAGAGACCCAATGTCAACAAGATCCCCTTGTCCTACTACGTCAAGTTCAGGGACCTGGTCAAGTTTGATATTGTGGGCTACGGTGGCTTTGGGATGCCCCTACCCAAACTGGGGCAAGAGGAAGCCCTTTACCAGGCACTGAAGAATGCGCACCGTCACCTCCACGTCTATAAGGAGGAGTTTCCAGAACACTTCCGTCTCGCTAAACATGACCAAGTTCTGCCAATCGTGATGTATGCCAACTCTGGTTACAGTATCAATGGGGTAAGTTCATTCTAAAATGAATAAAGTCACCTTGGATCTAGGAGACAACCATTAGGGAAGGGTGGTTCTGCAAAAATCAAACATAAGTGCACAACCGGGCACGGTGGCTCACGCCTATAATCCCAGCACTTTGGGAGGCTGAGGCAGGTATATCACCTGAGGTCAGGAGTTTGAGACCAGCCTGGCCAACATGGTGAAACCCCATCTCTATTAAAAATACAAAACTTAGCTGGGCGTGGTGGCGTGCATCTGTAGTTCCAGCTACTCTGGAGGCTGAGGCAGGAGAATCGCTTGAACCTGGGAGGCAGAGGTGGCAGTGAGCCAAGATCATGCTACTGCACTCCAGTCTGGGCAACAGAGTGAGACCCTGTCTCAAAAAATATAATATAATAAAACAAAACAAAACAAAATAAAATAAAATAAGTGCACACACTACGAGTTGTAGCCCACAGGGTCCTAAATGTTCCCCACCCCCCGCCCAACCAATGCTGCCCCAAATTACCATTATACAAGATTAATAACCAATTCAACTTGACAAGGCTGATTTAAAAATAAAAATAAGGCTGGCCATGGTGGTTCACACCTGTAATCTCAGTGCTTTGGGAGGCCAAGACAGGAGGATTGCTTAAGGCCAGGAGTTCAAGACCAGCCCGGGCAACACAGGGAGACCCCCATCTCTACAAAAAACAAACAAATAAATAAATAGCCAGACATGGCGATGCATGCCTGTAGTCCCAGCTACTCAGGAGGCTGAGGTGGCAGGATTTCTTGAGCCCAGGAGGTCAAGGCTGCAGTAAGCTGTGATTGCACCACTGCACTCCAGCTTGAGCAACAGAGCAAGGCCCCGTCTCTAAAAAATAAATAAACAATAAAAAATAAACACCAACTTCATTATTCAAAATTGTGCATAGCGCTTCACTAAACATTGAATAGCAGTTCTTTCATTTTGCCTGCCCAACAACCCTATAAAATAGATGCTCTTAGTTCCACCATTCTAAAGAAGAAATTGAAACCTAGAGAGAAGTGACTTGAGATTAAAAATGTAAGGTTGGGCTGGGTGCAGCGGCTCCCACCTGTAATCCCAGCACTTTAGAAGGCTAAGGTAGGTAGATTGCTTGAGCCCAGGAGTTTGAGACCAGCCTAGGCAACACAGTGAAACACCATCTCTACAAAAAATGCAAAAAAAATGTAGCTGGGCGTAGTGGCACGTGCCTGTGGTCCCAGCAACTCAGGAGGCTGAAGTGAGAGAATTGCTTGAGCCCGGGGTGTTGAGGCTGCAGTGAGCCATGATCACGCCACTGTGAGATAGGAGGCAGGACTTGACTTCACAGGCAGGGCTTGGACACCAGACCAAACTGAGGACTAGGTAAAACAGGGCTGGGGCAGAAGCAGCTTTCCATCAGACATGCCCACCAGTGTGCCATGTGAGTTTACTATTGCCATGGCGACACCCGGGAGTTACTGCCCCTTTCCATGGCAATGACCCAATGACTCAAAAGTTACTACCAATTTTCTAGAAATTCCTGCATAAACTGCCCTTTAATCTGCATGCAGTTAAAAGTGGGTATAAACGTGATTGCAAACTCTCTTCCGCTACTCTCTGACTCCAGGGTAGCCCTGCCCTACAGGAGCAGTCACAGGGCTGTAACGCTGCCCCTTCAATAAAGCTGTTTTCTTCTATACCTCCAGCTTGCCCTTGAATTCTTTCCTGGGCAAAGGCAAGAACCCTCATGTGCTATTGAGAGGTGACAGCGTGCTGGCAGCCCTGGAGCTCACTATTGGCACCTCCTCTGCCTGGGCTCCCAATGTGGCAGCACTTGAGGAGCCCTTCAGCCCGCTGCTGTACTGTGGAAGTCCCTTCCTGGGCTGGCTAAGGCTGGAGCCGGCTCCCTCAGCTTGTGGGGAGGTGTAGAGGGAGAGGCGCTGGCGGGAACCGGGGCTGGGCAGGGCGCTTGCGGGCCAGCGCGAGTGCCGGCTGGGCGTGGGCTCCGTGGGCCCCACATTCGGAGCGGCCAGCCGACCCCGCCGGCCCTGGGCAGTGAGGGGCTTAGCACCAGGGCCAGCAGTTGCTGTGCTCGATTTCTCGCCAGGCCTTAGCTGCCTCTCCGCAGGGCAGGGCTGGGGACTTGCAGACCACCATGCCTGAGCCTCCCCCTCACCCACCGTGGGCTCCTGCGCGGCCTGAGCCTCCCCAGTGAGCACCGCCCCCTACTCCACAGCACCCAGTCCCATAGACCACCCAAGGGCTGAGGAGTGCCAGCGCTGGGCGCAGGACTGGCAGGTAGCTCCACCTGTGGCCCCAGGGCGGGATCCACTTGGTGAAGCCAGCTGGGCTCCTGAGTCTGGTGGGGACTTGGAGAACCTTTATGTCTGGCTAAGGGATTGTAAATACACCAATCGGCACTCTGTATCTAGCTCAAGGTTTGTAAACACACCAATCAGCACCCTGTGTCTAGCTCAGGGTTTGTGAATGCACCAATGGACACTCTGTATCTAGCTAATCTAGCAGGGACTTGGAGAACTTTTGTGTCTAGCTCAGGGATTGTAAGCGCACCAATCAGCACCCTGTCAAAACGGACTAATCAGCTCTCTGTAAAACAGACCAATCGGCTCTCTGTAAAATGGACCAATCAGCAGGATGTGGGTGGGGCCAGATAAAAGAATAAAAGCAAGCTGCCCCAGCCAGCAGTGGCAACCCACTGGGGTCCCTTTCCACACTGGAAGCTTTGTTCTTTTGCTCTTCGCAATAAATCTTGCTGCTGCTGACTCTGGGTCCACACTGCCCTTATGAACTGTAACACTCACTGCGAAGGTCTGCAGCTTCACTCCTGAAGCCAGTGAGACTACGAACCCACCAGAAGGAACAAACAACTCCAGACATGCAGCCTTAAGAGCTGTAACACTCAACTTGAAGGTCTGCAGCTTCACTCCTGAAGCCAGCGAGACCAGGAACCCACCAGAAGGAAGAAACTCTGAACACATCCGAGCATCAGAAGGAAAGAACTCCGGACACGCCGCCTTGAAGAGCTGTGACACTCACCGCGAGGGTCCACGGCTTCATTCTTGAAGTCAGTGAGACCAAGAACCCACCAGTTCCGGACACACTAGGCTCCACTTGGGGGCTCCCCTGCCCTGCATCAGCTGAACTCTGGCCTGGGTGGCAGAGAGAGATACCCTATCATTAAAAAAAAGAAAGAAATGTGAGGTTAAGTGCTGCCCCCAAGCCTGCGTGGGTGATCATTATACAGAGTACACAAAGATCACAGAAAAATTCACCACAAAGGCCTCCTGCCACTGGTTCTCATTTGCCCATATCAAAAAATATGCAAGCCTGTTCCTACAAAGACACACACAGATGCTTGTAGCAAAATTATTCATAATTGTCAAAAGGTGGCAACAACACAAATGTCTATCAACAACAGGTGAATGGGCAAACAAGTACAGTCTACCCGTGTGATGGAACATTAATCAGCCAAAATATGGAATGAAGGGCTGATTCATGCTACAACCTGGATACACTTTGAAACCATTAGGCTAAGTGAAAGAAGCCAGACAAATATTAGATGACTCTATTTATATATATATATATATACACACACACACACACATATATATACACACATATATATACACATATATACACATATATATATACACATATATAATATATGCCCAGAATATGAAAATCCAAAGAAACAAAGATTGATGGTTGCCAGGAGCCAGGGGTGGGGATAGTCAGGGGAAATAAGGGGTGACTGCTAATGGATACAGGGTCTCTTCTGGGGTAATTAAAATTTCTAAAACTGATGGTGGTGATGGCTGCACAACTCTGTGAATATATTAAAAACCACTGAATTATACACTTTATTTATTTATTTAGAGACAGGGTCTGGCTCTGTTGCCAGGCTGGAGTGCAGTGGTGCAATCTCAACTCACTGCACCCTCCACCTCCCGGGCTCAAACCATCCTCCCACTTCAGCCTCCTGAGTAGCTGGGACTACAGGCACACCCACCATGCCCAGCTAATTTTTTTGTATTTTTCGCTGAGACAGGGTTTTGCCATGTTGCTCGGGCTCATCTCAAACTCTTGGGTTCAAGCGATCCTCCCACCTCAGCCTCCCAAAGTGCCGGGATTACAAATGTGAACCACCATGCCCGGCCAAATTGTACACTTTAAATGGGTAAATTGTATGATATGTGAATTATATTTCAGTAAGGCTGTTATTAAAAAGCAGCTTTAAGGGCCAGGCATAAAGGCCATGCCTGTAATCCCAGCACTTTCAGAGGCCAAGGCAGGAGGATCACTCGAGCCCAGGAGTTCAAGACCAGCCTAGACAATATGGCAAAACCTGGTCTCTACAAAAAATTTAAAAATTAGGCTTGGCGTGGTGGCTCACGCCTGTAATCCCAGCACTTTGGGAGGCCGAGGTAGGTGGATCACTTGAGGTCAGGAGTTCAAGACCAGCCTGGCCAACATGGTGAAACCCTGTCGCTACTAAAAATATTTTTTAAAAATTAGCCAGGCATGGTGGTGGGTGCCGAGGCTGAGGCAGGAGAATCGCTCGAACCCGAGAGGTGGAGGTTGCAGTGAGCCGAGATTATGCCACTGCACTCCAACCTGTTGGGCGACAGAGCGAAACTCCATTTCAAAAAAAAAAAAAAATTAAAAATTAGCCAGCGGTGGTGGCTCGTGTTTGTAGTCCCAGCTACTCAGGAGGCTAAAGTAGGAGGATTGCTTGAGCCCAGGAGGTTGAGGCTGGAGTGAGCGAAGATTGCAGCACTGCACTCTGGCCTCAGCAACAGAACAGGACCCTGCTTCACAATTTTAAAAACAATTAAAAAACAAGCCTAAAGAAAACACAAAAACCAATGCTAACTGTGAGACATAAATGAGGTGGTCTATATTTTGTTAACTACCAACTAACAATTGATGGCAGAAACAAAGCTTAAATGATGCTATAGCTGGGCACCGTGGCTCACGCCAGTAATCCCAACACTTTGAGAAAGCTGAGGCGGGTGGATCATCTGAGGTCAGGAGTTTGAGACCAGCCCGGTCAACATGGTGAAATCCCGTCTCTACTAAAAATACAAAAATTAGCCAGACGTGGTAGCGGGTGCCTATAATCCCAGCTACTCGGGAAGCTGAGGCACGAGAATCGCTTGAACCCCGGGGGAGCGGAGGTTGCAGTGACCCAAGATCGCACCATTGCACTCCAGCCTGGGCGACACAGCGAAACTCCATCTCAAAAAATAAATAAATAATGAAATAAATGATGCTATAAACCTCATGTGAGGGAAGACTGTCCCAGGTAGAGCTTGAAAAACCCTTGCTGTGAACAGGAGCCAAATGCGATAATTGTGTTTGCAACTTGCTTCATGTTAGCTTGTTGCAACTCCAGAGTGTAACAGGTATGAGAAAACTCATGGGGTTACTGTTTAATGTTGGTGGAAATATTCACATTAAAATACAACAGTTTATCACCTAAGGCATATTTTATCCCTCAAGTGGCCCGGAACCCTGTGATTACTGCACGCCAATCCCACGCCCATAGCTAAGGCCTTGCCAAGGAGAAATTCCACAGTCACCTGGCCTGTTTGTAAACCTGGTTTATGATGTTTTGTAACAGGATATCCTGACAGTAGCATGAGGACATTTAACGAGACAAGAACATTCCCCACTGACCAACCAGATAGTTTGAGGGAACAGGATGCTGTGCTCAGTTTAATCTTCTGCTGAACCGACCATTAGGCAGAAAATCCTTTTGGTCAATGCCTCTCACTGAATCCACTTCTCAGATTCCTGTCCACCTGCCTGCTTTGTAGTGCAGAGTAAAGTGGGCCTTCCTTGACTCTCTTCAGGGACCAATGAGCTTGAGGCCATCATGAAGACATTCTTTTTTTTTTTTTTTTTTTTTTGAGAGAGTCTCGCTCTGTCACCCAGGCTGGGATGCAGTGGTGTGATCTCAGCTCCCCACTGCAACCTCTGCCTGCCAGGTTCAAGTGATTCTCCTGCCTCAGCCTCCTGAGTAGCTGGGATTACAGGCACGCATCACCAGGCCCAGCTAATTTTTCTATTTTTTGTAGAGACAGGGTTTCACCATGTTGGCCATGCTGGTGTCGAACTCCTGACTTCAAGTGATCCACCTGCCTCGGCCTCCCAAAGCGCTGGTATTACAGGTGTGAGCCAACGTGCCTGGCCGTGGGCTTTCATTCTTGATGGACTGCTCCATAGCCGCAGAGACAGTCGGACTGGTTTCTTAACCAGAGCGGAGCAGACAGGCAATTTCTTTATCCACCAGGACAAATATTAGACCAACTCTTCAATGTACAGAGAGCATCACATTTCTTATATGCTAGAATATCTGTTGGTCTAAAATATAAATAAATAGTATTGTAGCCAGCCACAGTGGCTCACACCTATAATTCCAGAGCTTTGTGGGGCTGAGGCAGGAGGTTCACCTGAGGTCAAGAGTTTGAGACCAGCCTGGGCAACATAGCAAAACCGCCCCCACCCCCCACCGCCACCTGCCATCTCTACAAAAATTAAAATAATTAGCTGGGCATAGTAGTGTGGGCCTGCAGTCCCAACTACTTGGGAAGCTGATGTGGGTGGATCGCTTGAGCCCAGGAATTTGAGGCTGCAGTGGGCTATGACTGCATCACTGTACTCCAGCTAGACCTTGTCTCAAAAAAAAAAAAAAGTGTTGCAATTGACATTACTTCATCATTTGAAAAGAGGGACAGACAAGAAAGGTATTTGGCATTTACCAAGCAATTACCCAGAATCCTCATCCCACCCTACACCCACCCTTCCCCTAAAAATGTATGTATATGTTTTTGTACCATAAAAAATACATCTATTTGGCTCTGGAACCAGATTGCTTGGGTTCAATTACCTGATCTAGCATTTGCTCCTGTTGACTCAATGCAAACAAGCTCTGTAACTCATTTTCCCCAGCTGTAAAATGGGGAACGGCAGCCTGGGATAAGCTGCGTCTGACTGTCAGTTACTAATAAGCAGGATATCCCACAAACAGATTTTCAGCGAATTGGCTTTCAGCAAATTGATCATTTGGCAAAGTGGTCATTAGGCAAATGGGTCATTTGGTGAAGAGGTCATTTAGTAAATCGGCTTTCAACGACTTGCCCTATGAGATTTCTCTAGAGTGAGCATTTTCTTGGGTTAAATGTACATTTCATTTCCATAATGAATACTCACTAGCGGCTAGATGGGAAACTTCCCAGGAAACCAGGAGCAGCCAGAAGAGCCTCTTAATAATCAGGCAATTAAAAACCCTCTGGTTTCTTAACAGGAGGGAGGTACAGACGGCATCTGCTCTGCAAGGCGCAGTGATCGGGCTCAGCATTGTCACAGGAGCTCTTGCGGTTCTGTTTGTTGCTAGTGTGACATACACAGCCATTCATCGGAAAAAGGACTGAGTGGTCTTTGGGTCTCCCATAGTTGATCATCATATGTCGTGATAACCCATGACAACTCCTTGCCACATGCCACGGGAGGTCCAGCACTCCAAGAACCCAGCAGCCAGGGCCGGCTTCATAGGCTTGCAACCTGGACAGTCCCACAGGGACACAGAAGAGTCCCCACTGTGGTTTAATAATCTGCCATCACCATCTTCAAATTCTTTATTTTTTAACAAGGGTGGCCAGGGATAGTGGCTCATGCCTGTAATCCTAGCACTTTGGGAGGCCAAGGCAGGCAGATGGCTTGAGCCCAAGAAGTTTGAGACCAGCCTGGGCAACACAGCAAGACCCCATCTCTACAGAAAATACAAAAATTAGCCAAGCGTGTAGTCCCAGCTACTTGGAGGCTGAGATGGGAGAATTACCTGAGCCCAGGGAGGTCGAGGCTGCAGGAGGTGAGATTGTACCACTGTACTCCAGCCTGGATGACACAGCGGATTCTTGTCTAAAAAAAATAACCACAAGGCCGTGCACGGTGGCTCATGCCTGTAACCCCAGCACTTTGGGAGGCTGAGGCAGGCGGATCACTTGAGGTCAGGATTTTGAGACCAGCCGGCCAACATGGTGAAACCCCATCTCTACTAAAATAGAAAAATTAGCTAGACAAGGTGGCGCATGCCTGTAATCCCAGCTACTCAGGAGGCTGAGGCAGGAGAATAGCTTGAACCTGGGAGGAGGAGGTTGCAGAGAGCCAAGGTCGCGCCATTGTACTCCGGCTTGGGGCACAAGAGTGAAACTCCATCTCCAAAAAAAAAAAAAACCACAACACAACAAGGGCCCCGCATGTGACTGAAAACAACAGAAATGTATTGTCTCGCAGGCCTGGATGCCAGAAGCCCAAAATCAAGGTGTCGGCCGGGCTTCGCTTCCTCTGAAATATGTAAGAGAGAATACTTCCTTGCCTCTTCTGGCTTCTGGTGGCCGCTGGTAATGCTTGGTGTTCCTTGTAGATGCATCGCTCCCATCTCTCCTCCCTCATCACATGGCTGCCTTCTCCCTGTGTCTCTGTCTTCACCTGACATTCTCCTCTTTTATTTTTTTGAGATGGAGTTTCCCTCTGTCACCCAGGCTGAAGTGCACTGGCACAATCTTGGCTCACTGTAACCTCCGCCTCCTAGGTTCCGGTGATTCTCCCGCCTCAGCCTCCTGAGTAGCTGGGATTACGGGCGCCCGCCACCACGCAGTGCTAATTTTGTGTTTTTAGTAGAGATGGAGTTTCACCATGTTGGCCAGGCTGGTCTCGAACTCCTGACCTCAAGTGATCCACCCACCTCACCCTCCCAAAGTGTGCTGAGATTACAGGCATGAGCCACCATGCCCGGCCCTCATTCTCTTCTTTTATCAGGACGCCGGTCATTGCATCTGCCTCCTCACCAGCAGCCCCCAATCCAGTACGATTCATCATTACTTGATTACATCTAGAAAGACCCTATTTCCAAATAAGGTCACATTCCTGGGTACGGAGGATTAAGATTTCCAATTTTTTCCCTGACTCAATTTTTTTTGAGTCAGGGCCTCACCCTGTCACCCAGGCTGGAGTACAGTTATGTGATTATAGCTCACTACAGCCTCAAACTCCTGGGCTCAAGGGATCCCTTGACCTCAGCCTTCCAAGTGGCTGAGACTACAGGCGCACACCATCATGCCCAACTAATTTTTTTGGTTTTTTGTGGTTTTTTTGTACAGGTTAGGTCTCACTCTGCTCACTCTGTTGACCAGGCTGGTCTCCTGACCTCAAGTGATCCTCTTGCCTTGGCCTCCCAAAGCACTGAGATTACAGGCGTTATCCCGTGCCTGGCCCTCTTTCTACACCTCAGTCATTGCATCATTAGCCTGAGCTGCGCATATTCCTTATTCTACCCATCCCTGACCAACCTCCTCCTTTAACATAACTTCCACCTCGATATCATGGGGCCTGCTGGGCACTGCAAACAGCCTAAGGAAAGTGGAAACTTTACTTAACCTTCAATTCTATTGCAAAGTCCACATTGAACGTAATTTATATTTGAACTATAAAATTTTCTGTAAGTTGAAACATGACCTATAAAGGTCTCTACACCCTGAAGCAACGTTTTAGAAAGAAATCAATTGGTCCTTTTCTGCAGAAACCATTAACCATAGGAGAGATAAAGGAAAAACTTCAATGGACTGATTGAACTTCCATGCCCATAGCTTAACTTCTAAAAGGCAACCATTCCATACTGTTAAACTGCCTTAGGTTGTTATTACTGTTATTAAAGAGACCCTCAAAGCCGGAAGTTGAATCTCGACTGTAGTTCTTGCACGTACACGCAAACTCTTGCAACTGAAACCAGCTTGTCCTGATGCTGCTCCCCGTAGCAACACCGCCTGGAATTTCACGTTTGTTTTTAAGCATCAGTCCTAATCTTCACTTGCACCCGAACACACCGCACCTGTGACAGCCACGTGACATTAAAAAAATCCCTTCAGTGAGGCCGGGCATGGTGGCTCACGCCTGTAATCCCAGCCCTTTGGGAGGCCAAGGCAGATGGATCATGAGGTCAAGAGATTGAGACCATCCTGACCAACATGGTGAAACCCCGTCTCTACTAAAAATACAAAAATTAGCCGGGCATGGGGACGCGTGCCTGTAGTCCCAGCTACTCCGGAGGCTAAGGCAGGAGAATCGCTTGAGCCCGGGAGGCAGAATTTGCAGAAGCCGAGATCGTGCCGCTGCACTCCAGCCTGGCGACAGAGGGAGACTCTAGACTCTCTGAAACAAAAAAAATCCCTTCAGTGCCTTGATCCTTCCAGATTCAGATCCAAGAGAGATGACATTTGTCCCTCATCTGAACCCGCACACCAAGATAAAGATTTCTTCTGGCCAGGCGCGGTGGTTCACGCCTGTAATCCCAGCACTTTGGGAGACAGAGGCGGGCGGATCACCTGCGGTCAGGAATTTGAGACCAGCCTGGCCAACGTGTTAAAACCCTGTCTCCACTAAAAATACAAAAATGGCCCGGCATGGTGGCTCACGCCTGTAATCCCAGCTACTCGGGAGGCTGAAGCAGGAGAATCGGTTGAACCCGGGAGGTAGAGGTTGCAGTGAGCCGAGATTGCGCCATTGCACTCCAGCCTGGGCAACAAGAGAACGAAACTCCGTCTCAAAAAAAAAAAAAAGAAAAAAAGATTTCTTCTGTGCTCATGGCTCAGCTCTGTGGTCTGCTAGGGTCCTTCCTCAATCTGCTTGCAATCTATGGAATCAGGAAAGACTGAACCAACCTAGATTTATTAATATTTTAGTATAACATAATACAGTGTTACTTATTACAGCATTGACCGTATATGCCCTTTTGCTCCTTGGAGGAAAGGCAATTAATAGCTATTATGTGAGTTAATAAAATAAGCCCAGGATTTATGAGTGTAACTAACTTGTTACCATTGGTTTTCCTTGTCTCCTGCAGGCAGAGAGCTGATCAAAACAGCAAAAGCAAAGCAGTGCCCCTGGCCCAGTTCTGAAGCCAACCTTCCTTAAGCACCCAGACCCATCCCTGGTTAGGACTTGCTGTGGATTATCAGGTGACTCTATCTCAGGATACAGGGACTGAGAGGGTGTATGCAATATCTCAGACCCAGAAACTGTTGATTCTGTCTAAAAACACAGCAATAACCACATCCCACCCTCTTGATTTAAATGAAAGTGTTTGGGGGAATAAAAGATGAACCTTTTTTTTTTTCTTTGTCAGATCTTGAGCTCATTTGGTTCTGGTGGGGAACAACAGCTATGCGAGAACAAGTGTATTCTATTAGAATTAATTCCCCTCTTATTCTCATAGCTGAGCAGGGCTCAAGAGCCTCTCATCTGAAAGAGGTAATAAGATTTAATCTGTCTCCTCATCTACCTTCTGCAAGTATACTTTACAAATTAGCTCTCGGGACTCTTCCAAATGGAGTTTTATGAGGGATTTGCTAAGGTAAACGTTTTAGACTTTGAACACAGTTCAGATTTCAGGGGCAGTACTGAAATCTGAACTGTGTTGCTAACTGCCCTGCCTTTCAACTCAAGACACAATAACTTTGAACTAAATTAATTATATTTTTGTTGTTTTCCACTCTGTCCCCACGTCTATATCACCACCACCCCCAATCCCACCCCGCAGGAGCTAACTCCTCCTTCCTGTCCCTGCAAGATCAAAACTCCTCCTGCAAGCCCCGCTAGCTCTGTCTGCTCGCCTTCGTGGCAGATATCGCTATTGTACTTTTATACTCATTTGTGTGATAAATACTTCAATGTCCACTTCTTCCACGAGCCCCTGAGCCCCTGGAGGGCCTGGACCACACCTAGTTTTTCTCACCGTTACATCTCCCTTGTCAGGTACCTGGTAGGCGCTTAATAAGTATTTGGTGAACGAATGGCTTGTTTGGTGACAGTCCAAAGGCTGGGGGACAGAGGGAAAGCTCCCTCCTTTCGGACCCCAGACGGGTGGCGCTGATGGAGAGGAGGCTTGGATAAGGCCTCCAGGACCGAAGCGCGCACCCGTAGGGCCCCTGCCAAAAAGACCTTCCTGAAGGCGGAGGAACTGCGAGAGTGCCTACGTTGGCCCAAGGCCTGACCCGACGATCCCAGGGACCCTCGCCCTAACCGGCCCCGCCTCCCGGTCCCCAAACCCGGACTCGGCCCCGCCCTAAGCTCCGGATCCTGGGGCCCGCCCCTGGCCCCGCGTCGGCAGACCGTGGCCTCGCTGCTGGGCCTGCCTCAAACCCTCCACAGGTAACGCCTCCCGAACTTGAGCCACATTCCGATCCCCTCCTCAAACCCCTCCCCGTTTCCCACGCCCTGGACCCCTCGCTCCGTCTCGGCCCCGCCCCAAGCCCAGCTAGGTCTCGGCCCCTGAGCCCAGCCCCGACCGGCCTCCCAGTCCCTGGGTCCCTCCCGACACCGGCCCCTCCCTAAGCTCCGCCTCCCAGGGCCCGCCTCCTGAGCGCAGCCCGCAGCCCGGACTCGGCCCCGCCTCCCGGACCCTGGGCCCCTCCCCACGTCGGCCCGTCCTAAGCTCCGCCTCCCAGAGTCCGAGCACCGCCTGGCCATGTGCTACGACATAGTCAACGCCCCGCCCCGGCCCCGCCTCCTGAGCTCTTCTCTGGGTCTGGCCTTAGCGCCGCCCTAAGACCTGTCTCCTGGGCTCTGCTCCGAGTCTCGCCTCCTGAACCCAATGGCGTTTATCCCTGCCCTAATGCCCGCCTCCAGGACTCTTATCCTGCCCCCACGCAAGGCCCCGCCTCCAGGACGCCACCAACCTGGACGCTTCTGAAGCCCAGCTTCCAGGATCGCCCTATCCTGGCCCCGCCCCAGGACCCGCCAACCTGGACTCTACCCAGGACCTGCCCCCTACCCAGGACCTGCCCCAACGACGCTTATCCTGGCCCCACCCCAGGCCCCGCCCTCATAACAATCATCCTGGCCCCGCCCTAGAGTCCGCCCCCACGACGTTCCTCCTGACCCCCGGGGGACCCCCGGGCCCCGCCCCCTCTCTGCCCCCGCTCACTGCCCTGGGCCCGCCCCCTCTTCAGTCCAGGCCGGGCTTCCGCCCGGTCTGCCGGCAACGCTGCGGCCCCGCCCACGTCATGGCGCCCGAGGAGAACGCGGGGACCGAACTCTTGCTGCAGAGTTTCGAGCGCCGCTTCCTGGCGGCACGCACACTGCGCTCCTTCCCCTGGCAGGTGGGCGGCGGGGCGAGCGGAGAGGCCCGCGGGGCTCGCGGGAGTCCAGGGGCAGACGGGACGGGTCTCCGTGCTGAAGCCCCTGGCGCTCCCGCCACGTGAGTTCCTGGGCTCCCGCCGGTCAGGGCCGCGCGACCCGGTCCCCGTCCCTGGGGCCTGGCCAGAGTCGCTCGCACCCCTCCTGCCCCGCGAGCTGGCGGGGGAAGCTGGGGGCGTCTCCACAGCCTTGGGGGGCAGACGCGCGCTCGGTGTGGGGTACAGTTCACGATCATTTTCACGACTTTTTAAAGGCAGTAATCGTTCTGGTCACTGGGACACAGCTGCCCTCGCCCATTCTAAAAAGTCAGCGCCGTCAGGACCGCAGGTAACCACGTCCTCCTGAGCGCGGTGACCGGGTCACAGGCTGTCCCTCGTGCCTCAGTATTCTCATCTGTATGTTGAGCACTGCACAGAATCGGCTCATGCTCTGAGGCTGTCACGCCTGTGATGGAAGAGACAGAGAAGGGGGTGGCCTCTCCTCGCCCTGGGGACCTGCCATTCTCAGCACAGGCCCATGGCAGGCAGCAGCCTCCCTTCTGCCAGCAGAGGGGCTTAATGCACCCGGCCTCATTTGTAATTCATGTGCGGTGAGCTCACTGGGATGAGTGAGTTTGGATATATATTCCTCCCTGGGTCTGCCCCATTTTATGGGGTGTTGCTTAATCATTTGCGTTATTCCATTGACATAAAATATTTGCACTCAGAGATCATTTCTGGTCAAGAGAAATTCGTGCATTTTTAACCCAAAATAGAAACCTTCATAAAAGCATCATAGGTCTCCATTCAGTATTGACTGTAATTGTTCACATGCCCACGCTGAATGCTAACTTGGGCTCACCCTCAACACCCACGAGGTGGGTACTATTATTACCACTCACATTTGACCAGAGGGATTGTTTGATTAGGGTGCAGTAGTTGAGAGTTCAGACCCAGGAGACAGCCTGTCTGCTTCGAATCCTGGCCCAGCCCCTGGCCCTGTGTGACCTTGGGCAAGTGACTGCATCTCTCTGTGCTGTTTTCTTATTAATAAAATGGGGGATATAATGATACCTACCTCTTAGGGTTGTTGTCAGGGTTGAGTACAAAAGCCTGTGGATCAGTGCCTGGCTCATGGTAAATACATGTTGGTGTTAGCTAGTGTTTTTATTCAGTCTCAAAATGTTTAATAAATGCCTTCTGTGAGCCAGGCACCATGGATCAGCAGTACCCATGACAGATGAGGCTCTGCTTGCATGGGAGAGCCAGAGAATAAACAAATAAATAAACAAGAAAAGACCAGATGACAGTGGCTTTAAAGCCAATAAAACAGGGAAATAGTGAATGCGGGAACTGGGAAGAAGAGTCACCAAAGTCAGGGAATCAGGGAAGCCTTCCCCAAAGAGGTGGCATTTGAACTGGGGCCTGAGTGGTGAAGCAGCCAGCCATGGGAAGGGCTTGGGGAACAGGATATGCAAAGGCCCTGTGGTGGAAACAAGCCAGCTGTGGTTGAGGAACAACACCAAGGCAGCCAGTGTGGCTGGAGTGGAGTGAGCAGGGTGGGCCAGGGGTGAGGGAGAACAGGCCAGAGAGAGGGATTAGGACCAGGTCTTGTAGGGCCTTTTATGGCATGGAGGGAGCTCTGAAGCAATGAAGTGCCTTGCCCTGTGTCACATACCAGCCGAGACAGTCTGCCTAACTCGGGAGCCAAGGCTCGCTGCTGGGCTTGAGGCCCCTGTAAGAGGATAATGTAACTCAGGCTGGTATGGGCACATTCTGCATCTCCACTTAGATGGCAAGCCCATCAAACCTTGGTGCCATGGCTGCCCTGGTAATTCCTGGCTGAGCAGTGCAACCAGGGAGCTGGCCCATGACCCGGGTGGCCGCTAAGTAGCCAGGACTAATGTGGCCAAAAGTCAGCCTTCTTCCTGTGACTCATCCAGGTGCACCCTGCGACATCTGAATGTCAGGCTTTCAGCCGCTGTGGCTTCCACTTCCAACTGGCTCCACGTCCCCAGGGAGGGATCACACAGCGCTTTGCCAACACATTCTATTGCGTGTTTAATGTTCCTGTGAATGCGCCCTTGAGATTTCTCTCTTTCCCCTCCACACAGAGCTTAGAAGCAAAGTTAAGAGACTCATCAGATTCTGAGCTGCTGCGGGATATTTTGCACAAGGTAAGAATCCCAGAGTCCCTGGGACTCATGACCCTGCCTCCTGAATCTCTCCAGAAGACCTGAGAGAAGAACTGCAGGTGTGCTTGTACCCTTTAAAAACACCCCTGTTCAAAAAACAAAACCATTGAGTCAGCACTGCAGGTGGGTGTCAGCACCTCTGACAGCTCCAGCGCTTTCGTTTTCTATTTAAGACTTAGACAAAGACTTCAGAATATACAAAAACCTGCAATGAGAGGGGGGAATCTAGGGAATGTTTTTTAAACCATCCACAGCAAAAACAGAGATGACAGGTGCAAAACAGCTTCTAGCATTTGGTTGATGTTCAGAGACTTTCTTTTTTGCTTTCATGAGGCCTGTCCTGCCCACTCCTGTCTCCTCTAGACCTAAATGGGCCCTTGCTTTGCCCAGGGTGGGGTTTGGACTCAAGTGCATCTGCCTGCAGGTGAGAGGCAGGATCACCACCCGGCCCAGCCACAGCCTGACCTTGGCCTTGAGGGCCAAGTGCAGATCACCCTGCATCCTGGGTCTTCACGTTCGAAGGGCCATGAGCCCTTCTGAAAAGACCAAGCAATAGACTCCCTCGCAGAAAGAAGTGCACCAGAAGAATACATTTTCCATACAAACTCAGGAGGCAGATATCCTCCACCCCCACCCACCCAGCCCATCCTAGGAGCCCCGGTGAAGAATTCCTGTGCTAGAGGTGAACCAAGATTATCCATGTGGAAAAGATACAGCCACAGCAGGGAAAACTTTCGGGGCAATACCAGGGCTTCGAGCATGGAGATACCTGAAGTTATCTCGCACCCTGCTCTGAGTTTCACCCTGAGCCTCACTCTCGTAGGTGGTGAAGCATGAAATGTAGGGAGAGCTGCTTTAAAACCCAGCACAAGGCTGGGTGCACTGGCTCACACCTGTAATCCCAGGACTTTGGGAGGCTGAGGTGGACAGATCACCTAAGGTCAGGAGTTCCAGACCAGCCTAGCCAACATGGCAAAAACCCATCTCTACTAAAAATACAAAAATTAGCTGGGCGTGGTGGTACATGCCTATAGTCCCAGCTACTCAGGAGGCTGAGGCAGGAGAATCGCTTGAACCCAGGAGGCAGAGGCTGCAGTGAGCCAAGATCGGGCCACTGCACTCCAGCCTGGGCAACAGGGCGAGACTCTGTGTCAGAATAAATGAAAAACCAGCACCAGCCTGAAGAGCCTGTGTATTGCGTGGGGTACTTTGCTGCCCTTGGGCAGAATCTGCATCCCTCCCAGCCAGCAGGCACTGTGGACCGTCTCCTCCCTCTCCCTCCAGGCTCCTGTTTTCCCGCCGTCCCCACTCCTGCTGCACCAGTCCCTCTGCCCTCCTTTCCAAGTGCCAGGCTGTGGCCACCTCAGAGCTTGCACCAGCTGTTCCCACTGCCTAGAACTTGCTCATCCTGCATTTGGCTTCTCTGGGCTTTAGCTGGAGTGTCACCCGGAGCGTCCCGTCCCCTCCATCCTGTCCCCAGGGACACACACTCCAAGAGAGCAGTTGCCGAGTGGGCCTTCCCGCCTCTTCCATAGAGCCAGACCGTTGGCGACTGTCCTTACTGCAAACCCTGGTTCACACTGGCTCCCCTGGGAGGGAGGCGGTTTGGGCCCACATGCCCTGTGTTCCTGCTCAGAATGGGCGTTAGAAATGCTGCCATAGCCTGTGCCACTGCAGTGGAAGCATTTTTAGGAAACAGCTTATATCTTAAGACAAACTTCAGATGCATGGGGCCAAAACGCTGTGTCCATCTACATCTTTGCTGAGGGATCGGGTAGCCTGGAGTTTGCCCTCTGCTGTGTTGGCTTGAAGCTCATAGGAGACTTAAGACGGGCTCTCGAGCAACCAACGTTCTGTCCTTTGCCGTAGACTGTGAAGCATCCTGTGTGTGTGAAGCACCCGCCGTCCGTCAAATATGCCCGGTGCTTTCTCTCAGAACTCATCAAAAAGGTCAGTTATGGGCAGTGTCCGCCCAGTAGCCGGACAGCATAGCCACCTGCGTGCTGGAGCCCCCGTCCTTCCCAGGCCCTGGGCCTGCTTTGCAAACCCCAGCATGGCAGGGGCCTCCCCAGGCAACTGGCTGCAGCCACATGTGACCCATGGGAGACAGTGCAGGGCGGGAAGAAGGGGAGGCCAGCATCTCTCCCTCACTCTGCCTCCTGGGGTTTCCACGGCAGCTGCTCCTCTGGGGCCCCAGCTCCTAGCATATGGATTCTCATTCCTACCAGGCTGGCCCAGCCCACAGCACTGGAACCCTCACCCGCACCCTCTGTCCTGCCCGCTGAAGGGTTTGGAGTTTCCTGCTCTTGTCCGTCTCTGGGTTGCCCCACAGGCCCCTGTTGGAAGATTTAGCTCTTGCCATACCTTCGGAACTAGTTCCTCTGGTGAATTCTCTGCATTAATCCTGCTGGAATGAGCTCTTTCCTGACTGATAAAGGATGAATTTTATTTTTTACTTATTTATTTATTTTTTTGAGACAGAGTCTCACTGTGTTGCCCAGGCTGGATTACCGTGACACAATCTCGGCTCCCTGAAACCTCTGCCTCCTGGGTTCAAGCAACTGTCATGCCAGCCTCCTAAGAAGCTGGGACTACAGGCACACGCCACCATGCCTGGCTAATTTTTTATTTTTAATAGAGACAGAGTTTCACCATGTTGGCCAGGCTGGTCTCGAACTCCTGACCTCAGGTGATCCGCCTGCCTCGGCCTCCCAAAGTGCTGGGATTACAGGCATGAGCCACCGCACCTGGCCTAGGATGGATTTTAAAGATGCGCCCGAACATGCAGGGTTTGACATGAGGATGTCGAGAGGCCTCCTCAGTAGGCAGTAGCAGACCTGCTGAGTGAAAGAGCCACACTTTTAGCAAATAAACAATCCCCTGCTTCTCCAATACCTGCTTTCTCCCTAGTCCTCCCCAGAAGCATGCATCTGTGGTCACCAGCAGGTCTGCCCTGTGCCACCAGGAGAGGGCAGCAGTCACCCAGTGTACTCTGCTGCTGCCCTGTGAATCATAGGACGGGGCCAGCTGTGGAGAAGCGGCCTGCTGACAGCCACAGCCTGCAGCATGGGCCGCCCTCACACTTCTGCCTGGGCTCACTTAAAAGCACCTTTTGTTTTCCTCCTCTCTGTGTTTGATCCAAACACGGCTCTCTATCATGGTCACCTGGCAACTCTCACGGAATCCTTGTCTCCTGCCCTAGACTACACCTAACCCTACCCTCCCAACACCTCTGGTTCAAGGCCCTCCCATCCAGGTTTCCCTACCAAGTGAATTTTTTTTTTTAGAGACAAGGTCTCTGTTGCCCAGGCTGTCCTCGAACTCCTGGGCTCAAGCAGTCCTCCCATGTCAGCCTCTAGAGTAGCTGGGACTATTCGGCACACACCACCAAGCCCAACGAAGTGAATATTTTATATGGCAGCTGGCCGGTATTATACCATTCCATCGCAAATCTCCCCTCCAAACTTGGTGAAAATCATCTGGCCATTTTTACAGATTAGAACGAAAGCAAACAAGCTCTCACTCTGTCTGCCCCCAGCACGAGGCTGTCCACACAGAGCCTTTGGACGAGCTGTATGAAGCGCTGGCGGAGACCCTGATGGCCAAGGAGTCCACCCAGGGCCACCGGAGCTATTTGCTGGTATGAGAAGGGCACCCTCCTCCCCCTCACAGCCCAGATACCCTTCCTGCACAGACAAAGTGAAAACGTGGGTGTGGGTTCAAATCCTGACTCACCCATTCTACAGTCTTAGACATGAGGTCCGTCAACCTTCTTTAGCCTCAGTTTCCCTGTCTGTAAATCAGGCACTTCAACAACAACAGCATGTCTCGTGGAGTTGTTGGGCACTTATCCAATAGGTGACACACACTACCTGCTTCACAAGGACCTGGTGCCCAGTCCTCAAAGAATACTTGACAGGGCTGGGCGTGGTGGCTCACGCCTGTAATCCCAGCGCTTTGGGAGGCCGAAGTGGTTGCATCTGAGGTCAGGAGTTCGAGACCAACCTGGCCAATATGGTGAAACCCTGTCTCTACTAAAAATACAAAAATCAGGCCGGGCGTGGTGGCTCATGCCTGTAATCCCAGCATTTTGGGAGGCTGAGGCGGGGGGATCACCTGAGGTCAGGAGTTTGAGACCAGCCTGGCCAACATGGTGAAACTCCATCTTTACTAAAAATACAAAAATTAGCGGGGTGTGGTAGTGGGCACCTGTAATCCCAGCTACTAGGGAGGCTGAGGCAGGAGAATCTCTTCAACCCAGGAGGTGGAGGTTGTAGTGAGCCAAGATCATGCTATTGCACTCCAGCCTGGGCAACGAGAGCAAATCTCTGTCTCAAAAAAAAGTACAAAAAGTAGCCGGACATGGTGGCACACGCCTGTATTCGCAGCTACCTGGGCGGCTGAGGCAGGAGAATTGCTTGAACCCAGGAGGCAGAGGTTGCAGTGAGCCAAGATCGTGCCACTGACTCCAGCCTGGGTGACAGAGCTCAAAAAAAAATAAGATAAAACATAGATACAGAAAACCACAAAGGAAAAACAGCATATTGAATCATCACAAGGCAGCCACCCCTTCATAGCCACACCTGTCCCCTGGCCACCACTGACATGTGTTCCATCGCCAGAATTCCGTTGTCTCAGGAAGGTTCGATGAATGGAATCCTGTGTGGCCTGAGATGAGTGTCTTTCACACCGCGTGACACCCTTGAGGCCCGTGAAAGCTGTTGGCATGCCAACAGTTAGCTGCTTCTCATTGCTGAGTGGCGATTGGTCCTGTCATGGTTTATTCAGCCATGTGGTGGGGCTACTTGTCTTCTAAGCCACTTGCCTTCTGATCGCTGGACTGACTCTCTCGCCTTCTCTTGGTGCAGCCCTCGGGAGGCTCGGTCACACTCTCCGAGAGCACGGCCATCATCTCCTACGGTACCACAGGCCTGGTCACATGGGACGCCGCCCTCTACCTTGCAGAATGGGCCATCGAGAACCCGGCAGTCTTCACTAACAGGTGACCTCGGGGCGCAGGGCAGGGCACCGAGGCAGGCTTACCCTGGTGCAGTCGCAGACACGGTCCCCTTTCCTCCCGCCAGGACTGTCCTAGAGCTTGGCAGTGGTGCTGGCCTCACAGGCCTGGCCATCTGCAAGATGTGCCGCCCCCGGGCATACATCTTCAGCGACTGTCACAGCCGGGTCCTTGAGCAGCTCCGAGGGAATGTCCTTCTCAATGGCCTCTCATTAGAGGCAGACATCACTGCCAAGTTAGACAGCCCCAGGGTGACAGTGGCCCAGCTGGACTGGGACGTCGCGACGGTCCATCAGCTCTCTGCCTTCCAGCCAGATGTTGTCATTGCAGCAGGTAATGCCCAGCCCCGGGCACCCTGTGCAGGTGGTGTCCTTGCAGCTCTACCCAGCTCTTGGCTCTGGGAAAAGGGAACAATGGACGCTGTCGGGCATGGACATGATGGGGCTTCCAGAAGAGTTACTCTGGGCCTCCAGGGTGACATCACAGGACAGGGGTGCCTCTTAAGGTGACCTTCAACCCACAGCCCTCTTTTTGGAGACAGGCATACTCCCGTTCCAGTCGTTACCACATGGCTCTGTCCCAGAGCCATGCCCTGTGTCCTTCAGAGACCACAGGAGGAAAACAACCACTTCTGGGACGAAGACAGGGCCCTTGAGAGAAGGTGGTGTTTGGCTGGGCCACCGAAAACCCCTCACCCCTGCCAGCACACTCAGTCCCCTCTCTGGTGGAACAGAGCTCTGCCTGTGGTCCTAGGTCCCAGCCCTGAAACCCACAGGTCCAGCGGTGGCCAGGGACACAAGCCCACCCCTGCAAGCCAGCAGACAAATCAGCAGATGCCTGAAACATGAAGTTCATGGCAGGGTCAGGCTTTGTGTCATTCAAAGCCCTCTAGATAGGCCAAGAACCAGAGCTGGTTTTTTAAGGAACACCAGTGAGTCTGGAGATTTTTTTCTTTTGCTTCGGTCTTTTGCAGCTTTCTCTACTAAGGGTTCTCCTTTTTCACCCAAGTAATTGCCTTTCCATCTAATGGCCCAAATGGTCAAATGGCATCTACTAGTCTCATATGACCGCTGCCTCTCTGGCCTCGCCCTGCTGCTGACGTCAGCATGACCTGGACCTGTCCACTGGTCCCTTTCAGTAACCTGAAGCTTTCACCATAGATGTGCTGTATTGCCCAGAAGCCATCATGTCGCTGGTCGGGGTCCTGCGGAGGCTGGCTGCCTGCCGGGAGCACCAGCGGGCTCCTGAGGTCTACGTGGCCTTTACCGTCCGCAACCCAGAGACGTGCCAGCTGTTCACCACCGAGCTAGGTGAGCCTCCACGCCCACCCGGGCCTGCATGGTCCCTGAGCTGTCCCTGCAGGACGCCAGTGGAAGTGAAAGAACTGGGTGCCGGGGAAAAGCTAGGTTGCCCCACACTCCCACACCATGGGGGGAACTCAGGCAGAGGCCAGTGAGCAGGGTGGGCTTGGGGCGTGGGGGGCTTGCGGCAGGAGGAGGGCAGCTCAGCACAGGGAGGGAGGGTCTGAGCCCAGCAGCCCTACTGTGTGCTTCAGAGCAGGGTTCCCTAAGCCCTTGGGCCTCGGTTTCCTCATCTATAAAATGGAGGTGGCGGGAGGGGCAGTCGGGGTCAGGGCTGGACACAGCTGTGGCCTGCAGGACGCTGGAGCACAGGATGTACAGGCGGATCCACCACGCCACTGTCCTGAGCACCCAGTCGGTGGAAGACGAGCAGGGTGACTGTAGAGAAGGGGAACTGGCCCCATAGTGGGCCAGCAACTGTCCTCAGACCTGACATTTGTCAGCCCCCAGCAACTGTGAGGGTGTGCTGTCACTGTCCCATCTCACCAACAAAGACACTAGGACACACGGAGGCCAAGAGACCCCCGAGCTCCCGCAGACTGCACCCCAGCCACCTGGCTCTCACGCCTCCACACTACACCCAAGCCCCCCAGTGCCACCAGCCTTTGCCCCAGCTCCCCCTGAGCACAGCCCCTCCTGGCAGCCATGTGCACAGATGCACATGCAGCAGCCTCTGCCTGCACACAGAGACACAGACAACCCAGTGCCTGTCCACGTGGGGCAGCCCGTTAACTACAGAGCCAACAAACAAGCCAGCACACGAAGACGTACTGGGTTCCACGACAGAGTCCCCCCACAACCTCGCACAGGAGGCTGGCCGGGCGCAGGGCTCAGGCCTGTCATCCCAGCACTTTAGGAGGCTAAGGCAAGAGGACTACTTGACCCCAGGTGTTCAAGACCAACCTGGGCCACATAGTGGGACCCCATCTTCACAAAACATACAGAAGCTAGCCAGATGTGGTTGCACACGCCTGTAGTCCCAGCTACTCAGGAGGCTGAGGTGGGAGGATGGCTTGAGCCCAGGAGATGGAGGCTGCAGTGAGCCCTGATCTCACCACTGCACTCCAGCCTGGGCAACAGAGCAAGACCCTGTCTCAAAAAAGCAAAGAAATAAAAAATAAAAAAAAAAAAAGGAAGTCTTTCTTCAGATACTTACGTGAAAAAAAACCTGCAATATATTTTAAGTGAAAAAAACAGTGCCAAGCAGCACACATAGTATAAGCCCCCACCCACCTTTTTTTTTTTTTTTTTTTTTGAGACAGAGTCTGGCTTTGTATTGCCCAGGCTGGAGTGCAGTGGTGCCATCTCGGCCCACTGCAACCTCCCACCTCCCAGGTTCAAGCTATCCTCCCATCTCAGCCTCCTGAGTAGCTGGGACTACAGGCACGTGCTACCACACCTGGCTATTTTTTGTATTGTTTGTAGAGTTGAGGTTTCGCCATGTTGGCCAGGCTGGTCTTGAACTCCTGACCTCAAGTGATCTGCCGCCTCAGCCTCCCAAAGTGTTAGGAATACGGGCGTGAGCTACTGCGCCCAACCCCATTTTTGTTTAAAAACTAATAATAATCACCCACACATGGTTATGAGTACCTATATTCCCAACTCCTCAGGAGGCTGACGCGGGAGGATGGCTTAAGCCCAGGAGTTTGTGGCCACCTTGAGCAACATAGCGAGACTTCATCTCAAAACAAAATTTATCACAATAATCATTTTCACATAAGTATACCTATAGGGGAAAACCTAGAATATACATATAGCAGTCTTGTCCAACTTGCGGCCCAACGCAAATCTGTAAACTTTCTTCAAACAGTACGAGGTTTTTTTGTGATTTTTTTTCTTTTAGCTCATCAGGTATTGCTAGTGTTAGTGTATTTTATGCGTGGCCCAAGGCGATTCTTCTTCTTCCAGTGTGGCACAGGGAGGCCAAAAGATTGGACATCCCTGATATACACATTAACAGGTGCCATCCTTGGATGGCAGGATTATAGAGATTTCTACACATTCATGTCTGTACTACTTCATTCTTATAAATACGCATTTTCCACTCGTAACAAAAAACTGTGATTGAAAATCGTCCCGGGTCACAGTGTCTCACGCCTGTAATCCCAACACTGTAAGAGGCTGAGGCTTTGGGAGGCTGAGGTGAGCAGATCACGGGAGGTCGAGTTCAAGACCAGCCTGGCCCACATGGTGAAACCCCATCTCTACTAAAAACACAAAAATTAGCCAGGCGTGGTGGTGCACGCCTATAGTCAAAGCTACTCGGGAGACTGAGGCAGGAGAATCACTTGAACCTGGGAGGCGTTGCAGTGAGCTGAGATTGTGCCACTGCACTCCAGCCTGGGGAACAGAGTAAAACTTCGTCTAAAAACAAATAATAAAAGAGGCTGAGGCAGGAGCATCACTTGAGGCCATGCGTTCAGGACCCCATCTCTACAAAATAAAAAAATTACTGGCATGGTGGCACGCACCTGTCATCCCAGCTACTCAGGAAGTGGGAGGATTGCTAGAGCCCAGGAGTCGAGGCTGTAGTGAGCAATGACTGTGCCACTGCACTCCAGCCTGGGTGACAGAACAAGATCATATCTCAAAACAAAAAAAAAGAATCATTCTGGCTAACGGCTCTTCAGACATCTGTGCTTATGAGAACAGCAGCCCCTTCTAAGCTGTGTGTGTGTGTGGGTGTGTGTGTGGTGCGTGTGGTTTTTTTTTTTTTTTTTTGAGACTTAGTCTCACCCTGTCACTCAGGCTGGAGTGCAGTGGCACAATCTCAGCTCACTGCAACCTCCACCTCCTGGGTTCAAGCAATTCTCCCACCTCAGCCTCCCAAGTAGCTGGGATTACAGGCACTCGCCATCATGCCTGGCTAATTTCTGTATTTTTGTAGAGATGGGATTTCACCATGTTGGCCAGGCTGGTCTCGAACTCCTGACCTCAAGTGATCCGCCCGCCTTGGCCTCCCAAAGTGTTGGGATTACAGGCATGAGCCACTGTGCCCGGCCGCTTTCTAAGCTTTGTGAAGAGTGGGTTGACTATTCAGATCTCTGCTTCTGTCCCGCTGTGCCAAGTGCTGGGGCAGACACAGGCAGAGAGTGGACAGCGGCACGGTGCCTGCTGCTAGCCATTTCTATGCAAAACCAGCTTTCTGGTCCCATCCTGGAGGCCAATTCTAGGCACCTGGGTGGGCCTGGGAACCTGTGAACCAAGTAAACTGACTTGGACACCCCCCTACCCCGCCAGGCCTGTCCTAGCAGCCCCACACAATACCCTCATGTCCTGTCCCCAAACACCGCCATCCTCAAACACATGTGCTCTGTTTCCAGGCCGGGCCGGGATCAGATGGGAAGTGGAACCTCGTCATGAGCAGAAACTGTTTCCCTACGAAGAGCACTTGGAGATGGCAATGCTGAATCTCACCCTGTAGGACTCACACACGACTCCAACGGGATTGTGAGAATCAAGTCACTCTCATGGGAAGAATTTTTATATGGGAAAGCGGATAAAACTTTCATTGGACTGGAATGTTTGGAGAATGTTAATTTCCAAATCAGGAACCACAAACTGCCCTCTAATAAGACATCGGCTATCTAAGCGTGTGGGTGCCCCCTTTCTGCCAGCAGTTCTGGTTCTTAAGAAAATCACCATAAATCAGACATGAAAATTCTGGCTCCAAAAATAGCATTTTCTTTGTGCAAATAAAAACGTGTGTATCAAGTATGATGTTCCCCCAACGTGGACACACTCAGTTCCTCACAAAGCCAAGCCCACTGCAGCTGCCACATCCCTGGGCTTACGGTGCAGCAGGTGCTTTTTTCAAGACAGGAATCAAAATGTTAGGAACACGGCAGAAAGGGGACACCTGGAGACCAAACGCAGGATGAGGAGTTCTGCAGAGGTCACAGGGAAGTCACAGAACAGTAATACGCTAGCAGGGGCATGGGGCGTGAAGAACAGAAGAAGAGAGGAAGCGTTTCCAAGCCTCCAGAGAAGAAATCAAGGCCAACCAAAGCTTCCCGGGTCACAGAACCAATTCTTTTACCAGGCAGTACCACTGCTGTCATTTCAGCTTCTGGCCACTGGGAGGTGCTGCTCGAAAGGGTTTGCCCTGAGACTCCAAGAAGAAGCTGCGGGAAGGACAGCAGGGGTCCTGGGGTTTTAGCCTCTGGCCCAGGAGTTATGTGTCCATAACCAAAGGGAGCACAGTCTGCACCCAGCTCTCATCCCATCGGAGCTGCTGCGACTCCCGCAGGTTCTTCCGGAACTGGTTTAGCTTGCCCGCAGGATCAGGAAAGTTTGAGAAAAGCATCTGCAAAAAAATAAAGAGCAGAGCTTACCTCATTGCCTGTCCCCACCCCATCCCAGGTCACCACCTGGCTGACCCCAGGTCCCCGACCCAACAACAACCCCTCCCAAGTCCCTAACTCCCTCACTTGGACTCGAGACCCTTCACACCCCAGCAGCACTCCGCCTCCAACTTGACATCACAGTTTCTGGAAACTTCCCCGCATGTCCCACTTTCCCACACTTGGTGCCCTGGAGCACCTCCCGGCCTCTACGTGCTGCCCATTCCCCTGTGAGCACCCTCCTCTCGGCCTCTGGCCAACGCAGTCTCACCCATCTGTGGGTAACAAGGGGGTGTCGGTGTTCTTTGCAGCCTTGCTAAACTGTCTGAATCAAGGATCACAAACTACAGCCTGCAGGCCAAATCCAGCCCACAGCCTGTGTTTGTAAATAAAGTTTTATTGGAACAAAGCCACACCCCTTAATCTACAGATGATCTGTGGCTACTTTCACACCCCAACAGAGTACCATGGTTCTGACAGAGACTGGGGAACCCAGTCTAAACGACTTCCGACCTGGACCTTTACTGAAAATCCTGCCAATCATTCTGTTGGCAAGAATGATGTATTACTTTTTGCAATAAGAAACAAGTAACCTTTGCAGAATTCCACCCATCTTTCAAGGCTGGTCCCAGAAGCTCCCTTTGCCCGCCCACCTACGTGATCCTGATCACTTCCTCAACCGCAGCCCGGCCCACCCAGCTCCAGCATCATTTGTGGAGTGTCAGCTCCATAAATCCAGAGGGCAGGTGGGGGTGTGTCTTAACTTTCCCGAGCCTACTGTACCGAAACGGGACAGCAGAGTGGGCCAGCCTCTGTGACCTCTGCTCCCTCCCTAGCTTTTCCGCCAGACCCCACATGGTCCCACCCTGGCTGTGGGAAGCAGGGATCAGGGAGCCTGGCTCGGTGCCAGTCTCCAGAACCCTCCCCACCCTGGCGTGGTGGCAGACGTGGCTACCTGCAGCTGAGCTGCCAGTTCCTCTGAGTCCTCAAAGACCAGGCCATTTTCTTCATGTTTCACCAGCTCATGTAAACTGCAGAGAGAACCAAGGGAGCCTGAGAGCTGCCTGTAGAAGACACCAGACCCCTGGGGTGCCCACCTGGGCTCCCCCACACACCCCATGCTCAAGCCAGGCTGGGGGTTGGAACAGGGGGTGTGGTTTCCGGGAGCTGGTTCTTAGATTTGGCATCTGAAGGGTATAAAGGCCTGGGGGGGTGCACATCAAAATGGCCACACCCATTTGAGGAGGGAGCCTTAAGGGGGGTTTGTACCTTCTGTGCTGGATGCTCTTCAAGGACTGAAGAATTATTTTTGCATGTTTTTCTTAATTCCATGGCCATGGAACAAGTAAAGGCAACGCCCTGGGGACTGGCTCAGCACATAAAAGATGACTTTTCTAGGGCACCAGGTTTGATCCCGACATTCCCTGAGCTCAGCTCACACGAGGGGCTCACATCCCTAAATCCCATCCAGGGGCCGGCTCCTGAGCAGGGGCCAAGGGCTCAACTTGTGCTGGGGCTACTGCTTCTAGAATCTCCTCTAACACTGCCCTTCCAAACACCCGTCTACGCTGGGTGCAGTGAGGCCACAGCATGACACTCATTTAACTGATTCAAACCGACCATGTGAGCTTGGCCAAAAGGGACATGGTGGGAGAGAAAAACAAAGAAAACCATGTAAGCCTGCAGGCAATTCCCACCAATTCTACCCTAGGAGCAAAAGCCCCGAGTGGAGTTCTGGTATTTAAGGTGCTTTTTGTTTTCATATTGGGTTGGTGCAAAAGTAGTTGCCATTTTTAATGGCAAAAACCATGATTACTTTTGTACCAACCTAAATATAACATGAGCTCTAAATGGAAGCAACTACTTCAGTGAGGCTCAGCCCAGCCACAGTAACCGCAGGGCTCCTCCTCATGGCCTCCAGTGTGTGCCGGACTGACCGAGGGGCAGGGCCTCACTGTGGGCAGCTCCCTCTGCACTGCTTCCCCCTCAGCGGTGGATCTGCAAAGCTATCCCCAGAAGGATTTGGGTTCTGCTCCTACCACTTGAAGTTCACAGCACACACAGGCAAACAGCACCCGAACATGTCCACCACCTTCATGGGCAGGTCCAGGCCACTGGAGGACGTGTGCAGACAGACACCCAGGTCCGCCGACCCTGCTAGGCAAGAGGGGTGGGTCAGAGCACTGGTCTCTGCCCTGGGAACACAAATCCTCCCAGCACAGTGAGGCAGCATCCCCCAAGGAGAGTGAAAATCAGATAAGGCCCCCAACAGCCCCAAACACAAGTGGCTTAAGCTGGCCAAGCAGCCACACAGCCTGGCTGGGACATCTGAAAATGTAAGTTGACACTTTTTATACGTAACCACAATTTGGTTTTTTTGTTGTTGTGTTGTTTTGTTTTGAGACAGAGTCTCATTCTGTCACCCAGGCTGGAGTGCAGTGGCACAATCTCAGCTCACTGCAACCTCCACCTCCCAGGTTCACCTCCTGCCTGTAATCCCAGCATTTTGGGAGGCCAAGGCGGGCAGATCACCTGAGGTCAGGAGTTCAAGACCAGCCTGGCCCACATGGTGAAACCCCATCTCTACTAAAAAAAATACAAAATTAGCCAAGCATCGTGGCAGGCGCCTGTAGTCACAGCTACTCGGGAGGCTGAGGCAGGAGAATCGCTTGAACCCGGGAAGGCGGAGGTTGCGTGAGCCAAGATCACACCATTGCACTCCAGCCTGGTCTACAAGAGCGAAACTCCATCTCAAAATGATAATAATAATAAACCACAGCACACCCACCACAAACCAGCTGTCACTGTGAAAATAAAGCCAAATAGCTTAACATTTCTAAAGACTAGCTGGGGCCAGGCGTGATGGGTCACACCTGGAATCCAAGCACTTAGGAAGGCCAAGGCAGGAGGATCACTTGAGGTCAGGAGTTCAAGACCAGCCTGGCCAACATGGTGAAACCCTGTCTCTACTAAAAATACAAAAATAAGCCAGGTGTTGTGGTGGGCTCCTGTAATCCCGTAATCTACTCGGGAGGCTGAGGTGGGAAAATCGCTTGAACCCAGGAGGCAGAGGTTGCATGAACTGAGATCATGCACTCCAGCCTAGGCAACGGAGCGAGACTGTCTAAAACAAAGACTAGGTGGAGAGTCCTGCCAGGAAAAGGCCTTCAGCCTCCAACTGCTCTGCTCACTCGAAGCTGGAAGATGCAGCTCTAGAGACGCATCAGGACCAAGGCACGACTCCCCACTTGGAGAAATCAACGGGGAAAGAGACGGAGGCAAAGGAGAACCATCTCACTGGGAGAGGCGACGCTGTTTGACACATCGTCCCCGTACCTCCCAAAGCCACTGCCCTCCCACACCTGGGCAACAGTGGCCCCAACCCCAGGCCCAGCCCTCCTGCAGGAAGGAAGAGGACTGAATGGAGGGCGTGGCAGGCTGAAAGGACGTGGCCTCCTCAAACCCCTTGGTAAACGGCCCCTGGGGCCACCTGGCAGGGAGGGGCTGGCACACCAGGAAGTAGCCTCCTCCTGGGAGTTCAGCCAGAGCCCAGGTCCCGTCCCCCAGTGGCCTCCAGAGCCACCTTTTCAGAAAAAGTACATCCCGCCCACCCTGTTCCCCCCGCCTCCTCCCTGAGCCTCCTGCTGGCCTCTCACCTAGAAGCAGGGGGTAGTCCTCGGCCTCCAGCCAGGGGGTGCAGACCTGGATGTGCTGGAAGTGCTTCTGGTGGATGAGGCGGCTATAATACTCCCTCAGAGGCCCTTTGCCTTCACAGAGAAGAGCAGACACTGCCATGGACCCATCTCTGTCCCTGCCACGTGGCCCCAGGCCCAAGACACTCCCCCCTAGGAGGGATCCCTTTCCCAGAAGCTCCACCCCTCAGCAGCTCCAGTCAGGCCCCATCCGGGCCCTTCCAGAAGCAACCCAGGAGCCCTGAGACCTGCAGGGGTGTGTGCACCCTGACCCCTGACGCATAGCCTTTCACCTGCAGCCAGCTGGCCTCGGGCTGCAAACATGGCGGGGTAAGCACTGGCCTGGCACCCGACCGCCCACTGGGTGGACCCAGCCTTTTGTCTGTGTTGTGCACAGGGGACACGAGGACTCCTCCTGCCCTGGCACAGCCCCCAGAGCATATGGCGCGGGTTCCAAACCACTCCTGGGAGCCTAGAGGCCAGAGGAGGGAGGAGAGCAGGACCAGCAGCTGGCCCAGACCCGGCCTCTTCCCACACCGCTTCCGCTTTTCTCCCTCCTCACTGAGTCACCTTGAAAGGGCTCAGCAGCAGTAACTGTGGGACAGGGGCTCTTCCGTTTGAAAAATTAAGAGGCTTGGTTAAGGCACCAATGACATGGCCGGGCACAGTGATTTGTGCCTGTAATTCCAGCATATTGGGAGGCCAAGGCGGGTGGATCACCTGAGGTCAGGAGTTCAAGACCAGCCTGGCCAACATGGTGAAACCCTGTCTCTACTAAAAATACAAAAATTAGGCAGTTGTGGTGGGCACCTGTAGTCCCAGCCACTCGGGAGGCTGGGGCATGAGAATTGCTTGAATGTGGGAGGCGGAGGTTGCAGTGAGCCGAGATCGCACCACTGCACTCCAGCCTGGGCGACAGAGACTCTGTCTCAAAAAAAAAAAAAAAAGACACCAATGACGTAACAACAACAAAAAAAAGATGCTTGGAAACTACTGAAAAAGTAGAAAGCTTGGTATCTACAGATTCAAATCTGGGCTCCCTGCCCTGCCTCTGAGCCTCAGTTTCCCCCATGTCAAGCAGTATAAGACCCTATGGCAGAGCTGCAGTGAGGATTAAGGAGACAAGATCATGGGAAGCACAGGGTAAAGGCTGCGTGCCCCTCCCCCTCCGCCATCCCCCAACCAAACAGACACCCAGGGTCCCAGGCAGTACCTGTTATCACACAGACGAGAGAAGGAAGGTTGTGTCCATCAAGAGTCAGTTGTTCAAACTCTGTGTTTAGAAAAAGAAACAATTCTACATGGAATTTCTGATAGAATTTTTTTTTTTTTCTGACAGACTCTCACTCTGTCACCCAGGCTGGAATGCAATGGCGCGATCTCAGCTCACTGCAACCTCTGCCTCCTGGGTTCAAGTAATTCTCGTGCATCAGCCTCCCAAGTAGCTGGGATGACAGGCGCCCACCACCATACCTAGCTAATTTTTGTATTTTTAGTAGAGACAGGTTTCGCCCTGTTGGCCAGGTTGGTCTCGAACTCCTGACCTCAGATGATCTGCCTGCCTCGGCCTCCCAGAGTTCTAGGATTACAGGTTTGAGCCACCATGCCCATTCAGAAAAAAATTTTTAAATAAACAATAGCCAGAGTCACCTGGTCAGGTGGAGAAAGAGCACTGCTCTGGCGGGGAGGCCACCAGCCTGTGTGAGATACTCTCCTGGAGGGGGCATTTCAGCCTGAGGGCCTGGTCACTCAATGACCCAACTGGGGATTCAGGGCGGCCCACTTCCACCACCCCCGCTGTCCCCAGGCTGCCCCACCCAGTGGCCTGGGACAGGAACATGCTGCAGGCCAGGCAAGCAGCTTACAGCTCAGTGGCCCCCGACAAGCCCAGAGCTCCTCACCGCAGCCACACACCTACTTTCTAAAGCTGCCAGCAGGATGGAGAAGTCTTCGTCCTCTATGAGAAGAGAATTGAATGTCAGGGGCCTGTTTCTAGACACCCCTCTTCCAGCTCACAGGCCCTCCCGTTCTCATTGAGACCGTGGCAGGGTGGGAGCATGCAGGACTGGCAGGGGTGAGGAGAACACAGGTTGGCCAGGTGCCCGTCACACCAACCCCAAGTGCCCCAGGGGTCCTGCAGACCTGTCCAGCTCGTGCTGCTGACCAGCAGGGCTGGCCGCTCACGGAGACGCGTCACCAGCCCGCTCCCAGCATCCCGCTCCGTGAAGGCCGACCGCTCCGTGACTGGGTCCTCAGGTTCTGAGCTGAAGGAGCAGAAAAAAAGCCTGTGAGAGGCCATAGAGCAGGCCCGGGACCCAGGAGAGGCATCTCCTGCCGTGGCGAGGCCTGCAGGCTCCCAGAGGTTGGGGTGCCCAGCCACATCAGCAGCACCAGGCCACCCCTGCCATCTGAGGCCTGGGCTTGCTTTCTCTAATATTGTTGCTGGGTGCTAAGGTTACAACAGCAAACAAGACTGACTCATTCCTTTTCTCCACGGGACTTACTGTCTTATCATCCCCTGGACTCAAGATGAGGGTGCAGGGACGCCCTCCCACACCACCCCAGCTTACCCAGGGCACACCTCAGGGTGCGTAGACCTGCACAAAGGTCCCCTCCTTAGCCCCATGAGACACCCCAGGGGACACACAGGTCCACAGATCCTGCCACAGGCCTGGGAAGCCACTGGCAGGAGAGTAAGACAGCGCAGGGGTCCACAAACATTTCTTAAAGGGCCAGAGAGTAAATACTTCAGGCTTTGCGGGCCACAGGTTCTCTGTTGCAAAACGCGATTCTGCTATTGCAGCTCAAAGGCGGCTGTAGACAACTCAGAAGGCAATGAGTGTGTTGTGTCCCAGTGAAACTTGATTTACAAAAGCAGCAGACTGGCCTGTAGCCTTAGTTTGCCAACCCCTGGATGAGTGGGTTCCCAGGTCTGCAGTGAGAAGGGGAGAGGCCAGGGCAGTGGCGAGCAGGAGAGAAGGCAGCTGAGGATGGGAGGCCTACCGGGCCCTGAACGGAGAGTGCATGCTGCCCAGCTTCATGAAGAGCCGGTGCTGCAGGTCCAGAGGTGTCTCTTTAAAGAAAGATGCGGGCTTGTCGTAGACGGTCACAGCCCTGCAATGAAATCATGACGGGGCTATTGGGAGGGCTGAAGAAAGGCCTCAGGAACAGAGGACTCAGAGGCTCCAGGAAAAGAAGGACGCTTGGGGAATCCAAGTCTCAGATGATGACAAGAAGAAGCCTTGCAATTACTTGGGAATGCACAGAGAGACGTCCTAGGACCAAAACTGCCTGGACCCCCTGGCTGGCTAAGAAAGAAACTCTGCCCCCTCCTCCCCCAGCTTCCCCAAACCAAAGACCACCTCCCAGGCCCTCAGTATTTCAAATTGCCCCTCAGCAGGACGGCAGCAGGCAAGGCAGCTCTCACTGCAGCCAATCAGGGGCCCCGCGCCTCTCCCAGGCCGCCGTCATCCCAGGCCATGGTACCTGATGTGCCAGTTATCCGCCAGGTCTTCTCGCATAGCATTGGTAACACACAGGTTCAGGTGGGACAGGCGCCCAAAGAACTTCTCGTACCTGAAAAGAGAGATCAGCAGTCAGCAGAGCCCTAGACAGGCCTCCGCTACCACCACAGCGTGACTCGACATCCCTCAACAGAGAAAAGGCCGCAGAGCTGGGAGAGTTTGAGCTCCCTGAGCCCCAGCTGTGCCAGTGTTCTTTCTTTATGCTGTATATACCCTCCTTTATGTTGTGTCACTTGTTGGCTTAAATACAATCACTTTAAAAGGAAACTGCACTCCAGCCTGGGCAACAAAGCAAGACTCCGTCTCAAATAAATAAATAAATAAATACAAATTTAAAAAAATAAATAGAAGGACACTGTGTATCACTGCCAAAGTGAACATCCTCTCTCTTGCTGTAAAAGGAAGAAATACAGGCCAGGCGCGGTGGCTCATGCCTGTAATCCCAGCACTTTGGGAGGTGGATCGTTTGAGGTCAGGAGTTCGAGACCAGCCTGGCCAACGTGGTGAAACCCTGTCTCTACTAAAAACACAAAAATTAGCCAGGCGTGGTGGTGGGTGCCTATAATCCCAGCTACTCAGGAGGCTGAGGCAGGAGAATTGCTTGAACCCAGAAGGCGGAGGCTGCAGTGAGCCGAGATGGCGCCATTGCACTCCAGTCTGGGACATAGAGTGAGACTGTCTCAAAAAAAAAAAAAAAAAAAAAAGGAAGAAATACAATGAAGGCCTCACTAGCGATCTCAGCCACCCTGTGCTACCACTGCAAAGGCTGTAAGGTCACGGCTTGCTCTCAACGTGGGGCAAAGGGATTCAGTGAGCATTGTACACATTCTCTCCTAACGGAGACTGAGCCCTGATCGCAGGGTAGAGCCGGAACACGGCATGCGCGATTCTGGGTTATTTATCACCGCCAGGGTATCATCGCCTGTTCCTCTCAAGATGCAGAGAAAGCTCGGAAATGGGCTTGCCTGGGATATTTTGGTCCTCACACTTAGCTGTGTGGCAAGAGGCATAATCGTTCTCAGCCTCAGTTTCCTGACTTGTAAAAGGTACACCCTCCTGAGGTGCATAGAGATTGAACAGGGTAAAATACAAAAAGGGCTTGGATGGAGGACTGGCATGCAGCAGGTGCTCACCATTGACCATTCTGCTCCATTTGCTCAACTAAGCTGTTTGCTGCTGCTGTCACCACTGCCAGTGAACAAACTATCAGGGCGAAGGCCACAGCCAGCCAATGGCCCAAGGCCGGAAGTACACGCAGCAGCTGGACATGCACACGGAGGCTGGATGTGCACCTGAAGGCTGGCCGTGCAGAGTATAACAGAGATGTTATAGTTGGGCTCAGAGGACAGCAGATGACCTTCCCAGCTCCACGTCCCACTGCTACCACTGGCCCTTCTTCCCTCCCTGTCACATCAGCTGCAGCAACTGTGGCCCACTTCTCCAGCTACCAACAGCAGCCCTGGGTTTTAATTTGGGGATCTGCCCTCACCCACCCTCTGTCCATGAGATATGGATGCTCCTGAGACCCAGCTCTTCTGCTGGAGCACTTGCCCCCTGGCCTCAACAGGCAGATCAGAGGAAGGCAGGTAACCTACATGAGCCAATCAGAAAGGGCTGCCCTCCCCAATGAGCCTACGTGAGGACAAGAGCTAGGAGAGTTCCGGGAACCACCACCAGAAGGGAGTGTGGAGACAGACGTGAGCTGGGTCCCAGTGACACTGCTGAGCTCGAAACCAACCATTTCCACAGACACTTCCATTTCATGGGCCAAAAAATGTGGTCCTTTGCTGAGGCCTGTTTCTATCATTTGGAACCAGCATTCGGCCTGATTCACCAGCCTCACCCCACCTCCTGCAGAGCCCACAAGGAACCGACTTCCGGAGGCCCACTATGGCCCTTCTTCTCACTCATCCTTGAGTGGTTTAGGGGACGGTATTTTACCCTCTTCCTAGACTCTCACCACTTGGCCAGCAGAACGAGGGGATGGTTGGGGCCATGCACCAGACCCATGATGGAGTAGCCATAGTTGTGCCAGTCAATGACGAGCTTGCTTCCACAAAGGCAGCCCACGAACCAGCAGACAGCAATGCTAGGCAGACCTGGGGGGTTCTAGGAAAGATAGAGACTTGAAGGGGAGGAAACCCAGACCATGCTAGGCAATAAACCCAGTAAAAATAGTCACAACACACATGGTGATGAGTCTGTTATCTTTACAGAGCTCTTGATAATAAGCAGAAGAAAGACCCTCTCCACCACCAAAATAGATGTAAAAAGTCATAAAAGAAACAGAATGGGCCAGGTGCGGTGGCTGATGCCTGTAATCCCAACACTTTGGGAGGCCAAGGCAGGAGGATCATTTGAGCCCAGGAGTTCAAGGCCGGCCTAGGAAACACAGTGAGACCTCATCTCTACAAAAAATTTAAAAATTAGCCAGGTGTGGTGGGACACACCTGCAGCCCCAGCTACTCAGGAGGCTGAGGAGGTAGGATCACTTGAGCCCAGGAGGATGAGGCTGCAGTTAAGCTATGATTGTGCCACTGCACTCCAGCCTGGGCGACAGAGCTAGACTCTGCCTCTAAAACAAACAAACAAAAACCAAACAAACAAACAGAACCAACCTGAAAAGTCCAAGATCATCAATAATCAAGGAGGCAAAAAACAGAACAAAGAGATGGCATTTTTCACCTGTTGGAATGCAAATTCTAAAAAGGTCTAACAACAGCTGGTGATGGTAAGCATGGGGGAGAAGAGGTACCCCCACTCAGCGGGGGCCAAACTGACCCAACCTTACTCTAAAGCTATCCAGTAACATACACATTTTTAAAATGCATCAACTTTGACTACACAATTCCACTGCTGGGAAGTTACCCTAAGAAAGAAACTGGACTTATACAAAAGGCATATGCTCGCTGTGCTTGGAGCCACACTATTTGTAAAAGTAAAAACAAAATCAGGAAGAATCTGAGTATCCATTAACATGAGACTAAATACATGCAGTATAGTACATCACATATTGGAATTCAAGGCTGCCTATTAAAAGAGGAAGGTGTGGGTCACGATGGTTCATGCCTGTAATCCCAGCAATCTGGGAGGCCGAGGCAGGTGGATCACCTGAGGTCAGGAGTTCAAGACCATCCTGGCCAGCATAGCGAAACCCCATCTCTACTAAAAAAAATTACAAAAATTAGCCAGGCATGGTGGCACATGCCTGTAATCCCAGCTACTCAGGAGGCTGAGGCAGGAAAATCACTTGAACACGGGAGGTAGAAGGTGCAGTGAGCCAAGATCGCACCACTGCACTCCAGCCTGAGCAACAGAGACTCCATCTCAGGAAAAATAAAAATAAATAAATAAAAGAGGAAGGTGCTTCTATATATTAAAAATTGATTTAAAAAAAAAAGTATTCTTCCTTCAGCTAGAAAAGAAAGAAAAATTTTTTAAAGAAAAAGTGATCAAGGGAAGGGATTAAAAGTATAACGATAGGCCAGGCGCGGTGGCGCACGCCTGTAATCCCAGCACTTTGGGACGCCGAGGGGGGCGGATTACCTGAGGTCAGGAGTTCGAGAACAGCCTGGCCAACATGGCGTAACCCCATTTCTACTAAAAATACAAAAATTAGCTGGGCGTGGTGGCGGGCACCTGTAATCCCAGCTACTCAGGAGGCTGAGGCAGGAGAATCACTTGAACCCGGCAGGCAGAGGTTGCAGTGAGCCGAGATCACGCCACTGCACTCCAGCCTGGGCGGCAAGAGCGAAACTCTGTCTCAAAAAAATATATGTGTGTTTGTGTGTGCGCGCGTATGCGTGCGTGTGTATACTATAGAACCACACTGACGACCTACGTTCAAATCCTGATTCCACCACTTCCTAGCTGTATGGCGATGGGCTACTTACAGAGCCTTTCTCAGTCTAGGTTTTCTCATCTAAATGAGAACAACCTTAAGAAACAGGTTCTTGTATTACCTACATGCAATATTTCTTAGGGTAACTGTGAGGACTAAATGAGTTAATACATGGAAAACACTTGATACACAGTCAGTACAATGTAAGACTATCTGTAATGACACAGAGAGCATGGATAGGTGCCATAAATAGACACATACCATAGGCTCCTACTCATGTCTTTAAACGCCCATACACACAACACACACACATATGAATATGCAATATAGTACCAATTTGTGCTGGAAAGTAAACTGCTAACATGGCTCTCACAGAGGGAGGCAGAGGCTGATACACACCTGGAGAAAGATATAGGCACCTGGCTCCCTCCACATCAACTTCCACAGCAAGTACATAGCCTGAAGTACAACTTTGACTCCGTACTGGAAAACTCGGGGCCCAACTGCAAGTCAGAAAACACCTGTGACTACCAAAGGAGCGTCTGGCAATCTGCACGGCTTTTCAAACGAACACCCCCTGCCCCCAGCCCATGGATTCAGAGGATTCTGGAGTTGACGGCATCCTACCTGCAAGACTCTGAAGTTCTGTCAACCCCACAATCTGAATTCTGTTGTTCTGCAAGAGCTCATCATGGGGTTTGGAGTCTGAAAAATGAGAATGATCCCTTTAATGTACCAGAAGCAGCAATCTAAAGTCAGATAATCTCCCAACTCAGGCTGAATCACGGACAGTGTTTTGGAAAGTAAGATATTTCAAAACCTCTCTCTGCTCCTCACTAGCCAGAACAGAGAATGCGGCCAATTCTTGTTCAGATTGCTCTAGGAGGCACACAGAGATAGGGCCTGAATCTTACCTACCTTCACTTAACATGATGCCTGGCAAACAGTAGGTGCTCAATTAAACTAATCTAGATTGTCTGGATAGTGGAATTTTCCCACCACAGAGCCATCCCTAGGAAGTCCCACTCTACCCCATCACCCTAGGATAGCAGATTCTAAACAGGGATTAAAGGCAACTAGTGCTGTTCCCACTTCTTCCTGAGATGGGGTTGAGCTACCCTCTCAAGATACCAACGTGGAGAATAATGAGGGAGCAGACACCGCTGCCCTGCACACTGTGGGGAAAAGCTGGACATGAAGAACAAATGAAAACATCTGTCTGCAGAGCTCTGCGTTGAGGGATGAGGAATGAAATATCCTGTCAGCTCAGACATAGCCTGACAAGGGTAGCTGCACAGGGACGTAGCTACCAGCACTAGCCCTGGAGTTCCACGCACCTGGGTTCCACTTACTAGGAGAATTACGTGAGACCACGCAATGGATTCACTTAACACACTTCTGACACGTGGCAAGATTAACGCCGGCTATACCTAGAGACCCACCCAGGAAAGGCTGGGGCAGAACCGCTCGTCTAATCTCGGAGAGCTGCCCAAAGGCGGCGACTAAAGGAGCACTTCCGCCTCGACTCCCCGGGGCGGTTAGAACCGAGGATCAACGGCTGAGAGAGCATCGTCCCTCCCAGACCCTTGGCCACTCACTGCAGAACCCCAGGAGGGTCACCGAGAAGCCGTGCATGGCCAACGACAGCGCGTGGTACTGCATACGGGGGCTGCGGCCCACGTCGCCCAGCACCACCGCTACTACATGCCGGGCCGCCCGCCCCCGGCGCCAGCGCTTCCATCCTCCCAGCAGCAGCAGCGGCAGCAGCAGACACAGCGCCAGCAGGACCAAGCATGAGGCCGCCATCTTGGCTGGCCCGCAGCAGTCACGTGACCGCGCTTCCTCGCGCTGTGCGCAGCCGCAGACCGAGCCTCCGAAGTGGGCCGAGAGGGCGAGAAGTGGACGCGGTTCCCTAACAGGGGCCCGGGGAACCCCCAGGAGCCCCTCGGGGCCAAGAATTAGTAGTAGTAGGACACACGCACATACACCAGATTCCCTACACACCAGTGTATTTCCCCGACTAAAGTAAAGCTGTTACTGTATTGGGATCTAAGAACTCTCTTCAGGATTCAAAGATAATTTCAAAATATAGTGACACAAGAATTTGGATAAATTTCATCCTAACATTGATAAAGGAGCCAGATGCTGACGAGTACGAATTGTAGAGTTCCGTCTATGTAAATAAAAACCAGTCCTCGCTGTTAGAAGTTAGGGGCTGGTGGGTTCTGCTTCTGGATCTGGTGCTGGTAATGTGGGTGTGCTGCATTTGGGGCGGTACCTCAAGCAGCAGATTACCTGCCCATTTTCCAGGGTGTACATCACACTTAATAAAACATTTAAAAGGTAGAGAGGGGGAAGGACAAACAAGGAAGTAAACACCATCATGATTTTGCTTAAGTATCAATGGCTAGAAAGGAAATTTCCACAGTGACCCTCCAATTTCACCTCCCAAAGTAGCCATAGTGAGAGTTTAATGTGTGTCTCTGCGATGGCCTGTATTAGTCCGTTTTCATGCTGCTGATAAAGACATACCCGAGACTGAGCACTTTACATAAGAAAGAGGTTTCATGGACTTACAGGTCCACATGGCTGGGAAGGCCTCACCATCATGGCAGAAGGCAAGGAGGAGCAAGTCACCTCTTACATAGATGGCAGCAGGCAAAAAGAGAGCTTCTGCAGGAAAACTCCTTTTTATAAAACAATCAGGTCTCGTGAGGCTTATTCACTATCACGAGAACGGCACGGGAAACACCTGACCCCATGATTCAGTTACCTCCCACTGGGTCCCTTCCACACAACACATGGGAATTCAAGATGAGATTTGGGTGGGGACACAGCCAAACCGTATCATGACCTTTTTTCTTTGAAAGCGGTCCCTTGCAGAGAAACACCAAGAGCTCACTGGTGATGCTACCCCATTGCCTCCACTTGGGAGCTGCCGCAGAACCTGGAGAGCCACCACCCAGACCGTATTCAACAAACAAACAAGACTCCTCCCCTGATGAGGACCACAGGCAGCACCCACGGGACAGGGTAGCCCACATGGATGTGGCTCCCCAGTGTCCCTGGGCTCAGCTCAGGGCTTGGCACACTTTGCATCTGCTTTTCACAATTGCCCCATCACTCCCTTTCTATGGATTCAGAAGGGACAGCTCACGCCTTAAGCCAGACCTTGAAACCCGAGCTTTCAGAAGGAAAGGAAGGACGAGTAAGTATCTGCAGACAGCAGGGATGGGCATACAAACATGCTGGCAGCGGCATTTATCCTCCAGTTCCCAGCGAGGCCCCTGCCTCCAGGTTGCGTGTGCTGGGGTGGAGGCCTGTGACACATCGCCTGCCCAACTCTGTCGACGCTCTGTAATGGGACAGGTAGGGATCTGGGACCTCAGCCTCAGGACTCCTGGCTTTCCTGCTCCACCTCGGGCGAGTCACTCCCCATCAATTTGCTTTCTTCGTCTGTGAATTAAGGGAGGGGAACTTCAAGTCTTTGAGAGCCTGTCCTGCTCTGATGAGCTAAGAGGATAAAGACTATGGTGATGACAAACCAAAAGTAGATGCCTCCCTCTGGTAGGTGAACCTCCGTCGGGGAGGGAGTTGCCGTGGTGTCTCCTGGAGAGAGGGGACGGAGCCATCCCCAGCAGGGGGGCGGTTTCATAGCTGGGCCAGCCCACCTGTCCGGCTTTCTCACTTGGCATCCATTCCACATGAGATCCAGTCTTTCCAACAATCAAGAGGATATATGGATAAGTCACTCAATCTCCCTTGGAGCCTCAGATTTTGTTCAAGTTGACTGAGCACCCACTTGAGGGGTGATCAAGGATTAACAGAAGTAATGACAATGACAAGCTTCCCCTAGAACCTCTGTTCCCAGTGGTGCTCCCAAGGGGGCAAAAATGGCTCTTGGGGAGCAAAACATCCTTACCCTTTTTATGTATAAAGCACAGATAATGATACAATACACAAGCATGCAGTATATCTGCAGTATTAAAATTTTATGAAGGCTGAAAGCAGTGGCTCATGCCTGTAATCCCAGCACTTTGGGACGCTGAGGCGGAAGGATCACTTGAGCCCAGGAGTTCAAGACCAGCCTGGGCACCATAGTGAAACCCCATCTCTACAAAGAATACCCAAAAAATGGTGGTGGCGTGTGCCTATAGTCCCAGCTACTCGGGAGACTGAGGTGGGAAGATCACCTGAGCCCAGGGAGGTCGAGGCTGCAGTGAACCATGATCATACCACTGCACTCCAGCCTAAGTGACAAAGCGAGACCCTGTCTCAAAAAAATAAACAAGTAAAATAAAATTTCATGGGGCAGTACATAAGGAACCCTCATCTTCTGCCAGTGGGCACGTAAATGGCCCAGCCACTGTGGAAAACAGTCGTATGGTCCCTCATTAGGTTCAACATAGAATTATCACGTGACACAGCAATGGCATTCCCACGTATACACCCAGGAGAATGAAAAACAGGTTTTCGAACAAAAACTTGTAAACAAACATCAGTACTGTCCACAAGAATCAAATCATGGAAACAATCCAGAGGCTCATCAGTGGATGAGTGATGAACAGAATGCGGTCTGTCCACAGCTCCCACAGCCTCCCACCCGAGGTTTCCCAGGTGTCTCCTTGTTTGCTTGTTTGTTTGTTTGTTTTGAGATGGAGTCTCACTCTGTCGTCCAGGCTGGAGTGCAGGGGTGCCGTCTCGGCTCACTGCAACCTCCACCTCCCAGGTTCAAGTGATTCTCCTGCCTCAGCCTCCCTAGTAGCTGGGATTACAGCCCTGCACCATCACGCCTGGCTAAGTTTTGTATGTTTAGTGGAGTCGGGGTTTCACCATGTTGGCCAGGATGGTCTCAAACTCATAACCTCAAGTGATCCGCCCACCTCAGCCTCCCAAAGTGCTGGGATTACAGGTGTGAGCCACCACGCCCTGCTCCAGGTGTCTTGTTTTCATTTTATTTTATTTTATTTTATTTTATTTTATTTTATTTTATTTTATATTTCATTTCATTTCATTTCATTTTATATTTTGAGACAGAGTCTCACTCTGTTACCCAGGCTGCAGTGCAGTGGCCCCATCTCGGCTCACTGCAACCTCTGCCTCCCAGGTTCAAGTGATTCTCTTGCCTCAGCCTCCCAAGTAGCTGGGATTAGAGTTGCGTGCCACCACGCCTGGCTAATTTTTGTATTTTTAGTAAAGACAGGGTTTCACCACGTTGGCCATGTTGGTCTTGAACTCCTGACCTCAAGTGATCTCCCCGCCTCAGCCTCTCAAAGTGCTGGGATTACAGGTATGAGCCACCATGCCCGGCCTAGGTGTCTACTTTTGGTTTGTCATCTCCATAGTCCTCATCCTCTTAAATCATCAGAGCAGGAGGGGCTTCCCCGGGAGATGATATTATTCATCCATAAAAAAGAATAAAGTACTGACATGTGCTACAACACAGATGAACCTTGAAAACATCACGCTGAGTGAGAGAAGCCAGACACAAAAAGCCACGCATTGTATGATTCCATTTATATGAAATATCCACCGTAGGTCAAACCATAGACACAGAAAGTTGATTCATGGTTGGTAGGGGCTGGGGAGGAGGGAATAGGGAGTTTCTGCAAATGGGTATGGGATTTCTTTTCAGGGTGGCAAAAACATTCTGGAGATAGATAGTGATGGCTGCACAACTTTGTGAATATACTAAAAACCACTGTGAAACTGTACACATTTAAAAGGTGAATTTTATGGTATGTGAATAATATCTCAATAAGCCTCTTACTAAAGATTTTTCAGGATTAAAACGTCTAAAAACACTCCGGGGGTAGAAAAAAGAACAATGACGAAATTAAAAGGTGGAGAAGCCCTAACCTAGCATCTGCACATAGGGAGCATCACATACACACTTTAGTGGTGTTCTTTTGATTATTATTACAGATCTGTAATCTGTTTGCTGAAGCCCTTGGGACCAAGTATGTTTCTGAATTCAAAATTGTTGGGATTTTAGAAAGATAATGTGGTGCACATACATACAACAGCCCCAGCAAGGTTTGGGACAGCACCCAGGAAACCAACATTAACATTTCTGCAAGGAAACAGATGCGCATTCACACTGAATGAAACCAATAAGGACGCTAGGTCCTCACTCTCTGCTGTGGTTTGAATGTGTGCCCTAAAGTTCGTATGTTGGAACCTTAATTCTCAATGCAACAGTGTTGAGAGATGGAATCTTTCATGAGGCCTCTGCCCTCATGAATGGATTCATGCTGTTATTGCAAAAGCGTGTACCTGATAAAGGAATGAGTTTAGCTTCTTTCTCTTCTCTCTCTCCAGCTCTCGTGCCCTTCTGCCCTCCACCGTGGGATGATATAGCAAGAAGACCCCCACCAGATGCAACCCCTTGAACCTGGACTTCCCAGCCTCCAGAACTATGAGCCAAATGAATTTCTTTTCTTTATAAATTACTCAGTCTCAGGTATTCTGTTGTAGTAGCACAAAACTAAGACACTGCCCAGTATACCAGCTACATGTGACTATCAAGCCCCTGAAATATGGATAGTCTGAATTGAAATGTGCTTAGCCTGGCATGGTGGCTTACATCTGGAGTGCCAGCTCCTTGGGAGGCTAAAGCGCGAGGGTCCCTTGAGCCTAGGAGCTCGAGACTGCAGTGAACTATGACCACATCACTGCACTCCAGCCTGGGCAACAGAATGAGACCCTGTCTCTTAAAAATAAAATAACAAAATAAAACAATTGTGTTGTGAACATAAACTACTCATCAATTTCAAAGACTTAGTATGACAAAAATAAAAACAAATCATTTCTATATTGATTACAGATGTAATTATAATATTTTAAATAACTGGGTCAAATAAACTAGATCGTTAAAATTAACTTCACCTGCTTATTGCTGCTTTCTTAGATGTGGCTACTAGGAAATTTCGAAATGCACACATGGCTCATCTTTGTAGCTCCAATTCTATTTCAATTGGACGGTGCCCCTTTAAGGAAGTTTGCCTCAGTTCAAGGCAGACGTGCCCTCAAATGAGTTTGTTTCAAATTTATTTAAAACAAAGCCTGGGTGTGGTGGCTCCAGCCTGTAATCCCAGCACTTTGGGAGCCCAAAGAAGGTGGCTCGCTTGAGGCCAGCGGTTCAAGACCAGCCTGATCAACATAGTGAGACCCTGTCTCTATTAAAAAAAGCTACAAAAATTAGGCAACATGGTGGCACATGCCGATTGTCCCAGCTATTCAGGAGGCTGAGGCAAGAGGATCTATTGAGCCCAGGAGGTCAAGGCTACAGTGAGCTGTGATCAAACCACTGCACTCCAGCCTAGGCAAGAGAATGAGACCCTATTTCAAAAAACAAAGAAAAAAAAATTCGTTTTGCTTTCAGAGCTTTTGGATTTCTGGGTTGAATTGCAATTGCTAGATCAAAGATCTAGCCTGTGAGCCTGGAGAATCAGGGCTGAGAAGGACAGGGCGGGCAGCCCTCTCCCCAGCATCCCGTGGACAGCAGGCTCTACGCCCAGGACTGGCCTAACCTCCGCTGCCTAACCGTCATCCCCCTGCAGCCACCCTTCCCAGAGTCCTTTGCCCAGGCCACCCCAGGCTTCTTGGCAGCCCTGCCGGGCCACTTGTCTTCATGTCTGCCAGGGGGAGGTGGGAAGGAGGTGGGAGGAGGGCGTGCAGAGGCAGTCTGGGCTTGGCCAGAGCTCAGGGTGCTGAGCGTGTGACCAGCAGTGAGCAGAGGCCGGCCATGGCCAGCCTGGGGCTGCTGCTCCTGCTCTTACTGACAGCACTGCCACCGCTGTGGTCCTCCTCACTGCCTGGGCTGGACACTGCTGAAAGTAAAGCCACCATTGCAGACCTGATCCTGTCTGCGCTGGAGAGAGCCACCGTCTTCCTAGAACAGAGGCTGCCTGAAATCAACCTGGATGGCATGGTGGGGGTCCGAGTGCTGGAAGGTGAGTGAGCCCCAATTCCTCTGGCTGGACACTGGGAAGCTAGCTCTCAGCTTTGTCCCCTGCCCTGCTCTGTACGCCTGGGACCTGGCAGACTCCTGGCCCCAGTATAGCCTGCCTCGGCTATAAGGAGAGAGGAGGCCAGGGGCTGGATCTTCCTGGCGGCTGTGGCCCAGCTAACTGTTACGCAATTTTTTAGAAGTAGGAAAGATTTAAAGGCAACATGGGAAGGGATTTGGGAATTATCTTTTTCTCAGAATGAAATGATCCATTTGACAGCCCCTCCTCACAACGCCACGAACAAGGGGAGCAGGGAGAGTGCCCCGTTAACAGATATTTGTGGGAAGACCCCTCCCCTTGAATGAGGTGGCTGTGGACAAAACTGAGGACCCTCAAGATCGGGTTCCCACCCCACTTCCTCCACTTGCAGCCAAAGTCTCCTGAAGGTTCTGCAAAAACAGTCAAGTGTTTGTTTAGCTTTGAGAGCTATAAGATCCCCAAGAAGGGGGCTGGAGACAGGCCAAGGTAAACACACACATGCGCACATCATGCACACACACACAAGCACACATGCACGCACGCACACACACATGCACATCACACACACAAGCACGCATGCACGCATGCACACAAGCATATCACACACACACACAAGCACACAGGTGGCTCCCACAGGGCTGGGTGCTTCCTGGGGCGCATGTGATAGCAAAAGCTGTAGTTCACTAAGTATCTGCTCAATGTGGGCACAACCCAGGTGCATTGCATGGGGTACTTCAGTGCCCTCTCCCCGTCATCCCTGAGGTTACACCCATTATTATTATCCTCTTTTAGCAAAGAAGGGAGGGGGTTCTCTTAATCATGACTGGGCAGCATTCACTGGGAAAGCGGCCCCACCTAACAGCCTCAGACCAGGGTCCCCACTCCTTGGCAGCTGCAGTGAGCCCGGCTTCTCCACCCACGCCACATCCCACATCCACTGCCCCTTCTCCTCTCAATAATCTTGCTCCATAACAGATTCCCTAGGAATTCAGTGCTTAATACAACCACACCCGTGAACTGTGCCCAGAAGGGAGCAAAGGCAGTGCCAGTGCCTAGAACAGAGCTTCAGAACTGGACTGCCCAGGTTCAAATCCTGGATCTCCCCCAACTGGCTGCATGGCACTGAGTTAACTGCTCTCGTGGAGTTTTGGTTTCCTCATCCTTCAGCTGCAGCTGGTGGATGGGAGTATCACACGATCATGCACATGTGTCTCATGAGATTGTGTGTATATGTCATCTTACCAGTGGGGCTCAGTACTTGTCAGCCATTACTGTTTCCATCTATCAAAGCATTGAGCATCCTTGACTAGCAGCAACGGCTTCCTCACCTGTGTCTCTCTAAACAATGAGCTCCCAGTGGGCAGGGTCTACGTCCCATTGCAGTGGTCCCCAACCTTTTTGACACCAGGGACTGGTTTTGTGGAAAGCAATTTTTCCATGGACTGAGGTGGAGGGGAGGGTTTCAGGACAATTCACGTGCATTAAATTTATTGTGCACTTTATTTTTTATTTATTATTATTATTATATTATTATTATTTTGAGACGGAGTCTCGCTCTGTCGCCCAGGCTGCAGTGCAGTGGTGCCACCTCAGCTCACTGCAACCTCCACCTCCAGGTTCAAGCGATTCTCCTGCTCAGCCTCCCAAATAGCTGGGACTACAGGTACCCACCACCACGCCCGGCTAATTTTTGTATTTTTGGTAGAGATGAGGTTTTACCATGTTGGCCATGCTGGTCTTGAACTCCTGGACTTAAGTAATCCACCTGCCTCGGCCTCGCAAAGTGCTGGGATTACAGGCGTGAGCCACCGTGCCCAGCCCACTTTCTGTTTATTGTTATTATGTTATAATATATAATTATACAACTCGCCACAATGTAGAATCAGTTGAAGCCCTGAGACTGTTTTCCTGCAAGTAGATAATCCCGTCTGGGGGTGATAGGAGACGGTCTCAGATCATCGGGCATTAGATCCTCATAAGGTGTGTGCAGCCTAGATCCCTCGTATGTGCAATTCACAACAGGGTTCACACTCCTGTGAGAATCGAATGCAGCCACTGATCTGACAGCAGGCGGAGCTCAGGCGGTAGTGACAGCGAATGATGGGGAGTGGCTGTAAATTACAGATGCAGCTTAGCTCGCTCACCCACCACTCACCTCCTGCTGTGCGGCCCCATTCCTAACAGGCCATAGACCAGTAATGGACTGGAGGTTGGGGACCCCTGTCCTATTGGACTTTGTAGACCCGGTGCAATCACAGGAGGAGACACTCTGACACACAGGGAGCCCCTCCCTGTCAGCACTCCCAAGCCTTTACTTCTTCCCTGCGGGTTTGCCCATGGAGGGGGCTGAGCAGAGGGGGCGTGCCAGAGCCGGTCGCCCTGGAGGACTACCTCAGCATCCTTCTTAACCTAGCCCATCCTCCCTAACAAGGTTCCTACCTGACTGCAGCTGCCCCACTTCATCCCTCGCCCTCTCAGCCCTGCGTGAATGCTCTCACTCGGATGTTCTCACTCATGTCTCCCCAATTTCTGGCCACCTCTGGATCTTCACCATTGTCTCCCACCTCAACAAAGCCACTGCTAGCCCACAGGGTACCTCTGTGGGAATTAGAAAAAGGCACTTCCTTCCTGAAGTCACTTGACAGCCATCTGCTGGGAAATTGTCTTACTGCATATACAAACCCATGATCCAAATGTGTGTTGCCCTTGTGCAGTGTACAACCTGCTCAACTGTACACAGTGGTTCTCTACCCTGCAACCTTTCTCTGGCCATCCAACAAGAAAGTATATGAGTCAAGGATTTGAGGATTTGAACCTCAAGTATCAAAGATTTGAACCCAGGCCCGCCTCCAGAAACCAAGCTCTCAGCCACCACCTTCTACTACTCTGACACCCATTCTCATTGCCCAGATCACCCCCATCCTGGCCTCATTTCCAGTCAGCTCAGTAAATCCTTCCCCTCTGAGTGCTGGAGAAGGCAGAGAGGCTCCCAGGAAGCATTAGACTTTGGGGCATTTTTTTTTCTTGTTCCAAGGCAAAAAAAGGTCCCGATTCCAAATAGTTGAATGAATTAACTCTGTTCCCTTCCAGAGCAGCTAAAAAGTGTCCGGGAGAAGTGGGCCCAGGAGCCCCTGCTGCAGCCGCTGAGCCTGCGCGTGGGGATGCTGGGGGAGAAGCTGGAGGCTGCCATCCAGAGATCCCTCCACTACCTCAAGCTGAGTGATCCCAAGTACCTAAGAGGTGAGCACACGCAGGGTGTCCCATTCCCTCAGGAATAGCGCCTATGGGGATATTGACTGAAATAACCCAGCGTGGGCTCTCCTGGGGCAAGGCTGGGCTGGGACAGTCCGTAACCAACTTGGACCTGTCTGCTGAGCAAGCCACAGACGAGCCCTGGGGACGTGCGGTCATCCTTGACTTCAGACTCTGACGGGCTCTCCTACCCACACAGAGGTGTGCAGAGGAAGCAGGGTGTCTTCTCTCAAGCATTCAGCGCACGCACAAGCTGGAGGTCCTGGTCCTAGACTAGAGCGGAGAGGCTGGGCTGTCCCAGAGGGGAGAGTATCCAAAAGGCAATTCAACCCTTTGCACAGCAAACAGTAGTGTCCCATGTCACCAAATTATTTTAATCCACTTCATTAAATGTCAGTAGAAATTCCCGAAGTTGTCCACACACTATTTTTCAAAACAGTGGGGTTTATCTTTCTCATGCCTTATGACCACTGAGAGTCTCTCTCTCCTCACCAGCCCCGAGTGACCCTGCAAAAGGTCCCATCTAATAAGTTTGGCTGAGTTGTTCCTGGATGGCAAGGGCGGGGCACAAATAACCAGTCCATCATGCTGCTCCAACCCTGTCCCCTCTGCTCCCCACTCCCATCAGATGCATGGGGGTGAGCGGGGAGGTAGCCAGGCCACGCTTCATGCTCACACGGCAGTCCAGCCGCAGGGACCATAGCCCATGCTGACCTTTCCAATTTTAAGGTCCCCCACCCTCTCCCAGGCCTGGTCCCTAACACTGTCCCCACCTATGTCATCTTAAAGATATCTATGACTGGGCATCTGTTTAGTTAAGAGCTCCACGTTCTCACCAAACCAAAAGGTCTACCAATATCACCTCCCCACTAATTCCACCTCCCCACTTGTTTTTTTTTTTGGGGGGGTTTTTTTTTTTTTTTTTTTTGAGACAGTGTCTCACTCTGTCTCTCTTTTTTTTTTTTTTTTTTTTTTTTTTTGAGACAGAGTCTCACCCTGTCGCCCAGGCTGGAGTGCAGTGGTGCGATCTCAGCTCACTGCAACCTCTGCAACCTGGGTTCAAGTGATTTTCCTGCTTTAGCCTCTCTCAAGTAGCTGGGACTACAGGCATGCGCCACCACGCCCGGCTTTTTTTTTTTTTTTTTTTTCTTGAGATGGAGTCTTGCTCTGTCACCCAGGCTGGAGTGCAGTGGTGCAATCTCGGCTCACTGCAAGCTCTGTCTCCCGGGTTCATGCTATTCTCCTGCCTCAGCCTCCTGAGTAGCTGGGACTACAGGCACCTGCCACCACACCCAGCTAATTTTTTGTATTTTTAGTAGAGATGGGATTTCACTGTGTTAGCCAGACTGGTCTTGAACTCCTGACCTCAAGTGATTCGCCCGCCTTGGCTTCCGAAAGTGCTGGGATTATAGGCGTGAGCCACCGCTCTTGGCCCTGCCTCTTAAAAAAAAAAAAAAAAAAAAAAAAGGCTGATCATAGCTCACTGCATTCTCCAACTTCTAGACTCAAGCAACCTTCCTGCCTCAGCTGGGACTACAGGTGCACACCACCACACCTGGCTACTTTTTTTATTTTTGTGGAGACAGAGTCTTGCTATGTTGCCTAGGCTGGTCTTGAACGTTGGGCCTCAAGCGATCTTCCTTCCTTAGCCTCCCCAAGTGCTGGGATGACAGGCGTGAGCCCTGCACCTGGGAAACTAAACCTTTTATTTATCTGGGGTTTCCATGGGATGCAGTGGGTTTAGTCAAATCCCGTCCCATCACTGTTCCTATTGATTAGGGGAAAAAATGGTTTTATAAGCAAAAGGAGCTTTCTTGAGTGTTTCAAACCCAATCTGGGACCAGGGGACAGGGCTTAGAGCCCTGAGCTGCACCTGCCAGTGGGCAGGGCTGCAGGAGGAGGTGGGGACACCAGGGTGGCCCACTGCTCCTGGGTCACCCCCACACCCCACCCCATCTATCTGTCCTCTCTGCCAGAGTTCCAGCTGACCCTCCAGCCCGGGTTTTGGAAGCTCCCACATGCCTGGATCCACACTGATGCCTCCTTGGTGTACCCCACGTTCGGGCCCCAGGACTCATTCTCAGAGGAGAGAAGTGACGTGTGCCTGGTGCAGCTGCTGGGAACCGGGTGGGCCCTGCACTTGCCCTATTTGCTGGAAACCCAAACGCACTAGTTCTCAGCTGGTCCTGTCCCGCTCCTCCTTCTCCAAGCCCTAGGGCTGAAGCCAGGGGTTTGTGCAGACACAGGTGCAGCTCCCTGTAGCTGCCGGGTACTGCCCTCTCCTACTCCAGCAGGGTCCCCCTTGCTCCAGCCGCCCGCTGGCCTCCCATGCCACAGCAGGCCTTCCAGCAGCCATGGCTGAACACACCACCTCCAGGCCCCAGGACAAATCCCCAATTCCTCTCCGCAGTTCCAAGTCTCCAGGCCCCTAGAGGCCTCTTTTCAGACTCTCCAAGGCTTCCTCCCACTTCAAAGACTTTGCTCCCCCCACCCCACCCACTCCACCCCCTGGGCCTCAGGAAGTCTGCCCATCCTCCAGGGCTGGCGCCAGCATCCTACCTCCAACCCCATCCTATCTCTGACCCCAGCACATAGCAGACCTCCTGTGAGGGCCTCTCCTGGCACCTCTTATAGCCACAGATGCAATTTACATTTGTATTATGAGCCTGTCCCCATCCCCAGTGAGGATGCAGCTCCAGGAAGACAGGACTGAGCCTAGCTGGGCTCCTCATTTTATCCTGGTGTTTGGTGGGCTTGGAACAAGGCCCCAGGGCAGCCCTAGGTGCAGGGCCCATGGGCAAAGTGGGCAGCCGGTGCCCAGGCCGCATCCTGTCAGCATCCTTCAGAGCAGTGCTTAGGCCAGGACACAGCTGGATTCACGGAGGGGCTGGGCCCCAGCCAAGGACCTCTGCTTTTTAAAAATTTTTATTTATTTTTATTTTTTTGAGACAGAGGCTCACTGTCCCCCAGGCTGGAGTGCAGTGGTGTGTTCTTTCTCGGCTCACTGCAAGCTCCTCCTACCAGGTTCAAGTGATTCTCATGCCTCAGCCTCCTGAGTAGCTGGGATTACAGATGTGCGCCACCATGCCCGGCTAATTTTTGTATTTGTGTGTGTATTTTTTATTTTTACTTTATTTTATTTTATTTTTATTTATTTATTTTGAGATGGAGTCTCGCTCTGTCTCCCAGGCTGGAGTGCAGTGATGCGATCTCAACTCACTGCAACCTCTGCCTCCCGGATTCAAGTGATTCTCAAGTGATTCTCCTGCCTCAGCCTCCCGAGTAGCTGGGATTACAGGCACGTGCCACCACACCCAGCTAATTTTTGTATTTTTTGTAGAGACAGGGTTTCACCATGTTGGCCAGGCTGGTCTCGAACTCCTGACCTCAGGTGACTTGCCTGCCTCAGCCTCCCAAAGTGCTAGAATTATAGGTGTAAGCCACCGCGCCTGGCTGGTGCAGGAGGAATAAGCATGTTGGGCCCAGATTCCAAGTGGTCTGGGTTCAAGTACCCACTGTTCGGGGCTGGAAAAGATGTGATTTGGCCCATGGAGCAATAGGAAGTTTCAGCCTTGGTGGCTTCCTCAACCCCAGAATAGCTCTAGCGTCATCTTTCCTGGGCTAGGGCAGCCAGATTTAGCAAATCAAAATGCAGGACTGCTGTATTGTCTCTGTCAACCCCCATGCCCAGCTGGGTGTCTGGAATCTACTGGGAGTTCCAACAACTACAACTAGGGGGCTGGGAAGACGCAGGGCAGAGTCAGCGCTCCATCCTTAACAGCTTGGAACCACTTTCCCCCAGGACGGACAGCAGCGAGCCCTGCGGCCTCTCAGACCTCTGCAGGAGCCTCATGACCAAGCCCGGCTGCTCAGGCTACTGCCTGTCCCACCAACTGCTCTTCTTCCTCTGGGCCAGAATGGTGAGTGCCCAGGGAGCCCCCGCCGTGCCAGGGGAAGGGGAAGGAAAAAGGAAAAGGGGCAGCCGGACGTGGTGGCTCATGCCTGTAATCCAAGCACTTTGGGAGGCCAAGGCAGGCAGATCACTTGAGGCCAGGAGTTCAAAACCAGCTGGGCCAACATGGTGAAACCCATTCTCTACTAAAAATACAAAAAAAAAATTAGCTGGACGTGGTGGCGTGCACCTGTAATCCCAGCTACAAGAGGAGGCTGAGGCAGGAGAATCACTGGAACCCGGGAGGCGGAGGTTGCAGTGAGTAAGATTGCGCCACTGCACTCCAGCCCAGGCAATGGACTAAGACTCTGCCTCAAAAAAAAAGAAAAAAGAAATAAATGAAAAAGGGCTCATGGCAGTGTAGTTCTGTCTGCTACACACCAGGAAAATAAGCAGAGCTTTGGATTTCTACTTGGGACCTCAGGAGGGAGAAGTAGGGCCCCTATCATACTCCTGCTGTGTAATTGAGCCGATTTGGGATCTGGCATTTGGGATTCTGTTAGGCCAGTGAAACAGATAGCTTTGCCTGCTGAACTGGACTGTAGGGCATCAGAAAAACACAACGAGAGAGAGAAAGAGAGAATAAAAGAGAATCATCAGAAAGAACTCTGTAAACAAAAACAAATGAATGAGGCCGGGCACGGTGGCTCACACCTGTAATCCCAGCACTTTGGGAGGCTGAGGTGGGTGGATCACTTGAGATCAGGAGTTCGAGACCAGCCTGGCCAACATGGTAAAATCCCGTCTCTACTAAAAATACAAAAATTAGTCGGGCATAGTGGCATGCACCTGTAATTCCAGCTACTCGGGAGGCTGAGGCAGGAGAATCGCTTGAACCAGAGAGGCAGAGGCTGTAGTGAGCTGAGATCATGCTACTACATTATATATGCCACTATATATATATATGCCGCTCTCTATATATATACATATAAAAAAATAGAAAAAGAAAAATATATATATGGTGGCATATATATATATATACACACACACCAGTATATATATTTCTTTTCTTTATATATATACTACCATACACACTATATATATATGCCACTATATATATACCACTATATATATACCACTATATATATATCACGATATATATAATCACTATATATACCACTATATATATACACCACTATGTATATATATACCACTATATATATATATACACATATATATATACATATATATATGTATATTTCTTTTCCTTCTTTTTTTTTTTTTGAGATGGAGTCTCACTCTGTTGCCCAGGCTGGAGTGCAGTGGCACGATCTCAGCTCACTGCAACCTCTGCCTCCCGGATTTAAGCAATTCTCTGCCTCAGCCTCCCAAGTAGCTGGGATTACAGGCACGTCCCACTATGCCCAGCTAATTTTTGTATTTTTAGTAGAGATGGGGTTTCACCATGTTGGCCAGGCTGGTCTTGAATTCCGGACCTCGTGATCCACCCGCCTCGGCCTCCCAAAGTGCTGGGGTTAGAGGCATGAGCCACTGTGCCTGGCCATATATATTTCTTCATACAGAAAGGTAGGGTTCATTATCTTCATTCAAAAAACAATGTGATTCAGTGTCCAGAAATCCTTAGCTGAGGAGACACTCTCTGTTTTTGTTCAACAGAATTTAAAAATTATTATTTCTCTGCAAGCTGTGACAGCCCAATATTTTTATAAATACAATAAAAACCATATTACAAGGGAATTATTTTGATCATTAGATTCAGCAGGTGGAAAGTAACTCTGACCACTGCTACAGAAGTGTCTAAAGCCTGCTGTCAACTCTTGTTCTTCTCTCCCAGTGTGGGGAGTCACCAGCCCGGTTCTTGGCCCACACTTTGAGTAGCACTGAAGCTGCCCGCGGGTTCAGGCTCGTTGTACATTGCATTGCCCCCGCGATCGGTCACAGAGCACCTCCTAGTGGCCCAGGCATCACATTGGGCACTTCCCAGCTGTGTCATCCCCCTACGAGAGCCCCTCTGGTGCCGTTTCTAGAGGCCTCGCCCTTTCCTGATAAAAACTCTTGAGGCTCAGAAAGGTTACTTTAGCAAACCAAGTGGTTTGCTCCTAAGTGGCAGAGCTGGATCTCGAACCCAGCAGGCTGGGGGTGTGCATGGGGAAGAAATCCTGCGAAAAGGAGAAAAAGACCTGCCCTAAACACAGCCCTAAACACAGCCCCTTGCAAGACCGTCTCAGAACTGCAAGACTTTCCCATAGCAGGGCGTGTGTCTGTCATCTGTACCACTGACTCCCTTGTCTTTGGGTGTTTGTCTCCCCAGAGGGGGTGCACACAGGGACCACTCCAACAGAGCCAGGACTATATCAACCTCTTCTGCGCCAACATGATGGACTTGAACCGCAGAGCTGAGGCCATCGGATACGCCTACCCTACCCGGGACATCTTCATGGAAAACAGTATGGCCAGCATTCTGCCCCCGGGGCAAAGGAACAGGGTGTCCCCCCACCAACACACACACACACACACACACACACACACACACACACACACACACACACACACACACACACGGAGTTGCCAGATTAAGCAAGTAAAAATACAGAGTGCTCAGTTAAATTTGAACTTCAGATAAGCAATGAATCCATTTTTAGTATAAGTTTATCCCAACTATTTCATGGGATATACTTACACTCAAAAATTATATTCATTGTTTATCGAAAACTCAAATGTAACTGGGCATCCTGTATTTTACCTGCCACTGTGTGACAGTTTCCTGCCCCCAAAGGCTGCCCCAGTGACGGAGCTCTACACAGATGGACCAGGTGACTGGCAGACAGACCCACAAAGCCTTATGGATGAGGCAGACAGGGAGCGCTTGGGAGGCTGCTAGCTGGCTGGGGTGTCCAAACTCCTCCACTGATCCTGACTTTGGAGCAGCCCTGACCAAGGCCCTCAGTGGGAGGCGGGACACAAGCATGGGAGCCCCTAGTTGGTCAGGCAAAGGCTCAAGCTGCCTCCTTCCCTCCTCTGCATTGAACGCCCACCTCCTAAGCCTAACCCAGGCAGATGAAGGCAGGTGGCACCGTGGCAGCCCTGGGGAGTGGGAGGAGGTGGGCCTGGGGGGCAGGCCTGCAGAGGGCCCCCGTCTTTACTTCCAGTCATGTTCTGTGGAATGGGCGGCTTCTCCGACTTCTACAAGCTCCGGTGGCTGGAGGCCATTCTCAGCTGGCAGAAACAGCAGGAAGGATGCTTCGGGGAGCCTGGTGAGCTGCGCTGCTGCCCTGGCTAAGAAGGGGGGCAGTGGGGGTGGGGGTGGCTCTGAGTTTCTAGGCCAGGTGTGGGAACAATGCATTGGTGTTAAGGTTGCCAAGGGATTTGTAACCTACAGGTGCACACACACAGACGTGTACACACAAGGAGAAACGGGCTCGGAGCCTTGGAAGCCAAAATGTGGCAAGACAGGAGGCCGTCTTATTGGAAGGTGTTGGCCCCTACAGCTGCATTAACAAGCCCATTTGTATTGTACTGTTTTTATGCTGATGATAAAGACAAACCCAAGACTGGGTGATTTATAAAGAAAAAGAGGTTTAATGGACTCACAGTTGCACACTGCTGGGGAGGCCTCACAATCATAGTGGAAGGCGAAAGGGACGTCTCACATAGTGGCAGACAAGAGAGAATGAGAAGCAAGCACAAAGGGAAACCCCTTATAAAACCATCAGATCTGTGAGACTTATTCATTACCGTGAGAACGGTATGGGGGAAACGGCCCCCATGATTCAATTACCTCCCACCAGGTCCCTCCCACAGCACATGGAAATTATGGGAGCTACAATTCAAGATGAGACTTGGGTGGGGACACAGCCAAACCACATCAGCATTCATTCAGCAAGTACGTATTGAGCACCCACTAATGTACCAGACACCATCTAGGCTCTAGGGAAAACTAGAGGCCTGAGGAAAAGAAACATAAATCACCTAAACAAACCAAGAAGTGAAATAATTGCACATTCTGATAAGAGCTATAAAGGAGACGACAGGGTGAGGAAGAAGAGAAGTCCAGGAAAGGCTCTCCAGGTGGGTGACTGGGAACAACTACATGGGAGGAGGTGACGTAGCAGAGGGTGGAGAGGCAGAGGACTCAGCCACTTCCCAGCCATGTGACAATGGACAGCTGGTCCCTTTGCAATAAGTCGCTTCACCCCTCTCAGCCTCAATTTCCCTGTCTGAAAATAAATGAGCATAGTAATCCCCACCTTCCTGAGCTGCAAGGAGAGTCAACGTAATACATTTGAAGCCGCATAGCCTGTGCCAGGTACACGGCAGCTCCCAGGAAATGCTAGTGTCCTCATTAGAAGCTTGGGATGCTCCACGAAGCAAAAGCTTTTGAAATAAGATGGTGCGTTTTTAAAAGAGTTTATACGATGAAGATTCTTAGGCCTCCAGATGTATAGCTTCGGCGGGTTGGGGATGGGGCTGTGGAACTTGCATTTTTGGCTTTATTATTATTCTCAATAGACATGTAATAATTGTACATATTTATAGGGTACAGTGTGATATTTCCATACATGTATACAATATGTAATGAGCAGACGCATCACCTCAAACATCTGTCATTTCTTTGTGTTGGGAACATTCCAAATTCGCTCTTCTAGCTATTTGAAAATACACAATAGGCTACGCCTTATAATCCCACCACTTTGGGAGGCCAAGGCAGGCAGATGGCTTGAGCTCAGGAATTAGAAACCGGCCTGGCCAACATGGCAAAACTCCATCTATACCAAAAATATCAAAAACATTAGCCGGGTGTGGTGGCGCACACCTATGGTCCCGGCTACTTGGGAGAATGAGGTGGGAGAATCACTTGAGCCCAGCAGGAGGCCGAGGCTGCAGTGAGCCATGACTGCACCACTGCACTTCAGCCTGGGTGACAAAGCGAGACACTGTCTTTAAAAAAAAAAAAAAAACCACAAATTGTTGTTATTTGCAATCACCCTATAGTGCTATGGAACGGTACCACTTATTCCTCCTCCTGGCTGTACTAGTGCATCCCCTAACCAACCTCTGGTTATCTCCTCTCCCCCATCCCCCTCCCCACCTCTAGTAACCACTATTCAACACTCCACTTCTTTTTTTTTAGAGATGGAGTCTCGCTCTGTCACCCAGGCAGGAGTGCAGTGGCACTATCTTGGCTCAATGCAACCTCCGCCTCCCAGGTACAAGCGATTCTCCTGCCTCAGCCTCCCGAGTAGCTGGGACTACAGGTGCATGCCACCACGCCCAGCTAATTTTTGTATTTTTAGTAGAGAGGGGGTTTCACCATGTTGGCCATGCTGGTCACGAACTCCTGACCTCAAGTGATCCACCCACCTCGGCCTCCCAAAGTGCTGGGATTACAGGCACCCTGCCTCAACACTGCACTTCTATGAGATCAACTTTTTTAGCTTCCACATACGAGGAAGGACATGCAACATTTATCTTTCCATGCCTGGCTTACTTCAATTAGTATAATGTCCTCCAAGTTCATCGATGTTGCTATGAATGAAAGAATTTGGTTATTTTTATGGTGAAATAGTACTTCATTGGGTCTGTGTACCACATTTTCTCTGTCCATTCATCTGCTGATAGAAACTCAGGTTGCTGTATCTTGGCTACTGTGAATAGCGCTGCAATAAACATGGGGGTGCAGATGTCTCTTCAACATACCAATTTCCTTTCCTTTGGATAAATATCCAGTAGTGGGATTGCTGGATCATATGATAGTCCTATTTTTAGCTTTTTGACAAATCTCCATACTGCTTTCCATAATGTCTGTACTAATTTACATTCCCATCAACTGTGTGTAAGAGTTCCCCTTTCTCTTCATCTTTGCCAGCATTTGTTATCTGTTGTCTTTTTTTTTTTTCTTTCTTTCTTTTTAGACAGGGTCTCACTCTGTCACCCAGGCTGGAGTGCAGTGGTGCGATCTCGGCTCACTGCAACCTCTGCCTCCTGGGTTCAAGAGATTCTCCAGCCTCAGCTTCCTGAGTAGCTGAGACTACAGGTGGGAGCCACCAACACCCGGCTAATTTTTGTATTTTTTGTAGAGACAGAGTTTCGCCATGTTGCCCAAGCTGATCCAGAATTCCTGAGCTCAAAGTGATCCACCAGCCACGGCCTCCTAAAGTGCTGAGATTAGAGGCGTGAGCCACTGCGCTTGGCCATTTTTTGTCTTTTTGATAGTAGCCATTTTAACAGGTGTGAGATGCTATCTCATTGTGGTTTGATTTGCGTTTCTCTGATGATTAGGGATAGTGAGCGTTTTTCATAGACCTGTTGGCCATTTGTATGCCTTCTTTTGAGAGATGTCTATGCAGCTCATTTGCCTTTTTTCTTTTCTTTTTCCTTCTTTTTTTTTTTTTTTTTTTTTGAGACAGTCTCGTTCTGTCACCCAGGATGGTGTGCCGTAGCACAGTCTTGCTCACTGCAACCTCCACCTCTCGGGTTCAAGCGATTCTCCTGCCTCAGCCTCCCGAGTAGCTGGGATTACAGCCACCCACCACCATCATGCCCGGCTAATATTTGTATTTTCAGTAGAGACAGGGTTTCTACATGTTGGCCAAGCTGGTCTTGAGCCCCTGGCCTCAAGTGATCTGCCTACCTCGACCTCCCAAAGTCCTGGGATTATAGGCGTCAGCCACCGCACCTGGCCATATTTTGTTTCCTATAGCCTTGAAGCATATTTTGAAGTCCAGTAATGTGATGCTTCCAGCTTTGTTCTTTTTCCTTAGGATTGCTTCACTATTTGGGGTCTTTGGTGGGTCTATACAAATTTTAGGATTTTTTTTTCTATTTCTGTGAAGAATGTCATTGGTATTTTGATTCAATCTGTAGATCACTTCGGTAGCATGGATATTTTTCACAATATTAATTCTTCCAATCCATAAACATGGGATGTCTTTTCATTTTTTGTGTGTTCTCTTCAATTTCTTTCATCAGTGTCTTTTACAGTTTTCCTTGTAGAGATCTTTCACCTCCTTGGTTAAATTTATTCCTGGGTATTTTGGTTTTAGCTCTTATAAATAGGATTACATTCTTGATTTCTTTTTCTGCTAGTTCATTGTAGGTGTATGAAATGCTACTGATTTTTTGTATGTTTATTCTGTATTCTGCAACTTTGTTGAATTCATTTATCAGTTCTAAGAGTTTTTTTGGTGGAGCTTTTAGGGTTTCCTGTCTATCAGATCATGTCATCTGCAAACAGGTACAATTTGACTTCCTCCTTTTTCATTTGGATGCCCTTTTTTGTTTCTCTTGCTTAATTGCTCTGGCTAAGACTTCTAGTATTATGTCAAATAAAAATGGTGAAATTAGGCACTCTTGTGTTGTTCCAGTTCTTACAGGAAAAGCTTTCAACTTTTCCTCACTCAGTGTAATGTTGGCTGTGGGTCTGTCATATATGACCTTTATTATATTGAGGCACATTCCTTCTATACCTAACGTATTGAGAGATTTATCATGAAGGGATGTTAAATTTCATCACATGCATTTTCCTGCATCTATTAAGATGATTATATGATTTTTGTCTTTCATTCTATTGGTGTAATGTATCATATTTATTGATTTGCATATGTTGAACCATCCTTGCATCCCTCCAATAAAGTCCCCTTGTTCATGATGAATGATTTTTTTTAAAATGCAAAACATTCATTACTTACTGGAAGTGGTCAAAGTAGGAAAGCCATGAATGGTTTTTAATGTGTTGCTGGGTTTGGTTTGCTAGTATTTTGTTAAGGATTTTTGCATCTAGGTTCATCAGGGAAATCGGCCTATAGTTTTTTTGTTGTTGCTTTGTCCTTGGCTGGTTTTAGTATTGGGGTAATGCTGAACTTGTAGAATGAGTTGGGAAAATTTTCCTCCTCTTCAATTTTCTGGACGAGACTGAAAAGAATTGGTATTTGTTCTTTAAATATTTGGTAAAATTCAGCAGTGAAGCTGTCAGGTCCTGGGCTTTTTGTTTTGGGGAGACTTTTTATTACACATTCAATCTCATTACTCATAATTGGTCTGTTCAGGTTTTCTATTTCTTCTTGGTTCAATTTCAGTATGTCGTATGTGTCCAGCAATTTATCCATTTCCACTAGGTTTTCTTTTTTTTTTTGGAGACAGAGTCTTGCTCTGTCACCCAAGCTGGAGTGCAGTGGCGCAATCTCAGCTCACTGCAACCTCCACCTCCCGGGTTCAAGTGATTCTCCTGCCTCAGCCTCCCAAGTAGCTGGAATTACAGGCGCCCGCCACCATGCCTGGCTAATTTTTGTATTTTTAGTAAAGACTGAGTTTCATCATATTGACCAGGCTGGTCTCGAACTCCTGACCTCAAGTGATCTGCCCACCTTGGCCTCCCAAAGTGCTGGGATTACAGGCATGAGCCACCACACCCAGCACACTCCACTAGGTTTTCTAATTTGTTGTTTATAATAGTCTCTAATGATCCTTTGTATTTCAGTGGTATCAGCTGTAAAAGTTCCTTTTTCTTTCTGATTTCATTTACTTGAGTCTTTTCTCTTTTTTTCTTAGTCTAGTTAATAATTTATCTGTTGATCTTTTTTAAAAACCAACTTTTTGTTTCATTGATCTTTCCTATTGTTTCTTTAGTCTCTTATTTATTTCTGCTCTGATCTTTACAATTTCTTTCCTTCTACTAATTTGGGGCTTGATTTGGTCTTGCTTTTCTAGTTCCTTGGGATGTATCATTAGTTCGTTATTTGAAATCTTTCTGCTTTTTTGATGTAGGTATTTATTGATGTAAATTTCCCTCTTAATACTGGTTTTGCTATATCCCATAGGTTTTGGCATATTGTGTTTCTATTTTCACTTGTGTTAAGAAATTTTTAAATGTTCATCTTAATTTCTTCATTTGCTCATTGGTCATTCAGGAACATGTTGTTTAATTTCCCTGTATTTGTACAATTTTGAAAGTTCCTCTTGTTATTGATTTCTAGTTTTATTCCATTGTGGTCAAGAAGATACTTGCTATGATTTAAATTCTTTTAAATTTGCTGAGACTTGTTTTTTGGCCTAACATATGGTCTATTTTGGAGACTGTTCCATGTGCTGATGAGAAGAATATATATTCTGCAGCAGTTAGATGAAATGTTCTGTAAATGTCTGTTAGATTCATTTGGTCTTAAGTGCAGTTTAAATTCAGTGTTTCTTTGTTGAGTTTCTGTCTAGATGATCTGTCCAATGCTGAGAGCAAGGTGTTGATGTCTTCAGCTATTATTGTATTGGAGTCTATCTCTCCCTTTATATCTAATAACATTTGCTTTAGGGTTCTCCAGTGTTTAATACATATATTTTTTGAATTGTTATGTCCTCTTGCTAAATTCCTTATCATTATATAATGACCTTCTTTGTCTCTTTTTACAGTTTTTGACTTAAAGTCTGTTTTATCTAAGTATAGCTACTCCTTCTTCCTTCTGGTTTCCATTTATGTGGAAGATCTTTTCTCACTCTTTCACTTTCATTCCATATGTGTCTTTACCAGTGAAGTGAGATTCTTGTAGGCAGCATATAGTTGGGTCGTTTTTTTTCATTCATTCAGCCACTCTATATATCTTTTAAGTGGGGGACTGAATCAATTTGCATTCAAGGTTATTATTGGCTTGTGAGGACTTACTCCTGTCATTTCATTAATTGTTTTCTGGTTATCTTCTATATCCTTTGATTTTTTTTTCTTCCTTTCTTATTGTTATCACTGCTGTTTGGGCTTTTCTCTAGTGATAGTTTTGCTTCTTTTCTCTTTCTTCTTTCTATTTCTCCTCTACCAGTAACTTTTATACTTTTTCATGTTTTCATGATAGTTATTATTGTCTTTTTCTTTTCAGATGTAGGATTCCCTTGAGCACTTCTTGTAAGGCCAGTCTAGTGGTAATGAAATCCCTCAGTTTTTTGCTTATCTTGGAGGGACTTCCATTTTTAACAGGCACCTCCAGTGGTTCTGATGGTGGGTGTTTGGGGAGCCACAGTTTGGAAAACCATCAGTAGATGACAAGTTTAGGCCATGCAAAAGGATCTGCAGACAGGTGCAGGAGGAAACTTCCGGAATAGCCTCAAGTTTCAAGAGAAGACCTAACTTCCTTGAAATGTTATGGGGGCAGGAGGTTTAGTGAGTAACATTTAAAAATTCAGCTTGAGACCAGCTGCAGGGGCTCACACATATAATCCAGTACTTTGGGAGGCCAAGGCTGGAGGGTCACTTGAGCTCAGGAGTTCAAGTCCAGCCTGGGCAACATAGCAAGACCCCATCTCTACCAAAAAAAAATTTTTTTTAAATAGCTGGACATGGTAGTCCATGCCTGTAGTCCGAGCTACTTGGTAGGCTGAGGCAGGAAGGATTCTGTGAGCTTGGGAGTTCGAGGTTGTGGTGAGCTATGATTGCGTTACTGCACCCAGCCTGGCCAATAGAATGAGACCCTGTCTCTACAATAAAAGCAGTAAAAAGAAATAAAAATGTAAAAAATAAAAATCTCTCTTGAGAAGTTCAACTTTTGCTCTTCTCCCAGATGCTGAAGATGAAGAATTATCTAAAGCTATTCAATATCAGCAGCATTTTTCGAGGAGAGTGAAGAGGCGAGAAAAACAATTTCCAGGTAATGAAAATACCCAAGGGAGTTTCTTGACATGAAACTAAGATATCCTAGCAAAACAGAGGCCTGTGTTTATTCTCTGCTATGGAAGAAAAGCACTTGGCATCACCAAAGGGGCACTAATCAGAGGGCCTTCATGTTGAGAGGTGGAAGGGAGGCTGGGGGTCCCTGATGGCCTCCTCTTAGAAAGTGGGGAGATAGCCTGGGCAACATAACAAAACCCTGTCTCTACTAAAAATACAAAACTTAGCTGGGCATGGTGGCACACGCCTGTAGTCCCAGTTACTCGGGAGTCTGAGGCATGAGATTTACTTGAACCCAGGAGGTGGAGGCTTCAGTGAGCTGAGATCGCACCACTGCACTCCAGCCCAGGTGACAGAGCAAGACCCTGTCTCAAAAAAAAAAAAAAGAAAGAAAGAAAGTGGGGAGTCCAAGAGATACTGTCTTTTGTTAAAGGAGCATAAAAGAGAAGTTTCAGTTGTTAAAAATAGCAACAGTAACCCTTCTAAGTCAAGGTCTGGTCAGGAAAATAGAACCTGCGTCAGGAACTTCAACAGAGGGAATTTACTAGAGGAAACTCATCTCAGAGGTGTTGTAAGAGCTGAAAACAGAAAAGGTGGAAAAACCCAGAGATTTTACTGTTGCAGGAAGCCACTACCCTCCCTAGAGCTGGAGAATGGCAGGAGGAGGCAGTGTTAATAGGGCCTGCAGGGGCTGAACAAGGGGGAGACAGAGAGAGGAAGGGAGAAATATTCTGGCTTCTCCCCTCATTCCACCTGCACCTCCTGTTGGTCGAAACCAGTAGGCAAGACATCCTGGGAAATGTAGTTTGGAGGGGTCTGTGTGCTGGAGTTTGGAATAAGGAAAGGCAGAGAAGGGACCCGAAAGCCAATGAATGGGCAAGTGACCAGAACAGTTTTGGTGGCCACACAGCCCAGTGCTCCCAGAGCTGCCCCAGTTTACACCTGTTGTCTTGGAGCCATTATGAATAGTGCCCTCTTTCCTCCAAAGTGTCCTGGTTGCGACAATAAACTGTATGGTCAGTTGGCCAATGTAAAGAAAGTGAGAACAGGATATAAGTATATTGGGATGGGAAGAAAGGCAAGAAATAACGTAGAAGAAAGTCAAGAAATAACGTAGAAGAAAGGGAAGGAGGGGGACACAGGAAGGGAGGAACCAAGAAGAAAGAGAGGACTTTGATTTCAATTTTTCATTAATAAAAAATAAATAGGACAGCCACAGTGGCTCATGCCTGTAATCCTAGCACTTTGGGAGGCTAAGGCGGGTGGAACACCTGAGGTCAGAAGTTTGAGACCAGCCTGGCCAACATGGTGAAACCCCATCTCTACTAAAAATGCAAAAATTAGCCAGGCGTGGTGGTGCATGCCTGTAATCCCGCTACCTGGAAGGCTGAGACAGGAGATCTGCTTGAACCCAGGAGACAGAGGTTGCAGTGAGCTGAGATTGTGCCACTGCACTCCAGCCTGGGTGACAGAGTGAGACTGTGTCTCAAAAATAATTATAATAAAATAAAATAAAATAAAATAAAAAATAAATAAGTGCAGGCAAAAACAGGAAGGGATATGGAATAGCCAGCTCACAGAGTGGATGTCCAACATATGTGGGTATATGATTCCAGTAACTAAACATCTCTCCATCAACCCCACTGTGGCCTCATCATCCACCTACAGGTGGACAGGAGAGAGTGAAAGCAGAAATCCAGTGAGTCAGTTTCGTAGCTGCCACCAAAAGTCACGCAGGAGAAGGGAGAGAAGTTCCCAGGAGACTTCCAGAGGTCCTACCCTAGCTAGGCCTTTATGACACAGAGGGGCTGGGGCTGCCTATGGCTAGGGTGGTAGGGGCCTGCTGTGTACTACCTGGTCAGCTGCCCGTCCCCAGAGCCCAACACGAGGACTGTCCTAGGGACTGGAGCGGAAGCCACAGAAATTCCAGAGCCCAAGGCCTTTCCTGGAACACCTCCAGGTTGACCAGCAGCCTAGAAAACTGCCCAGGAGGGGTGTGCTGATTCTTGCACTTATGACACAAGCCCACGGAGCAGGAGGCAGCTGGTGTAGAGATTAGGAGCACAGGGTTTGAGGTCAGGTTGTGTGGGTTCGAGTCCCGCTTCTGCCTCTAACTTGCTGCGAAAGTCACACAACCTCACTGAGCCTCATTTTCCTCATCTGTAAAATGGGCACCAAACTGTTGGGGGCTAACAACTGATCATCGTGCAAAGCCCTCCCCATTGTATTTGGCATACAGTAGGCCACTGAGAGGCATGAGCTGCCAGGGTTAGTCATTCGGCACCTTGAAATCTGCATTCTCCCTCCCTTCAACGGACCTGGCTGGGGTCCCCTCCCCTTCCCAAAGTCTCTGGGTAGGGAGGAAAGAATTCCTGGCTCCCTTCCACAAGCAGACAGATTGTGAGACTAGAGGCGTGCAGCCCACTTTGAGCTCAAAGAACTAACTACACCTAAGGGTTATTATCTCAGGCAAGTGCTCAGGCCTGAGACTCTGACTCCATGAGCCATGAGGTCACACGGGACCAGGCAGACCAGAGGCAACTAAGAGGAAGGCCACTGGGGTCAGGAAATGAGCTGTGGAGTCACCAGGGCCAGGGGCTCAGCTCGGCTACCCAAGCCTCAGTTTCCCCATCTCAGAAGGTCTTACACAGGACCTGGGACAGGACTCCGGTGCGTGGGTTTATTGAGGTACGTAAGTCAGGGAAGCAGGCTAAGCCAGGCAGGAGCTGGACAGGATGCGGCCTCAGGCCAGATCCCCCCGCAGGGGTGGGAGGGGAATGCCTTGGAGCATAAATTGCACCAGAGTCATCCCCCTGGGCCAAGGTGGCCAGGCTTTTGTATCCCTGTATTGGTAAGTTATTTGGGAGGGACATACCTCCCAGAGAAGGGAGCCCTTAGCAGCTGGCGGAAGAGCACCCGGCCCAGCAAAAGGGGCCTAAGGGAGCACCGAAGCACCCACTCAGCGTCTTGCAAGTTGCCTGGAATGACATCTGAAAAGCACTTTTTTTTTTTTTGAGACAGATTCTCGCTCTGTTGCTCAGGCTGGAGTACAGTGGCGCAATCTCGGCTCACTGCAACCTTTGCCTCCTGGGTTCAAGCAATTCTCTTGCCTCATCCTCCCGAGTAGCTGGGACTACAGGAGCGTGCCACCATACCTGGCTAATTTTTATATTTTTTTAGTAGAGACAGGGTTTCATCATGTTGCTCATGCTGGTCTCGAACTCCTGATCTCAAGAGATCCGCCCACCTCAGGCTCCCAAAGTGTGGGATTATAGGTGTGAGCCACCGCGTCTGGCTGAAAAGCACTTTCAATGAGACTGTGTTGAATAAAGGGCCAAGGTTCTTGCCACCCAGCACTCATGGGGGCTCTCTCCCCTAGATGGCTGCTCCTCCCACAACACAGCCACAGCAGTGGCAGCCCTGGGTGGCTTCCTATACATCCTGGCAGAATACCCCCCAGCAAACAGAGAGCCACACCCATCCACACCGCCACCACCAAGCAGCCGCTGAGACGGACGGTTCCATGCCAGCTGCCTGGAGGAGGAACAGACCCCTTTAGTCCTCATCCCTTAGATCCTGGAGGGCACGGATCACATCCTGGGAAGAAGGCATCTGGAGGATAAGCAAAGCCACCCCGACACCCAATCTTGGAAGCCCTGAGTAGGCAAGGCCAGGGTAGGTGGGGGCCGGGAGGGACCCAGGTGTGAACGGATGAATAAAGTTCAACTGCAACTGACCCAGGGTTGAGTCTTGTTTCTCAGCTTTGAGGACAACCTTGGACAACCTCTTGGTCTGTTTCAACTCTCCAATCCCACTCAACACAAATTCTTTTTTCTTTTTTCCTTTTTTTTTTTTTTTAATTAATAGATGAGGTCCTGCTCTGTCACCTAGGCTCACTGCAGCCTCAAACTCCTGGGCTCAAGCAATCTTCCCATCTCACCTCCTGAGTAGCTGGGACAACAGGTGTATGCCACCATGCCAAGCTAACTTTTAAATTTTTTGTAGAGATGGGATCTCACTACATGGACTTGGCTGGTCTCGAACTCCCGGCCTCAAGTGATCCTCTTGCCTTGTCCTCCCAAAGTGCTGGGATTACAGGCATGAGCCACTGCACCCAGCCACAAATTCTAAAAAGACCCATAAACTGATATCTTAAAGGCTATTTGTTCAGGTACCAAATATAGTATCTTTCCCAGTGGGAGAAGGAAGGGTCTTGGAAAAAATAGTTCAGGTCATGAGCCAGAACTCAACAGATAACCCTGAAAGGCAGCACATACTCATTTTTACATCCTGAGCACAAAACTCTGCTGTATCATTACATTGCATCACATGGCCATCATGTCATTTTACAAAACACAGTATAGCATAGCGGTTGATGGTGTGGTTCTGTGGCCAGGCTGCCTGAATTCAAGTCCTAGCTGTCTGTGTCCTTGAGCAGTCACCAACTTCTCTGGGACTCAGTTTTCTCATCAGTAAAATTGCGATAATAATAACCCCTACCTTGGAAGGGCACAGTGGCCCGCCCCTATAATCCCAGCACTTTGGGAGGCTGAGGTGGGAGGATCGCTTGGATTCAGAAGTTCGAGACCAGCCTGGGCAACATAACGAGACACCTCCCCACCAACCCTCACTGGGTGCAGTAGTGAACACCTGTAGTCCCAGCTACTCGGGAGGCTCACTTGAGGAGGGAGGATCACTTGAGCCCAGGAGTTCAAGGCTGCAGTGAGGTATGATTGCACCACTGCACTCCAGCCTGGGTAACAGAGTGGGAGTCAAAAAAAAAACAAAACCCAGCCCCTACCTCAATGTTACCTCCACTGCTGTGAGTATTGTGTTTCTAGAATACTGGAAATGGTGCCCGTAACATACTAAGTGCCAAGTAAACGTTACCTGCTGCCTCAAGTGATGACGTCCCATTAAGTGGGGGCTCCTCCGGAAGCTGCCAGAAGAGGCCGCTGCCTTGTCATCGGTTCTCTGGTTCCCAGCTTACAGCTCTTCCCTCGAGCTCTGACTCAGTGTGACTATATCTGAATGTGTTCCCTGGAGCTCTGACACTAATTTAGCAATAAAACCTTCTGGGACATTATGATGGGTTCTGGTGCTGTCTGTGGTGCTGATGACAGCCTGCACGCATTGGACTTTGGGGTAGAAAAACCAGCTGAAAACCCGGTCCCGGGGCTGCAAACCTCTTTACACGCATTGTCCTGCTTTGCCTCAAGGTGGAAAATCGCCACGGATCATCCTCATGTGGCAACTCAGTCATATGTGAGCATCCGAATGAAAATATCCTTGGCTGCTTCTGTGCCCAGCTGAGCAGCCCAGGTGGGTGGTGGGGCGCATGGTTCTTCTCGATCTTTCCTTTAGGAGGTAGGTTTCCCTTGACCTGATCCTCTGCTGCGGTCCTCTGAATGCCTTCCCATGATTGCTCTTAACTTGTCAGGCCTCGAGGAACATCCCTGGATTCTGCTGACAAGTTTGACTTGCTATCTGCAAGTTGCTGTTTTCTTGGGGGAACCAAGGGCCAGAATGTCATATCCACCCAGCAGTCTGTGAGCTTTAAGGATTTCTTTCACATTGTCTTGCAAACAAAAGTTTTCCCAAACAGGCACACCATCTTGAGAGAAGTCAGCCGCACATAAACAAATTGGGGGGATTATGCTCCACCTCTGTGCTTCCTGAATTGGGGATGGAGTCCTCACTGGAGCCTGACACTGGTTCATTTCAGAAGGCTTCAGTTACCAAACCAGGGAGAGGGTGAAATGACTGTGGAGGAAAGCGGAGCGTATGAGTCACTTTCAAGGAAAGGCAATCCTTGGCTCATGCCTATAATCCCAGCACTCCTGAACGGTGAGACCATACATTTCTGTGGTTTAAGCCTCCCAGTTGATGGCACCTTGCTACAGCAGCCCCAGAAACTAATGCAGCACCTGCCTCAAGGAGCTGTTCCTAGTCTCAGCAACAAGGTCCCTGCAGCCCAACCACACCCGTGGGGAAGCAGATGACCCGTCCTGATGACCTGGTTCACAGCCTGATCCTCTATTTAAAGGATCGATGTGAAACCGAAAATTAAAAAAAACGTTCTCAAGGTGGGCGGATCTCTTGAGGTCAGAAGTTCAAGACCAGCCTGGCTAACATGGTGAAACCCCATCTCTACTGAAAATACAAAAATTAGCCATGCGTGGTGGCTCTCGCCTGTAATCCCAGCTACTAGGGAAACTGAAGCAGGAGAATCGCTTGCACCTGGGAGGCAGAGACTGCCGTGAGGGAAGATCATGCCACTGCACTCCAGCCTGGGTGACAGAGCAAGACTCCATCTCAAAAAAGCAAAAACAAACAAACACAAAAAGAACTTTCTCAGTGGCATGCCACAGCCCAACTGTAGCCCAAAAACTCCCTGGAATTTATCCACTCAGCACACACATCCAGCCCACATGGAGTTCACGTCCCTTGCAAGGCTCTCCTATCTTTCTGAATACTTTTCCCCTGACATCCACGTGGCTCACACTCCACTTTGCCCCAGTCTCTGCTCAAATGCCCTCTCATATGACCAGGCGCAGTGGCTCATGCCTAGAATCCCAGCACTTTGGGAGACCGAGGTGGGCGGATTGCCTGAGCTCAGGATTCGGAGACCTGCCTGGGCAACATGAGAAAAATCCATCTCCACAAAAAAACACAAAAATCAGCTGGGCATGGTGACCCGTGCCTGTGGTCCCAGCTACTTGGGAGGCTGAGGCAGGAGGATCACTTGAGACTTGGGAGATTGAGGCTGCAGTGAGCTATGATCATGCCATTGCATCCCAGCCTGGGTGACAGTGCGAGAACTTGTCTCAAAAGAAAAAAAGAGGGAACCCTCCAAAGGGCTTGAAACAAAACTCGAGGTCAAGACAAGGAGCACCCACAAATGAGTCAATGGTTCTCCTCGTTGGAGCAGAACAGCTCCTGACAGCCTCCTGTTCAAGTAGCACAGAGAGCAGAAAAACCAGTCACAGGCAGATTGTTTGGAGCGGGTGGGAGGAAGACAGGGAGGAAAGGAGGCTTGGGACTTGGAGTTAAATGAGAGAGGGATGGAAAAGCAGGTTCCCCCGGCACAAACCCCACCTCAGGGCTTCATCAAGGCCTTCTTTCCCTGCCCCCCAAATACACACCCCGAGAGAGAGGCCCTCATTGGTGGAAGCACCCAGCCCACGGTGGCTCTATGTGCCCCTGCCACAATCCTTGGTCAAAAGTGCATTCCTTCCGGCTCCCGGCTCAAGGTATAAAATCCTACTGTAAACAAGTAATTCCATTAAGTCATCATGTTCTTAAAGTTTTTCCTTTTTTTTTTTGAGACAGGATCTGACTCTGTCACCCACGCTGGAGTGCAGTAGCATAATCTCAGATCACTACAACCGCCACCTCCTGGGTTCAAGCGGTTCTCCTGCCTCAGCCTCTTGAGTAGCTAGGATTACAGGCACGTGCCACCACACCCGGCTAATTTTTGTATTTTTAGTAGAGACAGTGTTTCCCCATGTTGGCCAGGCTGGTCTCGAACTCCTGACCTCAGGTGATCCACCCGCCTTGGCGTCCCAAAGAGCCGAGATTATAGGCATGAACCAGCATGCCTGGCCCTTTTTTTTTTTTTTTTTTTTTTAAAGAGACGGGGGTCTTGGTGTGTTGCCCAGGCTGGCCTGGAACTCCTGGGCTCAAGCAATCCTCCTGCCTCTGCTGGGATTACAGCCATGAGCCACCATGCCTGGTTGAAAGTGTTTCCTCTTAAGATGTAAATATACACAGGAAACGGAATGAGTTAAGACTTTCTCCATCATGTAGCTTTAGTGTGAAGGAGTTGTGAGAACAGTATCTGCAGAACTGTTGCTTGGAATGAGGTCTGAGAGAGCAAGAGAGGGCGGGGAAGGGATTGGTGAGAGCTGGGGCGAGTTCAAGCCACCCTTTCATGACTGCTTCCCCACTCCCATCTCTCAGTGGCTAAGCTTCTGCCCCCTCACCCACCAGAGCCAGGAAGACTGACTTGGGCAATGTCCCACCAGTATCCTTGCTTTTTCTGGGTCTTCACCTATTCTCTTTCTTTCTCATTTTTTATTTCCATAGATTTTTGGGGAATAGGTGGTATTTGGTTACGTGAGTGGTGATTTGAGAGATTTTGGTACACCCAGGACCTGAGCAGTATACACTGAAACCAATTTATAGTCTTTTATCCCTCACCTCCTTCCCATTCTTCCCCACCCGAGTTCCCAAATTCCACTGTAACTTTTTTTTTTTTTTTGAGGCTGGAGTGCAGTGGTGGTGCGATCTCGGCTCACCGCAACCTCCGCCTGCTGGGTTCAAGCAATTCTTGTGCCTCAGCCTCCTGAGTAGCTGGAATTACAGGCACGCGCCACCACACCCGGCTAATTTTGGGGGTTTTTTTGTTTGTTTGTTTATTTGAAACAGAGTCTTGCTCTGTCCCCCAGGCTGAAGTGCAGTGGTGCGATCTGGGCTCACTGCAACCTCCGCCTCCCGGCTTCAAGCAATTCTCCTGCCTCAGCCTCCTGAGTAGCTGTGACTACAGGTGCACACCGCCACGCCTGGCTAATTTTTTGTGCTTTAGCAGAGATGGGGTTTCACCGTGCTTCCCAGACTGGTCTCGAACTCCTGAGCTCAGTCAATCCACCCAACTGAGCCTCCCGAAGTGCTGGGATTACAGGTATGTGCCACTGCACCTGGCCTAATTTTTGTATTTTTAATAGACACGGGGTTTCACCATGTTGACCAGGCCAATCTCAAACTCCTGACTTCAGGTGATCCACCCACCTCAGCTTCCCAAAATGCTAGGATTACAAGTGGGAGCCACCGCGCCTGGCCCCATTGTATCATTCTTATGCCTTTGCATCCTCACAGTTTGGCTCCCACTTATGAGTGAGAACGTGTGATGTCTGGTCTCCCATTCCTGAGTCACTTCACTTAGAATAATAGTCTCCAATCCCATCCAGGTGGCTGCGAATGCCATTCATTCATTTCTTTTTATGGCTGAGTAGTATTCCATCATATATATATGATGTTTATCCACTCATTGATTGGCATTTGGGCTGGTTCCACATTTTTGCAATTGCGAATCTGCCCCCACCCCCAATCTGGTTAAATTGGATTTGTCCTTTAAGATTCCCCGTGATTGGCTGGGGGCAGTGGCTCACACCTGTAATCCCAGCACTTTGGGAGGCCGAGGCAGGCAGATCACGAGGTCAAGAGATTGAGACCATCCTGGCCAACCAACATGGTGAAACCCCTTCTCTACTAAAATACAAAAATTAGCCGGGCGTAGTGGCACACACCTGTAGTCCCAGCTACTTGGCAGACTGAGGCAGGAGAATGGCATGAACCTGGGAGGCGGAGCTTGCAGTGAGCTGAGATGGCGCCACTGCACTCCAACCTGGGCGGCAGAGCGAGACTCCGTCTCAAAAAAAAAAAAAGATTCCCCAAGGTTGTCCCTTGTTCTGTGAAGCCTCCTCCCCTCCTCACACCTACTTGCCCATCTCATTCCCTACACTGCTCTGTGGCAGCTCACTCTGGCTTCGTTTGTGTGCTTGTCAACTCTATTTTCAGATTGTGAATGACTTTAGGGCACAGACGATGTCTTGCTCCTCTTCAGGTGCCTGGCTCCTACTATACAGCCTGGAACATAGAAATGTTTAAAAAATATTTGCTGAATTAAATAGAAAAAATGAAGAAAAAGAAAAAAGAGGCACCTGGAGATGTTTTGTCCAGGTCTTAGCTGGTGGAAGGGACCTTGGGCTGTGAGCGTGCTTGAGTCTGGTCTGCCCAGCTGGCAGCCCCCACACCACCCTGCAAGTCCACATGGGATGAGGGGCACCCCTAATGTACCCAACTGGACGTGGGGGCCACCTACCAGACACGCAGCCTATGACAGAATCTCCTGCCCCTCAGAACCTCAACGCCAGTTTCTGGGATGCTGTTAATGCCCTCCCAGCCCTTTACACAACAGATACTATACACAGCACGGACAGAAGAAATTGATCCTTTGACGTTTCCATTTCCTAAGAGTTTTACAAAAATGACTTTCGGGCCGGGCACAGTGGCTCACGCCTATAATCCTAACACTTTGGGAGGCCAACGGGGGTGGATCACTTGAGGTCAGGAGTTCAAGACCAGCCTGGCCAATATGGTGAAACCCTGTGTCTATTAAAAATACAAAAATTAGCCGGGCGTGTTGGCACACCCCGGTAATCCCAGCTACTCAGGAGGCTGAGGCAGGAGAATCGCTTGAACCTGGGAGGCTGAGGTTGCAGTGAGCCAAGATCAGGCCATTTCAATCTACACTCGAGCTTAGGCAACAGAGTGAGACTCCATCTAAAAATAAATAAATAAACTAGCCTGGTGTGGTAGTACACACCTGTAGTCCCAGCTACTCAGGAGGCTGAGGTGGGAGGACTGCTTGAGCCCAAGAAGTCGAGGCTGCAGTGAGCGATGATTGCACCACTGTACTCCAGTCTGGGCAACAGAATGGGATCCTGTCTCTAAATAATAATAGAATTACATAACAAAACTTTTTTGGGTGATAAAAAAAATCCTAAAACTGGATAATGGTGATGCTGGAATATCGCTGTGCATTTACTACAAATCATTGCATTGTACACTTAGGAGAATTTTACAGTATGTAAATTTTATCTTAATAAAGTTTAAAAAAAAACCTTCCAATGGCTTACTATTTCACTTTGGCTGAAATCCATACTCATTTCCCTGGATCCCTGCATGTACGATCTGGCCTTGCCTTGGCCCTCCCACTTCAACCCTGCTCACCACCTCCAACCCCTCCCCCACGGCCCTCCTCTCCCACCAGGTGGCTCTTCCTGCTGCACCTCCCAAGCTGTTTCCCACTTCAGGCTCTGGCCCAGATCTGCACACAGCCGCATCTTTTCTTTCCTTCAATCACAGTCTAAAGGGGCTTGGAGAGGCTTCCCTGCCACACCTGCAACATCCTTCTCTCGCAGTCCTGCCCTTTGCTTCTTGCATTCATCACATAACTGTTTCATGTCTGTTTCCCCTTGAAAAGCTAAGCTCCATGAAGGCAGGGATCAGCTGCAACGGAGCACATACGAGGTGCTCAGCCTGTTGAACACACAAATGATGGTAGAACTCAAATGAGGATGCTAAGAGGGGACAAAAGTATTCCAGGCTGAAGAGCAAAAAAGAAAACCCTTGGCTTCTTAGCAGCTTTGGCTAGAACTGTGGATATGGGCTGCTCTGTTCAAATGCAGAATTTCTGTGGCACCCGTTATGTGCTTAGAAAAACTTGGCAAAGGAGTAGCAAACCTCAAAGTAGGGAGAAAACCAAAGTCAGAACTTGCCAAAGACTGCCTGTTCCTGCAACTCCTAACTGAGGCAGAAAAAAAGAGCGCTTCCGGAGGCAGGGAGTAGGCGTCAGGCCTGGGCTCCTCTGCTGGTTATTTTTAGCAGCCCAATGCAAAGCTCAGAAAGATATACTCCCTTCACATCAATATATTGGTCATTTAAGCCTCTAGGAGGAGCAGTCATTTTGTACATGGTTAAAGTGAACTAGGAGCGTCAGAGCTGTTCCCGGGACCCCTTTGAGGTCCCTGAATTGTATTAGTTTCCAAAAGCAAGGCATCAGCATGGCCATGTTCTCTGTCAAAGCTCAAGAGTCTCTCCCACGCCTCTCTCCTAGCTCTTGGTGGCTGCTAGCCTTCTTTGCATTCTTTGACTTATGACTGCATCAGTCCAATCTCTGCCTGTGTTCATATGAGCTTCTTTCCTCTGTGTGTATTTGTGTCTTTTACAAGAACACCAGTCAGATTGGATTCAGGGCCCACCCTACTCCAGAATGACCTCATCTTAACTAATTACATCTGCAAAGACCCAATTTCCAAACAAGTTCACATTCTGAGGTTCTGGTAAGGACATGAGTTTGGGGGGACACTCTCTAACTGAGTTCACTAACCCTCACCGTGGACTGGCTCAAAGGAGCAGTGGCTCAAAGAGGGGCCTGAGATCAAGCACCAGAAGTGCTGACTGTGGATGAAAAGGGGCTGGCCTGGCCCCTATCTGTGTCCCCCCATACCTGTGGTAGTGAGGGAGAAGGAAAAGAAAAATCCGTTGGGGAAAATTCTGACCTCAGAAGTGGCCTGCCTGAAAAGTCATAGAAACTGGCAAAAATAAAGCAACCTGGGAAAAAACTCAGGCTGGACCTGCACGGAGATAAGCAGACAGGGTCCAGCGCAGAAGCCCTTTGTTCTTTGCATAATTAGCAGGCTCCCGGGAAAAAGTTTCCTCTCCTTTTCAGGCATATACACAGTGGGCTCCATGGAAACCGGCACAGGGAGGAGGGGGCCTTATCTAAAACAAACCCACAGTTACACAAACAAGAGAAGCAGCGATTTGCACTTGCCTAGAGACATACCCACAGCTGCATAACATAAGGGGAGCTGCACAGGCAGTTTTACTGGTAAGAAGTTACTCAGTTACCAGGAGGAGAGCAGTGTCCTATAAAAGTTTTTTGCGGCCAGGCACAGTGGCTCACGCCTGTAATCCCAGCACTTTGGGAGGCGGAAGGAGGCGGATCACCTGAGGTCAGGAGTTTGAAACCAGCCTGGCCAACATGGTAAAATTTCGTCTCTACCCAAAATACAAAAATTAGCAGGGCGCAGTGACGTGTGCCTGTAATCCCAGCTACTCGGGAGGCTGAGGCAGGAGAATCATTTGAACCCAGGAGGCAGAGGTTGTTGAGGTTGCAGTGAGCCAAGATCGCACCATTGCACTCCAGCCTGGGTGACAAGAGCAAAACTCTGTCTTAAAAAAAAAAAAAAAAAAAGCTTTTTGCATTCAGCTGTAACCCGACAATCCACTCGGACTCCCGTCTCCACTTTGGAGAGCTTTCTTCTTTCCCTTATTAAACGTTCGCTCCAACCCCACCCTTGTGTCCACGCTCCTTAGTTTTCTTGGAGGTAGGACAAAGAACCCCGGGACTAGTTCAGACAAGGAGAAACTGCTATATTAAGGTGCACTGGCAAGACCGCAACAGTATCAAGCCAATTAGACTTGCCGTGGCTCCTGGAATGGCCCACGCACTGCACTGGCACCAAGACACCACCCAACCCTGGACACTGCACTGGGACAGGAGGCCTGAAGAGAAGAATCCTCTCAAAGGAAGCTTGAAGTACATGCTACAAAATAAACTGGCTTCTATACTCAGGGCCAGCTTCATGGGCTCACTCAGAAGGTCCCTGGCTTGCTGCAACCATTTGCTCTGACCATCTTGAAATTCTTAATAGTTTTCTGGGTTTTTTAGTAAGTGTCCCCACGTTTTCATTTTGCATTGAGTCACACAAATCATGTAGCTGGGCTGTCTTCAAAAATGTCAAGGTAGTAAAAGACAAAAGGCTGAGGAGCCTTCCAGATGAAGAGATCAAAGAGACATGACAACTAAAAGCAACTCCTGGGTTACAGGGTCAGGGGCGGACAAAAAGGAAAAGAAAAAAAAAGACATTAGAGGGACAATTGAAGGTTAGCTGTGGATGACATCACAGAAATGTCAATGGGAGTTGTCCTAATGATATTTGCCCTGTGGTTAAGAAAATGCCCTTGTTCTTAGGAGATTCATGGCGAGGTATGGGGTAAAGGATCATGACATCTGCAATTTGGTTGCCATTGGTTCAGGAAAAAAAAAAAACAAAGTACAAATGATTGAGTAAATCAGGCAAGCCTAAACCACTGCTAAACATGAATAACAGTTCTACGAGAGTTCTTTATGCTCTCCTTGCAACTTCCTGTAGGTTTGAGATTACCTGGAGATAAAAAGTTAACATCACCAGCACCGCCCGCCAGCCCGCCAGCCGAAAAGAGCGCAGGTAATTCAGTCCGAGCTGAAAGCGGCCACCCTGGGACTTGAGTCACGTGAGGCGAGCCCACATGACCCGAGGCCCCGGTCCAATATGGCGACCTCCACGGGTCGCTGGCTTCTCCTCCGGCTTGCACTATTCGGCTTCCTCTGGGAAGCGTCCGGCGGCCTCGACTCGGGGTGAGTGCAGCTCCCTGGGCCAGCCTGGTTCGGGGGGTCCCCCCTGTCCTCCGAGCTCACGAGGACAGCCCCCTGAGCTCACGGCCGCCCGTCCCCGCAGGGCCTCCCGCGACGACGACTTGCTACTGCCCTATCCACGCGCGCGCGCGCGCCTCCCCCGGGACTGCACACGGGTGCGCGCCGGCAACCGCGAGCACGAGAGTTGGCCTCCGCCTCCCGCGACTCCCGGCGCCGGCGGTCTGGCCGTGCGCACCTTCGTGTCGCACTTCAGGGACCGCGCGGTGGCCGGCCACCTGACGCGGGCCGTTGAGCCCCTGCGCACCTTCTCGGTGCTGGAGCCCGGTGGACCCGGCGGCTGCGCGGCGAGACGACGCGCCACCGTGGAGGAGACGGCGCGGGCGGCCGACTGCCGTGTCGCCCAGAACGGCGGCTTCTTCCGCATGAACTCGGGCGAGTGCCTGGGGAACGTGGTGAGCGACGAGCGGCGGGTGAGCAGCTCCGGGGGGCTGCAGAACGCGCAGTTCGGGATCCGCCGCGACGGGACCCTGGTCACCGGGTGAGGAGGCAGGGAGCCCCGTGCTGTCGAGGGCAGAGGGCCTGAGATTTGGGTTGTAGCCGTGCCTCCGTGTTCAAGTCACTTAACCAAGCTGAGCCCCTGTTTCCTCCTCTGCAGAATGGGGATAGGAATCGCTTCCTTGCAGAGTTTATTCATCATCCAGTATCATTGAGCACTTGCTTGTATCAGGCAATGTGCCGCGCCCCGGTGAGATAGCCGTGAACAACACAGTCTTTGCCTTAACAGCCCTCCCCCATTACTAGAAAAATCAACAAAAGCCGGGTAAATAGCTAACATACATTCTGATTGCTGTGTGTGCAGCAAAGCAACCAACGGGGTGAACCCGTTGTAAATAGTGTTGATTTTAGGGAGGGTGATCTGGAACACGCCTCTCCGAGGTGACCTTTGAGTGGGAACTTGAAGATGAATCACTAAGTGAGCCAAGGTCAGAACTGGAGGAAGAGCGTTTCAGTCCAAAGGAACCCCACGCACAAAGGCTCAGAGGCTCAGGGGGGCTTGTGTGTATGAGGGACTGAAAAAGGAGTGGGGTGTCAGAAACATCAACTCATCAAGACTGATGATTTTTTTTTTTTTGAGACAGAGTCTTGCTCTGTTGCCCAGGATGGAGGGCAGTGGCATGATACCGGCTCACTGCAACCTCTGCCTCCCGGGTTCAAGCGATTCTCCTGCCTCAGCCTCTGGAGTAGCTGGGACTACGGACGTGTGCCACCACGCCCGGCTGATTTTTGTATTTTTAGTAGAGACGGGATGGGGTGGGGAACGGGGGAGTGGGTTCACCATATTGGCCTGGCCGGTCTCGAACTCCTGACCTCAAGTGATCCACCCACCTCAGCCTCCCAAAGTGCTGGGATGACAGGTGTGAGCCACCACGCCCTGGCAAGATTGATGATTTGAATTATTTAAAATTATCTTAAAAATTATTTGAGTCTCAAAAAAAAAGTATTTGTTGATGATAAAGCTTGTTCTGATCCTGAGTGGGACCAGGTGGGAGAGAGCAGTGGAGAAACAAGGAAGCCAATGAAGGGCCGTAACAGGGATCAAGTGGTAGTTGGGCTGGGTATGGCCTGGGGATTGAGGGCCATAGATGGATTTGAGCTCTGTTGGGGGATGGTCATTTCTGTTAAATGAAACAGACTGTTTGCAAAGGCTTGTGGGGATTGTATTGTCAGAACCCTGTCCAGCTTCAGCTCTGACAACAGGGAGATTCCTAGGGCTGTTAAGTTGTCCCAGCTACACTCAGGCCCCAGGAGGTTCCTGGGGCATGAGGGGGAATCTAGCAGCCAGGTTGGGATGGCTAGGGAGAAAGAGCCTGACTATCTGCAGTTGCCCCTGCTGGTGAGTGAGCTTCCCACCTTCCCCGGATCCAGGTACCTGTCTGAGGAGGAGGTGCTGGACACTGAGAACCCATTTGTGCAGCTGCTGAGTGGGGTCGTGTGGCTGATTCGTAATGGAAGCATCTACATCAACGAGAGCCAAGCCACAGAGTGTGACGAGACACAGGAGACAGGTTGGATGGGGAGGCTGTTGGCAACAACCCTCTCGAGAACCAGGACCAGTGGGCTGGGCGGAGCTGTTCTTAAGTCTTTCAACAAGTATTGAGCAGCTACTTTGTGCCCAGCACTATTCTGGGTACTGGGGATTCATGGGGAGGAAGATAGGCTTATATTGAATATATAGGACAAAAAATAGTTATAGAATATGCTGAAAAGAATTGATAAGTGCTCAGAAACAAAAATAAAGTTAGGGGAAAGGGGAGAGATGGGGACCGGAGCTGTGGGTACAGGAAGAGAAAAGTGAAGAGAAAAAAATCTTCATGGACCTGCAACATCGGCGTGGCCCAGGAGCTTGTTTCAAAGCCCCACACCCTCAGACCTGCAGAATCAGAGGCAAGGCCCAAGAGTCTATGTTTTAACGGGCCTCCATGGTGACTCTGACCGACACTCAAGGTTGAGAACCACTGGGATGCAGAATACTGGGATGGGGACAGGATACCATGACCATTTTAGAGTGGGCAGTAAGCTAGGTGTGGTGGCTAACACCTATAATCCCAGCACTTTGGGAGGCCGAGGCGGGAGGATCGGTTGAGCCCAGGAGTTCAAGACCTGCCTGGGCAACATAGTGAGACCTATCTCTACAAAAAAAAAAAATACAAAAATTAGCCAGGCATGGTGGTGTGTGCCTGTAGTCCCAGCTACTTGGGAGGCTGAAGCATGAGAATTGCTTGAACCTGGGAGGTGGAGGTTGCAGTGAGCTGAGATCATGCCACTGCACTCCAGCCCGGGCAACACAGCGAGACTCTTTGTCTCAAAAAAAAAAAAAGAGTGGGCGGTCAAGGAAGGCCTCACTAAGGAGGTGATCTGACAAAGGAGCAAGCTAGAGAAAAGCACAGTTCCCAGCCAGAGGGAACAGGAAGTGCAAAGTGGCTGCAGGGTGGTGAGGGGACACCCAGGAGCTGAGGCAGGAGGAGGAAGAGGCTGGGGAGGGCATGCTGGCTCTTTGGATTTTGTTCTAAGAACAGGGGAAACCATTAGAGGGTCTTCACCTGGAGGCTGGCATAGCTTGGTTTACCTGTAAGAAGAGACCCCCCGGCTGCCCTGGGGAGACTGGGATGTGCAGAGGGGAGGCAGGGAGACGAGCAAGGAGGCTGCTGTGCTTCCCAGGGAGGTACCAGGTAGCTCAGACCAGTGGGAAGTGGAGTTAGGCAAGAAGCAGGAGGCCTCCCAAGGGGCGGTGATCAGCCAGGCTGCTTTTCCTTCAGGTTCCTTTAGCAAATTTGTGAATGTGATATCAGCCAGGACGGCCATTGGCCACGACCGGAAAGGGCAGCTGGTGCTCTTTCATGCAGACGGCCAAACGGAGCAGCGTGGGTGAGTCCTGGGAGCTGAGGCCCCCCGGCCGGGGCTCAGTCCTGCTAGGAGGAACGTTGACCCAATGACAGCCACCCTCTGACTCTACCTGCTTTCTGGGATGTTGACACCTATCTGTCCCCCCTCCCAGGGCCCCCTCACCTTCCCACAGGATGAGGGTTCTGAGATCTTTGCCGATTCCAAGAACTCATCATCTTCAGCTTTAGGCCTCACCTTTCCTGAACCCTAGATAGGATACAAGGAAATGGTCACAAAGTGAGCAGGGAGAAGATCTTGGTTCCAATCCCAGCTTAGCCATCGATGACTTGTCTACCCACCTATGCCGTAGACAAGTCCCTCGGCCTCCCTGAGCCTCATTTCTAGCCCCTGTAAAGAGAGTGTTTTGGTTTGCTCTGGTTGCATAACCAGCACAAATTTAGCAACACTCAGCAGGGAATGTTCTTTTGTTTGTTTGTTTCTTTGAGACAGGGTCTTACTCCGTCGCCCAGGCCAGAGTGCAGTGGTGCAATCTCAGCTCACTGCAACCTCTACCTCTCAGGTTCAGGTGATCCTCCCACCTTAGCCTCCCAGGTAACTGGGATTACGGGCACCCGCCACCACACCCAGCTAATTTTTGTATTTTTAGTAGAGATGGGGTTTCATCATGTTGGCCAGGCTGGTCTCGAACTCCTGACCTCAGGTGATCCATCTACCTCGGCCTTCCAAAGTGCTGGAATTAACAGGCGTGAGTCACCGCACCTGGCTAATTTTTGTATTTTTAGTAGACACAGGGTTTCATCATGTTGGCCAGGCTGGTCAACTTGGAATGTTCTATGTTCAGGGTGTCCCATGGACAAAACCAAGATGCTGGTTAGGCAGGGCTCTTCTCTTATCTGGAAAGAATCCTCTTGTTTAGGTTGTTGGAAGAATCCCCGTCGCCTCCTCAGTTGTGACTGAGGTCTTGGTTTCCCTGCTGGCCGCCATCTGGGGCCTCAGCTCCTTCAAGCTGCCCAGGTTCCTTCCCATGTGTGTCCTCTCCCCCAGTTGTCCGGCCACCCTCTCATCCCCCTCGTATTTCAAATCTCACTTCCTATTCTGTCACCAGCCAGAGAAGGCTCTCTGTGTTGAACACTCCTGTGATTCCAGTGGCTGCACCCAGATCCTCCGGGCCGTTTCCCCTCCCTTAAGGATTCCTATGCCATGTAACAGCACAGGCATGGGTGTGATCTCACGTGTTCACAGCTTCCGGGGGCTAGGATGAGACATGCTTGGGGGCGGGGGCCACTTAGAAATGTGCCTGCACTGTGGGCGTGATGCTCTGCACTGTGGAAGGAAAAGGAGTTAAATGAGAAATGATGGTGGGCGCTGAGCCTGAGCAGCGCCGCTTTGTGCCGCAGCATCAACCTGTGGGAAATGGCGGAGTTCCTGCTGAAACAGGACGTGGTCAACGCCATCAACCTGGATGGGGGTGGCTCTGCCACCTTTGTGCTCAACGGGACCTTGGCCAGTTACCCGTCAGATCACTGGTAAGCACGTGAGAGCCGCCTTCGTGAGGGCTGAAGTCCAGGTCTGCCCCAGCCTGTCTCATTCAGCCAATATTGAGTGCCTGCTATGTGCCAGGCCCCGGGGGTTCAAGAGAGCAGAAATTGCTGCAGTCCCTCCCCCAGGATGCCAGTACTACCCAGGCCTAGGAGCAGGGTCAGTTGGTCAGCAAAGACCTCCCTGAGGATGACAGAATAAGAACTGAGATCTGAAGGAGGTGGTAGCTGGGTGGGGGTGGGAGAGCCTTCCGGGCAGAGGGCACCACATGTGAAAGGCCCAGGGCTGGGAGGGATTGTAGGGAGCGGAGGAACCTATAAAAGACTGGAGAGGGCTGGGCACAGGGGCTCACGCCTGGAATCCCAGTGCTTTGGGAGGCCGAGGTGGGAGGTTCGCTTGGGCCCAGGAGTTTAAGACCAGTGTGGGCAACATAGACCCTGTCTTTATGAAAAAATAAAAAAAAATTAGGCAGGCGTGATGGTGCACACCTTACGGTTACAGCTGCTCAGGAGGCTCGGGTGGAAGGATCGCAATACCTCATCTCAAAAATAGATAGACGCCATCTTGTAGGTAGGTAGGTAGACAGGTGAGAATGGAGAGAGGGGTGGTTGGGGGCAGCCTGGAGGGAGTTGAGGGGCCGTCTGGGGGTGTCCTCTCCTCACACATCACATCCCTCTACAGCCAGGACAACATGTGGCGCTGTCCCCGCCAAGTGTCCACCGTGGTGTGTGTGCACGAACCCCGCTGCCAGCCGCCTGACTGCCACGGCCACGGGACCTGCGTGGACGGGCACTGCCAATGCACCGGGCACTTCTGGCGGGGTCCCGGCTGTGATGAGCTGGACTGTGGCCCCTCTAACTGCAGCCAGCACGGACTGTGCACGGAGAGTGAGTGGGGGTTCTGGGGAGGGGGCTCTGCCCAGCCCTGCCTTGCCCTAGGCCCTCACCTGGCCTCCCCGGTCTTGTCTCGGCAGCCGGCTGCCGCTGTGATGCCGGATGGACCGGGTCCAACTGCAGTGAAGGTAGGAGCTGCCACGCCACTAGCGGATGGGGAGACGGTGGCCCCCGGCAGCCCCCACTGCTCCTCTGCTGCTTCTGTCTCCACCTTCTGGTCTGGGAAATGCTTGCCTCTTGTCTTCTGCCCCGGCCTCACCTGCACATCACTGTGTGACTCCCCTGTGGCTGCTGCGGCCCGTTCCACAAAGGGCTCGGCTAAAACAAGGGTCCCCGGGCTCTGGCTCCAGGGCCCACCTCAAATCCAGCACGGTCTTATCTTGAGATCCTAACTGCAGTGCCTCTGTAGAGATTCTGCTTCCAAATAAGGTCACGTTCAGGGGCTAGTCCAGGGAGGGCAGGGGGTGCTTCACCTTTAGCCCGGCTCTGTACACATGGGCAGGGGCAGGTATCCTGTCCTGTCGAGAAAGGCTCTGACACTGGAGGCCCCAACCTTTCTCCTCCCTCCTCCCTCCTCCCATCTCCTTTCCATAGAGTGTCCCCTTGGCTGGCATGGGCCGGGCTGCCAGAGGCCTTGTAAGTGTGAGCACCATTGTCCCTGTGACCCCAAGACTGGCAACTGCAGCGTCTCCAGAGGTACCTATCCCTCCAAGGGGAGGGGTATGGGCAGACGCTCCTGCTCCGGCCCCTTCAGCCTGTCTCTGGTATGTTACAGTAAAGCAGTGTCTCCAGCCACCTGAAGCCACCCTGAGGGCGGGAGAACTCTCCTTTTTCACCAGGTAGGTGCTTCTGTGGGAGCTGGGGCCAGGGCGGGAGGAATCCCCCTTCTCTCCCGCACCCTTCCCCTGTGAGGTCCATCTCTGCCCTTGTCCCCTGCCAGCTCCCTGCCTTAGAGGAAGCGGGACCAGCTCTCCCCACTGTCTGCTTTGGGGACCCTGGAGCAGAGCCCAGGGCCTTCGAGTGCCCAGCCTCTGTTGTCAGCATCCCCCACTGGAGCTCAGAATGCAAACTGGGCTAGATGAGATCCCAGGGTGGGGGCAGGAGGTTTCCTCATTCTGTCACCCAGGCAGAAGTGCTGTAGTACAGTCAGCTCACTGCGATCCTCCCGCCTCAGCCTCCCAAGTAGCTAGGACGACAGGCACGTGCCCCCATGCCCGGCTAATTTTATTTCTTACTGTTTTTTAGAGATAGGATCTCACTATTTTGCACAGACGAGGTGCACAGTCCTGGGCTCAAGTGATCCTCCCACCTTGGCCTCCCAGCCCCCATGCCCAGCATCCAGCTGTGTTTTATTTGGCTTACATAATTTTTAAAAAGTTAAAATATATCAGCAGCATCTAAAAATCAGTAACATTCACATTTTTTTAAACTTTTTTTTTTGAGACGGGGTCTCACTCTGTTGCCTAGGCTGGAGTGCAGTGGTGCGATCTCAGCTCACCACAACCTCCGCCTCCTGGGTTCAGGCAATTCTCCTGCCTCAGTCTCCTGAGTAGCTGGGATTACAGGTGCCCGGCTAATTTTCATATTTTTAGTAGAGACAGGATTTCGCCATGTTGGCCAGGCTGGTCTTGAACTCCTGACCTCAAGTGATACGCCCGCCTAAGCCTCACAAAGTGCTGGGATTGCAGGCATGAGCACCACGCCCAGCCTTAAAAACCTTTTTAATGGCTTCTCTTAAAATATCAGGCCAGGCGTGGTGGCTCACGCCTGTAATCCTAGCACTTTGGGAGGCCGAGGCAGGTGGATCACTTGAGGTCAGGAGTTCAAGACCAGCCTGGCCAACATGGTGAAACCTGGTCTCTACTGAAAATACGAAAATTAGCCAGGCGTGGTGATTCGAGCCTGTAGTCCCAGCTACTCGGGAGTCCAAGGCAGGGGAATCGTTTGAAGCCAGGAGGCGGAGATTGCAGTGAGCTGAGATCATGCCACTGCACTCCAGCCTGGATGACAGGGCGAGACTCTGTCTCAAAAAAAAAAAAAAAAAATCAGGAGATGGGGCAGCACGGACCTGCATTGTACGTCATGACTGCCTCTGCTGTTCCCTGCACATGTCTTAAATGTTGCCCCATCCCCACCTAGTCCATTTTGCTCATAACATTCCCTGTGTGGTCCCTGGAGGCACCTGATTTAGTGCTATCTATGCCGGGTAGAGGGAAGCCCCTCCAGTGCTACCCAAGCCCTGAGCCCACCCAGCAGTCCCCCACTTGGGGCTTCTCTCCTGTCTGCAGGACCGCCTGGCTAGCCCTCACCCTGGCGCTGGCCTTCCTCCTGCTGATCAGCACTGCAGCAAACCTGTCCTTGCTCCTGTCCAGAGCAGAGAGGAACCGGCGCCTGCATGGGGACTATGCATACCACCCGCTGCAGGAGATGAACGGGGAGCCTCTGGCCGCAGAGAAGGAGCAGCCAGGGGGCGCCCACAACCCCTTCAAGGACTGAAGCCTCAAGCTGCCCGGGGTGGCACGTCGCGAAAGCTTGTTTCCCCACGGTCTGGCTTCTGCAGGGGAAATTTCAAGGCCACTGGCGTGGACCATCTGGGTGTCCTCAGCCCCTGTGGGGCAGCCAAGTTCCTGATAGCACTTGTGCCTCAGCCCCTCACCTGGCCACCTGCCAGGGCACCTGCAACCCTAGCAATACCATGCTCGCTGGAGAGGCTCAGCTGCCTGCTTCTGGCCTGCCTGTGTCTGCTGCCGAGAAGCCCGTGCCCCCGGGAGGGCTGCCGCACTGCCAAAGAGTCTCCCTCCTCCTGGGGAAGGGGCTGCCAACGAACCAGACTCAGTGACCACGTCATGACAGAACAGCACATCCTGGCCAGCACCCCTGGCTGGAGTGGGTTAAAGGGACGAGTCTGCCTTCCTGGCTGTGACACGGGACCCCTTTTCTACAGACCTCATCACTGGATTTGCCAACTAGAATTCGATTTCCTGTCATAGGAAGCTCCTTGGAAGAAGGGATGGGGGGATGAGATCATGTTTACAGACCTGTTTTGTCATCCTGCTGCCAAGAAGTTTTTTAATCACTTGAATAAATTGATATAATAAAAGGAGCCACCAGGTGGTGTGTGGATTCTGAATCATGGACTTAGGTCACTGCTAGGGCTTAGCAGGTGTGGCTTATCCTGAAACAGAAGTCACAACGGCATCCTGGAGCCAAGTCCTGTTCCCTGCTTGTTTAATCCAGTGCTTATCAAACTTTAATATGCCACAGGTCACGAGGAGATCTTGTTAAAATGCAGATTTGGGCCTGGGGTGAGGCCAGCAATTCTGCGTTTCCAACAAGCTCTCTGACGATGCTGATGCTTCAGGTCCCCAGACCACACTTCTTGTCTTTCTTAGAAACAGGGTCTCGCTCTGTTGCCCTGGCTGGAGTGCAATGGCACGATCTCGGCTCACTGCAATTTTGACCTCCTGGGCTCAAGTGATTCTCCCACCTCAGTCTCTCAAGTAGCTGGGACTATAGGCACATGCCACCATGCCCAGCTAATTTTTAAAATTTTTTTTGCAGAGAAGGGGTGTCACTGAGTTGCCCAGGCTGGTCTCAAGCTCCTGGCCTCAAGTCAACCTCCTGCCATGGCCTCCCAAAGTGCTGAGATTACAGGTTCGAGCCACTGCGCCTGGCCCCTGACCATAATTTGAATGACCAGGGCTTAGTTTTTCCTCACAGTATTTTTATAGAATTTAAATTAGTTACCCATGTTTAAAAGTCAAGAGATTTTAAAATAAATAAGGGCGGGGGTGCAGTGGCTCACGCCTGTAATCCCAGCACTTTGGGAGGCTGAGGTGGGCGGATCACCTGAGGTCAGGAGTTCGAGACTAGCCTGGCCAACATGGCAAAACCCCGTCTCTACTAAAAATACAAAACAGGCATGGTGGTGGGAGCCTGTAATCCAGTTACTCAGGAGGCTGAGGCAGGAGAATCGCTTGAACCCGGAAGGTGGAGGTTGCAGTGAACTGAGATCGCACCGCTGCACTCCAGCCTGGGCAACAGAGCAAGACTCCATCTCAAAAAGTCCAGAGATTGACAAAAATTCCAGCTTGCTGGTTTCTCTTTAAAGATCTGGCAGCCCTGGTGGGCGCCTGCACAAGTCACCAGGCCAGCTCAGATTCAGGGAGAAGGGAAACGGGCTCTGCCTCTTAAAAAGGAGCTGCAAAGTCAGGCGCCTTAGAGTCATTCAGGTGTATTCCTAAGAGCAGTTCCCAAGCCTGGCTGCAGATCCTGGAATCTACAGGGATCACTCTCAGTCTGACGCCACGGCCACGATGATGGCCATGATGACCATCCTGAAATGACCCTTGGCCTGAGAACCATGACCTCTGAGGGGACATCTCTGTTGTGCTGGCGGCTAAGTTGGAAAAGTGACAGTCCTGTGCACTGGAATCCAGGCCCAGAGGCAGCAGTACCTGAAGAGGGCCTGTCACAGCAAAGTTAGAGGGGTCCCAGGTCAGGTGACTCAAACATGCCAAGCGGTGTGAGTCCTGTGGCCCCTGGAATTTTTTTTTTTTTTTTTTTTGAGACAGTCTCATTTTGTTCCCCAGGCTGGAGTGCAATGGTGCAACCTCGGCTCACTGCAACCTCTGCCTCCCGGGTTCAAGCGTTTCTCATGCCTCAACCTCCCAAGTAGCTGGGATTTCAGGCATGCACCACCATGCCTGGCTAATTTTTGTATTTTTAGTAGAGGCGGGGTTTCACTATGTTGGCCAGGCTGGTCTCGAACCCTTGGCCTAAAGTGATCCACCCGCCTGGGCCTCCCAAAGTGCTGGGATTACAGGTATGAGCTGCCGCACCCAGCCTGTAATTTCTTTTTAATTTGTCATTGTGTTATTGATTTTCTTTGCCTGCCCGACATCCAGTCTCTCTTCTAGCAACAGCCCTGTCTTAGGCTAGGATTCCCCAGATGCAGAAACTAAGACAAGGAGGTGAGAGCAAGTACTTTATTGGGGAGGCGGCCCCAGGAAGCACTGGTAGAGGACAGGGAGGGAAGGCAGCCTGTGCAGAGTGCAGGAGTGAGCAAGTCTATACTGTAGGCAACAGGGGCTCAATCCTGCTGGGGGCCTCTGGGACAGTTGGTAGAACAGGTCTTGGTTGCACCACACAAGGGCGAGGAAGCTGGGGTATTTATCAGCCAACACCCATTCATCATTGGTTGAGGGCCGCTCCTGGGGGTTGACTCCCTGGCAGTGCCAGTCTGCCCTACCCAGAGACCGAATGTGCCCTGGCAACCACAGGGAGCTGTGGGAAAGTTGCAACATCTTGTGACCTGAAGCCTTCCATGGTAATGAGAGTGCCCGGGGAGGTGGCCACTTCTGCCTCCTGCTCCACGTCCTATCTAAGGTCTGCCGTCCAAAATCTAAATGCCTGAGCCCCAAAATGTGCCTCTCCTGTAACAGTACAAGTGTCACACGTTTTGGGTTGCCGGAGACCCCAAAACCCAGGAGCCCTGGCTGTGAGCCTCTAGCGTGTTGCTATCAGGGTAGTACCTCTCCCCCATTCTCCATCCAGGTGGTTTGGGTGGCACTGTCTTCTCACCCCAAGTTGCAGGTGGGCCTGAGAGATTGGTCCAGAGTTAGGCACCTGCCCCGGGTCAGCCCGTCAGAGCCCATCGTGGAACTTCTGCTGCAGCTGGAAGAAGAAACTCTCTCTGCTGGGACTGTCTAACTTCCAAGGTTAGACACAAGGAGGGCCACAAGGTGGGCCAAGGTGGGCCACAAGGAGGAGGAACGGAAACCAACTCTTCTCCAGTGTGGAGAAGACCTGATCAGAACCAAGAGATGGAGCGGGTGAGCCAGTGTGGAAAACGACTAGACTGAGGGTGTTGGGGTGGGGGTGGGGGGACATGATTTGAATGCCTGGATCCAGCTATACCTGAAGCCAGCCAGATCATTCTTGGACTTCCGAATTACATGAACCCATAAATTCCCATTTTTTGCTTGAGGCAATTTGTATTGGGTTTTGGGGTCTCCGGCAACCCAAACGTGTGACACTTGTATTGTTACAGGAGAGGCACATTTTGGGACTCAGGCATTTAGATTTTGGACGGCAGACCTTAGATAGGACATGGAGCAGGAGGCAGAAGTGTCTGAGATTCCAGTACCAACCTATGGTGCTGGTGGGGACACAAATATACAAGAGCTAAAGTCATCAAACTGCAGGCAAGCCGGCTGGGGATTCATGTGCTCCGATCCCAGCAGCATAAGGGTCCCCTCCCCCACCCACAGTAGTGACTCAAGACCCCCAGGCACAGGCACGGTGGTCTTGGACTGCACACTGAAGTCTCTGCAGCTCAACTGGGAACCCTGAGAGTTCCACATGCTGGGCCATCGCCATGGTGACACGTCTCAGCTTCTGGGGTGCTCTGCACAGAACTTTAGTATTCGGAAAGACCCCAGAAAGGTTCCCATCCTGGCGTCAATGGGTGGGCTTTCAAGGACTCTTTGGGGCCCCAAAACAAATGAAATTCGTGTGTGTGTCCTGAGTTCTCATGGGATTCTCCAAGCAGTCTGTGTCCGGAAAAAAAAAAAAATCCTGGCTTAGAGGTTTCAAATTGTGCTTTTTGCCAGCTTGGGCAACATGGCCCCGCCGCTACAAAAAAATACAAGAATTAGGCATGGTGGCGCACACCTGTGGTTCCAGCTACTTGGGGCTGAGGTGGGAGGGTCGCTTGAGCCCGGCAGGTTGAGGCTACAGTGAACCATGATCATGCCACCGCACTCCAGCCTGGGTGACAGAGTGAGACCCTGTCTCAAAAAAAAATGTGACTTTTGGGGATCCGCATTCCTCCAAAATGCCTTGTTGGGGGCTGGGCACTAAGGGAGGCAGGGAAGTGAGAGGGAGAAGTTGGTAGCCACAGCCTCTGACATCCCTGGAGGCCCTGGGCTCCCTTCCTCCCAGGCCCTACCCCAGCTCCCACTGCAGCTGCTTGCGTCCAACCTGGCTCCGCAGAGGTCCCAGGGGTCTGTGCCCCAAGAACTGATCCCAGAGGCAGCCTCTGGGCCACAGGGAGCCCTGGGCATGTTTTGCTCGCTCTGGGTCCAGGCCCCAGGAGGCCTCCAAGGAAAGCGCTGTGGCTGAGACAGGCATCAGCAGGGCCCCACAGCTCAGGCCTGATCCCAGCTCCCGCCCACCCTCCGGAGCTCCATCTTCCCCCACAGGGCTGTTCTTTCTCGATACCCGCCGCACCCACGAGTCAGCTGGCTGTTCCTTTGAAACCCGCCACCCACAGTTCCAGAGAAATCCACGGAAGAGTCACCGCCCATGAACACACGCAAGTGCAAGCCGCCTCCTCTCCCCTGACGAGCTGTGCTGGGCAGGGCTGGGGAGCAGAAGCTGGGTGGACAGATGGCCCTCGTGCCATCACACAAAACACCACACCTGCTCTGCTCTCACAAATGACAACCCCAGCCACCAGCTCCAAAACGACGAAGGCTTTTCAGAGTCCCAGGATCTGTGTGGCAGCCAGCTCCACTCTCCGTGCCCCAAGAGAGCTCACGGGAAGGACAGGTGGCACCCTGGACAGGGTTCATCACAACCTTCTGACGTCAGGACTGTGGCTGTTTTGGGATGCAGCTCTCCAGGACACCAGGTCTGGCACTTTGGTAAAACCCCAGGGGGAGGGCAGGGCAGCCCAGGAGAGATGGGCACCAGGGATTTTCATATCTGTTTAATGCAGATATAACTGTGTATCTGGTTAGCTATTGTATGCATACATAATAAGTTGAGTAGCATGCCCCAAAATTCATGTCCATCCGGAACCTTAAAATGTGACCTCGCTTGGAAGTAAGATCTTTGCAGGTGGAATTAGTTAAGGATCTCAAGACGTTATACTGGACTTAGGATGGGTCCTAAATCCAATGACTGGCATCCCTACAAGAAGAGGAGACACAGAGAGAGAGGAAGGCCATATGATGATGGAGGCAGAGACTGGAGTGATGCAACCACAAGCCACGAGGTGCCACTAGACACTGGAAGAGGCAAGGAAGGGTCCTCCCCTACAGCCTTCAGAAGGAGCAGGGCCCTACCTCCATGGTGATTCCGGACTTCCAGCCTCCAGAACATTCCTGTTGTTGTTGTTGCTGTTGTTGTTGTTTTGAGACGGAGTCTCACTCTGTCACCCAGGCTGGAGTGCAGTGACATAATCTTGGCTCACTGCAAGCTCCGCCTCCCGGGTTCACGGCATTCTCCTGCCTCAGCCTCCCGAGTAGCTAGGACTACAGGCGCCCGCCACCATGCCCGGCTAATTTTTTGTATTTTTTAGTAGAGACGGGGTTTCACCATGTTAGCCAGATGGTCTCAATCTCCTGACCTTGTGATCCACCCGCCTCGGCCTCCCAAAGTGCTGGGATTACAGGCGTGAGCCACTGCGCCTGGCCTATTTCTGCTTTATATATAAAAATTGTGATCCTCCCTCACACGGCCCAATAACCAATCTTGAGAACCTTAACTAATTACACCTGCAAAAACCTTATTTCCAAATGAGGTCACATTCTAAGGTTCTAGGTGGACATGAATTTGGGGACATGCTATCCAATCCATTACATATGTATACAATATATATGATACACAATTATACCTGCATTAAACAGATATGCAGCCCCTTGGGGGTGATATCACTCCGGTTGCAAATGCTCTAAAGCAAGGGTGTCCAATCTTTTGGCTTCCCTGGACCACATTGGAACAAGAAGAATTGTCTTGGGCCACACATAAAATACACTAATGATAGCTGATGAGCTGAAAAAACAAAGAAAACACACACACAAAAAACCTCAGTATTTTAAGAAAGTTTACGAACTCGTGTTGGAGCACATTCAAAGCAGTCCGGGGCCGCGTGCAGCCTGCAGGCCACAGGCTGAACAAGCTAGCTCTAAAGTCTTTTAAACAACAGCTGGAAAGTTCTTGAACGAGCCCACGGGAAACCTCCAGGGTTTTAGGAAGCTGACGATGCAAGTTTATCCAAATGGAAAACATTTAATGCTGCTGGTTGGAGCAAGTGATCAGGCAAACAAAAAAACCCATCGTGTTTCACTGGCTCAAAGAGACTTTGTTGAAAACAATTATACTATTCTCATTGGACAATAAATTTTACAGCAGGGAGGGGGAATTCCAGAGAGTGCAGGGTAGAAAAAAAGAGTCTCAAACTCTCCATACTTCAACCTCTGGGAAAAAACATTTTCTAACTGCCAAGGGAAATACCACTCAGAATACACTCCCTCAGATGGGTGGACTTACCCAGAAAACACAAGCAGCTTCTTTCTTCTTTTTTTGAGACAGGGTCTTGCTTTGTCACCCAGGATGAAGTACAGGGGTGAGATCATGGCTCACTCCAGCCTTGACCTCCAAGCAATCCTTCTGCCTCAGCCTCCCGAGCAGCTGAGACTATAGGCACGCACCACCACGCCTGGCTCATTTTTTAATTTTTTGTAGAGACAGGGTCTCACTATGTTGCCCAGGCTGGTCTTGAACTCCTGCACTCAAGCGATCAGCCGGCCTCAGCCTCCCAAAGTGTTGGGATTATAGGCATGAGCCACCACGCCCCGCCCACACAAGCAGTTTCTAAAAGAGAAAGACTGCACACCCAACTCAGAGGGCAATAATTCTTGACACCTACTTTTCTCTGGGTGCAATAACGAAAAACAGGGATAGGCGACCTCAGGAAGAAAACGAGTCTTTGGATGCGAAGCATTAAGTAATCAGAATGACCACTGACATTAATGGAGCGCTTTCTGTGTTCTGGGAGCTGTGCTGAAAGCTTTACAGCTACTCCCTCATTTCGTCCCACTACAACCTATTGAGGTAGGCACTGCTATCCTCACTTTACAGATGAGGAAACTGAGGCACAGAGAGGTTAAGTCACCTGGTCAAGGTTACACAGCTAGTGAAAGGAAGGCTGGGGTTTGAGTCCTGGCCTAAATTCAAGGCCCAGGTGCCCAAACACCAACAGTAATGCTGCTTGTGGGTTGCTTCTGTCCTGGTCACAATGGATTAATGAACTAATGATGCAAGAAGCCCAAGCCAAGGCACTTCCAGCCTTTGTGGCTCAGGGGAAATTCAAAAGCCAAAAGCTTGGCAATCCCTTCCTTGGATTATTTTTAATTCCAGTCCTCCCGAAGGCAAGAAGAATGACCTTGATAATGCTTCCACGTGGGTCCCCGAGACCTCCACATGGGAGGAGAGCCGGCCGTAGCAGATGCCACCATGGATACCTGCTGGTTCTGTGGTCCAGCTTCTCTTGTCCATTGGGGGAATGGCCCTCCCCAATCCTGCTGCGGCTTCTGCAGGGAATGTCAATCACGGGACCCTAGTTCCTTGCCAGTGTGGCCCACAGGAATAAGCATGTGACTCGAGCTGGGCCAATCAGAGCCTTCCATGAGATTTGAGATGGAAAAGCATCTCTTAGAGTGTGAATCCTGAAATTATAGGCTTGGGGCTGCTGGCAGCCATCTTTCCCGCCAGGTGGAAGAAAGAATGAGGTCAGCATGCAAAGAGATGCAGAGTCAAGAGGCCTGGGTGCAGTTGAGAGGCCTGAGGACATTAAGCTCCTGGATCCAGCCATATCTGAAGCAGCACCCACCTTCAGCCATCCCTAGTACAGGACCCAGGGAATTTGCTTTGTTGCTTAAGCCAGTTTGGGCTGGTTTTCCCTAGGGAGAGAGCACTCTCAAGAGCAGAACTGAAAGGGCCTGAGGTTCCTCACCCCCACTGTTAAGGGTGGACAGCTGATAGCAGACTCCCCTCCCCCCACCCGCCTCTGGAACAGGCAGTTCCAGCTTCCTTCCGTAAAAGGCTTCTGTGTCCTTCTCTGGGGCTAGACAATAAATGTATAAAGACTGCCAGGGCAGCTTATCCCAGCATACTTGTAGGATAACACCTAGTTTTTAAGAGAAAAGCTAGAAATTCACTTAAAGATAGTTGAAAATATTGCAAGTTGCTCTCAGCAATAAATGCCTGGTGATATGGGAGCAATTAGTTTTGAGAACGTCTCCTTCCAATCAGTCGGTCTCTTATGCACACATGTGCACACACACCTTGACGCAGAGTGCAAAGCAATCTATTTTGTTCAGATACCTGAGAAGCGGACAGAGAGCCAACAGGAAGGTGGGCAAGGCTCTCTCCCAGCAGGAAGAAGGATGTATCTGAAAAGATGACACTTTCTCTCTTCCTTGGGTTTGGGGTTGAGGCTGGCGTAGATATAAGTTTCCTGGCCCTGCATTGCTGAGCCTGCATAAAGATGATTCTTGTGGCCACAAAACCACCCCTTGGCTCAGTTACTGCAGCAGAGATGAGCCCCAACTCTAAGCAAGGCCAGGAGACAAGGGTACCAGCCACTGCTGACAGAGCCATGTCAGTGAGACTCCTGCCACGCAGGTCATGAGGATGTGTAATGTGGGCTGGGCGCAAGTCAATGGGGTAGGGACTGGCGTGGCCACATCCAGGGGTGCAGAGGTGTTGTCTTCATGCAACAATAGTGACCCCATTCTGCTGGTGCTCCCAAATGCCTAAGGGAAGCCAGAAATCCTGATTTCGATGCGAAATGCCTCAATTTTTAAACCATTCTAAAGGCAAAAAAGCAACACTAAAAGCAGGCCAGATCAGGCTTCAAGTTGGTGACCCCTGACTGGCTGCCTTTTGGGGAGTCCAGGAAAGGAAAGGAGAAATGTCCTCAGGCCCCAAGGAGACCCAAGACGCTCCTGTGTAGTAACTAGGGGAACTCATGTCAATATTGAACCTAGTTCCAGAGTCATATCTGCCCCAGGGCAAACACAGCAGCCTCCACTCGCGGGGGGAATCGAGACTCCATGTTGAGACCCTGGATCTAGCCTTACCTGAAGCAAGCCCTCCTGGACTGGCCAGTTCTATGCACCCATGAATGATCATGCTTTTGTGTTGAAGCACCTGGGCATGGGTCTCTGTGGCTTACAACCAAAAACAGTCATAATTAAACAGTTCCCTAGGAGAGAAAGGCATCTCCAGTGGGGTATACAGACAGCCTCAGTCACCCCATCACTGCCTGGAACTTAGCAGAAACCCAGGGCTCTCCCACCCTCTCCAATCAGGGATGGTCAGGCTTAGGCCATGCTGGCCAAGTGCAGGGAACATGGATTTTCACTTCAGGATGTGCTGTTCCCCACAAAGAGCAGCGCCTGTAACTCACTTAACTGCTCACCAAGCACATCTTGATACTGCATAACAGAACGTTATGCAATCAGATGCCAAGGTAAACACCCTTCATTTCTGCCTCCCCAGCATCCTTCCTCCTTCTTCTTAGGGGGGACCCCAGTACTCCTCGAGGCACCCACTAGTGCTTTTGAGAGCAGGTGGTTGGTTCCAGAGATGTGCATGTGATCCAGGCTGGCCAATCACTGCACCTCACTGCAACCCTGGATCACGGTGATTGGTCCAGATTGGGCATGACCCTGCTGGCCAATCAGCATTCTCCAGTGTGCCTGGCAACTGTGATTGGTTCAGGAATTGACCTGGCAATCGCTCCCCCTTCCAGGCTAAGACTCAGCTCTGGGAAGTGGGCTGGAGCCTTTGGGAGGAAGAGGCTCTCTTATGCAGGCAAGCTGCAGGGAGGAGAAGGGCACCTGATAGTGATGGTCCCCTGCATGGCGAAAGCAGAGCAAGAGGTGGACAGAGAGGAGATGGGCCTGGCTGACGTCGCTAAGCCCGGATGTCCCAAAGGTGTGGTATGGTAGACACCTTGGCCTTGGCTTGGTCTTCCTTACACGAAGCCGGAAGGAGATGGTTCTGTCCTTGCAATTTCAAGAGCCCTGACACCACCCACAGGCCAGTTCTGGATCCTTGCCATCCGCTCCAGACACCCCAACTTGGGCAGCATCTAGGCCTGGGGCTCCAGCCCACATGGTCCCAGGCCCTGCAGTTAGCTGGCTTCTCATTCTGGACATTTCTGGACACTGGAGGCGAGCGGGCGGCCCTGAAACACTGGGCCCGGCTATCTGGAGACCAGGGAGCTGCTATGAGACTGGCCGGAGGAGGAGGACGAGGTGGCGGCGCTGAGCTGGGAGAAGCCGCTGGTGCAGGATTCCAGGCTGGACATGGAGCCCCTGGGGAGGAAGGGCGTGGCACACGTTACCCTCTCACAGTGACAAGGCCCTTGGGCTGACACACAGCAGTGGAAAAGCTGTTGATGCTGCAAATCAGGCCCCAGGGCCCCAGGCCGATGCAAAGGGAAAAGCAAGTGACGCCATGAAGAGAAAAGCACTACCGAATTCCCCACACTCCCATCTCCCCAGATGGAGCCCAGCCTGCCACAGACCCATCAGGGGCTCCCCTGGCCTGAGGCCCTTGCATGGCCCTAAGGCCGCCACAGCCCAGGGAGTCCCCGGCCCTGTCTCCAGTCTCACTCCCTCCTTACTCTTTGCACTCAAATTCCATGGTCCTCCTCCTAGCTCTTGCAGTGGCCTTCGTGTGCGCTGAGCCTGAGGCAGAAGCCCATTCTCTCCTCCCCCAGCTGTCTGGTTAACTCCTACTCCAAACCTCAGGGCAGCGCCATCCTCGAGAACTTTCTTTTCTTGTATAGAGACGGGGCTCTCACTATGCTGCCCAGGCTGGTCTCAAACTCCTGGGATCAGGAGATCCTCGTGACTCGGCCTCCCAAAGCACTTGGATTACAGGCGTGAGGCACCATGCCCACCCTCCAAGAACTTCCTGCGATGAACGTGCTGTACACCTGCACAGTCCAACACACCAGCCACTGGCCACATGGGCTGCTCATCACTTGAAATGTGGCCCATGCGACTGAGGCACTGAATTGTTCCTTTTATTTCATTCTCCTTGCTAAGTTAAATTGCTGCAGGTGACTAGCAGCGACCAGATAGGACAGTGCAGCTTTAGGGCCTTGCTACTCAAAGCATGGTCTGGGAACTGGCAGCACCAGCAGTGCCCGGAGCTTGTTAGAGATGCAGAACCTCGCCAGGTGCCATGGCTTACGCCTGTCATCCCAACACTTTGAAAGGCTGAGGCAGGGGGATCGCTTGAGGCCAGGAGTTTGAGACCAGCCTGGGCAAAATAGTGAGACCCCATCTCTACAAAAAATTTTAAAAGTGGCCAGGCACAGTGGCTCATGCCTGTAATCCCAGCCCTTTGGGAGGCCGAAGTGGGTGGATTGCTTGAGGCCAGGAGTTCGACACCAGCCTGGCTAACATGGCGAAACCTGTCTCCACTAAAAATATAAAAATTAGCCAGGGGTGGTGGTACGCACCTGTAATCCCAGCTACTCAGGAGGCTGAGGCATGAGGATTGCTTGAACCCAGGAGGCGGAGGTTGCAGTGAGTAGATATCGTGCCACTGTACTCCAGCCTGGGTGACAGAGTGAAACCCTGTCTCCAAAAAAAAAAAAAAAAAAAAAAAAAGCCAGGCAAGCTAGCCCATGCCTATAGTCCCAGCTACTTGGGAAGCTGAGGTTGGAGGATTGCTTGAGCCCGGGAGTTCAAGGCTACAGTAAGCTAGGATTGCACCACTGCACTCCAGCCTGGGTAACAGAGCGAGACTCTGTCTCCAAAAATAAATAAATAAAAAGACCCCCTGGTGACTTGTGTGACCACCACACTACTTAGATCTCAGTCCAGTGTCACGTTCCATATTACTTCCCCCACCCTCTCTCCCAACCCTAGGCCAGGCCCGTCCTGTGCTCTGGCAAGGCTCTAGGTTACGTCCCTGAGCACCTCCTGGCTGGGTGGCTGATACGGTTTGGCTCTATGGCCCAAGTAAATCTCATCTCAAATTGTAATCCCCAAGTGTTGAGGGAGGGATCTGGTGGGAGGTGATTGGATCATGGGGGCAGTTTCCCCCATGGTCTTCTTGCGATAGTGAATGAGTTCTCATGAGGTCTGATGGTGTAAAAGTGTGTGGCTTCCTCTGCTCTCTCTCTCTCCTGACCCTTTGCCTTCCGCCATGATAGTAAGTTTCCTGAGGCTTCCCCAGTCATGCAGAACCGTGAGTCAATTAAACCTCCTTTCTTTATAAATTACCCAGTCTCAGGTAGGTTTTTTTTTTTTCCTTTTTCTTTTTGAGACAGTCTCGCTCTGTCGCCAAGGCTGAAGTGCAGTGGCGCGATCTCAGCTCACTGCAATCTCCACCTCCTGGGTTCAAGGCATTCTCCTGCTTCAGCCTCCTGAGTAGCTGGGATTATAGGCATGCCCGGCTAATTTTTGTATTTTTAGTAAAGACGGGGTTTCGCCATGTTGGCTAGGCTGGTCTCAAACTCTTGACCACAGATGATCCACCCACCTCGGCTTCCCAAAGTGCTGGGATTACAGGCGTGAGCCACCACACCCGGCCTCAGGTAGTTCTTTCTCACAGTGTGGAAACGGACTAACACAGTGGCCTTGGCCATGGCATCCATCGCTGCCCATAGTTATACTTGGGTGTGAGCCTTTGGTCTCTGCTTCATGATGGCAGACCCTATCTGTGTGGTCCCCCCACGATCCGAGCCACCACCTGCCCCCTGAGGGCGACCAGGAAACAGCCTTTGAACTGATTTTCTCATGAGGCTACAAGAGGACAGGGCAGTAAGGTCCTCTCATGGTGACCACCCTTGACAGGTTGGTGTGCAGCGTCTGGCCCAGCCCACCCCTCTGGCCTCCACATGCCCGGCCTCAGAATCAGCCCTCCCAGAGACAACCTTCCAATGCCTGTGTCTATTCCTCTGTGTCCCCCTGGGCCTCAGCCTGTCGCCTCACACTGAGGACCGATGGCCAAAACATGCAGCTTCACAAAGAGTGAATCGCCAGCCCCCTGACAAACTATGGGACCCCTCCTTGGATAAAGACTCTGCCCCAGTGTTCTTCACTCTGGGTGCCCATGCTCCTGGGATCCTTGGAGCTCCACCTGGAATTTGAGGTCTAGACTCAGCACCTTCCTTGAGCCTTAATTTTACCCCCACGGGAAAGAATTTAAAGCATCATTTTTAGATGAAAACCAGTGCAGATCCATCATGAAGCAGGGTGCAAAATCATAAGTGCTTTTACAGAATGCAAAACCTTGAAGAAACTGCCTGCTCCGCCTCCAGACCTTCTCCTTCATTTCTGCTGTGGCATGCACACCGCATGCCCAGGTGACAGGCAGCTTCCCCCAGCCATCTCATCCTCATGACAAACCCACAAGACTGGGGCTCCAGTGGTTCCCATTTAAGGGATGAAGCACCTGAGGCTCAAAGAGGAAAAGTGATTTGCCCGAGGTCACACAGCAACCAGGAAGTGCTGGAGGTCTTAACCATTACAGTTCCCTGTCTCTCTGAAAGCAACAACTTGGGGAGGGTTGTCTAAAAAGCACCCTTTTAGAATATTCTAAAATATTCCCATGGAATTCTAGGAGTGAGGGGAAGCCCACATGGAAGGGTTTAAGACTCCCCTTCTCCTCCCCTCCAACTGCTCCAAAAAGTTGAGCTTCTGCCCAAGGTTTCATTTGAAGGAAAATCCCTGCTTCGGAAGCAGAGTTAGACGCGCAGAGCTGGGCTCTCCTCACACCCTAGTGCGGGGCTGTGTCACCTGAGAACTCCAACCATACCCATGCTGGGGTCCCACCCCGGGAGAAGCTGACCCAGCTGGGAGACAGGAGGCCAGGCATCTGCATTGTCAATCAGCCCCAGGGTCCTTCCTGCCCAGGACCCCGCTCCGGAGCCCTCCTACCTGAAGTCCTCAGAGGCGAGCACCTCACAGTAGTAGAGAAGTTTGCACTTGGGCCCGGGGCTGTGCAGAGCCGTCAGGACATCGTCCACACCCGGGAGGCTGCAGGCCACGCTGCTGGGGGGGCTGTGCATTTGCCACTGGAGCAGGTAGACGCCGGGCCACCGGGTCACATGGGAGCCCTGAAACACATCAGCCCTGCCCTGAGGCCCTGCGCCCTCCAGAGGACAGGTCAAGGAGGCTGAGCCTTCATGGGCTTCTCATCACCAGGCCTGGAAATTGGGGCTCTTCTCCCTCTGTCCCTTTCTCCAGTCCACCAGCAACTCCTCCTGTCAGGGCCTCTGGAAGCCATCCTTGCTATTATCCCCATATCCCTGGGACCAGAGCCTCCCTCTTAATCTGGGGAGGAGCTGACGCCTGGGGGTGGGGGTGCAACTTCAGGACAACAGAGGTGCTTAAACACCTGGATTTTGTGGGGCTTTTGCTCTGCTGAGTGGGATTTGCAAACCAAGGGGATTAGGAAAGGGATTTGGGCCGGGAGCTCACAGGTGCTTAGAGAGAATTTGTGGAGGGATCAGGGAGAGTGAGAAAGGGAAGTGTTTGTTTTTACAAGAAGAGCCACTTTGGGTTGCTCTGGGTTGAGAAGTTCAGTGGGACCCAGCAGTGGCTGTGAGGGACATGCAGGACGGCCCTCCACCCTCTCCCCACCGGGAACTTCGGTGAGATCGACAGCAACTGCCAGTGCTCGTGGAGCTGGTGCTGCGTGTGTGCATGTGTCATTTCGGGAGTCAGAGAGTGACATTCCACCTGCAATGCCAGCCTCCTGGAGAATGTGGGGATCAACAGGGGCAGCTCATATTCCAGTTACACGTTCAAGTTCTGTTCCAAGACTACAGTTTTGTTTTTTTTTTCTGAGACGGAGTTTCACTCTTTCACTCAGACTAGAGTATAATGGCATGATCTCAGCTCACTGCAACCTCTGCCTCCTAGGTTCAAGCGATTCTCCTGCCTTAGCCTCCCGAGTAGCTGGGATTACAGGCACCCGCCACCACACCTCGCTTTTTTTTTTTTTTTTTTTTTTTTTTTTTGTATTTTTAGTAGAGACGGAGTTTCACCATGTTGGCCAGGCTGGTCTCGAACTCCTGACTTCAGATGATTCACCTGCCTCGGCCTCCCAGAGTGCTGGGATTATAGGCATGAGCCACCGCACCCGGCCCAAGACCTACAGTTTCTTTTGCATCAGTTCTGAAACCACAGTGCACATCAGAAATCTGAC